>NC_000005.10:50109807-50734807 GCF_000001405.40 Homo sapiens
TTCAAAACTGCTCTATTAAAGGAAGGTTCAACTCTGTGAGTTGAATTCACACATCACAAAGAACTTTCTGACAATGCTTCTATCTAGTTTTTATGTGAAGATATTACTGTTTCCCATGAAGGCCTCAAAGTGGTCCGAATATCCACTTGCAGATTCTACAAAAAGAGGTTTTCAAAACTGCTCTATGCAGAGGTATGTTCAACTCTGTGAGTTGAATGCAAACATCCCGAAGCAGTTTCTGAGAATGCTTCTGTCTAGTTTTTAGGGGCAGATATTTCCATTGGCACAATAGCCCTCAAAGCGCTCCAAATATCCACTTGCAGATTCTACAAAAATAGTGTCTCAAAACTACTCTATGGAAAGGTATGTTCAACACTGTGAGATGAATGCAAACGTCACAAAGAAGTTGCTGAGAATGCTTCAGTCTAGTTTCCATGGGAAGACATTTCCTTTGGCACCACAGCCCTCAAAGCACTCCAAATGTCTACTTGCAGATTCGACAAAAGAGTTTTTCAAAACTGCTCTATCAAAAGAAAGGTTCAACGCTGTCAGATGAATCAACATATCACAAAAAAGTTTCTGAGAATGCCTCTATCTACTTTTTCTGTGAAGATATTCCGGTTTCCAACGAAGGCCTCAAAGCGCTCCAAATATCTACTTGCAGATTCTAGAAGAAGAGTGTTTCAAAACTGCTCTATTAAAGGAAGGTTCAACTCTGTGAGTTGAATTCACACATCACAAAGAACTTTCTGACAATGCTTCTATCTAGTTTTTATGTGAAGGTATTACTGTTTCCTATGAAGGCCTCAAAGTGGTCCGAATATCCACTTGCAGATTCTACAAAAAGAGGTTTTCAAAACTGCTCTATGAAGAGGTATGTTCAACTCTGTGAGTTGAATGCAAACATCACAAAGTAGTTTCAGAGAATGCTTCTGTCTAGTTTTTAGGGGAAGATATCTCCATTGGCACAATAGCCCTCAAAGCGCTCCAAGTATCCACTGGCAGATTCTAGGAAAAGAGTGTTTCAAAACTGCTCTGTGAAAAGAAATGTTCAACTGTGTTAGTTGAATGCCCACATTACAAAGATGATTGTGAGAATATTTCTGTCTAGTTTTTATTAGAAGATATTCCCGTTTCCACCAAAGGACACAAAGCGAAGCCCATTATCCGCTTGCAGACCTTACAAAAACACGTTTCAAAACTGCTCTATCAAAGGAAAGGTTCATCTCTCTGGGTTCAACGCACACATCACAAAGAAGTTTCTGAGAATGCTTCTGGCTAGTTTGTGTGTGAAGATATTCCCATTTCCAACAAAGGCTTCAAAGCGCTCCAAAGATTCACCTGCAATTGTTCAAAAGAGTGTTTCAAAACTGTTCTATCAAAAGGAAGGTTCAACTCTGTGAGTTGAAGGCACGCTTCACATAAATGATTCCGAGAATGCTTCTTTCTAGTTTTTATGGGAAGATGTTTCCTTCTCCACCATAGCCCTCAAAGCGCTCCAAGTGTCCGCTGGCAGATTCCACAGAAACAGTGTTTCAAAACTGCTCTAACAAAAGAAAGATTCAACTCCGTGGTTTGAATGCACACATCACAAAGCATTTTCTGTGAATCCTTCTGTCTAGTTTTTATATGAGGATATTTCCTTTTCAACCACGGGCATCCAAGTGTTCCAATTCTCCAATTGTAGATTGCACAAATAGAGTGTTTCAAAACTGCTTAATGAGAAGGAAGATTCAAATTTGGGAGTAGAATGCACACATCACGAAGAAGTTTCTGAGAATGCTTCTGTCTAGTTTATATGTGAAGATATTCCCATTTCCAGCAAAGATCTCAAAGCTGTCCAAATATCCACTTGTGGATCCCACAAACAGAGTGTTTCAAAACTGCTCTACGGAAAGGTATGTTCAACTCTGTGAGTTTACTGCAGACATCCTAAAGAAGTTTCTGAGAATGCTGCTGTCTAGTTTAATGTGAATATATTTTCTTTTCCGCCGTAGCCCTCAAAGAGCTCCAAATATCCACTTTCAGATTCTACAGAGTGTTTGAAAACTGCTCTATCAAAAAAAAGTTTCAACTCGGTGAGTCGAATGCACATATCACAAAGCAGTTTCTGAGAATGCTTTCGTCTATTTTTCCCAGGAAGATATTTCCTTTTTGACCATAGGCCTCAAATCGCTCCAGATATCCACATGCAGATTCTACAAAAAGAGTGTTTCCAAACTGCCCTATCAAAAGGAAGATTCAACTCTGGTAGTTGAATGCAAACATCACAAAGAAGTTTCTCAGAATGCTTCTGTCTAGTTTTTAGAGGCAGATATTTCTTTTTCTACCATAGGCCTCAAAGCGCTCCAAATATCCACTTGCAGATTCTCCAAAAACAGTGTTTCAAAACTGCTCCATAAAAAGGAAGGTTCAACTCTGTGAGTTGAATGGACAGATCACAAAGTAGTTTCTGAGAATGCTTCTGTCTAGTGTTTATGTGAAGATATTCCCGTCTCCGATGAAGGCCTCAAAGCAGTCCAAATATCCGCTTGCAGATTCTACAAAAATAGTGTCTCAAAACTACTCTATGGAAAGGTATGTTCAACACTGTGAGATGAATGCAAACGTCACAAAGAAGTTGCTGAGAATGCTTCAGTCTAGTTTCCATGGGAAGACATTTCCTTTGGCACCACAGCCCTCAAAGCACTCCAAATGTCTACTTGCAGATTCGACAAAAGAGTTTTTCAAAACTGCTCTATCAAAAGAAAGGTTCAACGCTGTCAGATGAATCAACATATCACAAAAGAGTTTCTGAGAATGCCTCTATCTACTTTTTCTGTGAAGATATTCCGGTTTCCAACGAAGGCCTCAAAGCGCTCCAAATATCTACTTGCAGATTCTAGAAGAAGAGTGTTTCAAAACTGCTCTATTAAAGGAAGGTTCAACTCTGTGAGTTGAATTCACACATCACAAAGAACTTTCTGACAATGCTTCTATCTAATTTTTATGTGAAGGTATTACTGTTTCCTATGAAGGCCTCAAAGTGGTCCGAATATCCACTTGCAGATTCTACAAAAAGAGGTTTTCAAAACTGCTCTATGAAGAGGTATGTTCAACTCTGTGAGTTGAATGCAAACATCACAAAGTAGTTTCTGAGAATGCTTCTGTCTAGTTTTTAGGGGAAGATATCTCCATTGGCACAATAGCCCTCAAAGCGCTCCAAGTATCCACTGGCAGATTCTAGCAAAAGAGTGTTTCAAAACTGCTCTGTGAGAAGAAATGTTCAACTGTGTTAGTTGAATGCCCACATCACAAAGACGATTGTGAGAATATTTCTGTCTAGTTTTTATTAGAAGATATTCCCGTTTCCACCAAAGGACACAAAGCGAAGCCCATTATCCGCTTGCAGACCTTACAAAAACACGTTTCAAAACTGCTCTATCAAAGGAAAGGTTCATCTCTCTGGGTTCAACGCACACATCACAAAGAAGTTTCTGAGAATGCTTCTGGCTAGTTTGTGTGTGAAGATATTCCCATTTCCAACAAAGGCTTCAAAGCGCTCCAAAGATTCACCTGCAATTGTTCAAAAGAGTGTTTCAAAACTGTTCTATCAAAAGGAAGGTTCAACTCTGTGAGTTGAAGGCACGCTTCACATAAATGTTTCCGAGAATGCTTCTTTCTAGTTTTTATGGGAAGATGTTTCCTTCTCCACCATAGCCCTCAAAGCGCTCCAAGTGTCCGCTGGCAGATTCCACAGAAACAGTGTTTCAAAACTGCTCTAACAAAAGAAAGATTCAACTCCGTGATTTGAATGCACACATCACAAAGCATTTTCTGTGAATCCTTCTGTCTACTTTTCATATGAGGATATTTCCTTTTCTACCATGGGCATCAAAGGGTTCCAATTATCCAATTGTAGATTGCACAAATAGAGTGTTTCAAAACTGCTTCATGAGAAGGAAGATTCAAATTTGGGAGTAGAATGCACACATCACGAAGAAGTTTCTGAGAATGCTTCTGTCTAGTTTATATGTGAAGATATTCCCATTTCCAGCAAAGATCTCAAAGCTGTCCAAATATCCACTTGCGGATCCCACAAACAGAGTGTTTCAAAACTGCTCTACGGAAAGGTATGTTCAACTCTGTGAGTTTACTGCAGACATCCTAAAGAAGTTTCTGAGAATGCTGCTGTCTAGTTTAATGTGAATATCTTTTCTTTTCCGCCATAGCCCTCAACGAGCTCCAAATATCCACTTTCAGATTCTACAGAGTGTTTCAAAACTGCTCTATCAAAAAAAAGTTTCAACTCGGTGAGTCGAATGCACATATCACAAAGCAGTTTCTGAGAATGCTTTCCTCTATTTTTCCCAGGAAGATATTTCCTTTTGGACCGTAGGACTCAAATCGCTCCAGATATCCACATGCAGATTCTACAAAAAGAGTGTTTCCAAACTGCCCTATCAAAAGGAAGATTCAACTCTGGTAGTTGAATGCAAACATCACAAAGAAGTTTCTCAGAATGCTTCTGTCTAGTTTTTAGAGGCAGATATTTCTTTTTCTACCATAGGCCTCAAAGCGCTCCAAATATCCACTTGCAGATTCTCCAAAAACAGTGTTTCAAAACTGCTCCATAAAAAGGAAGGTTCAACTCTGTGAGTTGAATGGACAGATCACAAAGAAGTTTCTGAGAATGCTTCTGTCTAGTGTTTATGTGAAGATATTCCCGTCTCCGATGAAGGCCTCAAAGCAGTCCAAATATCCACTTGCAGATTCTACAAAAATAGTGTCTCAAAACTACTCTATGGAAAGGTATGTTCAACACTGTGAGATGAATGCAAACGTCACAAAGAAGTTGCTGAGAATGCTTCAGTCTAGTTTCCATGGGAAGACATTTCCTTTTGCACCACAGCCCTCAAAGCACTCCAAATGTCTACTTGCAGATTCGACAAAAGAGTTTTTCAAAACTGCTCTATCAAAAGAAAGGTACAACGCTGTCAGATGAATCAACATATCACAAAAAAGTTTCTGAGAATGCCTCTATCTACTTTTTCTGTGAAGATATTCCGGTTTCCAACGAAGGCCTCAAAGCGCTCCAAATATCTACTTGCAGATTCTAGAAGAAGAGTGTTTCAAAACTGCTCTATTAAAGGAAGGTTCAACTCTGTGAGTTGAATTCACACATCACAAAGAACTTTCTGACAATGCTTCTATCTAGTTTTTATGTGAAGGTATTACTGTTTCCTATGAAGGCCTCAAAGTGGTCCGAATATCCACTTGCAGATTCTACAAAAAGAGGTTTTCAAAACTGCTCTATGAAGAGGTATGTTCAACTCTGTGAGTTGAATGCAAACATCACAAAGTAGTTTCTGAGAATGCTTCTGTCTAGTTTTTAGGGGAAGATATCTCCATTGGCACAATAGCCCTCAAAGCGCTCCAAGTATCCACTGGCAGATTCTAGCAAAAGAGTGTTTCAAAACTGCTCTGTGAAAAGAAATGTTCAACTGTGTTAGTTGAATGCCCACATTACAAAGATGATTGTGAGAATATTTCTGTCTAGTTTTTATTAGAAGATATTCCCGTTTCCACCAAAGGACACAAAGCGAAGCCCATTATCCGCTTGCAGACCTTACAAAAACACGTTTCAAAACTGCTCTATCAAAGGAAAGGTTCATCTCTCTGGGTTCAACGCACACATCACAAAGAAGTTTCTGAGAATGCTTCTGGCTAGTTTGTGTGTGAAGATATTCCCATTTCCAACAAAGGCTTCAAAGCGCTCCAAAGATTCACCTGCAATTGTTCAAAAGAGTGTTTCAAAACTGTTCTATCAAAAGGAAGGTTCAACTCTGTGAGTTGAAGGCACGCTTCACATAAATGATTCCGAGAATGCTTCTTTCTAGTTTTTATGGGAAGATGTTTCCTTCTCCACCATAGCCCTCAAAGCGCTCCAAGTGTCCGCTGGCAGATTCCACAGAAACAGTGTTTCAAAACTGCTCTAACAAAAGAAAGATTCAACTCCGTGGTTTGAATGCACACATCACAAAGCATTTTCTGTGAATCCTTCTGTCTAGTTTTTATATGAGGATATTTCCTTTTCAACCACGGGCATCCAAGTGTTCCAATTCTCCAATTGTAGATTGCACAAATAGAGTGTTTCAAAACTGCTTAATGAGAAGGAAGATTCAAATTTGGGAGTAGAATGCACACATCACGAAGAAGTTTCTGAGAATGCTTCTGTCTAGTTTATATGTGAAGATATTCCCATTTCCAGCAAAGATCTCAAAGCTGTCCAAATATCCACTTGTGGATCCCACAGAGTGTTTCAAAACTGCTCTACGGAAAGGTATGTTCAACTCTGTGAGTTTACTGCAGACATCCTAAAGAAGTTTCTGAGAATGCTGCTGTCTAGTTTAATGTGAATATATTTTCTTTTCCGCCATAGCCCTCAAAGAGCTCCAAATATCCACTTTCAGATTCTACAGAGTGTTTCAAAACTGCTCTATCAAAAAAAAGTTTCAACTCGGTGAGTCGAATGCACATATCACAAAGCAGTTTCTGAGAATGCTTTCGTCTATTTTTCCCAGGAAGATATTTCCATTTTGACCATAGGCCTCAAATCGCTCCAGATATCCACATGCAGATTCTACAAAAAGAGTGTTTCCAAACTGCCCTATCAAAAGGAAGATTCAACTCTGGTAGTTGAATGCAAACATCACAAAGAAGTTTCTCAGAATGCTTCTGTCTAGTTTTTAGAGGCAGATATTTCTTTTTCTACCATAGGCCTCAAAGCGCTCCAAATATCCACTTGCAGATTCTCCAAAAACAGTGTTTCAAAACTGCTCCATAAAAAGGAAGGTTCAACTCTGTGAGTTGAATGGACAGATCACAAAGTAGTTTCTGAGAATGCTTCTGTCTAGTGTTTATGTGAAGATATTCCCGTCTCCGATGAAGGCCTCAAAGCAGTCCAAATATCCGCTTGCAGATTCTACAAAAATAGTGTCTCAAAACTACTCTATGGAAAGGTATGTTCAACACTGTGAGATGAATGCAAACGTCACAAAGAAGTTGCTGAGAATGCTTCAGTCTAGTTTCCATGGGAAGACATTTCCTTTGGCACCACAGCCCTCAAAGCACTCCAAATGTCTACTTGCAGATTCGACAAAAGAGTTTTTCAAAACTGCTCTATCAAAAGAAAGGTTCAACGCTGTCAGATGAATCAACATATCACAAAAGAGTTTCTGAGAATGCCTCTATCTACTTTTTCTGTGAAGATATTCCGGTTTCCAACGAAGGCCTCAAAGCGCTCCAAATATCTACTTGCAGATTCTAGAAGAAGAGTGTTTCAAAACTGCTCTATTAAAGGAAGGTTCAACTCTGTGAGTTGAATTCACACATCACAAAGAACTTTCTGACAATGCTTCTATCTAATTTTTATGTGAAGGTATTACTGTTTCCTATGAAGGCCTCAAAGTGGTCCGAATATCCACTTGCAGATTCTACAAAAAGAGGTTTTCAAAACTGCTCTATGAAGAGGTATGTTCAACTCTGTGAGTTGAATGCAAACATCACAAAGTAGTTTCTGAGAATTCCTCTGTCTAGTTTTTAGGGGAAGATATCTCCATTGGCACAATAGCCCTCAAAGCCCTCCAAGTATCCACTGGCAGATTCTAGCAAAAGAGTGTTTCAAAACTGCTCTGTGAGAAGAAATGTTCAACTGTGTTAGTTGAATGCCCACATCACAAAGACGATTGTGAGAATATTTCTGTCTAGTTTTTATTAGAAGATATTCCCGTTTCCACCAAAGGACACAAAGCGAAGCCCATTATCCGCTTGCAGACCTTACAAAAACACGTTTCAAAACTGCTCTATCAAAGGAAAGGTTCATCTCTCTGGGTTCAACGCACACATCACAAAGAAGTTTCTGAGAATGCTTCTGGCTAGTTTGTGTGTGAAGATATTCCCATTTCCAACAAAGGCTTCAAAGCGCTCCAAAGATTCACCTGCAATTGTTCAAAAGAGTGTTTCAAAACTGTTCTATCAAAAGGAAGGTTCAACTCTGTGAGTTGAAGGCACGCTTCACATAAATGTTTCCGAGAATGCTTCTTTCTAGTTTTTATGGGAAGATGTTTCCTTCTCCACCATAGCCCTCAAAGCGCTCCAAGTGTCCGCTGGCAGATTCCACAGAAACAGTGTTTCAAAACTGCTCTAACAAAAGAAAGATTCAACTCCGTGATTTGAATGCACACATCACAAAGCATTTTCTGTGAATCCTTCTGTCTAGTTTTCATATGAGGATATTTCCTTTTCTACCATGGGCATCAAAGGGTTCCAATTATCCAATTGTAGATTGCACAAATAGAGTGTTTCAAAACTGCTTCATGAGAAGGAAGATTCAAATTTGGGAGTAGAATGCACACATCACGAAGAAGTTTCTGAGAATGCTTCTGTCTAGTTTATATGTGAAGATATTCCCATTTCCAGCAAAGATCTCAAAGCTGTCCAAATATCCACTTGCGGATCCCACAAACAGAGTGTTTCAAAACTGCTCTACGGAAAGGTATGTTCAACTCTGTGAGTTTACTGCAGACATCCTAAAGAAGTTTCTGAGAATGCTGCTGTCTAGTTTAATGTGAATATATTTTCTTTTCCGCCATAGCCCTCAAAGAGCTCCAAATATCCACTTTCAGATTCTACAGAGTGTTTCAAAACTGCTCTATCAAAAAAAAGTTTCAACTCGGTGAGTCGAATGCACATATCACAAAGCAGTTTCTGAGAATGCTTTCCTCTATTTTTCCCAGGAAGATATTTCCTTTTGGACCGTAGGCCTCAAATCGCTCCAGATATCCACATGCAGATTCTACAAAAAGAGTGTTTCCAAACTGCCCTATCAAAAGGAAGATTCAACTCTGGTAGTTGAATGCAAACATCACAAAGAAGTTTCTCAGAATGCTTCTGTCTAGTTTTTAGAGGCAGATATTTCTTTTTCTACCATAGGCCTCAAAGCGCTCCAAATATCCACTTGCAGATTCTCCAAAAACAGTGTTTCAAAACTGCTCCATAAAAAGGAAGGTTCAACTCTGTGAGTTGAATGGACAGATCACAAAGTAGTTTCTGAGAATGCTTCTGCCTAGTGTTTATGTGAAGATATTCCCGTCTCCGATGAAGGCCTCAAAGCAGTCCAAATATCCACTTGCAGATTCTACAAAAATAGTGTCTCAAAACTACTCTATGGAAAGGTATGTTCAACACTGTGAGATGAATGCAAACGTCACAAAGAAGTTGCTGAGAATGCTTCAGTCTAGTTTCCATGGGAAGACATTTCCTTTGGCACCACAGCCCTCAAAGCACTCCAAATGTCTACTTGCAGATTCGACAAAAGAGTTTTTCAAAACTGCTCTATCAAAAGAAGGGTTCAACGCTGTCAGATGAATCAACATATCACAAAAAAGTTTCTGAGAATGCCTCTATCTACTTTTTCTGTGAAGATATTCCAGTTTCCAACGAAGGCCTCAAAGCGCTCCAAATATCTACTTGCAGATTCTAGAAGAAGAGTGTTTCAAAACTGCTCTATTAAAGGAAGGTTCAACTCTGTGAGTTGAATTCACACATCACAAAGAACTTTCTGACAATGCTTCTATCTAGTTTTTATGTGAAGGTATTACTGTTTCCTATGAAGGCCTCAAAGTGGTCCGAATATCCACTTGCAGATTCTACAAAAAGAGGTTTTCAAAACTGCTCTATGAAGAGGTATGTTCAACTCTGTGAGTTGAATGCAAACATCACAAAGTAGTTTCTGAGAATGCTTCTGTCTAGTTTTTAGGGGAAGATATCTCCATTGGCACAATAGCCCTCAAAGCGCTCCAAGTATCCACTGGCAGATTCTAGCAAAAGAGTGTTTCAAAACTGCTCTGTGAGAAGAAATGTTCAACTGTGTTAGTTGAATGCCCACATCACAAAGACGATTGTGAGAATATTTCTGTCTAGTTTTTATTAGAAGATATTCCCGTTTCCACCAAAGGACACAAAGCGAAGCCCATTATCCGCTTGCAGACCTTACAAAAACACGTTTCAAAACTGCTCTATCAAAGGAAAGGTTCATCTCTCTGGGTTCAACGCACACATCACAAAGAAGTTTCTGAGAATGCTTCTGGCTAGTTTGTGTGTGAAGATATTCCCATTTCCAACAAAGGCTTCAAAGCGCTCCAAAGATTCACCTGCAATTGTTCAAAAGAGTGTTTCAAAACTGTTCTATCAAAAGGAAGGTTCAACTCTGTGAGTTGAAGGCACGCTTCACATAAATGTTTCCGAGAATGCTTCTTTCTAGTTTTTATGGGAAGATGTTTCCTTCTCCACCATAGCCCTCAAAGCGCTCCAAGTGTCCGCTGGCAGATTCCACAGAAACAGTGTTTCAAAACTGCTCTAACAAAAGAAAGATTCAACTCCGTGATTTGAATGCACACATCACAAAGCATTTTCTGTGAATCCTTCTGTCTAGTTTTTATATGAGGATATTTCCTTTTCTACCATGGGCATCAAAGGGTTCCAATTATCCAATTGTAGATTGCACAAATAGAGTGTTTCAAAACTGCTTCATGAGAAGGAAGATTCAAATTTGGGAGTAGAATGCACACATCACGAAGAAGTTTCTGAGAATGCTTCTGTCTAGTTTATATGTGAAGATATTCCCATTTCCAGCAAAGATCTCAAAGCTGTCCAAATATCCACTTGCGGATCCCACAAACAGAGTGTTTCAAAACTGCTCTACGGAAAGGTATGTTCAACTCTGTGAGTTTACTGCAGACATCCTAAAGAAGTTTCTGAGAATGCTGCTGTCTAGTTTAATGTGAATATATTTTCTTTTCCGCCATAGCCCTCAAAGAGCTCCAAATATCCACTTTCAGATTCTACAGAGTGTTTCAAAACTGCTCTATCAAAAAAAAGTTTCAACTCGGTGAGTCGAATGCACATATCACAAAGCAGTTTCTGAGAATGCTTTCGTCTATTTTTCCCAGGAAGATATTTCCTTTTTGACCATAGGCCTCAAATCGCTCCAGATATCCACATGCAGATTCTACAAAAAGAGTGTTTCCAAACTGCCCTATCAAAAGGAAGATTCAACTCTGGTAGTTGAATGCAAACATCACAAAGAAGTTTCTCAGAATGCTTCTGTCTAGTTTTTAGAGGCAGATATTTCTTTTTCTACCATAGGCCTCAAAGCGCTCCAAATATCCACTTGCAGATTCTCCAAAAACAGTGTTTCAAAACTGCTCCATAAAAAGGAAGGTTCAACTCTGTGAGTTGAATGGACAGATCACAAAGTAGTTTCTGAGAATGCTTCTGCCTAGTGTTTATGTGAAGATATTCCCGTCTCCGATGAAGGCCTCAAAGCAGTCCAAATATCCGCTTGCAGATTCTACAAAAATAGTGTCTCAAAACTACTCTATGGAAAGGTATGTTCAACACTGTGAGATGAATGCAAACGTCACAAAGAAGTTGCTGAGAATGCTTCAGTCTAGTTTCCATGGGAAGACATTTCCTTTGGCACCACAGCCCTCAAAGCACTCCAAATGTCTACTTGCAGATTCGACAAAAGAGTTTTTCAAAACTGCTCTATCAAAAGAAAGGTTCAACGCTGTCAGATGAATCAACATATCACAAAAAAGTTTCTGAGAATGCCTCTATCTACTTTTTCTGTGAAGATATTCCGGTTTCCAACGAAGGCCTCAAAGCGCTCCAAATATCTACTTGCAGATTCTAGAAGAAGAGTGTTTCAAAACTGCTCTATTAAAGGAAGGTTCAACTCTGTGAGTTGAATTCACACATCACAAAGAACTTTCTGACAATGCTTCTATCTAGTTTTTATGTGAAGGTATTACTGTTTCCTATGAAGGCCTCAAAGTGGTCCGAATATCCACTTGCAGATTCTACAAAGAGAGGTTTTCAAAACTGCTCTATGAAGAGGTATGTTCAACTCTGTGAGTTGAATGCAAACATCACAAAGTAGTTTCTGAGAATGCTTCTGTCTAGTTTTTAGGGGAAGATATCTCCATTGGCACAATAGCCCTCAAAGCGCTCCAAGTATCCACTGGCAGATCCTAGCAAAAGAGTGTTTCAAAACTGCTCTGTGAGAAGAAATGTTCAACTGTGTTAGTTGAATGCCCACATCACAAAGACGATTGTGAGAATATTTCTGTCTAGTTTTTATTAGAAGATATTCCCGTTTCCACCAAAGGACACAAAGCGAAGCCCATTATCCGCTTGCAGACCTTACAAAAACACGTTTCAAAACAGCTCTATCAAAGGAAAGGTTCATCTCTCTGGGTTCAACGCACACATCACAAAGAAGTTTCTGAGAATGCTTCTGGCTAGTTTGTGTGTGAAGATATTCCCATTTCCAACAAAGGCTTCAAAGCGCTCCAAAGATTCACCTGCAATTGTTCAAAAGAGTGTTTCAAAACTGTTCTATCAAAAGGAAGGTTCAACTCTGTGAGTTGAAGGCACGCTTCACATAAATGTTTCCGAGAATGCTTCTTTCTAGTTTTTATGGGAAGATGTTTCCTTCTCCACCATAGCCCTCAAAGCGCTCCAAGTGTCCGCTGGCAGATTCCACAGAAACAGTGTTTCAAAACTGCTCTAACAAAAGAAAGATTCAACTCCGTGATTTGAATGCACACATCACAAAGCATTTTCTGTGAATCCTTCTGTCTAGTTTTTATATGAGGATATTTCCTTTTCTACCATGGGCATCAAAGGGTTCCAATTATCCAATTGTAGATTGCACAAATAGAGTGTTTCAAAACTGCTTCATGAGAAGGAAGATTCAAATTTGGGAGTAGAATGCACACATCACGAAGAAGTTTCTGAGAATGCTTCTGTCTAGTTTATATGTGAAGATATTCCCATTTCCAGCAAAGATCTCAAAGCTGTCCAAATATCCACTTGCGGATCCCACAAACAGAGTGTTTCAAAACTGCTCTACAGAAAGGTATGTTCAACTCTGTGAGTTTACTGCAGACATCCTAAAGAAGTTTCTGAGAATGCTGCTGTCTAGTTTAATGTGAATATATTTTCTTTTCCGCCATAGCCCTCAAAGAGCTCCAAATATCCACTTTCAGATTCTACAGAGTGTTTCAAAACTGCTCTATCAAAAAAAAGTTTCAACTCGGTGAGTCGAATGCACATATCACAAAGCAGTTTCTGAGAATGCTTTCGTCTATTTTTCCCAGGAAGATATTTCCTTTTTGACCATAGGCCTCAAATCGCTCCAGATATCCACATGCAGATTCTACAAAAAGAGTGTTTCCAAACTGCCCTATCAAAAGGAAGATTCAACTCTGGTAGTTGAATGCAAACATCACAAAGAAGTTTCTCAGAATGCTTCTGTCTAGTTTTTAGAGGCAGATATTTCTTTTTCTACCATAGGCCTCAAAGCGCTCCAAATATCCACTTGCAGATTCTCCAAAAACAGTGTTTCAAAACTGCTCCATAAAAAGGAAGATTCAACTCTGTGAGTTGAATGGACAGATCACAAAGTAGTTTCTGAGAATGCTTCTGCCTAGTGTTTATGTGAAGATATTCCCGTCTCCGATGAAGGCCTCAAAGCAGTCCAAATATCCACTTGCAGATTCTACAAAAATAGTGTCTCAAAACTACTCTATGGAAAGGTATGTTCAACACTGTGAGATGAATGCAAACGTCACAAAGAAGTTGCTGAGAATGCTTCAGTCTAGTTTCCATGGGAAGACATTTCCTTTGGCACCACAGCCCTCAAAGCACTCCAAATGTCTACTTGCAGATTCGACAAAAGAGTTTTTCAAAACTGCTCTATCAAAAGAAAGGTTCAACGCTGTCAGATGAATCAACATATCACAAAAAAGTTTCTGAGAATGCCTCTATCTACTTTTTCTGTGAAGATATTCCGGTTTCCAACGAAGGCCTCAAAACGCTCCAAATATCTACTTGCAGATTCTAGAAGAAGAGTGTTTCAAAACTGCTCTATTAAAGGAAGGTTCAACTCTGTGAGTTGAATTCACACATCACAAAGAACTTTCTGACAATGCTTCTATCTAGTTTTTATGTGAAGGTATTACTGTTTCCTATGAAGGCCTCAAAGTGGTCCGAATATCCACTTGCAGATTCTACAAAAAGAGGTTTTCAAAACTGCTCTATGAAGAGGTATGTTCAACTCTGTGAGTTGAATGCAAACATCACAAAGTAGTTTCTGAGAATGCTTCTGTCTAGTTTTTAGGGGAAGATATCTCCATTGGCACAATAGCCCTCAAAGCGCTCCAAGTATCCACTGGCAGATTCTAGCAAAAGAGTGTTTCAAAACTGCTCTGTGAGAAGAAATGTTCAACTGTGTTAGTTGAATGCCCACATCACAAAGACGATTGTGAGAATATTTCTGTCTAGTTTTTATTAGAAGATATTCCCGTTTCCACCAAAGGACACAAAGCGAAGCCCATTATCCGCTTGCAGACCTTACAAAAACACGTTTCA
This sequence comes from Homo sapiens, assembly GCF_000001405.40. Classification (NCBI taxonomy): domain Eukaryota; kingdom Metazoa; phylum Chordata; class Mammalia; order Primates; family Hominidae; genus Homo; species Homo sapiens. The sequence continues at coordinate 50,124,286 of NC_000005.10, forward strand.
AAACTGCTCTATCAAAGGAAAGGTTCATCTCTCTGGGTTCAACGCACACATCACAAAGATGTTTCTGAGAATGCTTCTGGCTAGTTTGTGTGTGAAGATATTCCCATTTCCAACAAAGGCTTCAAAGCGCTCCAAAGATTCACCTGCAATTGTTCAAAAGAGTGTTTCAAAACTGTTCTATCAAAAGGAAGGTTCAACTCTGTGAGTTGAAGGCACGCTTCACATAAATGTTTCCGAGAATGCTTCTTTCTAGTTTTTATGGGAAGATGTTTCCTTCTCCACCATAGCCCTCAAAGCGCTCCAAGTGTCCGCTGGCAGATTCCACAGAAACAGTGTTTCAAAACTGCTCTAACAAAAGAAAGATTCAACTCCGTGATTTGAATGCACACATCACAAAGCATTTTCTGTGAATCCTTCTGTCTAGTTTTTATATGAGGATATTTCCTTTTCTACCATGGGCATCAAAGGGTTCCAATTATCCAATTGTAAATTGCACAAATAGAGAGTTATAAAACTGCTTCATGAGAAGGAAGATTCAAATTTGGGAGTAGAATGCACACATCACGAAGAAGTTTCTGAGAATGCTTCTGTCTAGTTTATATGTGAAGATATTCCCATTTCCAGCAAAGATCTCAAAGCTGTCCAAATATCCACTTGCGGATCCCACAAACAGAGTGTTTCAAAACTGCTCTACGGAAAGGTATGTTCAACTCTGTGAGTTTACTGCAGACATCCTAAAGAAGTTTCTGAGAATGCTGCTGTCTAGTTTAATGTGAATATATTTTCTTTTCCGCCATAGCCCTCAAAGAGCTCCAAATATCCACTTTCAGATTCTACAGAGTGTTTCAAAACTGCTCTATCAAAAAAAAGTTTCAACTCGGTGAGTCGAATGCACATATCACAAAGCAGTTTCTGAGAATGCTTTCGTCTATTTTTCCAAGGAAGATATTTCCTTTTTGACCATAGGCCTCAAATCGCTCCAGATATCCACATGCAGATTCTACAAAAAGAGTGTTTCCAAACTGCCCTATCAAAAGGAAGATTCAACTCTGGTAGTTGAATGCAAACATCACAAAGAAGTTTCTCAGAATGCTTCTGTCTAGTTTTTAGAGGCAGATATTTCTTTTTCTACCATAGGCCTCAAAGCGCTCCAAATATCCACTTGCAGATTCTCCAAAAACAGTGTTTCAAAACTGCTCCATAAAAAGGAAGGTTCAACTCTGTGAATTGAATGGACAGATCACAAAGTAGTTTCTGAGAATGCTTCTGCCTAGTGTTTATGTGAAGATATTCCCGTCTCCGATGAAGGCCTCAAAGCAGTCCAAATATCCGCTTGCAGATTCTACAAAAATAGTGTCTCAAAACTACTCTATGGAAAGGTATGTTCAACACTGTGAGATGAATGCAAACGTCACAAAGAAGTTGCTGAGAATGCTTCAGTCTAGTTTCCATGGGAAGACATTTCCTTTGGCACCACAGACCTCAAAGCACTCCAAATGTCTACTTGCAGATTCGACAAAAGAGTTTTTCAAAACTGCTCTATCAAAAGAAAGGTTCAACGCTGTCAGATGAATCAACATATCACAAAAAAGTTTCTGAGAATGCCTCTATCTACTTTTTCTGTGAAGATATTCCGGTTTCCAACGAAGGCCTCAAAGCGCTCCAAATATCTACTTGCAGATTCTAGAAGAAGAGTGTTTCAAAACTGCTCTATTAAAGGAAGGTTCAACTCTGTGAGTTGAATTCACACATCACAAAGAACTTTCTGACAATGCTTCTATCTAGTTTTTATGTGAAGGTATTACTGTTTCCTATGAAGGCCTCAAAGTGGTCCGAATATCCACTTGCAGATTCTACAAAAAGAGGTTTTCAAAACTGCTCTATGAAGAGGTATGTTCAACTCTGTGAGTTGAATGCAAACATCACAAAGTAGTTTCTGAGAATGCTTCTGTCTAGTTTTTAGGGGAAGATATCTCCATTGGCACAATAGCCCTCAAAGCGCTCCAAGTATCCACTGGCAGATTCTAGCAAAAGAGTGTTTCAAAACTGCTCTGTGAGAAGAAATGTTCAACTGTGTTAGTTGAATGCCCACATCACAAAGACGATTGTGAGAATATTTCTGTCTAGTTTTTATTAGAAGATATTCCCGTTTCCACCAAAGGACACAAAGCGAAGCCCATTATCCGCTTGCAGACCTTACAAAAACACGTTTCAAAACTGCTCTATCAAAGGAAAGGTTCATCTCTCTGGGTTCAACGCACACATCACAAAGAAGTTTCTGAGAATGCTTCTGGCTAGTTTGTGTGTGAAGATATTCCCATTTCCAACAAAGGCTTCAAAGCGCTCCAAAGATTCACCTGCAATTGTTCAAAAGAGTGTTTCAAAACTGTTCTATCAAAAGGAAGGTTCAACTCTGTGAGTTGAAGGCACGCTTCACATAAATGTTTCCGAGAATGCTTCTTTCTAGTTTTTATGGGAAGATGTTTCCTTCTCCACCATAGCCCTCAAAGCGCTCCAAGTGTCCGCTGGCAGATTCCACAGAAACAGTGTTTCAAAACTGCTCTAACAAAAGAAAGATTCAACTCCGTGATTTGAATGCACACATCACAAAGCATTTTCTGTGAATCCTTCTGTCTAGTTTTTATATGAGGATATTTCCTTTTCTACCATGGGCATCAAAGGGTTCCAATTATCCAATTGTAGATTGCACAAATAGAGAGTTTCAAAACTGCTTCATGAGAAGGAAGATTCAAATTTGGGAGTAGAATGCGCACATCACGAAGAAGTTTCTGAGAATGCTTCTGTCTAGTTTATATGTGAAGATATTCCCATTTCCAGCAAAGATCTCAAAGCTGTCCAAATATCCACTTGCGGATCCCACAAACAGAGTGTTTCAAAACTGCTCTATGGAAAGGTATGTTCAACTCTGTGAGTTTACTGCAGACATCCTAAAGAAGTTTCTGAGAATGCTGCTGTCTAGTTTAATGTGAATATATTTTCTTTTCCGCCATAGCCCTCAAAGAGCTCCAAATATCCACTTTCAGATTCTACAGAGTGTTTCAAAACTGCTCTATCAAAAAAAAGTTTCAACTCGGTGAGTCGAATGCACATATCACAAAGCAGTTTCTGAGAATGCTTTCGTCTATTTTTCCCAGGAAGATATTTCCTTTTTGACCATAGGCCTCAAATCGCTCCAGATATCCACATGCAGATTCTACAAAAAGAGTGTTTCCAAACTGCCCTATCAAAAGGAAGATTCAACTCTGGTAGTTGAATGCAAACATCACAAAGAAGTTTCTCAGAATGCTTCTGTCTAGTTTTTAGAGGCAGATATTTCTTTTTCTACCATAGGCCTCAAAGCGCTCCAAATATCCACTTGCAGATTCTCCAAAAACAGTGTTTCAAAACTGCTCCATAAAAAGGAAGGTTCAACTCTGTGAGTTGAATGGACAGATCACAAAGTAGTTTCTGAGAATGCTTCTGCCTAGTGTTTATGTGAAGATATTCCCGTCTCCGATGAAGGCCTCAAAGCAGTCCAAATATCCACTTGCAGATTCTACAAAAATAGTGTCTCAAAACTACTCTATGGAAAGGTATGTTCAACACTGTGAGATGAATGCAAACGTCACAAAGAAGTTGCTGAGAATGCTTCAGTCTAGTTTCCATGGGAAGACATTTCCTTTGGCACCACAGCCCTCAAAGCACTCCAAATGTCTACTTGCAGATTCGACAAAAGAGTTTTTCAAAACTGCTCTATCAAAAGAAAGGTTCAACGCTGTCAGATGAATCAACATATCACAAAAAAGTTTCTGAGAATGCCTCTATCTACTTTTTCTGTGAAGATATTCCGGTTTCCAACGAAGGCCTCAAAGCGCTCCAAATATCTACTTGCAGATTCTAGAAGAAGAGTGTTTCAAAACTGCTCTATTAAAGGAAGGTTCAACTCTGTGAGTTGAATTCACACATCACAAAGAACTTTCTGACAATGCTTCTATCTAGTTTTTATGTGAAGGTATTACTGTTTCCTATGAAGGCCTCAAAGTGGTCCGAATATCCACTTGCAGATTCTACAAAAAGAGGTTTTCAAAACTGCTCTATGAAGAGGTATGTTCAACTCTGTGAGTTGAATGCAAACATCACAAAGTAGTTTCTGAGAATGCTTCTGTCTAGTTTTTAGGGGAAGATATCTCCATTGGCACAATAGCCCTCAAAGCGCTCCAAGTATCCACTGGCAGATTCTAGCAAAAGAGTGTTTCAAAACTGCTCTGTGAGAAGAAATGTTCAACTGTGTTAGTTGAATGCCCACATCACAAAGACGATTGTGAGAATATTTCTGTCTAGTTTTTATTAGAAGATATTCCCGTTTCCACCAAAGGACACAAAGCGAAGCCCATTATCCGCTTGCAGACCTTACAAAAACACGTTTCAAAACTGCTCTATCAAAGGAAAGGTTCATCTCTCTGGGTTCAACGCACACATCACAAAGAAGTTTCTGAGAATGCTTCTGGCTAGTTTGTGTGTGAAGATATTCCCATTTCCAACAAAGGCTTCAAAGCGCTCCAAAGATTCACCTGCAATTGTTCAAAAGAGTGTTTCAAAACTGTTCTATCAAAAGGAAGGTTCAACTCTGTGAGTTGAAGGCACGCTTCACATAAATGTTTCCGAGAATGCTTCTTTCTAGTTTTTATGGGAAGATGTTTCCTTCTCCACCATAGCCCTCAAAGCGCTCCAAGTGTCCGCTGGCAGATTCCACAGAAACAGTGTTTCAAAACTGCTCTAACAAAAGAAAGATTCAACTCCGTGATTTGAATGCACACATCACAAAGCATTTTCTGTGAATCCTTCTGTCTAGTTTTTATATGAGGATATTTCCTTTTCTACCATGGGCATCAAAGGTTTCCAATTATCCAATTGTAGATTGCACAAATAGAGAGTTATAAAACTGCTTCATGAGAAGGAAGATTCAAATTTGGGAGTAGAATGCACACATCACGAAGAAGTTTCTGAGAATGCTTCTGTCTAGTTTATATGTGAAGATATTCCCATTTCCAGCAAAGATCTCAAAGCTGTCCAAATATCCACTTGCGGATCCCACAAACAGAGTGTTTCAAAACTGCTCTACGGAAAGGTATGTTCAACTCTGTGAGTTTACTGCAGACATCCTAAAGAAGTTTCTGAGAATGCTGCTGTCTAGTTTAATGTGAATATATTTTCTTTTCCGCCATAGCCCTCAAAGAGCTCCAAATATCCACTTTCAGATTCTACAGAGTGTTTCAAAACTGCTCTATCAAAAAAAAGTTTCAACTCGGTGAGTCGAATGCACATATCACAAAGCAGTTTCTGAGAATGCTTTCGTCTATTTTTCCCAGGAAGATATTTCCTTTTTGACCATAGGCCTCAAATCGCTCCAGATATCCACATGCAGATTCTACAAAAAGAGTGTTTCCAAACTGCCCTATCAAAAGGAAGATTCAACTCTGGTAGTTGAATGCAAACATCACAAAGAAGTTTCTCAGAATGCTTCTGTCTAGTTTTTAGAGGCAGATATTTCTTTTTCTACCATAGGCCTCAAAGCGCTCCAAATATCCACTTGCAGATTCTCCAAAAACAGTGTTTCAAAACTGCTCCATAAAAAGGAAGGTTCAACTCTGTGAGTTGAATGGACAGATCACAAAGTAGTTTCTGAGAATGCTTCTGCCTAGTGTTTATGTGAAGATATTCCCGTCTCCGATGAAGGCCTCAAAGCAGTCCAAATATCCGCTTGCAGATTCTACAAAAATAGTGTCTGAAAACTACTCTATGGAAAGGTATGTTCAACACTGTGAGATGAATGCAAACGTCACAAAGAAGTTGCTGAGAATGCTTCAGTCTAGTTTCCATGGGAAGACATTTCCTTTGGCACCACAGCCCTCAAAGCACTCCAAATGTCTACTTGCAGATTCAACAAAAGAGTTTTTCAAAACTGCTCTATCAAAAGAAAGGTTCAACGCTGTCAGATGAATCAACATATCACAAAAAAGTTTCTGAGAATGCCTCTATCTACTTTTTCTGTGAAGATATTCCGGTTTCCAACGAAGGCCTCAAAGCGCTCCAAATATCTACTTGCAGATTCTAGAAGAAGAGTGTTTCAAAACTGCTCTATTAAAGGAAGGTTCAACTCTGTGAGTTGAATTCACACATCACAAAGAACTTTCTGACAATGCTTCTATCTAGTTTTTATGTGAAGGTATTACTGTTTCCTATGAAGGCCTCAAAGTGGTCCGAATATCCACTTGCAGATTCTACAAAAAGAGGTTTTCAAAACTGCTCTATGAAGAGGTATGTTCAACTCTGTGAGTTGAATGCAAACATCACAAAGTAGTTTCTGAGAATGCTTCTGTCTAGTTTTTAGGGGAAGATATCTCCATTGGCACAATAGCCCTCAAAGCGCTCCAAGTATCCACTGGCAGATTCTAGCAAAAGAGTGTTTCAAAACTGCTCTGTGAGAAGAAATGTTCAACTGTGTTAGTTGAATGCCCACATCACAAAGACGATTGTGAGAATATTTCTGTCTAGTTTTTATTAGAAGATATTCCCGTTTCCACCAAAGGACACAAAGCGAAGCCCATTATCCGCTTGCAGACCTTACAAAAACACGTTTCAAAACTGCTCTATCAAAGGAAAGGTTCATCTCTCTGGGTTCAACGCACACATCACAAAGAAGTTTCTGAGAATGCTTCTGGCTAGTTTGTGTGTGAAGATATTCCCATTTCCAACAAAGGCTTCAAAGCGCTCCAAAGATTCACCTGCAATTGTTCAAAAGAGTGTTTCAAAACTGTTCTATCAAAAGGAAGGTTCAACTCTGTGAGTTGAAGGCACGCTTCACATAAATGTTTCCGAGAATGCTTCTTTCTAGTTTTTATGGGAAGATGTTTCCTTCTCCACCATAGCCCTCAAAGCGCTCCAAGTGTCCGCTGGCAGATTCCACAGAAACAGTGTTTCAAAACTGCTCTAACAAAAGAAAGATTCAACTCCGTGATTTGAATGCACACATCACAAAGCATTTTCTGTGAATCCTTCTGTCTAGTTTTTATATGAGGATATTTCCTTTTCTACCATGGGCATCAAAGGGTTCCAATTATCCAATTGTAGATTGCACAAATAGAGTGTTTCAAAACTGCTTCATGAGAAGGAAGATTCAAATTTGGGAGTAGAATGCACACATCACGAAGAAGTTTCTGAGAATGCTTCTGTCTAGTTTATATGTGAAGATATTCCCATTTCCAGCAAAGATCTCAAAGCTGTCCAAATATCCACTTGCGGATCCCACAAACAGAGTGTTTCAAAACTGCTCTACGGAAAGGTATGTTCAACTCTGTGAGTTTACTGCAGACATCCTAAAGAAGTTTCTGAGAATGCTGCTGTCTAGTTTAATGTGAATATATTTTCTTTTCCGCCATAGCCCTCAAAGAGCTCCAAATATCCACTTTCAGATTCTACAGAGTGTTTCAAAACTGCTCTATCAAAAAAATGTTTCAACTCGGTGAGTCGAATGCACATATCACAAAGCAGTTTCTGAGAATGCTTTCGTCTATTTTTCCCAGGAAGATATTTCCTTTTTGACCATAGGCCTCAAATCGCTCCAGATATCCACATGCAGATTCTACAAAAAGAGTGTTTCCAAACTGCCCTATCAAAAGGAAGATTCAACTCTGGTAGTTGAATGCAAACATCACAAAGAAGTTTCTCAGAATGCTTCTGTCTAGTTTTTAGAGGCAGATATTTCTTTTTCTACCATAGGCCTCAAAGCGCTCTAAATATCCACTTGCAGATTCTCCAAAAACAGTGTTTCAAAACTGCTCCATAAAAAGGAAGGTTCAACTCTGTGAGTTGAATGGACAGATCACAAAGTAGTTTCTGAGAATGCTTCTGCCTAGTGTTTATGTGAAGATATTCCCGTCTCCGATGAAGGCCTCAAAGCAGTCCAAATATCCACTTGCAGATTCTACAAAAATAGTGTCTCAAAACTACTCTATGGAAAGGTATGTTCAACACTGTGAGATGAATGCAAACGTCACAAAGAAGTTGCTGAGAATGCTTCAGTCTAGTTTCCATGGGAAGACATTTCCTTTGGCACCACAGCCCTCAAAGCACTCCAAATGTCTACTTGCAGATTCGACAAAAGAGTTTTTCAAAACTGCTCTATCAAAAGAAAGGTTCAACGCTGTCAGATGAATCAACATATCACAAAAAAGTTTCTGAGAATGCCTCTATCTACTTTTTCTGTGAAGATATTCCGGTTTCCAACAAAGGCCTCAAAGCGCTCCAAATATCTACTTGCAGATTCTAGAAGAAGAGTGTTTCAAAACTGCTCTATTAAAGGAAGGTTCAACTCTGTGAGTTGAATTCACACATCACAAAGAACTTTCTGACAATGCTTCTATCTAGTTTTTATGTGAAGGTATTACTGTTTCCTATGAAGGCCTCAAAGTGGTCCGAATATCCACTTGCAGATTCTACAAAAAGAGGTTTTCAAAACTGCTCTATGAAGAGGTATGTTCAACTCTGTGAGTTGAATGCAAACATCACAAAGTAGTTTCTGAGAATGCTTCTGTCTAGTTTTTAGGGGAAGATATCTCCATTGGCACAATAGCCCTCAAAGCGCTCCAAGTATCCACTGGCAGATTCTAGCAAAAGAGTGTTTCAAAACTGCTCTGTGAAAAGAAATGTTCAACTGTGTTAGTTGAATGCCCACATCACAAAGACGATTGTGAGAATATTTCTGTCTAGTTTTTATTAGAAGATATTCCCGTTTCCACCAAAGGACACAAAGCGAAGCCCATTATCCGCTTGCAGACCTTACAAAAACACGTTTCAAAACTGCTCTATCAAAGGAAAGGTTCATCTCTCTGGGTTCAACGCACACATCACAAAGAAGTTTCTGAGAATGCTTCTGGCTAGTTTGTGTGTGAAGATATTCCCATTTCCAACAAAGGCTTCAAAGCGCTCCAAAGATTCACCTGCAATTGTTCAAAAGAGTGTTTCAAAACTGTTCTATCAAAAGGAAGGTTCAACTCTGTGAGTTGAAGGCACGCTTCACATAAATGTTTCCGAGAATGCTTCTTTCTAGTTTTTATGTGAAGATATTTCCTTCTCCACCATAGCCCTCAAAGCGCTCCAAGTGTCCGCTGGCAGATTCCACAGAAACAGTGTTTCAAAACTGCTCTAACAAAAGAAAGATTCAACTCCATGATTTGAATGCACACATCACAAAGCATTTTCTGTGAATCCTTCTGTCTAGTTTTTATATGAGGATATTTCCTTTTCTACCATGGGCATCAAAGCGTTCCAATTATCCCATTGTAGATTGGACAAATAGAGTGTTTCAAAACTGCTTCATGAAAAGGAAGATTCAAATTTGGGAGTAGAATGCACACATCACGAAGAAGTTTCTGAGAATGCTTCTGTCTAGTTTATATGTGAAGATATTCCCATTTCCAGCAAAGGTCTCAAAGCGGTCCAAATATCCACTTGCGGATCCCACAAACAGAGTGTTTCAAAACTGCTCTACGGAAAGGTATGTTCAACTCTGTGAGTTTACTGTAAACATCCTAAAGAAGTTTCTGAGAGTGCTGCTGTCTAGTTTAATGTGAATATATTTTCTTTTCCGCCATAACCCTCAAAGAGCTCCTAATATCCACTTTCAGTTTCTACAGAGTGTTTCAAAACTGCTCTATCAAAAAAAAGTTTCAACTCGGTGAGTCGAATGCACATATCACAAAGCAGTTTCTGAGAATGCTTTCGTCTATTTCTCCCAGGAAGATATTTCCTTTTTGACCGTAGGCCTCAAATCGCTCCAGATATCCACATGCAGATTCTACAAAAAGAGTGTTTCCAAACTGCCCTATCAAAAGGAAGGTTCAACTCTGGTAGTTGAATGCAAACATCACAAAGAAGTTTCTCAGAATGCTTCTGTCTAGTTGTTATAGGCAGATATTTCTTTTTCTACCATAGGCCACAAAGCGCTCCAAATATCCACTTGAAGATTCTCCAAAAACAGTGTTTCAAAACTGCTCCATAAAAAGGAAGGTTCAACTCTGTGAGTTGAATGGACAGATCACAAAGAAGTTTCTGAGAATGCTTCTGTCTAGTGTTTATGTGAAGATATTCCCGTTTCCGATTTAGGCCTCAAAGCAGTCCAAATATCCACTTGCAGATTCTACAAAAATAGTGTTTCAAAACTACTCTATGGAAAGGTATGTTCAACACTGTGAGATGAATGCAAACGTCACAAAGAAGTTGCTGAGAATGCTTCAGTCTAGTTTCTATGGGAAGACATTTCCTTTTGCACCACAGCCCTCAAAGCACTCCAAATGTCTACATGCAGATTCGATAAAAGAGTTTTTCAAAACTGCTCTATCAAAAGAAAGGTTCAAAGCTGTGAGTTGAATCTACATATCACAAAAAAGTTTCTGAGAATGCCTCTATCTACTTTTTATGTGAAGATATTCCGGTTTCCAACGAAGGCCTCAATGCGCTCCAAATATCTACTTGCAGATTCTAGAAAAAGAGTGTTTCAAAACTGCTCTATTAAAGGAAGGTTCAACTCTGTGAGTTGAATTCACACATCACAAAGAACTTTCTGACAATGCTTCTGTCTAGTTTTTATGTGAAGATATTACTGTTTCCTATGAAGGCCTCAAAGTGGTCCGAATATCCACTTGCAGATTCTACAAAAAGAGGTTTGCAAAACTGCTCTATGAAGAGGTATGTTCACCTGTGTGAGTTGAATGCAAACATCACAAAGCAGTTTCTGAGAATGTTTCTGTCTAGTTTTTAGGGGAAGATATTTCCATTGGCACAATAGCCCTCAAAGCGCTCAAAATATCCACTGGCAGATTCTACCAAAAGAGTCTTTCAAAACTGCTCTGTGAAAAGAAATGTTCAACTGTGTTAGTTGAATGCCCACATCACAAAGAAGATTCTGAGAATATTTCTGTCTAGTTTTTATTAGAAGATATTCCCGTTTCCACCAAAGGACACAACGCGAAGCCAATTATCTGCTTGCAGATGTGAGGAAAACACGTTTCAAAACAGCTCTATCAAAGGAAAGGTTCATCTCTCTGGGTTCAACGCACACATCACAAAGAAGTTTCTGAGAATGCTTCTGGCTAGTTTGTGTGTGAATATATTCCTATTTCCAACAAAGGCTTCAAAGCGCTCCAAAGATTCACCTGCAATTGTTCAAAAGAGTGTTTCAAAACTGTTCTGTGAAAAGAAATGTTCAACTGTGTTAGTTGAATGCCCACATCACAAAGAAGATTCTGAGAATATTTCTGTCTAGTTTTTATTAGAAGATATTCCCGTTTCCACCAAAGGACACAAAGCGAAGCCAATTATCCGCTTGCAGATCTTACAAAAACACGTTTCAAAACTGCTCTATCAAAGGAAAGGTTCATCTCTCTGGGTTCAACGCACACATCACAAAGAAGTTTCTGAGAATGCTTCTGGCTAGTTTGTGTGTGAAGATATTCCCATTTCCAACAAAGGCTTCAAAGCGCTCCAAAGATTCACCTGCAATTGTTCAAAAGAGTGTTTCAAAACTGTTCTCTCAAAAGAAAGGTTCAACTCTGTGAGTTGAATGCACGCTTCACATAAATGTTTCCGAGAATGCTTCTTTCTAGTTTTTATGGGAAGATATTTCCTTCTCCACCATAGCCCTCAAAGCGCTCCAAGTGTCCACTGGCAGATTCCACAGAAACAGTGTTTCAAAACTGCTCTAACAAAAGAAAGATTCAACTCCATGATTTGAATGCACACATCACAAAGCATTTTCTGTGAATCCTTCTGTCTAGTTTTTATATGAGGATATTTCCTTTTCTACCATGGGCATCAAAGCGTTCCAATTATCCCATTGTAGATTGGACAAATAGAGTGTTTCAAAACTGCTTCATGAAAAGGAAGATTCAAATTTGGGAGTAGAATGCACACATCACGAAGAAGTTTCTGAGAATGCTTCTGTCTAGTTTATATGTGAAGATATTCCCATTTCCAGCAAAGGTCTCAAAGCGGTCCAAATATCCACTTGCGGATCCCACAAACAGAGTGTTTCAAAACTGCTCTACGGAAAGGTATGTTCAACTCTGTGAGTTTACTGTAAACATCCTAAAGAAGTTTCTGAGAGTGCTGCTGTCTAGTTTAATGTGAATATATTTTCTTTTCCGCCATAACCCTCAAAGAGCTCCTAATATCCACTTTCAGTTTCTACAGAGTGTTTCAAAACTGCTCTATCAAAAAAAAGTTTCAAATCGGTGAGTCGAATGCACATATCACAAAGCAGTTTCTGAGAATGCTTTCGTCTATTTTTCCCAGGAAGATATTTCCTTTTTGACCATAGGCCTCAAATCGCTCCAGATATCCACATGCAGATTCTACAAAAAGAGTGTTTCCAAACTGCCCTATCAAAAGGAAGGTTCAACTAAGGTAGTTGAATGCAAACATCACAAAGAAGTTTCTCAGAATGCTTCTGTCTAGTTGTTATAGGCAGATATTTCTTTTTCTACCATAGGCCACAAAGCGCTCCAAATATCTACTTGAAGATTCTCCAAAAACAGTGTTTCAAAACTGCTCCATAAAAAGGAAGGTTCAACTCTGTGAGTTGAATGGACAGATCACAAAGAAGTTTCTGAGAATGCTTCTGTCTAGTGTTTATGTGAATATATTCCCGTTTCCGATGGAGGCCTCAAAGCAGTCCAAATATCCACTTGCAGATTCTACAAAAATAGTGTTTCAAATCTACTCTATGGAAAGGTATGTTCAACACTGTGAGATGAATGCAAACGTCACAAAGAAGTTGCTGAGAATGCTTCAGTCTAGTTTCTATGGGAAGACATTTCCTTTTACACCACAGCCCTCAAAGCACTCCAAATGTCTACATGCAGATTCGATAAAAGAGTTTTTCAAAACTGCTCTATCAAAAGAAAGGTTCAACGCTGTGAGTTGAATCTACATATCACAAAAAAGTTTCTGAGAATGCCTCTATCTACTTTTTGTGTGAAGATATTCCGGTTTCCAACGAAGGCCTCAATGCGCTCCAAATATCTACTTGCAGATTCTAGAAAAAGAGTGTTTCAAAACTGCTCTATTAAAGGAAGGTTCAACTCTGTGAGTTGAATTCACACATCACAAAGAACTTGCTGACAATGCTTCTATCTAGTTTTTATGTGAAGATATTACTGTTTCCTATGAAGGCCTCAAAGTGGTCCGAATATCCACTTGCAGATTCTACAAAAAGAGGTTTGCAAAACTGCTCTATGAAGAGGTATGTTCACCTCTGTGAGTTGAATGCAAACATCACAAAGCAGTTTCTGAGAATGCTTCTGTCTAGTTTTTAGGGGAAGATATTTCCATTGGCACAATAGCCCTCAAAGCGCTCCAAATATCCACTGGCAGATTCTACCAAAAGAGTCTTTCAAAACTGCTCTGTGAAAAGAAATGTTCAACTGTGTTAGTTGAATGCCCACATCACAAAGAAGATTCTGAGAATATTTCTGTCTAGTTTTTATTAGAAGATATTCCCGTTTCCACCAAAGGACACAAAGCGAAGCCAATTATCCGCTTGCAGATGTTAGAAAAACACGTTTCAAAACTGCTCTATCAAAGGAAAGGTTCATCTCTCTGGGTTCAACGCACACATCACAAAGAAGTTTCTGAGAATGCTTCTGGCTAGTTTGTGTGTTTGAAGATATTCCCATTTCCAACAAAGCCTTCAAAGCGCTCCAAGATTCTCCTGCAATTGTTCAAAAGAGTGTTTCAAAACTGTTCTGTGAAAAGAAATGTTCAACTGTGTTAGTTGAATGCCCACATCACAAAGAAGATTCTGAGAATATTTCTGTCTAGTTTTTATTAGAAGATATTCCCGTTTCCACCAAAGGACACAAAGCGAAGCCAATTATCCGCTTGCAGATCTTACAAAAACACGTTTCAAAACTGCTCTATCAAAGGAAAGGTTCATCTCTCTGGGTTCAACGCACACATCACAAAGAAGTTTCTGAGAATGCTTCTGGCTAGTTTGTGTGTGAAGATATTCCCATTTCCAACAAAGCCTTCAAAGCACTCCAAAGATTCACCTGCAATTGTTCAAAAGAGTGTTTCAAAACTGTTCTCTCAAAAGAAAGGTTCAACTCTGTGAGTTGAATGCACGCTTCACATAAATGTTTCCGAGAATGCTTCTTTCTAGTTTTTATGTGAAGATATTTGCTTCTCCACCATAGCCCTCAAAGCGCTCCAAGTGTCCGCTGGCAGATTCCACAGAAACAGTGTTTCAAAACTGCTCTAACAAAAGAAAGATTCAACTCCGTGATTTGAATGCACACATCACAAAGCATTTTCTGTGAATCCTTCTGTCTAGTTTTTATATGAGGATATTTCCTTTTCTACCATGGGCATCAAAGCGTTCCAATTATCCCATTGTAGATTGGACAAATAGAGTGTTTCAAAACTGCTTCATGAAAAGGAAGATTCAAATTTGGGAGTAGAATGCACACATCACGAAGAAGTTTCTGAGAATGCTTCTGTCTAGTTCATATGTGAAGATATTCCCATTTCCAGCAAAGGTCTCAAAGCGGTCCAAATATCCACTTGCGGATCCCGCAAACAGAGTGTTTCAAAACTGCTCTACAGAAAGGTATGTTCAACTCTGTGAGTTTACTGTAAACATCCTAAAGAAGTTTCTGGGAGTGCTGCTGTCTAGTTTAATGTGAATATATTTTCTTTTCCGCCATAGCCCTCAAAGAGCTCCAAATATCCACTTTCAGATCCTACAGAGTGTTTCAAAACTGCTCTATCCAAAAAAAGTTTCAACTCGGAGAGTCGAATGCACATATCACAAAGCAGTTTCTGAGAATGCTTTCGTCTATTTTTCCCAGGAAGTTATTTCCTTTTTGACCATAGGCCTCAAATCGCTCCAGATATCCACATGCAGATTCTACAAAAAGAGTGTTTCCAAACTGCCCTATCAAAAGGAAGGTTCAACTCTGGTAGTTGAATGCAAACATCACAAAGAAGTTTCTCAGAATGCTTCTGTCTAGCTGTTATAGGCAGATATTTCTTTTTCTACCATAGGCCACAAAGCGCTCCAAATATCTACTTGCAGATTCTCCAAAAACAGTGTTTCAAAACTGCTCCATAAAAAGGAAGGTTCAACTCTGTGAGTTGAATGGACAGATCACAAAGAAGTTTCTGAGAATGCTTCTGTCTAGTGTTTATGTGAAGATATTCCCGTTTCCGATGAAGGCCTCAGAGCAGTCCAAATATCCACTTGCAGATTCTACAAAAATAGTGTTTCAAAACTACTCTATGGAAAGGTATGTTCAACACTGTGAGATGAATGCAAACGTCACAAAGAAGTTGCTGAGAATGCTTCAGTCTAGTTTCTATGTGAAGACATTTCCTTTTGCACCACAGCCCTCAAAGCACTCCAAATGTCCACATGCAGATTCGATAAAAGAGTTTTTCAAAACTGCTCTATCAAAAGAAAGGTTCAACGCTGTGAGTTGAATCTACATATCACAAAAAAGTTTCTGAGAATGCCTCTATCTACTTTTTATGTGAAGATATTCCGGATTCCAACGAAGGCCTCAAAGCGCTCCAAATATCTACTTGCAGATTCTAGAAAAAGAGTGTTTCTAAACTGCTCTATTAAAGGAAGGTTCAACTCTGTGAGTTGAATTCACACATCACAAAGAACTTTCTGACAATGCTTCTATCTAGTTTTTATGTGAAGATATTACTCTTTCCTATGAAGGCCTCAAAGTGGTCCGAATATCCACTTGCAGATTCTACAAAAAGAGGTTTGCAAAACTGCTCTATGAAGAGGTATGTTCACCTCTGTGAGTTGAATGCAAACATCACAAAGCAGTTTCTGAGAATGCTTCTGTCTAGTTTTTAGGGGAAGATATTTCCATTGGCACAATAGCCCTCAAAGCGCTCCAAATATCCACTGGCAGATTCTACCAAAAGAGTCTTTCAAAACTGCTCTGTGAAAAGAAATGTTCAACTGTGTTAGCTGAATGCCCACATCACAAAGAAGATTCTGAGAATATTTCTGTCTAGTTTTTATTACAAGATATTCCCGTTTCCACCAAAGGACACAACGCGAAGCCAATTATCCGCTTGCAGATGTTAGAAAAACACGTTTCAAAACAGCTCTATCAAAGGAAAGGTTCATCTCTCTGGGTTCAATGCACACATCACAAAGAAGTTTCTGAGAATGCTTCTGGCTAGTTTGTGTGTGAATATATTCCTATTTCCAACAAAGGCTTCAAAGCGCTCCAAAGATTCACCTGCAATTGTTCAAAAGAGTGTTTCAAAACTGTTCTGTGAAAAGAAATGTTCAACTGTGTTAGTTGAATGCCCACATCACAGAGAAGATTCTGAGAATATTTCTGTCTAGTTTTTATTAGAAGATATTCCCGTTTCCACCAAAGGACACAAAGCGAAGCCAATTATCCGCTTGCAGATCTTACAAAAACACGTTTCAAAACTGCTCTATCAAAGGAAAGGTTCATCTCTCTGGGTTCAACGCACACATCACAAAGAAGTTTCTGAGAATGCTTCTGGCTAGTTTGTGTGTGAAGATATTCCCATTTCCAACAAAGGCTTCAAAGCGCTCCAAAGATTCACCTGCAATTGTTCAAAAGAGTGTTTCAAAACTGTTCTATCAAAAGAAAGGTTCAACTCTGTGAGTTGAATGCACGCTTCACATAAATGTTTCCGAGAATGCTTCTTTCTAGTTTTTGTGTGAAGATATTTCCTTCTCCACCATAGCCCTCAAAGCGCTCCAAGTGTCCGCTGGCAGATTCCACAGAAACAGTGTTTCAAAAGTGCTCTAACAAAAGAAAGATTCAACTCCGTGATTTGAATGCACACATCACAAAGCATTTTCTGTGAATGCTTCCGTCTAGTTTTTATATGAGGATATTTCATTTTCTACCATGGGCATCAAAGCGTTCCAATTATCCCATTGTAGATTGCACAAACAGAGTGTTTCAAAACTGCTTCATGAAAAGGAAGATTCAAATTTGGGAGTAGAATGCACACATCACGGAGAAGTTTCTGAGAATGCTTCTGTCTAGTTTATATGTGAAGATATTCCCATTTCCAGCAAAGGTCTCAAAGCGGTCCAAATATCCACTTGCGGATCCCACAAACAGAGTGTTTCAAAACTGCTCTACGGAAAGGTATGTTCAACTCTGTGAGTTTACTGTAAACATCCTAAAGAAGTTTCTGAGAATGCTGCTGTCTAGTTTAATGTGAATATATTTTCTTTTCCGCCATAGCCCTCAAAGAGCTCCAAATATCCACTTTCAGATTCTACAGAGTGTTTCAAAACTGCTCTATCAAAAAAAAGTTTCAAATCGGTGAGTCGAATGCACATATCACAAAGCAGTTTCTGAGAATGCTTTCGTCTATTTTTCCCAGGAAGATATTTCCTTTTTGACAATAGGCCTCAAATCGCTCCAGATATCCACATGCAGATTCTAGAAAAAGAGTGTTTCCAAACTGCCCTATCAAAAGGAAGGTTCAACTCTGGTAGTTGAATGCAAACATCACAAAGAAGTTTCTCAGAATGCTTCTGTCTAGTTGTTATAGGCAGATATTTCTTTTTCTACCATAGGCCACAAAGCGCTCCAAATATCTACTTGCAGATTCTCCAAAAACAGTGTTTCAAAACTGCTCCATAAAAAGGAAGGTTCAACTCTGTGAGTTGAATGGACAGATCACAAAGAAGTTTCTGAGAATGCTTCTGTCTAGTGTTTATGTGAAGATATTCCCGTTTCCGATGAAGGCCTCAGAGCAGTCCAAATATCCACTTGCAGATTCTATAAAAATAGTGTTTCAAAACTACTCTATGGAAAGGTATGTTCAACACTGTGAGATGAATGCAAACGTCATAAAGAAGTTGCTGAGAATGCTTCAGTCTAGTTTCTATGGGAAGACATTTCCTTTTGCACCACAGCCCTTAATGCACTCCAAATGTCTACATGCAGATTCGATAAAAGAGTTTTTCAAAACTGCTCTATCTAAAGAAAGGTTCAACGCTGTGAGTTGAATCTACATATCACAAAAAAGTTTCTGAGAATGCCTCTATCTACTTTTTGTGTGAAGATATTCCGGTTTCCAACGAAGGCCTCAAAGCGCTCCAAATATCTACTTGCAGATTCTAGAAAAAGAGTGTTTCAAAACTGCTCTATTAAAGGAAGGTTCAACTCTGTGAGTTGAATTCACACATCACAAAGAACTTTCTGACAATGCTTCTATCTAGTTTTTATGTGAAGATATTACTGTTTCCTATGAAGGCCTCAAAGTGGTCCGAATATCCACTTGCAGATTCTACAAAAAGAGGTTTGCAAAACTGCTCTATGAAGAGGTATGTTCACCTCTGTGAGTTGAATGCAAACATCACAAAGCAGTTTCTGAGAATGCTTCTGTCTAGTTTTTAGGGGAATATATTTCCATTGGCACAATAACCCTCAAAGCGCTCCAAATATCCACTGGCAGATTCTACCAAAAGAGTCTTTCAAAACTGCTCTGTGAAAAGAAATGTTCAACTGTGTTAGTTGAATGCCCACATCACAAAGAAGATTCTGAGAATATTTCTGTCTAGTTTTTATTAGAAGATATTCCCGTTTCCACCAAAGGACACAACGCGAAGCCAATTATCCGCTTGCAGATGTTAGAAAAACACGTTTCAAAACAGCTCTATCAAAGGAAAGGTTCATCTCTCTGGGTTCAACGCACACATCACAAAGAAGTTTCTGAGAATGCTTCTGGCTAGTTTGTGTGTGAATATATTCCTATTTCCAACAAAGGCTTCAAAGCGCTCCAAAGATTCACCTGCAATTGTTCAAAAGAGTGTTTCAAAACTGTTCTGTGAAAAGAAATGTTCAACTGTGTTAGTTGAATGCCCACATCACAAAGAAGATTCTGAGAATATTTCTGTCTAGATTTTATTAGAAGATATTCCCGTTTCCACCAAAGGACACAAAGCGAAGCCAATTATCCGCTTGCAGATCTTACAAAAACACGTTTCAAAACTGCTCTATCAAAGGAAAGTTTCATCTCTCTGGGTTCAACGCACACATCACAAAGAAGTTTCTGAGAATGCTTCTGGCTAGTTTGTGTGTGAAGATATTCCCATTTCCAACAAAGCCTTCAAAGCGCTCCAAAGATTCACCTGCAATTGTTCAAAAGAGTGTTTCAAAACTGTTCTATCAAAAGAAAGGTTCAACTCTGTGAGTTGAATGCACGCTTCACATAAATGTTTCCGAGAATGCTTCTTTCTAGTTTTTATGTGAAGATATTTCCTTCTCCACCATAGCCCTCAAAGCGCTCCAAGTGTCCGCTGGCAGATTCCACAGAAACAGTGTTTCAAAACTGCTCTAACAAAAGAAAGATTCAACTCCGTGATTTGAATGCACACATCAAAAAGCATTTTCTGTGAATGCTTCCGTCTAGTTTTTATATGAGGATATTTCATTTTCTACCATGGGCATCAAAGGGTTCCAATTATCCAATTGTAGATTGCACAAATAGAGTGTTTCAAAACTGCTCTAATAAAAGAAAGATTCAACTCCGTGATTTGAATGCACACATCACAAAGCATTTTCTGTGAATCCTTCTGTCTAGTTTTTATATGAGGATATTTCCTTTTCTACCATGGGCATCAAAGCGTTCCAATTATCCCATTGTAGATTGCACAAATAGAGTGTTTCAAAACTGCTTCATGAAAAGGAAGATTCAAATTTGGGGGTAGAATGCACACATCACGAAGAAGTTTCTGAGAATGCTTCTGTCTAGTTTATATGTGAAGATATTCCCATTTCCAGCATAGGTCTCAAAGCGGTCCAAATATCCACTTGCGGATCCCACAAACAGAGTGTTTCAAAACTGCTCTATGGAAAGGTATGTTCAACTCTGTGAGTTTACTGCAAACATCCTAAAGAAGTTTCTGAGAATGCTGCTGTCTAGTTTAATGTGAATATATTTTCTTTTCCGCCATAGCCCTCAAAGAGCTCCAAATATGCACTTTCAGAATCTATAGAGTTTTTCAAAACTGCTCTATCAAAAAAAAAGTTTCAACTCGGTGAGTCGAATGCACATATCACAAAGCAGTTTCTGAGAATGCTTTCGTCTATTTTTCCCAGGAAGATATTTCCTTTTTGACCGTAGGCCTCAAATCGCTCCAGATATCCACATGCAGATTCTACAAAAAGAGTGTTTCCAAACTGCCCTATCAAAAGGAAGGTTCAACTCTGGTAGTTGAATGCAAACATCACAAAGAAGTTTCTCAGAATGCTTCTGTCTAGTTTTTAGAGGTAGATATTCCTTTTTCTACCATAGGCCTCAAATCTCTCCAAATATCCACTTGCAGATTCTCCAAAAACAGTGTTTCAAAACTGCTCCATAAAAAGGAAGTTTCAACTCTGTGAGTTGAATGGACAGATCACAAAGAAGTTTCTGAGAATGCTTCTGTCTAGTGTTTATGTGAAGATATTGCCGTTTCCGATGAAGGCCTCAAAGCAGTCCAAATATCCACTTGCAGATTCTACAAAAATAGTGTTTCAAAACTACTCTATGGAAAGGTATGTTCAACACTGTGAGATGAATGCAAACGTCACAAAGAAGTTGCTGAGAATGCTTCAGTCTAGTTTCTATGGGAAGACATTTCCTTTTGCACCACAGCCCTCAAAGCACTCCAAATGTCTACTTGCAGATTCGATAAAAGAGTTTTTCAAAACTGCTCTATCAAAAGAAAGGTTCAACGCTGTGAGTTGAATCTACATATCACAAAAAAGTTT
Source organism: Homo sapiens (assembly GCF_000001405.40). Taxonomy (NCBI): domain Eukaryota; kingdom Metazoa; phylum Chordata; class Mammalia; order Primates; family Hominidae; genus Homo; species Homo sapiens. The sequence continues at coordinate 50,145,126 of NC_000005.10, forward strand.
CTGAGAATGCCTCTATCTACTTTTTATGTGAAGATATTCCAGTTTCCAACGAAGGCCTCAAAGCGCTCCAAATATCTACTTGCAGATTCTAGAAAAAGAGTGTTTCAAAACTGCTCTATTAAAGGAAGGTTCAACTCTGTGAGTTGAATTCACACATCACAAAGAACTTTCTGACAATACTTCTATCTAGTTTTTATGTGAAGATATTACTGTTTCCTATGAAGACCTCAAAGTGGTCCGAATATCCACTTATAGATTCTACAAAAAGAGGTTTTCAAAACTGCTCTATGAAGAGGTATGTTCACCTCTGTGAGTTGAATGCAAACATCACAAAGCAGTTTCTGAGAATGCTTCTGTCTAGATTTTAGGGGAAGATATTTCCGTTGGCACTATAGCTTTCAAAGCGCTCCAAATATCCACTGGCAGATTCTACCAAAAGAGTCTTTCAAAACTGCTCTGTGAAAAGAAATGTTCAACGTTGTTAGTTGAATGCCCACATCACAAAGAAGATTCTGAGAATATTTCTGTCTAGTTTTTATTAGAAGATATTCCCGTTTCCACCAAAGGACACAACGCGAAGCCAATTATCCGCTTGCAGATCTTACAAAAACACGTTTCAAAACTGCTCTATCAAAGGAAAGGTTCATCTCTCTGGGTTCAAAGTACCCTCTGGCTCGGAGGGTCCTATGCCCTTGGAGTATCGCTGATTTCTAGCACAGCAGTCTGAAATCAAACTGCAATGTGGCAGCGAGGCTGGGGGATGGTCACCTGGCATAGCCCAGTCGTGCTTAGGTAAAGAAAGCAACTGGGAAGCACGAACTGGGGGGAGACCACCATAGCTCAAAGGGACCTGCATTCCTGTATAGACTCCACCTCTGGGGGTAAGGCACAGACAAACAAAAGACAGCAGTAACCTCTGCAGACTTACATGTCCCTGTCTGACAGCTTTGAAGAGAGCAGTTCTTCTCCCAGCATGCAGCTGCAGATCTGATAATCGGCAGACTGGACTCCTCAAGTGATTCCCTGACCCTGGACCCCCAGGCAGCCTAACTGGGAGGCATCCCCCAGTAGGGGCAGACTGAAACCTCACACTACCGGATACTCCTCTGAGACAAAACTTCGGGAGGAACAATCAGACAGCAGCATATTTGGTTCACAAAAATCTGCTGTTCTGCAGCCACCGCTGCTGATACTCAGACAAACAGGGTCTGGAGTGGACCTCAAGCAAACTTCAACAGACATGCAGCTGAGGGTCCTGTCTGTTAGAAGGAAAACTAACAAATAGAAAGGACATCCACACCAAAAATCCATATGTACATCACCATCATCAAGGACCAAAAGTAGATAAAACCACAAAGATGGGGAAAAAACAGAGCAGAAAAACTGGACACTGATAAAAGCAGAATGCCTCTCCTTCTCCAAAGGATCACAGTTCCTCACCAGCAACAGAGCAAAGCTGGATGGAGAATGTCTTTGATGAGTTGAGAGAAGAAGGCTTCAGATGATCAAACTACTCCAAGCTACAGGAGGAAATTCAAACCAAAGGCAAAGCAGTTAAAAACTTTGAAAAAAATTTAGACGAATGTATAAATAGAATAAGCAATACAGAGAAGTGCTTAAAGGAGCTGAAGGGGCAGAAAACCAAGGCTCGAGAATTATGTGAAGAATGCAGAAGCCTCAGGAGCCAATGTGATCCACTGGAAGAAAGGGTATCAGTGATGGAAGATGAAATGAATGAAATGAAGTGAGAAGGGAAGTTTAGAGAAAAAATAATAAAAAGAAACAAACAAAGCCTCCAAGAAATATGGGACTATGTGAAAAGACCAAATCTGCGTCTGATTGGTGTACCTGACAGTGACCAGGAGAATGGAACCAAGTTGGAAAACACTCTGCAGGATATTATCCAGGAGAGCTTCCCCAATCTAGCAAGGCAGGCTGACATTCACATTCAGGAAATACAGAGAATGCCACAAAGATACTCCTCGAGAAGGGCAACTCCAAGACAAATAATTGTCAGATTCACAAAAGTTGAAATGAAGGAAAAAATATTAAGGGCAGCCAGAGAGAAAGGTCGGGTTACCCACAAAGGGAAGTCCATCAGAATAACAGCGGATCGTTTGGCAGAAACTCTACAAGCCAGAGGATAGTGGGGACCAATATTCAACATTTTTTTTTTTTTTTGAGACGGAGTCTCACTCTGTCTCCCAGTCTGGAGCATGGGGGAGCGATCTGGGCTCACTGCAAGCTCCACCTCCTAGGTTCATGGCATTCTCCTGCCTCAGCCTCCCGAGTAGCTGGTATACAGGCACCCGCCACCAAGCCCTGTAAATTTTTTGTATATTTAGTAGTGACAGGGTTTTACCATGTTAGCCAGGATGGTCTCAATCTCCTGACCTCGTGATACACCCGCCTTTGTCTCCCAAGTGCTGGGATTACAGGCGTGAGCCACTGTGCCTGGCCAAAATTCTTAAAGAAAATAATTTTCAACCCAGAATTTCACATCCAGCCAAACTAAGCTTCATAATGAAGGATAAATAAAATATTTTACAGACAAGCAAATGCTGAGAGATTTTGTCACCACCAGGCCTGCCCTAGAAGAGCTCCTGAAGGAAGCACTAAACATGGAAAGCAACAACCAGTACCAGCTGCTTCAAAATCACACCAAAATGTAAAGACCATGGAGACTAGGAAGAAACTGCATCAACTAACGAGCAAAATAACTAGCTAACATCAGAATGACAGGATCAAATTCACACATAACAATATTAACTTTAAATGTAAATGGACTAAGTGCTCCAATTAAAAGACACAGACTGGCAAATTGGATAAAGAGACAAGACCCATCAGTGTGCTGTATTCAGGGAACCCATCTCATGTGCAGAGACACACATAGGCTCAAAATAAAAGGATGGAGGAAGATCTACCAAGCAAATGGAAAACAAAAAAGGCAGGGGTTGCAATCCTAGTCTGTGATAAAACAGACTTTAAGCCAATAAAGATCCAAAGAGACCAAGAAGGCCATTACATAATGGTAAAGGGATCAATTCAACAAGAAGAGCTAACTATCCTAAATATATATGCAACCAATACAGCAGCACCCAGATTCATGAAGCAAGTTATGAGTGAACTACAAGAGACTTAGACTCCCACACATTAATAATGGGAGACTTTAACACCCCACTGTCAACAATAGACAGATCATTGAGACAGAAAGTTAACAGGGATATCCAGGAATTGAACTTGGCTCTGCACCAAGTGACCTAATGGACATCTAAAGGACTCTCCACCACAAATCAACAGAATATACTTTTCCTTCAGCACCACACCACACTTATTCCAAAATTGACCACATACTTGGAAGTAAAGCTCTCCTCAGCAAATGTAAAAGAACAGAAATTATAACAAATTGTCTCTCAGACCACGGTGCAAACAAACTAGAACTCAGGATTAAGAAACTCACTCAAAACTGCTCAACTAAATGGAAACTGAGCAACCTGCGCCTGAATGACTACTGGGTACATAGCGAAATGAAGGCAGAAATAAAGATGTTCTTTGAAACCAACGAGAACAAAGACACAACATACCAGAATCTCTGGGACACATTCAAAGCAGTGTGTAGATGGAAATTTACAACACTAAATGCCCACAAGAGAAAGCAGGAAAGATCCAAAATAGACACCCTAACAACACAATTAAAAGAACTAAAAAAGCAAGAATAAATACATTCAAAAGCTAGCAGAAGGCAAGACATAACTAAAATCAGAGCAGAACTGAAGGAAATAGAGACACAAAAAGCCATTCAAAAAATTAATGAATTGAGGAGCTGGTTTTTTGAAAGGATCAACAAAATTGACAGACCACTAACAAGACTAATAAAGAAGAAAAGAGAGAAGAATCACATAGATGTAATAAAAAATGATAAAGGGGATATCACCACCGATCCCACAGAAATACAAGCTACCATCAGAGAATACTACAAATATTTCTATGCAAATAAACTAGAAAATCTAGAAGAAATTGACAAATTCCTCGACACATACACCCTCCCAACACTAAACCAGGAAGAAGTTGAATCTCTGAATACACCAATAACAGGCTCTGAAATTGTGGCGATAATCAATAGCTTACCAACCAAAAAGAGTGCAGGACCAGATGGATTCACAGCCGAATTCTACCAGAGGTAAAAGGAGGAACTGGTACCATTCCTTCTGAAACTATTCCAATCAATAGAAAAAGAGGGAATCCTCCCTAACTCATTTTATGAGGCCAGCATCATCCTGATACCAAAGCCAGGCAGAGACACAACCAAAAAAGAGAACTTTAGACCAATATAGTTGAAGAATATTGAGGCAAAAATTCTCAGTAAAAAACTGGCAAAACAAATCCAGTAGCACATCAAAAAGCTTATCCATCCTGATCAAGTAGGCTTCATCCCTGGGATGCAAGACTGGTTCAATATATGCAAATCAATAAATGTAATCCAGCATATAAACAGAACCAAAGACAAAAACCACATGATTATCTCAGTAGATGCAGAAAAGGCCTTTGACAAATTCAACAACCCTTCATGCTAAAAGCTCTCAATAAATTAGGTATTGATGGGACGTATCTCAAAATAATAAGAGTGATCTATGACAAACCCACAGCCAATATCATACTGAATGGACAAAAACTGCAAGCATTCCCTTTGAAAACTGGCACAAGAGAGGGATGCCCTCTCTCACCACTCCTATTCAACATAGTGTTGGAAGTTCTGGCCAGGGCAATTAGGCAGGAGAAGGAAATAAAGGGTATGCAACTATGAAAAGAGGAAGTCAAATTGTCCGTGTTTGCAGACGACGTGATTGTATATCTAGAAAACCCCATTGTCTCAGCCCAAAATCTCCTTAAGCTGATAAGCAACTTCAGCAAAGTCTCAGGATACAAAATCAATGTACAAAAATCACAAGCATTCTTATACACCAATAACAGACAAACAGAGAGCCAAATCATGAGTGAACTCCCATTCATAATTGCTTCAAAGAGAGTTAAATACCTAGGAATCCAACTTACAAGGGACGTGAAGGACCACTTCAAGGAGAATTACAAACCACTGCTCAATGAAATAAAAGAAGATACAAAGAAATGGAAGAAAGGGTAGAAAGAATAAATACCATGAAAAAAGGCATACTGCCCAAGGTAATTTATAGATTCAAAGCCATCCCCATCAAACTACCAATGACTGTGTTCACAGAATTGGAAAAAACTACTTTAAAGTTCATGTGCAACCAAAAAAGAGCCCGCATCCCCAAATCAATCCTAAGCCAAAAGAACAAAGCTGGAGGCATCACACTACCTGACTTCAAACTATACTACAAGGCTACAGTAACCAAAACAGCATGGTACTGCTATCAAAACAGAGATATAGATCAATGGAAGAGAACAGAGCCCTCAGAAAAAACACCACATAGCTACAACTATCTGATCTTTGACAAACCTGAGAAAAACAAGCAATGGGGAAAGGATTCCCTATTTAATAAATGGTGCTGGGAAAACTGGCTAGCCATATGTAGAAAGCTGAAACTGGATCCCTTCCTTACACATTATACAAAAAATAATTCAAGATGTTTTAAAGACTTAAACGTTAGACTTAAAACCATAAAAACCCTATTAGAAAACCTAGGCATTATCATTCAGGACATAGGCATGGGCAAGGACTTCATGTCTAAAACACCAAATGCAATGGCAATAAAAGCCAAAATTGACAAATGAGATCTAATTAAACTAAAGATCTTCTGCACAGCAAAAGAAACTACCATCAGAGTCAACAGGCAACCTACAAATTGGGAGAAAGTTTTTGCAACCTACTCATCTGACAAAGGGCTAATATCCAGAATCTACAATGAACTCAAACAAATTTATAAGAAAAAAACAAACAACCCCATCAAAACGTGGGTGAAGGACATGAACAGATACTTCTCAAAAGAAGACATTTACGCAGCTAAAAAACACATGAAAAAAAATGCTCACCATCGCTGGCCATCACAGCAAATCAAAAACACAATGAGACACAATCTCACACCAGTTAGAATGGCAATCATTAAAAAGTCAGGAAACAACAGGTGCTGGAGAGCGTGTGGAGAAACAGGAACACTTTTACACTGTTGGTGGGACTGTAAACTAGTTCAACCATTGTGGAAGTCAGTGTGGTGATTCCTCAGGGATCTGGAACTAGAAATACCATTTGACCCAGCCATCCCATTACTGGGTATATATCCAAAGGACTATAAATCATGCTGCTATAAAGACACATGCACACGTATGTTTATTGCGGCACTATTCACAATAGCAAAGACTTGCATCCCAACCAAAAGTCCAAAATGATAGACTGGATTAAGAAAATATAGCACATATACACCATGGAATACTATGTAGCCATAAGAAATGATGAGTTCATGTCCTTTGTAGGGACATGGATAAAATTGGAAATCATCATTCTCAGTAAACTATCACAAGGATGAAAAACCAAACACCACATGTTCTCACTCATAGATGGGAATTGAAGAATGAGAACAGATGGACACAGGAAGGGGAGCATCACACTCTGGGGACTGTTGAGGGGTGGGGAGAGAGGGGAGGGATAGCATTAGGAAATACACCTAATGCTAAATGACGAGTTAATGAGTGCAGTACGCCAGCATGGCACATGTATACACATGTAACTAACCTGCACATTATGCATATGTACCATAAAACTTGAACTATAATAATAATAATAAAAGAGAAAGTTTCAACACTGTGATATAAATGCACCCATAATAATGAAGTTTCTCATGATGCTTCTGTGTAGTTTTTATTTGAAGATATGTCCATTTCCACGATAGGCCTCAAATCCCTCCAAATATCCACTTGCAGATTATAAAAAAGAGTGTTTCAAAACTGCTGAATCAAAACAAAGTTTCAACTGTGAGGTGAATGCACACATCAAAAAGAAGTTTCACAGAATGCTTCTGTCTAGTTTTTATGTGAAGATATTTCCTTTTCCACCATATTCCTCAAAGCACTGCAAATATCCACTTGGAAATTCTACAAAAAGAGTGTTTCAAAACTGCTCAATGAAAAGAAAGATTCAAGTCTTTGAGATGAATGCTCACATCACAAAGAAGTTTCTCAGAATGCTTCTGTCTACTTTTTATGTGAAGATATTTCCTTTTCCACTAGAAGCAGCAAAGCGCTCCAAATATCCACTTGCAGATTCAACAAAAAGAGTGTTTCAAAACTGCTCAATCAAAAGAAAGGTTCAACTCCGTGAGTTGAATGCACACATCACGAAGAAGTTTATCAGATATTTCTGTGCAGTTTTTATGTGAAGATATTTCCTTTTCCACAAGTGGCCACAAAACCACTCCAAATATCCACTTGCAAATTGTACAAAAAGAGAGCTTCAAAACTGCTCAATCAAAAGAATGGTTCAACTCTGTGAGGTGAATGTAAACATCACAAAGAATTTTCTCAGAATGCTTCTGTGTAGTTTTTATGTGAAGATATTTCCTTTTCCATCATAGGCTGCAAAGGGCTTGAAATATCCACTGGAGATTCCACAAAAAGAGTGTTTCAAAACTGCTCAATCAAAAGAAAGGTTCAACTCTGTGAGATGAATTCACACATCATGAAGAAGTTTCTCAGAATGCTTCTGTGTAGTTTTTATGTGAAGATATTTCCTTTTCCACAATAATAGTCCTCAAATCAATGCAAATATCAACTTGCAGATTCTACAAAAAGTGTGTTTCAAAACTGCTCAATCAAAAGAAAGGTTCAACTCTCTGAGGTGAATTCCCACATCACCAAGAAGTTTCTCAGAATGCTTCTATGTAGTTTTTATGTGAAGATATTTCCTTTTCCACTGAAGACCTCCAAGCGCTCCAAATATCAACTTGCAGATTCTACAAAAAGAGTGTTTCAGAGCTGATGAATCAAAAGAAAGTTTCAATTCTGTGATATAAATGAGCACATCACAAAGAAGTTTCTCAGAATGCTTCTGTCTAGTTTTTATTTGAAGATATTTCCTGTTCCACGATAGGCCTCAAATCAGTGCAAATATACATTGCAGTTTCCACAAAAAGAGTGTTTCCAAACTGCACCATCAAAAGAAAGGTACATCTCTGTGAGATGAATGCACACATCAATGAGAGGTTTCTCAAAATGCTTCTGTCTAATTTTTATGTGAAGGTATTTCCTTTTCCACCATAAGCCTCAAAGGTCTCCAAATATCCACTTGGAGATTCTACAAAAAGAGTGTTTCAAAAAGGCTCAATAAAAAGTAAGGTTAAACTCTGTGAGAAGAAAGCATACATCACAAAGAAGTTTCTCAGAATGCTTCTGTCTAGTTTTTATGTAACCATATTTCCTTTCCCTCCATAGGCCAAAAAGTGCTCCAAATATCCACTTACAGATTCTGCAAAAAAAGAGTTTAAAAACTGCTCAATCAAAAGATAGGTTCACCTGTGTGAGTTGAACACAAAAATCACAAAGAAGTTTCTCAGAATGCTTCTTTGTATTTTTTATGTGAAGATTTTCCCTTTTCCATCATAGGCCTCAAAGAGCTCCAAATAACTACTTGAAGATTCTACAGAAAGAGTGTTTCCAAACTGCTAAACCAAAACAAATGTTCAAATCTGTGAGTTGAATGAGTACAACACAAAGTAGTTTCTCAGAATGCTTCTGTCTAGTTTTTATGTGAGGATATTTCCTTTTACACCATAGGCCTCAAACCTCTCCAAATATCCTTTTGCAGATACCACAAAAACACTGTTTCCAAAACGCGCAATCAAAAGAAAGATTCAACTCTGTGAGTTAAATGCACATATCGCAAAGTAGTTTCCCAGAATGCTTTTGTGTAGTTTTCATGTGAAGATATTTCCTTTTATACAAAAGGCCTCAAATCGCTCCAAATATTCACTTGCAGATTCTACAAAAAGTATGTTTCGAAACTGCTCAATCAAAACAAAGGTTCAACTGTGTGAGGTGAATGCACACACCACAAAGAAGTTTCTCAGAATGCTTCTGTCTAGTTTTTATGTGAAGATATTTCCTTTTCCACCATAGGCCTCAAAGCACTCAAAATATCCACTTGGACACTCTACAAAAAGAGTGTTTCAAAACTGCTCAATGAAAAGAAATGTTCAACTCTGTGAAATGAATGCACAGATCACAAACAAGTTTCTCAGAATGCTTCTGTCTAGTTTCTTTGTGAGGATATTTCCTTTTCCACCATAGGCCTCAAACCCCTTCAAATATCCATTTGGAGATACCACAAAAACACTGTTTCCAAACTGCTCTATCAAAATAAATCTTTAACTCCGTGAGATGAATGCACACATCACAAAGAAGATTCTCAGAATGTTTCTGTGTAGTTTTTCTGTGAAGATATATCCTTTTTCACAATAGGCTTCAAAGCACTCCTAATATCCACTTGCAGATCCTTCAAAAAGAGTGTTTCCAAACCGCTCAATCAAAAGAAGGGTTCAACTCTGTGAGATGAATTCACACATCCCAGAGAAGTTTCTCAGAATGCTTCTGTCTCGTTTCTATGTGAAAATATTTCATTTTCAGCTATAGTCCTCAAAGCACTACAGGAATCCATCTGCAGATAGTACAAAGGAGTGTTTCCAAACTGCTCAATTAAAGAAAGGTTAAACTCTGTGAGTTGAATGCACACATCACAAAGAAATTTCTGAGAATTCTTCTGTCTACTTTTTATATGAAGATATTTCCTTTTCCAGCATAAGTCTGAAATCACTCTGAATATCCACTTGCAGATTCTACAGAAAGAATTTTTCACTACTGCTCAATCAAAAGAAAGGTTCAACCCTGTGAGATGAATGCATACCTAAGAAAGTAGTTTCTCAGAATGCTTCTGTATAGTTGTCATGTGAAGATATTTCCTTTTCAACTTTCGGCCTCAAAGCACTCCAAATATCCATTTGCAGATACTACAAAAAGAGTGTTTCCAAATGGCTCAATCAAAGGAAAGGTTCAACTCTGTGTGTTAAATTCACTCATCACAAAGAAGTTTCTCAGAATGGTTCTGTCTAGTTTTTATGTGAAGATGTTTCCTTTTCCACCATAGTCCTCAAAGCACCCAAAAACCACTTTCAGATTCTACAAAAAGTGTGTTTGAAAACTGCTCAGTCAACAGAAAGGTTCAACTCTGTTAGATGAATGCACGCATCCCAAAGAAGTTTCTCAGAATGATTCTGTCTAGTTTCTATTTGAAGATATTTCCTTTCCATCTACTGGCCACAAAGCGATCCAAATATCCTTTTATTGATGCTACAAAAAGAGTTTTTCCAAACTGCTGAATCAAAAGAAAGGTTTAATTCTGTGAGTTGTATGCACACATCACAAAGAAAATTCTGAAATGCTTCTGTCTAGTTTTTATGTGAAGACATTTTCTTTTCAACCATAGACCTCAAAGTGCTCCAAATATCCACTTACAGATTCTACAAAAAGAGTATTTCAAAACTGCTCAATCAAATGAAAGGTCAAATCTGTGAGATGAATTCCCACATCACAAAGAAGTTTCTCAGAATTCTTCCGTCTAGTTTTTATGTGAAGATATTTCCTTTTCAGTTATTGGCCTTAAAGAGCTCCAAACAACCATTTGCTGATACTACAAAAAGAATGTTTCCCAAGTGCTCTATCAAAAGAAAGGATCAACTCTGTCAGTTGAATGCACATATCACAAAGAAGTTTCTGAGAATGCTTCCATCTAGTTTTTATGTGAAGATATATCCTTTTCCACCATAGGCCTCAAACCCCTCCAAATATCCATTTGCAGATAATACAAAAAGATTTTCCAAACTACTCAATGAAAAGAAAGGTTCAACTCTGTGAGTTGAATGCACACATCACAAAGAAGTTTCTGAGAATGCTTCTGTCTGCTTTTTATCTGAAGATATTTCCCTTTCCACCATAGGCCTCAAAGCGCTCAGAATATCCACTTGGAGATTCTACAAAAAGACTATCTCAAAACTGCTCAATTGGTGGGAGGAGCCAAGATGGCCAAATAGGAACAGCTCTGGTCTGCAGCTCCCAGCGTGAGCAACACAGAAGACAGGTGATTTCTGCATTTCCATCTGAGGTACCGGGTTCATCTCACTAGGGAGTGCCAGACAGTGGGCACAAGTCAGTGGGTGCATGCACCGTGCATGAGGCGAAGCAGGGCGAGTCGTTACCTCAATCAGGAAGCACAAGGGGTCAGGGAGTTCCCTTTCCTAGTCAAAGAAATGGGTGGCAGACGGCACCTGGAAAATCAGGTCACTCCCACCTCAATACTGTGCTTTTCTGACAGACTTAAAAAACGGCGCACCTGGAGATTAAATCCCAAATCTGGCTCAGAGAGTCCTACACTCACGGAGTCTCGCTGATTGCTAGTGCAGCAGTCTGAGATCAAACTGCAAGGCGGCAGCGAGGCTGGGGGAGGGGTGCTCGCCATTGCCCAGGCTTGCTTAGGTAAACAAAGCAGCTGGGAAGCTCGAACTTGGCGGTGCCTGCCTCTGTAGGCTCCACCTCTGGGGGCAGGGCACAGACAAACAAAAGACAGCAGTAACCTCTGCAGACTTAAATGTCCCTGTCTGACAGCTTTAAAGAGAGCAGTGGTTCTCCCAGCACACAGCTGGAGATCTGAGAACAGGCAGACTGCCTCCTCAAGTGGGTCACTGACCCCTGACCCCCGAGCAGCCTAAATGGGAGGCACCCCCCATCAGGGGTAGACTGACACCTCACATGGCCGGGGACTCCAACAGACCTGCAGCTGAGGGTCCTGTCTGTTAGAAGGAAAACTAACAAACAGAAAAGACATTCACACAGAAACGCATCTGTACATTACCATCATCAAAGACCAAAAGTAGATAAAACCACAAAGATGGGGAAAAAGCAGAGCAGAAAAACTGGAAACTCTAAAAATCAGAGTGCCTCTCCTTCTCCAAAGGAATGCAGTTCCTCACCAGCAACGGAACAAAGCTGGACGGAGAATGACTTTGACGAGCTCAGAGAAGAAGGCTGCAGATGATCAAATTACTCTGAGCTATGGGAGGACATTCAAACCAAAGGCAAAGAAGTTGAAAACTTTGAAAAAAATTTAGAAGAATGTATAACTAGAATAACCAATACAGAGAAGTGTTTAAAGGAGCTGATGGAGCTGAAACCAAGGCTCGAGAACTACGTGAAGAATGCAGAAGCCTCAGGAGCTGATGCAATCAACTGGAAGAGAGGGTATCAGAGATGGAAGATGATATGAATGAAATGAAGCGAGAAAGGAAGTTTAGAGAAAAAAGAATAAAAAGAAACGAACAAAGCCTCCAAGAAATATGGGACTATGTGAAAAGACCAAATCTACGTCTGATTGGTGTACCTGAAAGTGATGGGGAGAATGGAACCAAGTTGGAAAACACTCGGCAGGGTATTATCCAGGAGAACTTCCCAATCTAGCAAGGTAAGCCAACATTCACATTCAGGAAATACAGAGAACGCCACAAAGACACTCCTCAAGAAGAGCAACTCCAAGACACATAATTGTCAGGTTCCCCAAAGTTGAAATGAAGGAAAAAATGTTAAGGGCAGCCAGAGAGAAAGGTCGAGTTACCCTCAAAGGGAAGCTCGTCAGACTAACAGCGGATCTTTCGGCAGAAACTCTACAAGCCAGAAGAGAGTGGGGGTCAATATTCAACCTTCTTAAAGAAAAGAATTTTCAACCCAGAATTTCATATCCAGCCAAAGTAAGCTTCATAAGTGAAGGAGAAATAAAATCCTTTACAGACCAGGAAATGCTGAGAGATTTTGTCACCACCAGGCCTGCCCTAGAAGAGCTCCTGAAGGAAGCACTAAACATGGAAAGCAACAACAAGTACCAGCTGCTTCAAAATCACACCAAAATGTAAAGACCATGGAGACTAGGAAGAAACTGCATCAACTAACGAGCAAAATAACCAGCTAACATCATAATGACAGGATCAAATTCACACATAACAATATTAACTTTAAATGTAAATGGACTAAATTCTCCAATTAAAAGACACAGACTAGCAAATTGGATAAAGAGTCAAGACCCATCAGTGTGCTGTATTCAGGAAACCCATCTCATGTGCAGAGACACACATAGGCTCAAAATAAAAGAATGGAGGAAGATCTACCAAGAAAATGGAAAACAAAAAATGGCAGGGGTTGCAATCCTAGTCTCTGATAAAACAGACTTTAAACCAACAAAGATGAAAAGAGACCAAGAAGGCCATTACATAATGGTAAAGGGATCAATTCAACAAGAAGAGCTAACTATCCTAAATATATATGCACCCAATACAGGAGCGCACAGATTCATAAAGCAAGTCCTGAGTGACCTACAAGAGACTTAGACTCCTACACATTAATAATGGGAGACTTTAACACCCCACTGTCAACATTAGAAGATCAGTGAGACAGAAAGTCAGCAAGGATACCCAGGAATTGAACTCAGCTCTGTACCAAGCGGACCTAATAGACATCTACAGAACTCTCCACCCCAATTGAACAGAATATACATTTTCTTCAGCACCACACCACACCTATTCCAAAATTGACCACATAGTTGGAAGTAAAGCTCTCCTCAGCAAATGTAAAAGAACAGAAATTATAACAAACTATCTCTCAGACCACAGTGCAATCAAACTAGAACTCAGGATTTAGAATCTCACTGAAAACCACTCAACTACATGGAAACTGAACAACCTGCTCCTTAATGACTACTGGGTACATAACGAAATGAAGGCAGAAACAAAGATGTTCTTTGAAACCAGCGAGAACAAACACACAACATACCAGAATCTCTGGGACACATTCAAAGCAGTGTGTAGACGGAAATTTATAGCACTAAATGCCCACAAGAGAAAGCAGGAAAGATCCAAAATTGACACCCTAACATCACAATTAAAAGGACTAGAAAAGCAAGAGCAAACACATTCAAAAGCTAGCAGAAGGCAAGACATAACTAAAATCAGAACAGAACTGAAGGAAATAGAGACACAAAAAACCCTTCAAAAAACTAATGAATCCAGGAGCTGTTTTTTTGAAAGGATCAACAAAATTGATAGACCGCTAGCAAGACTAATAAAGAAAAAAAGAGAGAAGAAACAACTAGATGTAATAAAAAATGATAAAGGGGATATCACCACCAATCCCACAGTAAAACAAACTAGCATCAGAGAATACTACAAACACCTCTACGCAAATAAACTAGAAAATCTAGAAGAAATGGATAAATTCCTCGACACATGCACTTTCCCAAGACTACACCAGGAAGAAATTGAATCTCTGAATAGACTAATAACAGGCTCTGAAATTGTGGCAATAATCAATAGCTTACCAACCAAAAAGACTCCAGGACCAGATGGATTCACAGCCGAATTCTACCAGAGGCACAAGGAGGAACTGGTACCATTCCTTCTGAAACTATTCCAATCAATAGAAAAAGAGGGAATCCTCCCTAACTCCTTTTATGAGGCCAGCATCACCCTGATACCAAAGACGGGCAGAGACACAACCAAAAAGGAGAATTTTAGACCAATATCCTTGATGAACATTGATGCAAAAATCCTCAATAAAATACTGGCAAACCGAATCCAGCAGCACATCAAAAAGCTTATCCAACATGATCAAGTGTTTCATCCCTGAGATGCAAGGCTGATTCAATATACACAAATCAATAAATGTAATCCAGCATATAAACAGAACCAAAGACAAAAGCCTCATGATTATCTCAATAGATTCAGGAAAGGCCTTTGACAAAATTCAACAACCATTCATGTTAAAAACTCTCAATAAATTAGGTATTGATGTGATGTATCTCAAAATAATAAAAGCTATCTATGACAAACCCACAGCCAATATCATACTGAATGGGCAAAAACTGGAAACATTCCCTTTGAAACCTGGCACAAGACAGGGATGCCCTCTCTCACCACTCTTATTCAACATAGTGTTGGAAGTTCTGGCCAGGGCAATTAGGCAGGAGAAAGAAATAAAGGGTATTCAATTAGGAAAATAGGAAGTCAAATTGTCCGTGTTTGCAGACGACATGCTTGTATATCTAGAAAACCCATTGTCTCAGCCCAAAATCTCCTTAAGCTGATAAGCAACTTCAGCAAAGTCTCAGGATACAAAATCAATGTACAAAAATTCAAGCATTCTTATACACCAACAACAGACAAACAGAGATCAAATACATGAGTTACCTCCCATTCACAATTGCTTCAAAGAGAATAAAATGCCTAGGAATCCAACTTTCAAGGGATGTGAAGGACCTCTTCAAGGAGAACTACAAACCACAGCTCAAGGAAATAAAAGAGGATACAAACAAATGGAAGAACATTCCATGCTCATGGGTAGGGAGAATCAATATTGTGAAAATGGCCATACTGCTCAAGGTAATTTACAGATTCAATGTCATCCCCATCAAGCTACCAATGACTTTCTTCACAGAATGGAAAAAACTACTTTAAAGTTCATATGGAACCAAAAAAGTGCCCACATCACCAAGTCAATCCTAAGCCAAAAGAACAAAGCTTGAGGCATCATACTACCTGACTTCAAATTATACTACAAGGCTACAGTTACCAAAACAGCATGGTACTGGTATCAAAACAGAGATATAGATCAATGGAACAGAACAGAGCCCTCAGAAATAATGCCACATATCTGCAAGTATCTGATCTTTGATAAACCTGAGAAAAACAAGCAATGGGGAAAGGATTCCCTATTTAATAAATGGTGCTGGGAAAACTGGTTAGCCATATGTAGAAAGCTGAAACTGGATCCCTTCCTTACACCTTATACAAAAATCAATTCAAGATGGATTAAAGACTTAAATGTTAGACCTAAAACCATAAAAACCCTAGAAGAAAACCTAGGCAATACCATTCAGGACATAGGCATGGGCAAGGACATAGGTGGGAATTGAACAATGAGAACACATGGACACAGGAAGGGGAACATCACACTCTGGGACCTGTTGTGGGGTGGGTGGAGGGGGGAGGGATAGCTTTGGGAGATATACCTAATGCTAGATGACGAGTTAATGGGTGCAGCGCACCAGCATGGCACATGTATACATATGTAACTAACCTGCACATTGTGCACATGTACCATAAAACTTAAAGTATAATAAAAAAAACTCCTCATTCAAAAGAAAGGTTCAACTCTGTGAGATGAATGCACACATCCCAAAGAAGTTTCTCAGAATGCTTCTGTCTATTTTTTATGTGAAGACATCTCCATTTCAGCAATAGGCCTCAAAGCGCTCCAACAATCCATTTGCAGAAACTACAAAAAGATTTTTTTCAAACAGCTCAATCAATAGAAAGTTTCAACTCTGTGAGTTGAATGGACACTTCACAAAGAAGTTTCCGAGAATGTTTCTGTCTAGCTTTTCTGTGAAGATATTTCCTTTTCCACCAAAGGCCTCAAAGAGCTACAAATATTCACTTGCAGATTGAACAAAAAGAGTTGTTTCAAAGCTGCTTAATGAAAACAAAGGTTCAACTCTGTAAGATGAATGCACACATCACAAAGTTGTTTCTCAGAATGCTTCTGTCTAGTTTTTAGGGGTAGTTATTTCCTTTTCAACTATAGGCCTCTAAGCACTCCAAACATCCATTTGCAGATACTACAAGAAGAGTGTTTTAAAACAGCTCAATCAAAAGAAAGGTTCAATTCTGTGAGATGAATGCACACATCACAAGGAAGTTTCTCAGAATCCTTCTGTCTAGTTTTTATGTGATGATATTTCCTTTTCAACTATAGACCTCAAAGCACTTCAAATATCTATTTACAGATTCCACATAAAGAGTGCTTCAAAAGTGCTGAATCAAAAGAAAAGTTCAACTCTGTGAAATGAATGCACAGATCACAAAAACTTTCTGAGAATGCTTCTGTCTAGTTTTTATGTGAAGATATTTACTTACAGCTCTAGGCCTCAAAGCACTGCAAATATCAATTTGCAGATACTACAAAATAGTGTTTCAAAACTGCTCAATCAAAAGAATGGTTAAACTCTGTTAACTGAATGCACACAACATAAAGTGGTTTCTGAGAATGTTTCTATCTAGTCTTTATTTGAAGATACTTCTTTTTGAACTATAGGCCTGAAAGCAGTCCCAATATCCACTTGGAGATACCACAAAAGGAGGGTTTCAAAACTGCTCAATGAAAAGAAAAGTTCAACTCTGTGAGTTGAATGCACACATCAAAAGAAGTTTCTGAGAATGCTCCTACCTAGTTTTTATGTGAAGATACTTCCTTTTCCACCATAGGCCTCAAAACGATCCAAATATCCACTTTCAGATTCTACAAAAAGTGTGTTTCAAAACTGCTCAATCAAAAGAAACATTCAACTCTGTGAGATGAATGTACACATCACAAAGTAGTTTCTCAGAATGTTTCTGTCTAGTTTTTATGTGAGGATACTTCCTTTTCAACTATAGGCCTCAAAACACTCCAAATATCCATTTGCAGATACTACCAAAAGAAAGAGTGTTTCCAAACTGCTCAATCAAAAGAATGTTTCAACTTTGTGATTTGTATTCACACGTCACAAAGAAGTTTCTGAGAATGCTTCTGTGTAGTTTTTGTGTGAAGATATTTCCTTTTCCTCCATAGGCATCAAAGTATTACAACTATCCTCTTGCAGACTGTAGAAAAAGTGTGTTTCAAATCTGCACAATGAAATGGTGCAGGGAAAACTGGCTAGCCATATGTAGAAAGCTGAAACTGGATCCCTTCCTTACACCTTACACAAAAATTTATTCAAGTTGGGTTAAAGATTTACATGTTGACCTAAAACCATAAAAACCCTAGAAGAACACCTAGGCAATACCATTGAGGTCATAGGCATGGGCTAGGGCTTCATATCTAAAACGCCAAAAGCAATGGCAACAAAAGCCAAAATTGACAAATGGGATCTAATTAAACTCAAGAGCTTCTGCACAGCAAAAGAAACCACCATCAGAGTGAACAGGCAACCTAGAAAATGGGAGAAAATTTTCACAACCTACTCATCTGACAAAGGGATAATATCCAGAATCTTTGATGAACTCAAACAAATTTATAAGAAAAAAACAACAACACCATCAAAAAGTGGACGAAGGACATGAACAAACACTTCTGAAAAGAAGATATTTATGCAGCCAAAAAAAAAAAAAAAACATGAAACAAGGCTCACCATCACTGGCCATCAAAGAAATGCAAACGAAAACCACAATGAGATAACATTTCACACCAGTTAGAATGTCAATCATTAAAAAGTCAGGAAACAACAGGTGCTGGAGAGGATGTGGAGAAATAGGAGCACTTTTACACTGTTGGTGGGACGTAAACTCGTTCAACCATTGTGGAAGTCAGTGTCACGATTCCTCAGGGATCTAGAACTAGAAATACCATTTGACCCAGCCATCCCATTACTGGGTGTATACCCAAAGGATTATAAATCATGTTGCTATAAAGACACATGCCCATGTATGTTTATTGCAGCACTATTCACAATAGAAAAGACTTGGAACCAACTGAGAGGTCCAACAACTATAGACTGGATTAAGAAAATGTGGCACATATACACCATGGAATACTATGCAGCCATAAAAAATGATGAGTTCATGTCCTTTGTAAGGACATGGATGAAATTGGAAACCATCATTCTCAGCAAACTATCACAAGGACAAAAAAAGTAATACCGCATGTTCTCACTCATAGGTGAAAATTGAACAATGAGAACACATGGACACAGGAAGGGGAACATCACACTCTGAAGACTGTTGTTGGGTGAGTGGAGTGGGGAGGGATAGAATTAGGAAATATACATAATGTTAAATAACGAGTTAATGGGTGTAGAACCCCCACATGGCACATGAATACATATGTAACAAACCTGCACATTGGGCACAAGTACCCTAAAACAAAAAGTGTAATAATAATAAAATTTAAAAAAAAAGAAAAGTTCAACTGTGTGAAATGAATGCACACATCACAAAGAAGTTTCTCAGAAGGCTTCTGTCTAGTTTTTATGTGAAGATATTTCCTTTACAGCCATAGACCTCAAGACGCTCCAAATATGCATTTGCAGATACTACAAAAAGATTCTTTGCAAACTGCTCAATCAAAAGGAAGCTCAACTCTGTGAGTTGAATGCAAGCATCACAAAGAAGTTTCTGAGAATGCTTCGGTCTAGTTTTTATGCGAGGATATTTCCTCTTCCACCACAGGCCTCAAATCGCTCTAAATATCCATTTGCAGGTACTACAAAAAGAGTGTTTCAAAACTGTTCAATCAAAAGAAAGGTTCAACTCAGTGAGTTGAATGCACACATCAGAAAGAAGTTTCTGAGAATGCTTCTGTATAGTTTTTATGTGAAGATATTTCCTTTTCCACCATAGACCTCAAAGTGCTGTAAATATCCACTTGCAGATTCCACAAAAAGAGTGTTTCAAAACTACCCAATCAAAAGAAATCTTCACCTCTGTGAGTTGAATGCAAACATCACAAGGAAGTTTCTCACAATGCTTCTGTCTAGAATTTATGTGAAGATATATCCTTGTCAACTAAAGGGCTCAAAGTGCTCCAAATATGCATTTTCAGATACGTCAAAATGTGTGTTTCCAAACTGCTCAATCAAAAGAAAAGTTCAACTCTGTGAGTTGAATGCAAACATCACAAAGAAGTTTCTGAGAATGCTTCTGTCTAGTTTTTATGTGAAGATATTTCCTTTTCCACCATAGGCCTCAAAGTGCTGCAAATAACCACTTGCAGATTCTACAAAAAGAGTGTCTCAAAACTTCTCAATCAAAAGAAAGGTTCAAACCTTTGAGATGAATGCACATATCACAAGGAAGTTTCTCAGAATGCTTCTGTCTAGTTTTTATGTGAAGATATTTCCTTTTCCACCATAGGCCTCATAGCGCTCCAAATATCCATTTGCAGATACTACAAAAAGAGTGTTTCCAAACTGCTAATCAAGAGAAACGTCTGTAAGTTGAATGCACCGATTCCAAAGACGTTTCTGAGGATGCTTCTGTCAAGTTTTTATGTGAAAATATTTCCTTTTCCACCATATGTCTCAAAGCGCTCCAAGTATCCACTTGCATATTCTACAAAAAGAGTGTTTCAAAACTGCTCAATCAAAAGAAAGCTTCAACTCTGTGAGATGAATGCACACATCACAAAGAAGTTTCTGAGAATACTTCTGTCTATTTTTTGTGTGAAGATATTTTCTTTTCAACTACAGGCCTCAAAGCACCCTAAATATGCATTTGCAGATCATACTAAAGAGTGTTTCGAAATGGCTCAATCAAAAGAAAGGTTCAACTCTGTGAGATGAGTGCACACATCATAAAGAAGTTTCTGAGAATTCTTCTGTCTAGTTTTTATGTGAAGATCTTTCCTTTTCCTCCATAGCCCTCAAAGCACTCCAAATATCCATTTGCAGATAGTACAAAAAGAGTGTTTCTAAATTGCTCAATCAAAAGAAAGGTTCAACTCTGTGAGATGAAGGTACACATCATAAAGAAGTTTCTCAGAATGCTTCTGTCTAGTTTTTATTTGAAGATTTTACCTTTTCAACTACAGGCCTCAAAGTGCTCCCAATATCCATTTGCAGATACTTCAAAAAGAGTGTTTCCAGGCTGGTGAATCAAAAGAAAGATTCAACTCTGTGAATTGAATGAGCACATCACTACAAAGTTTCTGAGAATGCTTCTGTATAGTTTTATGTGAAGATACTTCCTTTTCCACCATAGGCCTGAAAGTGCTCCAAATATCAACTTGCAGATTCAACAAAAAGAGTGTTTCCAAACTGCTCAATCCAAAGAAAGGTTGAACTCTTTGAGATGAATGCACACATCACGAAGAAGTTCCTCAGAATGCTTCTGTCTTGTTTTTATGTGACGATATTTCCTTTTCAACTATAGGCCTCGAAACGCTCCAAATATCCATTTGCAGATACTACAAAAAGTGTTTCAAAAGTGCTCAATCAAAAGAAATATTCAAATTTGTGAGTTGAATGCACACATCACAAAAAAGTTTCTGTGAATGCTTCTGCCTAGTTTTTCTGTGACGATATTGCCTTTCAACTCTAGGCCTCAGAGCACTCCAACTATCCACTTGTAGGTTCTACAAAAAAGTGTTTCACAACTGCTCAATTAAAAGAAAGGTTCAACTCTGTGTGTTGAATGCACACATCACAAAGAAGTTTCTCAGAAAACTTCTGTTTCGTCATTAAGTGAAGATATTTCTTTTCAACTATAGGTCTCAAAGCACTCAAAATATACATTTGCAGATACTACAGAAAGAGTGTTTTCAAACTGCTCAATCAAAGAAAGTTTGAAATCTGTGAGCTGAATGCACACATCACAAACAGTTTTCTGAGAATGTTTCTGTCTATTTGTTATGTGAAGATATTTCCTTTTCCACCATAGGCCACGAAGCACTCCAAATATCCACTTGCAGATTCTACAAAAAGAGTGTTTCAAAAATGCTCATTCAAAAGAAACGTTCAACTCTGTGAGCCTAATGCACACATCACAAAGAAATTTCTCAGAATCCTTCTGTCTAGTTTTTGTGTGAAGTTATTTCCTTTTCAACTACAGGCCTGAAAGCACTCTAAATATCCATTTGTACATACTACAAAAATAGTGTTTCCAGACTGCTCAATCAAAAGAAAGGCTCAACTCTGTGAGTTGAATGCACCCATAAAAATGAAATTTCTCAGACTGTTTCTGCCTATTTTTTATGTGAAGATATTTCTTTTTCCACCATAGGCCCCAAAGCACTCAAATTACCCATTTACTGATACTACAAAAGAGCGTTTCCAAACTGCTCAATCAAAAGAAAGTTTCAACTCTGTGAGATGAATGCATACAACATAAAGTAGTTTCTCAGAATCCTTCTGTCTAGTTTTCATGTGAAGATATTTGCTTTTCAGCTATAAGCCTCAAAGCTCTCCAAATATCCATTTGCATATTATACAAAAAGAGTGTTTCAAAACTGCTCAATGAAATTTTCAACTCTGTGAGATGAATGCACAGATCACAAAGAAGTTGCTCAGAATGCTTTTGTCTAGTTTTTATGTGAAGATATTTACTTTTCCACCTTAGGCCTCAAAGCCCTCGAAATATCCACTTGCAGATTCTGAAAAAAGAGTTTTTCAAAACTGATCAGTCCAAAGAAAGATTCAACTCCATGAGATGAATGCACACATCACAAAGAAGTTTCTCAGAATGCTTCTGTCTAGTATTAAGTGAAGATATCTCCTTTTCACCATAGGCTTCAAATATCCACATACGGATTCTTCCATAAGAGTGTTTCAAGACTGCTCAATCAAAAGAAAGGTTCAACTCTGTGAGATGAATGCACACATCACAAAAAGTTTCTCAGAATGCTTCTGTCTAGTTTTTATGTGAAGATATTTCCTTTTCAAGAATTACCTTCAAAGCGCTCCAGATATCCATTTGCAGATACTACAAAAAGAGTGTTTCCAAACTGCTCAATCAAAAGAAAGGTTCAACTCTGTTAGTTGAATGCACACATCACAAAGAAGTTTATAAGAATGCTTCTGTCTAGTTGTTAAGTGAAGATATTTCCTTTTCTACCGTAGGTCTCAAAGTGCACAAAATATCCACTTGCAGATTCTCCAAAAAGAGCGCTTCAAAACTGCTCATTCAAAAGAAAGGTTCACCTCTGTGAGATGAATGCACACATCACAAAGAAGTTTCCCAGAATGCTTCTGTCTAGTTTTTACGTGAAAATATTTCCTTTTCAACTATAGGCCTCAAAGCACTCCAAATGTACATTTGCAGATACTACAAAAAGAGTGTTTCTAAACTATGCAATCAAAAGAAAGCTTCAATTCTGTGAGTTGAATGCACCCATCACAAAGAAGTTTTTGAGAATGCTTCAGTCTAGTTTTTATGTGAAGATATTTCCTTTCCCACCATAGGACTCAAAACGCTCCAAATATCCATTTGGAGATACTACAAAAAAAGTGTTTCCAAACTTCTCAATCAAAAGAAAGGTTCAACTCTGTGAGTTGCATGCACACATCACAAATAAGTTTCTGAGAATGCTTGTGTCTAGTTTTTATGTGAACATATTTCCTTTTCCACCATATGCCTCTAATCACTCCAAATATCCACTTGCAGATTCCACAAAAATAGTGTTTCAGAACTGCTCAATCTAAAGAAAGCTTCAACTCTGTGAGACGAATGCACACATCAGAAAGAAGTTTCTCAGAATGCTTCTGTCAAGTTTCTATGTGAGGATATTTCCTTTTCAACTGTAGGCCTCAAAGCTCTCCTAATATGTATTTACAGATACTTCAAAAAGATTGTTCACAAACTGCTCAATCAAAAGAAAGGTTCAACTGTGTGAGTTGAATTCACACATCACAAAGAAGTTTCTGTGAATATTTCTGTCTTGTATTTGTGTGAAGATATTTACTTTTCCACCATAGACCTGAAAGCACTCCAAATATCCTCTTGCAGATTCTACAAAAAGAGTGTTTCAAAACAACTCAATCAAAAGAAAGGTTCAACTCTGAGATGAAATCACACATCACAAAGAAGTTTCTCAGAATATTTTTGTCTAGTTTTTATGTGAAGATATTTCCTTTATTTTATTTTATTATTATTATACTTTAAGTTTTAGGGTACATGTGAATAATGTGCAGGTTAGTTACATATGTGTACATGTGTCGTGCTGGTTTGCTGTGCCTATTAACTCGTCATTTAGCATTAGATATATCTCCTAACGTTATCCTTCCCCTCTCCCCTCACCCCACAACCGTCCCCAGAGTGTGATATTCCCCTTCCTGTGTCCATGTGTTCTCATTGTTCAATTTCCACCTATGAGTGAGAACATGTGGTGTTTGGTTTTTTGTCCTTGAGATAGTTTATTGAGAATGATGATTTCCAATTTCATCCATGTCCCTACAAAGGACATGAACTCATCATTTTTTATGGCTGCGTATTATTCCATGATGTATATGTGCCACATTTTCTTAGTCCAGGCTATCATTGTTGGACATTTGTGTTGGATCCAAGTCTTTGCTGTTGTGAATAGTGCCGCAATAAACATACGTGTGCGTATGTCTTATAGCAGCATGATTTCTAGTCCTTTGGTTATATACCCAGTAAAGGGATGGCTGGGTCAAATTGTATTTCTAGTTCTAGATCCCTGAGGAATCGCCACACTGATTTCCACAATGGTTGAACTAGTTTACAGTCCCACCAACAGTGTAAAAGTGTTCCTATTCCTCCACATCCTCTCCAGCACCTGTTGTTTCCTGACTTTTTAATGATTGCCATTCTAATTGGTGTGAGATGGTATCTCATTGTGGTTTTGATTTGCATTTCTCTGATGGCCAGTGATGATGAGCATTTTTCCATGTGTTTTTTGGCTGCATAAATGTCTTCTTTTGAGAAGTGTCTGTTCATGTCCCTCACCCACTTTTTGATGGGGTTGTTTGTTTTTTTCTTGTAAATTTGTTTGAATTCATTGTAGATTCTGGATATTAGCCCTTTGTCAGATGAGTAGGTTGCAAAAATGTTCTCCCATTTTCTAGGTTGCCTGTTCACTCTGATGATAGTTTCTTTTGATGTGCAGAAGATCTTTAGTTTAACTAGTTTCCATTTGTCAATTTTGTCTTTTGTTGCCATTGCTTTTGGTGTTTTACACATGAAGTCCTTGCCCATGCCTCTGTCTTGAATGGTAATGCCTAAGTTTTCTTCTAGGGTTTTTATGCTTTTAGGTCTAATGTTTAAGTATTTGATCCAGCTTGAATTAATTTTTGTATAAGGTATAAAGAAGTTATCCAGTTTCAGCTTTCTACATATGGCTAGCCAGTTTTCCCAGCACCATTTATTAAATAGGGAATCCTTTCCCCATTGCTTGTTTTTCTCAGGTTTGTGAAGATCAGATAGTTGTAGATAAACGGTGTTATTTCTGAGAACTCTGTTCTGTTCCCTTGATCTACATCTCTGTTTTGATACCAGTACCATGCTGTTTTCATTATTGTAGCTTTGTAGTATAGTTTGAAGTCAGGTAGCGTAATGCCTCCAGCTTTGTTCTTCTGGCTTAGGATAGACTTGGCAATGCAGGCTCTGTTTAGGATCCACACGAACTTTATTTTTTTTCCAATTCTGTGAAGAAAGTCATTGGTAGCTTGATGGGGATGGCATTGAATCTATAAATTACCTTGGGCAGTATCACCATTTTCACGATATTGATTCTTCCTACCCATGAGCATGGAATGTTCTTCCATTTCTTTGTATCCTCTTTTATTTCCTTGAGCAGTGGTTTGTAGTTCTCCTTGAAGAGGTCCTTCATAACCCTTGTAAGATGGATTCCTAGGTATTTTATTCTCTTTGAAGCAATTGTGAGTAGGAGTTCATTCATGATTTGGCTCTCTGTTTGTCGGTTATTGGTGTGTAAGAATGCTTGTGATTTTTGTACATATATTTTGTATCCTGAGACTTTGCTGAAGTTGCTTATCAGCTTAAGGAGATTTTGGGCTGAGACAGTGAGGTTTTCTAGATATACAATCATGTCATCTGCAAACAGGGACAATTTGACTTCCTCTTTTCCTAATTGAATACCCTTTATATCATTCTCCTGCCTAATTGCCCTGGCCAGAACTTCCAACCCTATGTTGAATAGGAGTGGTGAGAGAAGGCATCCCTGTCTTGTGCCAGTTTTCAAAGGGAATGCTTCCAGTTTTTGCCCATTCAGTATGATATTGGCTGTGGATTGGTCATAGATAACTCTTATTATTTTGAGAGACGTCCTATCAATACTTAATTTATTGAGAGTTTTTAGCATGAAGGGTTGTTGAATTTTGTCAAAGACCTTTTCTGAATCTATTGAGATAATCATGTGGTTTTTGTCTTTGGTTCTGTTTATATGCTGTATTACATTTATTGATTTGCATATATTGAACCAGCCTTGCATCCCAGGGTTGAATCCCACTTGATCATGTTGGATAAGCTTTTTGATGTGCTGTTGGATTTTGTTTGCCAGTCTTTTATTTAGGATTTTTGCATCAATGTTCATCAAAGATATTGGTCTAAAATTCTCCTTTTTGGTTGTGTCTCTGCCCGTCTTTGGTATCAGGATGATACTGGCCTGATAAAATGAGTTAGGGAGGATTCCCCCCTTTTCTATTTATTGGAATAGTTTCAGAAGGAATGGTACCAGTTCCTCCTTGTACCTTTGGTAAAATTCGGCTGTGAATCCATCTGGACCTGGACTCTTTTTGGTTAGTAAGCTATTGATTATTGCCACAATTTCAGAGCCTGTTATTGATCTATTCAGAGACTCTACTTCTCCCTGGTTTAGTGTTGGGAGGGTGTATGTGTGGAGGAATTTATCCATTTCTTCTAGATTTTCTAGTTTATTTGTGTAGAGGTGTTTGTAGTTTTCTCTTAAGGTAGTTTGTATTTTTGTTGGATCAGTGGTGATACTCCGTCTATCATTTTTTATTGCATATATTTGATTCTTCTGTCTTTTTTTCTTTATTAGTCTTGCTAGCAGTCTATCAATTTTGTTGATCCTTTCAAAAAACCAGCTCCTGGATTCATTAATTTTTTGAAGGGTTTTTTTGTGTCTCTATTTCCTTCAGTTCTGCTCTGATTTTAGTTATTTCTTGCCTTCTGCCAGCTTTTGAATTTGTTTGCTCTTGCTTTTCTGGTTCTTCTAATTGTGATTTTAGAGTGTCAATTTTGGATCTTTCCTGCTTTCTCTTGTGGGCATTTAGTGCTGTAAATTTCCCTCTACACACTGCTTTGAATGTGTCCCAGAGATTCTGGTATGTTGTGTCTTTGTTCTCATTGGTTTCAAAGAACGTCTTTATTTCTGCCTTCATTTCATTATGTACCTAGTAGTCAATCAGGAGCGGGTTGTTCAGTTTCCATGTAGTTGAGTGGTTTTGAGTGAGTTTCTTAATCCTGAGTTCTAGTTTGATTGCACTGTGGTCTGAGAGACAGTTTGTTATAATTTCTGTTCTTTTACATTTGCTGAGGGGAGCTTTACTTCCAACTATGTGGTCAATTTTGGAATAGGTATGGTGTGGTGCTGAAAAGAATGTATATTCTGTTGATTTGTGGTGGAGAGTTCTGTAGATGTCTATTAGGTCTGCTTGGTGCAGAGCTGAGTTCAATTCCTGGGTACACTTGTTAACTTTCTGTCTCCTTGATCTTGTAATGTTGACAGTGGGATGTTAAATTCTCCCATTATTATTGTGTGGGAGTCTAAGTCTCTTTGTAGGTCACTCAGGACTTGCTTTATGAATCTGGGTGCTCCTGTATTGGATGCATATATATTTAGGATAGTTAGCTTTTCTTGTTGAATTGATCCCTTTACCATTATGCAATGGCCTTCTTTGTCTCTTTTGATCTTTGTTGGTTTAAAGTCTGTTTTATCAGAGACTAGGATTCCAACCCCTGCCATTTTTTGTTTTCCATGTTCTTGGTAGATCTTCCTCCATCCTTTCATTTTGAGCCTATGTGTGTCTCTGCATGTGAGATGGGTTTTCTGAATACAGCACACTGATAGTCCTTGACTCTTTATCCAATTTGCCAGTCTGTGTCTTTTAATTGGAGCATTTAGTCCATTTACATTTAAAGTTAATATTGTTATGTGTGAATTCAATGCTGTCATTCTGATGTTAGCTGGTTATTTTGCTCGTTAGTTGATGCAGGTTCTTCCTAGTCTTGATGGTCTCTATATTTTGGCATGATTTTGCAGTGGCTGGTACCGGTTGTTCCTTTTCACTTTTAGTGCCTCCTTCAGGAGCTCTTTTAGGGCAGGGCTGGTGGTGACAAAATCTCTCAGCATTTTCTTGTCTATAAAGTATTTTATTTCTCCTTCACTTATGAAGCTTAGTTTGGCTGGATATGAAATTCTGTGTTGGAAATTCTTTATTTAAGACTGTTGAATATTGGCCCCCACTCTCTTCTGGCTTGTAGAGTTTCTGCGGAGAGATCCGTTGTTAGTCTGATGGGCTTACCTTTGTGGGTGACCCGACCTATCTCTGGCTGCCGTTAAGACTTTTTCCTTCATTTCAAATTTGGTGAATCTGACAATTATTTGTCTTGGAGTTGCTCTTCCCGAGAAATATATTTGTGGTGTTCTCCGTATTTCCTGAATGTGAATGTTGGCCTGCCTTGCTAGCTTAGGGAAGTTCTCCTGGATAATATTCTGCAGAGTGTTGACCAACTTGGTTCCATTCACCCCGTCATTTTCAGGTACACCAATCAGACGTAGATTTGGTCTTTTCACATAGTCCCATATTTCTTGGAACCTTTGCTCATTTCTATTTATTCTTTTTTCTCTAAACTTCCCTTCTCACTTCATTTCATATATTTCATCTTCCATCACTGATACCCTCTCTTCCAGTTGATCACATCAGCTCCTGAGGCTTCTGCATTCTTCACATAGTTCTTGAGCCTTGCCTTTCAGCTCCATCAGCTCCTTTAAGCACTTCTCTGTATTTTTTATTCTAGTTGTACATTTGTCTAAATTTTTTTCAAAGTTTTTAACTTCTTTGGCTTTGGTTTGAATTTCCTCCTGTAGCTCTGTTTGATTGTTTGATCATCTGAAATCTTTGATCGTCTGAAGCCTTCTTCTCTCAACTCATCAAAGTCATCCTCCATCCATGTTTGGTCTGTTGCTGGTGAGGAACTGCATTCCTTTTTAGGAGGAGAGGCATGCTTCTTTTTAGAGTTTCCAGTTTTTCTGCTCTGTTTTTTTCCCGTCTTTTTGGTTTCATCTACTTTCGGTCTTTGATGATGGTGATGATGTACAGATGGGTTTTTCTTGTGAATGTCCTTTTTGTTTGTTAGTTTTCCTTCTAACAGACAGGACCCTAAGCTGCAGGTCTGTTGGAGTTTCCTAGAGGTCCCCTCCAGATCCTGTTTGCCTGGGTAGCAGCAGAGGTGGCTGCAGAACAGTGGATTTTCATGAACCGTGAATGCTGCTGTCTGAAAATTCATCTGGAAGTTTTGTCTCAGAAGAGTACGCGGCCGTGTGAGATGTCAGTCTACCCCTACTGGGACATGCCTCCTACTTAGGCTGCTTGGGGGTCAGGGACCAGAGACCCACTTGAAGAGGCAGACTGACCTTTCTCAGATCTCCAACTGCATGCTGGGAGAACCACAGCTGTCTTCAAATCTGTCAGACATGGACATTTAAGTCTGCAGAGGTTACTGCTGTCTTTTTGTTTGTCTGTGCCCTGCCCCCAGAGGTTGAGCCTACAGAGGCAGGCAGGCCCCTTGAGCTGTGGTGGGCTCCACCCAGTTAGAGCTTCCTGGCTGCTTTGTTTACATAAGCAAGCCTGGGCAAGGGCGGATGTCCCTCCCCCATCCTCACTGCCACCTTGCGGTTTGATCTCAGACAGCTGTGCTAGCAATCAGTGAGCCTCTGTGGGCATAGGACCCTCCAAGCCAGGTGCGGGATATAATCTCCGGGTATGCCCTTTTTTAAGCCCGTTGGGAAAGTGCAGTATTAGGGTGGGAGTGACATGAATTTCCAAGTGTGGGCTTTCACCCTTTCTTTGACTAGGAAAGGGAACTCCCTCACCCCTTGTGATTACTGAGTGAGGCAATGCCTTGCCCTGCATTGGCTTATGCACATTGCACTGCACCCACTGTCCTGCACCCACTGTCTGGCACTCCCTAGTGAGATGAACCCGGTACCTCAGATGGAAATGCAGAAATCAATTGTCTTCTGTGTAACTCATGCTGGGAGCTGAAGATGGGAGCTCCTCCTATTCGGCCATCTTGGCTTCCCAACAAAATTTTCTTTTCAAATATAAGACTCAAAGGGCTCCAAATATCCATTGGAGATACAACAAAAAGAGAGTTTCCAAACTACTCAACAAAAGAAATTTTCAAGTATGTGATTTGAATGCACACATCACAAAGAAGTTGCTGAGAATGTTTCTGTCTAGTTTTTATTGAAGATATTTTCTTTTCCACCACAGGCCTCAAAGTACTCCAAATATCCACCTGCAGATTCTACAAAAAAAATATTTCAAAACTACTCAATTAAAAGAAAGGTTGAACTCTGTGAGATGAGTGCATACATCACAAAGCAGTTTCTCAGAATGTTTCTGACTAGTTTTCATGTGAAGATATTTCCTTTTCAGCTATAGGTCTCAAAGCACTCGAAATATCCATTTGCAGATACTACAAAAAGAGTGTTTCCAAACTGTTCAATCAAAATAAAGGTTAAACTCTGTGAGTTGAATGCACACAACACAAAGAAGTTTCTGAGAATGCTTCTGTCTCGTTTTCGTGTGAAGATATTTCCTTTTTCACCATAGGCCTCTAAGCACTCAAAATATCCACTTTCAGTTTCTACAAAGAGAGTGTTTCAAAACTGTTCAATCAAAAGAAAGTTTCGACTCTGTGAGATGAATGCACACATCACAAAGAAGTTTCCCACAATGCTTCTGTCTAGTTTCTATGTGAAGATATTTCCTTTTCAACTACTGGCCTCAAAGCTCTCCAAATATCCATTTGCAGATACTAGAAAAAGAGATTTTGCAAACTGCTTACTCCAAAGAAAGGTTCAACTCTGTGAGATGAATGCACACATCAGACAGAAGTTTCTCAGAATGCTTCTGTCTGGTTTTTATGTGAAGGTATTTCCTTTTCCACCATAGGCCTCAAAGCACTCCAAATATCCACTTGCAGATTCTACAAAAAGAGTGTTTCAAAACTGCTGGATGAAAAGAAAAGTTCAACTCTGTGAGATGAATGCACACATCACAAGGAAGTTTCTCAGAATGCTTATGTTCAGTTTTTATGTGAAGTTATATCCTTTTCAACTATAGGCCTCAAAGTGCTCCAAATATTCATATGCAGATAGTACAAAATGAGTGTTTCCAAACATATCACTCAAAAGAAAGGCTCAACTCTGTGAGGTGAATGCACACATCACAAAGAAGTTTTGGAGGATGCTTCTCTTTTGTTTTTATGTGGAGATATTTCCTTTTCCATCATAGGCCTCAAAGCACTCCAAATATTCACTTGTAGATTCTACAAACAGAGTGTTTCCAAACTGCTCACTCCAAAGACAGTTTCAACTCTGTGAGGTGAATGCACAAATCAGAAGCCACAAAGAGCCCCAAATATCCATTTGCAGATACTACAAAAAGAGTGTTTCAAATCTGCTCAATCAAAAGAAAGGTTCAACTCTATGAGTCAGTGCACACATCTCAAATAAGTTTCTCAGAATGCTTCTTTCTAGTTTTTAAGGGAAGATATTGACTTGTCAGCTATAGGCCTCAAACCACTCCAAATATCCATTTGCAAATACAACAACAAGAGTCTTTCCAAAGTGCTCAATCAAAAGAACAGTTCAACTCTGTGAGTTCAATGCACACATCACAGATAAGTTTCTGAGAATGCTTCTGACTAGTTTTCATGAGAAGATATTTCCTTTTCCACCATATTCCTCAAAGCGCTACAAATATCCACTTGCAGATTCTACAAAAGGGTGTTTCAAAACTACTCAATCAAAAGAACGTTTCAACGTTGTAAAATGAATGCTCACATCACAAAGAATTTTCTCAGACCGCTTCTGTCTACTTTTCATGTGAAGATATTTCCTTTTCAACTATAGGCAAAAAAGTGCTCCAAAATCCATGTGCAGACATTACAAAAAGAGTGTTTCCAAACTGCTCAATAAAAACAAAGGTTCAACTCTGTGAGATGAATGCACACATCACAAAGAAGTTTCTGAGAATGCTTCTGTTTAGTTGTTATGTGAAGATATTTCCTCTCCACCATAGATCTCAAAGTGCTCCAAATATCCACTTGCAGATTCTACAAAAAGAGTGTCTCAAAACTGCTCAATCAAAAGAAAGTTTCAACTCTGTGAGATGAATGTACACATCGCAAAGAAGTTTCTCAGAATGCTTCTGTCTAGTTTTTATGTGAAGATATTAACTTTTCATCTACAGGCCTCAAAGCACTCCATATATCCATGTGCAGATACTACAAAAGGAGTGTTTCCAAACTGCTCAATCAAAAGAAAGGTTCAACTCCATAAGTTCAATGCACACATCACAAAGAAGGTGCTAAGAATGCTTCTGTCTAGTTTTGATGTGAAGGTAATTCCTTTTCCACCATAGGTCTCAAAACCCTCTAAATATCCTCTTGCAGATACTACAAAAAGAGTGATTCAAAACTGCTCAATAAAAAAGAAAGGTCCAACACTGTGAGATGAACGCACACATCACAAAGTAGTTTCTGAGAATCCTTCTTTCTAGTTTTTATGTGAAGATATTTCATTGTCAACTAGAGGCCTCAAAACGCTCCAAATATCCATTTGCAGATACTACAAAAAGAGTGTTGCCAAACTGTTTAATGAAAAGAAAATTTCAACCCTGTGAGTTGAATGCACACATCAAAAAGACGTTTCTGAGAATGCTTCTGTCTAGTTTTCCTGTAAAGATATGTCCTTTTCCACCATAGGACTCAAAGTGCTCCAAATATCCACTTGCAGATTCTACAAAAAGAGTGTTTGAAAACTGGTCAATCAAAAAAGAGGTTCAGCTCTATGAGATGAATGCAAACATCACAAAGAAGTTTCTCAGAATGCTTCTGTCTAGTTTTTATGTGAATATATTTTCTTTTCAACTGTAGGTCTCAAAGTCCTCCAAATAGCCTCATGCTGATTCTACAAAAACAGTGTGTCAAAACTTCTCAATGAAAACAAAGGTTCAACTCTGTGAGATGAATGGACACATTAGAAAGAAGTTTGTCAGAATGCTTCTGTCCAGTTTTTCTGTGATGATATTTCCTTTTCCACCATAGGCCTCAATGCGCTCCAAATATCCCATTTCATAAACTACAAAAAGAGTGTTTCAAAACTGCTCAATCAAACGAAAGACTCAACTCTGTGAGTTGAACGCAAACATCACAAAGAAGTTTCTCAGAATGCTTCAGCCTATTTTTTATGTAAAGACATTTCCTTTTCCACAATGGGGCTCAGAGAGCTCCAAATATCCATTTGCAGAATCTACAAAAAGAGTGTTTCAAAACTGCTCCATCAAAAGAAAGTTTCACCTCTGTGAGATGAATGCACACATCACAAAGAATTTTCTCAGAATGCTTCTGTGTAGTTTTTATGTGAAGATATTTGCTTTCCCACCATAGGCTGAAAAGGGATCCAAATATCCACTTGCAGATTCTACACAAAGATGGTTTCAAAACTGCTCAATGAAAACAAAGGTTCAACTCTGTGAAATGAATGCACACATCAGGAAGAAGATTGTCAGAATGTTTCTGTCTATTTTTTATGTGAAGATATTTCCTTTTCCACAATAGGACTCAAAGTGCTTTAAATATCCATTTGCAGATTTTATAAAAAGAGTGTTTAAAAAGTGTTCAACCAAAAGAAAGATTCAACTCTTTAAGATGAATGCAGACATCACAAATAAGTTTCTCAGAATGCTTCTGTATAGTTTTTATGTGAAGACATTTCCTTTCCCACCATAGGCTGAAAAAGCCTCCAAATATCCACTTACAGAATCTACAAAAACAAAGTTTCAAAACTGTAAAATCAAAATATATGTTCAACTGTGTGAGTTGAATGCACACAAAATCAAGAAGTTCGTCAGAATGCTTCTGTCTAGTTTTTATGTGAAGATATTTCCTTTTAAACCATAGGCCTCAAAGAGCTCCAAATATGCACTTGCAGATTTTACAAAAAGAGTGTTTCAAAACTGCTCAATGAAAACATTGGTTCAACCCTGTGAGATGAATGGACACATCAGAAAGAAGTTTCTCAGAATGCTTCTGTGAAGTTTTGAAGTGAAGATATTTCCTTTTCCAAAATAAGCCCCAAAGCTCTACATAATATCTACTTGCAGATTCTACAAAAAGTGTGTTTCAAAACTGATCAATGAAAACAAAGTTTCAAATCTGGGTGATGAATGCACACATCAGAAAGAAGTTTGTCCGAACGCTTCTGTCTAGTTTTTATGTGAAGATATTTCCTTTTCCACAATAGGCGTCAAAACGCTGTAAATATCGACTTGCAGAATCTACAAAAAGAGTGGTTCTAAACTACTCAATAAAAAGAAAGGTTCATCTAGCATTAGGTATATCTCCCAATGCTATCCCTCCCCCCTCACCCCAATCCACAACAGTCCCCAGAGTGTGATGTTCCCCTCCTGTGTCCATGTGCACATGCACCCTAAAACTTAAAGTATAATAATAATAAATAAAAAATAAAAATAAAAATAAATATAAAAGAAAGGTTCAACTCTGTGAATTGAATGCAAACATCACAAAGAAGTTTCTCAGAATGCTTCTGTGTAGTGTTTATGTGAAGAAATTTCCTTTTCCAACATAGGCCTCAAAGCACCCAAAATATCCAATTGTAGATTCTACCAAAAGAGTGTTTCCAAACTGCTCAATCAAATGAAAAGTTCAACTCTGTGAGATGAATGCACACATCACAAAGAGTTTTCTCATAATGCTTATGTCTAATTTATATTTCAACATATTTCCTTTTCCACCATAGGCCTCAAATTGCTCCAAATATCCACTTGCAGATTGTACAAAAAGAGTGTTTCAAAACTGCTCAACCAAAAAAAGGTTCATCACTGTGACAAGAATGCACATATCACAAAGAAGTTTCTCAAAATGCTTCTGTCTAGTTTTTATATGAAGATATTTCGTTATGCACTATAGGCCACAAAGCTATCCTAATATCCACATGCAGATCCTACAAAAAGCGTGTTTCGAAAGGGCTCAATCAAACGAAAGTTTTAACTCTGTGAGATGAATGCACACTTCACAAAAAAGTTTCTCAGAATGCTTCTGTGTAGTTTTTATGTGAAGATATTTCCTTTCCCACCATAGGCCGAAAATGGCTCCAAATATCCACTTGTAGATTCTACAAAAAGAGAGTTTCAAAACTGCTCACTGAAAATATAGTTTCAACTCTGTGAGTTGAACACACACAACCCAAAGATGTTTCTCAGAATGCTTCTGTGTAGTTCTTATGTGAAGATATTTCCTTTTCCACCATAGGCCTCAAAGTGCTCCAAACATCCACTTGCAGATTCTACAAAAAGGGTGCTTCCAAACTGCTCAATCAAAAGAAAGGTTCAACTCTGTGGGATGAATGCACACATCACAAAGAAGTTTCCCAGAATGCTTCTGTGTAGTTTTTGTGTGAAGATATTTCCTTTTCCACAATAAGCCTCAAAGCGCTCCAAATATCTACTTGTAGATACTACAAAAAGAGTATTTCAAAACTGCTCATGAAAAGAAAGGTTCAACTCTGTGAGTTGAATGTACACATCAAAAGAAGTTACCCAGAATGCTTCTGTGCAGGTTTTATGTAAAGATATTTCCTTTTCCACCGTAGGCCTCCAAGTACCTCAAATATCCACTTGCAGATTTTTCAAAAAGACTGTTTCAAAACTAATGAAATAAAAGAAATTTTCAACTCTGTGAGCTGATCGCACCCATCACAAAGAAGTTTCTCAGAATGCTTCTGTCCAGTTTTTATGTGAAGATACTTCCTTTCCACCATAGGCCTCAAAGCGCTCCAAATATTCACTTGCAGATTCTACAAAAAGAGTGTTTCCTATCTGCTGAACCAAAGGAAAGTTTCAACCACGTGAGACGAATACACACATCACAAAGATGTTTCCCAGAATGCTTCTGCCTAGTTTTTATGTGAACATATTTCCTTTTCCAAAATAGGCCTCATACCTCTCCAAATATCCATTTGAAGATATCACAAAACACTTTTTCCAAGCTGTGCTGTCTAAACAAAGGTTCAACTCTGTGAGTTAAATGCACACATCACAAGGAAGTTTCTCAGAATGCTTCTGTGTAGTTTTTATGTGAAGATATTTCCTTTTCCACAATAGGCTTCAAAGCACTTCAAATATCCACTTGTAGATTATATAAAAAGAGTTTTTCAAAACTGCCCAATCAAAAGAAATATTCAACTCTGTGAGATGAATGCCCACATCACAAAATAGTTTCTCAGAATGATTCTGTGCAGTTTTTATCTGAAGATATTTCCTTTGTCACCGTAGGCCACCAATGGCTAAAAATATCCACTTGCAGATTATTCAAAAAGAGTGTTTCAAAACTGATGAATCAAAAGAAATATTCAACACCATGAGATGAAGGCATACATCACAAAATACTTTATCAGAATGCTTCTGTCCAATTTTTATTTGAAGATATTTCCTCTTCCACCATAGGCCTCGAGTTGCTCCAAATATCCACTTACAGATGGTACAAAAATAGTGTTTCAAAACTGCTCAATTAAAAGAAAGTTTCAACACTGTGAGTTGAATGAACACACCACAAAGAAGTTTCTCAGAATGCTTCTTTGTAGTTTTTATATGAAGATATTTCCTTTTCCACCATAGGCCGTAAAGGGCTCCATATATCCACTTGCAGATTCTACGAAAAGAGAGTTTCAAAACTGATCACAAAAAAGAAACCTTCAACTCTGTGAGTTGAACACACACATCACAAAGAAGTTTCTCAGAATGCTTCTGTGTAGTTTTTATGTGAAAATATTACTTTTTCCACCATAGGCCTCAGAGCACTGCAAATATCCACTTGCAGATTCTACAAGAAGAGTGTTTCCAAACTGCTCAATCTAAAAAAGTTTCAACTCTATGAGTTGAGTGCACACATCACTAAAATTTCTCAGAATGCTTCTGTATAGTTTTTATCTGAAGATATTTCCTTTTACACTAGAGGCCACAAAGCGCTCCTAATATCCACAGGTAGATTCTACAAAAAGTGTGCTTGAAAACTGCTAAATCAACAGAAAGTTTCAACTCTATGAGATGAGTGCACACATCACTAAAAGTTTCTCAGAATGCTTCTGTATAGTTATTATCTGAAGATATTTCATTTTACTCCATAGGTCTCAAAGTGCTCCAAATATCCACTTGCCGATGCTGCAAAAAAGAGTGTTTCAAAACTGCTCAATCAAAGAAAGGTTCAACTCTGTGAGATGAATGCAAATATTACAAAGAAGTTTCTCAGAATTCTTCTGACTGATTTTTATTAGAAGATATTTCCTTTTCCAGCATAGGCCTGAAATTGGTCCAAATATCCACTTGCAGATTCTACAAAAAGAGGGTTTCAAAACTGCTCAATCAAATGAAAGGTTCAACTCTGTGAGACGAATGCACAAATCACGAAGAAGTTTCTCAGAATGCTTCCATCTAGTTTTTATGTGAAGATATTTCCTTTTGCACTGTAGGCTACAAAGCACTCCTAATATCCACAAGCAAATTCCACAAAAAGCGCATTTCAAAAATGCTCAACCACAAGAAAAGTTCAACTGTGTGAGTTGAAAGACCACATCAGAAAGAAGTTTCTCAGAAGGCTTCTATGTAGTTTTTATGTGAAGATATTTCCTTTTCCACCATAGACCTCAAAGCGTTCTAAATATCCACTTGCAGATTCTACAAAATGTGTTTCCAAGCTGATCAATCAAAAGAAAGGTTCAACTCTGTGAGAAGAATTCACACAACAAAAAGAAGTTTCTCAGAATGCTTCTGTCTAGTTTTATGTGAAGATATTTCCTTTTCCATCATAGTCCTCAAAGCACTCCAAATAGCCACTTCCAGATTCTACAAAAATAGTGTTTTAAAACTGCTAAATGAAAAGAAAGTTTCCACTCTGTGAGATGAATGTGAACATCTCAAAGAAGTTACTCAGAATGCTTCTGTCTAGTTTTTATGTGAAGATATTTCCTTTTCCACCATAGGCCACAAACAGCAACAATTATCCACTTGCATATTAAACAAAGAGAGTGTTTCAAAACAGCTCAATCCAAAGAAAATTTCAACTCTGTGAAGTGAACGCACACATCACAAAGAAGTTTCTCAGAAGGCTTCTATGTAGTTTTTATGTGAAGATATTTCCTTTTCCACCATAGGCCTCAAAGCGCTCCAAATATCCACTTGCAGATTCTACAAGAGAGTGTTTCCACACTGCTCAATCAAAAGAAAGGTTCAACTGTGTGAGTTGAATGCACACATCACAAAGAAGTTTCTCAGAATGGTTCTGTCTAGGTTTTATATGAAGATATTTCCTTTTCCACCATAGGCCTCGAAACAGTCCAAATATCCACTTGCAGATACTACAAAAAGAGTGTTTCAAAACTGCACAATGAAAAGAAAGATTCAACTCTGTGAGATGAATGCACACATCACAAAGAAGTTTCTGAGAATGCTCCTGTGTAGTCTTTATATGAAGATATTTCCATTTCCACCATAGGTTCAAAAGGGCTCCAAATATTCACTTGCAGATTCTTCAAAAAGAGAGTTTCATAACTACTCTATCAAAATATTGTTTCAATTCTTTGAGTTGACAGCACACCTCACAAAGAAGTTTCTCAGAATGCTTCTGTGTAGTTTTCATGTGAAGATATATCCTTTTCCACCATAGGCCTCAAAACACTCCAAATATCCACTTGCAGATTCCACAAAATGAGTGTTTCAAAACTGCTCAATGAAAACAAACTTTCAACTCTATGAGATGAATGCACACATGACAAAGTAGTTTCTCGGAATGCTTTTGTCTAGTTTGTCTGTGAAGATATTTCCTTTTCCACCATAAGCCTCAAACCTCTCCAAATATCCAATTGCTGATACCACAAAAAAACTGTTTCCAAACTGCACAATAAAACAAAGTTTCCACTCTGTGACTTAAACGCACCTATCAAAAAGTGTTTTCTCAGAATGCTTCTGTTTAGTTTGTATTTCAAGATATTTCCTTTTCCACCGTAAGCCTCAAAGCGCTCCAAATATCCACTTGCAGAGTCTACAAAAAGAGAATTTCCAAACTGCTTAGTCAAAAGAAAGGTTGAACTCCTTGAGATGAATGCACATATCACAAAGAAGTTTCTGAGAATGCTTCTGGCTACTTTTTATATGAAGATATTTAGTTTTTCACTATAGGCTTCAAAGGGAACAAAATATCCCCTTGCAGATTCTACAAAAAGAGTGTTTCAAAACTGCTCAATCAAAAGAAAGGTTCAACTCTTTGAGATGAATGCACACGCCACAAAGAAGTTTCTCAGAATGCTTCTTTCTAGTTTTTATGTGAAGATATTTCCTTTTCAACCATAGGCCTCTAAGCGCTCCAAATATCCACTTACAGATCATACAAAAAGAGTGTTTCTAAACTGCTCAATCAAAAGAAAGGTTCATTGCTGTGAGATGAATGCACACATCACTAAGAAGCCTCTGAGAATGCTGTTGTATAGTTTTTATGTGCAGATATTTCCTTTTCCACAACAGGCCTCAAATCGGTCCAAGTATCCACTTGCAGATCCTACAAAAAAGGTGTTTCAGAACTGCTCAATGAAAAGAAAGTTTCAGCTCTGTGAGATGAATGCAAACATCACAAAGAAGGTTTTCTGAATGATTCTGTATAGTTTTTACGTAAAGATATTTCCTTTTCCACCATAGGCCTCAAACATTTCCAAATACCAGTTTGCAGGTACCACAAAAACAGTGTTTCCAAACTGTGCAATCAAGGGAAAGTTTCAACTCTGTGAGTTAAAAGCACATATCAAGAAGTTTCTCAGAATGCTTCTGTGTAGTTTTGTTGTGATGATATTTACTTTTCCACCATAGGCCCAAAAGGGCTCCAAATATCCACTTGTAGATTTTACAAAAAGAGAGTTTCAAAACTGCTTAATCAAAAT
Organism: Homo sapiens; assembly: GCF_000001405.40. Lineage (NCBI taxonomy): Eukaryota > Metazoa > Chordata > Mammalia > Primates > Hominidae > Homo > Homo sapiens. Next base: position 50,184,897 of record NC_000005.10, read on the forward strand.
ATAGGTTCAATTCTGTGAGTTGAACACACACATCACCAAGAAGTTTCCCAGAATGCTTCTGTCTACTTTTTATGTGAGGATATTACCTTTTCCACTATAGGCCTCAAAGCGCAATAAATATCGACATGTAGATTTTACCAAAAAACTGTGTTTCAAAACTGTTCAATCTAAAGAAAAGTTCCACTATGTGAGATGAATGCACACATCACAAAGAAGTTTCTCAGAATGCTTCTGTGTAGTTTTTATGTGAAGATATTTCCTTTTCCATCATAGACTGAAAAGGGCTCCAAATATCCACTTGCATATTTTGCAAAAAGGGAGTTTCAAAGTTGCTCAATCAAAATATAGGTTCCACTCTGTGAGTTGAACACACACATAGCAAAGAAGTTTCTCAGAATAATTCTATTTAGTTTTTAAGTGAAGATATTTCCTTTTCCACTGTAGGCCTGAAAGTGCTCCAAGTATCCTCTTGCAGATTCTACAAAAAGAGTGTTTCCAAACTGCTCTACCAAAAGAAAAGTTCACATCTGTGTGATGAGTGCACACATCACAAATAAGTTTCTCAGAATGCTTCTCTCTAGTTTTTCCATGAAGATATTTCCTTTTCCACCGTAGGCCTGGAAGCACTCCAAATATCCACTTGTAGATTCTACAAAAAGAGTGTTTCAAAACTGCTCCATGTAAATAACGTTTCATCTAGGTGAGATGAATGCACAGATCACAAAGAAGTTTCTCAGAATGCTTCTGGCTAGTTTTTATATGAAGATATTTCCTTTTGAAATATAGACCCCAAAGCGCTGCTAATATCCACATGCAGATTCTAAAAAAGGAGTATTTCAAACTTCTCAATGAAAAGAAAGTTTCAACTCTGTGAGTTGAATGCACACATCACAAAGAAGTTTCTCAGAATGCTTCTGTGTAGTTTTAATGTGAAGATGTTACTTTTTCAATCATAGGCTGCAAAGTGCTCAAAATATCCACTTATAGATTCTACAAAAAGAGTTTTTCAAAACAGATCAAGTAAAAGAAAGATTCAACCCTGTTAGCTGAATGCACACTTCAGAAAGCAGTTTCTCAGAATGCTTCTCTGTACTTTTTACATGAAGATATTTCCTTTTCCACAATAAACTGCAAATGGCTCCAAATATCCACTTGCAGATTCTTCAAAAAGAGTGGTTCAAAACTGTTCAACAAAAGAAAGGTTCAATTCTGTGAGTCAAATTCACACATCACAAAGAAGTTTATCAGAATGCTTCTGTGTATTTTTTATGGGAAGATATTTCCTTTTCCAAGATAGGCCTCAAAGCACTCCAAATATCCACTGGCAGATTCCACAAAAATTGTGTTTCCAAACTGCTCAGTCAAAACAAAGTTCAACTCTGTGAGATGAATGCACACATCACAATGTAGTTTATCAGAATGCTTCTGTCTAGTATTTATGTAAAGATATTCCCTTTTCCACAATAGGCTGCAATGCGCTCCAAATATCTACTGGCAGATTCTACAAAAGGAGTGCTTCTAAACTGCTCAATCAAAAGAAAGGTTCAACTCGGTGAGATGAATGCACACATCACAGAGATGTTTCTCAGAATGCTTCTGTCGAGATTTTATGGGAAGATATTTCCTTTTCCATGAGTGGCCACAAAGCACTCCAAATAACCACTTGCAGATCCTACAAAAAGTGTATTTCAAAAGTGCTCAATCAAAAGAAACTTTCAACTCTTTGAGTTAAATGCAGACATCAGAAAGAAATTTGTCAGAATGCTTCTGTGTAGTTTTTATGTGAAGATATTTCCTTTTCCACAATAAGCTCAAAGGGCTCCAAATATCCACTTGCTGATTCTACCAAAAGGGTGTTTCAAAATTGCTCAATGAAAAGAAAGGTTCAACTCTGTGAGATGAATGCATACAACACAAAGAAGTTTCTCAGAATGCTTCTGTCTTGTGTTAATGTAAATATATTTTCTTTCCTGACCTAGGCCTCAAACCTCTCCAAATATCCTTTTGCAGACACCACGAAAATAGTTTTTCCAAACTGTGCTATCAAAAGAAAGATTCAACTATGTGAGATGAATGCACCCATCACAAGGAAGTTTCACGGAATGCTTCTGTCTAGTTTTTATGTGAAGTTATTTCGTTTTCCACCACAGTCCTCAAAACACTCCAAATATCCACTTGCAGATTCCACAAAAAGTGTGTTTAATAACTGCTCAATGAAAATAAATGTTCAACTCTGTGAGATGAATGCACATCTCAGAAATAAGTTTCTCAGAATGCTTCTGTGTAGTTTCTATGTTAAGATATTTCCTTTCCCACCTTAGGCTTAAAATGGCTCCAAGTATCCGCTTGCAGATTCTAGAAAAAAAATGTTTCAAAACTGCTCAATCAAAACAAATATTCAACTCTGAGAGATGAATGTACACATCAGAAAGAAGTTTATCAGAATGCTTCTCTCTAGTTTTTATGTGAAGATATTTCCTTTTCCACCATAGGCCTCAAAGGGCTCCAAATATGCACTTGCAGATTCTACAAAAAAGGGTTTAAAAACTGCTCAAGGAAAAGAAAAGTTCAACTCTGTGAGGTGAATGCACACATCACAAAGAAGTTTCTCAGAACGCTTCTGTGTAGTTTTTATGTGAAGATATTTCCTTTCCCACCATAGGCCAAAAAGGCCTCAAATATCCAGTAGCAGACTCTACAAAAAGAGTTTCAAAACTGCTCAATCTAAATATGCGTTCAACTCTGTGAGTGGAAGGCACATATCACAAAGAAGTTTCTCAGAATGTTTCTGTCTAGTTTTTATGTGAAGATAGTTCCTTTTCCACCATAGTCCTGAAAACGCTCCAAATATCCACTTGCAGATTCTACAAAAAGAGTGTTTCATAACTGCTTAATGCAAAGAAAGTTTGAACACTGTGAGATGAATGCACACATCAAAAAGAAGTTTCTCTGAATCCTTCTGTATTCTTTTTATGTAAACATATTTCCTTTTCCACAATGAGCCGCAAAGGGCTCCAAAAATCCACTTTCAGATTCTACAAAAAGAGAGTTTTGAAACTGCTCAATCAAAAGAAAGGTTCAAGTCTGAGAGTTCAACGCACACATCACAAAGAAGTTTCTCAGAATGCTTCTGTCTAGTTATTATGTGAAGATATTTCGTTTTCCACCACAGTGCTCAAAACACTCCAAATATCCACTTGCAGATTCTACAAAAAGTGTGTCTCAAAACTGCTCAATGTAAAGAAAGGTTCAAATCTGGGAGGTGATGCAAACATCAGAAAGAAGTTTCACAGAATGCTTCTGTATAGTTTTTATGTGATGATATTTCCTTTTCCACAAGAGGCCTCACAGCATTCCAAATATCCACTTGCAGAATATTCAAAAAGAGTATGTCAAAACTGCTCAATGAAAAGAAAGTTTCAGCTCTGTGTGATGAATGCTCCCATCACAGAGAAGTTTCTCAGAATGTTTCTGTGTAGTTTTTATGCAAAGACATTTCCTTTCCCACCATAGGCTGAAAAGGGCTCCAAATATCATCTTGCAGAATCTACAAAAAGAGAGTTTCCAAACTGCTCAATCAAAAGAAAGGTTCAACTCTGTGAGTTGAACACACATCACAAAGAATTTTCTCAGAATGCATCTGTCTGGTTTTTATGTGAAGATGATAATTCTTTTCACCTTAGGCCGCAAAGAACTACAGATATCCAGTTGCAGATACTACAAAAAGAGTGTTTCCAAACTGCTCAATCAAAACAAAGATTCAAATCCGTGAGATGAATGCACACATCACAAAGAAGTTTCTCAGAAAGTTCTGTGTAGTTTTCATGTGAAGATATTTCCTTTTCCACTATAGGCCTCAAAGTGCTCAAAATATCCACTTACAGAATATAGAAAAAGAGTGTTTGAAAGCTGCTCAATCAAAAGAAAGTTTCAACTCTGTGAGAGTAAGGCACACGTCTGAAAGAAGTTTCTCAGAATGCTTCTGCGTAATTTTTACACAAAGATATTTCCTTTCCCACCATAGGCTGAAAATGTCTCCAAATATGCACTTAAAGATTCTACAAAAAGACAGTTTCAAAAACTGCTCAATCAAAATATAGGTTTGACTCTGTGAGTGGAATGCACACATCATGAAGAAGTTTCTCAGAATGCTTCTGTGTAGTTTTTTTTGTGAAGATATTTCCTTTTCCACCATAGACCTCAAAGTGCTCCAAATATCCACTTGCAGATTCTACAAAAAGAGTCTTTCGAAACTGTTCAACCAAAAGAAAGGTTCAACTCTGTGAGATGAATGCACATATCACAAGGAAGTTTCTCAGAAAGATTCTGTCTAGTTTTTATGTGAAGATATTTCCTTTTCCACCATAGACCTCAAAGCGCTCCAAATATCCAATTGCAGATTCTACAAAAACAGCGTTTCAAAACTCTTCAATGAAAACAAAGGTTCACCTCTGTGAGATGAATGCACATATCAGAAACAAGTTTGTCAGAATGCTTCTGTCTAGTTTTTATGTGAAGATATTTCCTTTTCCACAATAGGCCTCAAAGTGCTACAAATATCCAGTTGCAGGATATACAAAAAGTGTTTCAAAACTGCTCAATCAAAAGAATGGTTCAACTCTGTGAGATGAATGCACACATCACAAGGAAGTTTCTCAGAATGCTTCTGTGTGGTTGTTATGGGAAGACATTTCCTTTCACAGCATAGATGGAAAAGGTCTACAAATATCCACTTGCAGATTCTATGAAAAGAGAGTTTCAAAACTTCTCAATGAAAAGAAAGGTTCAACATTGTGAGTTGAATGCACACATCACAAAGAAGTTTCTCATAATGCTTTTATCTAGTTTTTATGTGAAGATAATTTCTTTTCCACCATAGGCCTCAAAGCACTCCAAATATCCAAACACAGATTCTACAAAAAGAGTGTTTCAAAACTGCTCAATGAACAGAAAGGTTAAATTCTGTAATATGAACGCACAGATCAGAAGGAAGTTTGTCAGAATGCTTCTGTCTAGTTTTTAGGTGAAGGTATATCCTTTTTCCACCATAGGCCTCAAAGCACTCCAAATATACACTGGCAGATTCTTCAAAAAGTGTGTTTCAAAATTGCTCCATGAAAGCAAAAGTTGAGCTCTGTGAGATGAATGCACACATCAAAAAGAAACTTCTCAGAATGCTTCTGTGTAGTTTTTATGTGAAGATATTTCCCTTCCCAGCATAGGCCGAAATGGGCTCCAAATATCCACTTGCAGATTCTACAAAAACAGAGTTTCCAAACAGCTCAATCATAATATAGGTTCAACTCTGTGAGTGGAATGCACACTTGACAAAGAAGTTTCTCAGAATGCTTCAGTCTAGTTTTTATGTGAAGATATTTCCTTTTCCACCATAGGCCTCAAAACGCTCCAAATATCCACTTGCAGATTCTACAAAAAGATTTTTTTCAAAACTGCTCTATGTAAAGAAAGTTTCAACTCTGTGAGATGAATGCACACATCAAAAAGAAGATTCTCCGATTGCTTCTGTGTAGTTTTTATGTGAGGACATTTCGTTTCCCACCACAGGCTGAAAAGAGCTCCAAATGGCCGGGCGCGGTGGCTCACGCCTGTAATCCCAGCACTTTGGGAGGCCGAGGCGGGCGGATCACGAGGTCAGGAGATCGAGACCATCCCGGCTAAAATGGTGAAACCCCGTCTCTACTAAAAATACAAAAAATTAGCCGGGCGTAGTGGTGGGCGCCTGTAGTCCCAGCTACTTGGGAGGCTGAGGCAGGAGAATGGCGTGAACCCGGGAGGCGGAGCTTGCGGTGAGCCGAGATCCCGCCACTGTACTCCAGCCTGGGCTACAGAGCGAGACTCCGTCTCAAAAAAAAAAAAAAAAGAGCTCCAAATATCCACTTTCAGGTACTACAAGAGGAGAGTTTCAAAACTGCTCAATCAAAACAAAGGTTCATTTCTGTTAGTTGAACACACATCACAAAGAATTTTCTCCAAATGCTTCTGTGTGGTTTTTATGTGAAGATAATTCCTTTTCCACCATAGTCCACAAAGCATTCCAAATATCCAGTTGCAGATTCTACAAAAGAATGTTTCCAAACTCCTCAATGAAAATAAAGGTTCAAGTCCATGAGATGAATGCACACATCACAAAGAAGATTCTCAGAATGCTTCTGTCTAGTTTTTATGTGAAGATATTTCATTTTCCACCATAGGCCTCAAAGCACTCAAATATCCATTTGAAGAATCTAGAAGAAGTACGTTTCATAACTGCTCCATGAGAACAAAGGCTCAACTCTGGGAGATGAATGCACACATCAGAAAGAAATTTGCCAGAATGCTGCTGTCTAGTTTTTGTATGAAGTTATTTCCTTTTCCACAATAGGCCTGAAAGCGCTCCAAATATCCACATGAAGAATATATAAATAGAGTGTATCAAAAATACTCAATTGAAAGAAATGTTCAACTCTGTGAGATGAATGCACACATCACAAAGATGTTTCTCAGAATGCTTCTTGTGTAGTTTTTATGTGAAGACATTTCCTTTCCCACCTTAGGCTGAAAAGGTCTCCATAAATACACTTGAAGATTCTACAAAAAGAGAGTTTCAAAACTGCTTAATCAAAAGAAAATTTCAACTCTGTGAGATGAATGCACACATCACGAAGAAGTTTCTCTGAATGCTTCTGTCTAGTTTTTATGTGGAGATATATCCTTTTCCACCACAGGCCTCATAGTGCTCCAAATATCCACTTGCAGATTCTACAAAAAGAACGTATCAGTACTGCTCAATGAAAACAAAAGTTCAACTCTGTGGGTTGAATGCACACATCAGAAAAAAGTTTGTCATAATGCTGCTGTCTAGTTTTTATGTGAAGTTATTTCCTTTTCCAAAAGAGGCCTCAAAGCCCTCCAAATATCCACTTGCAGATTCTACAAAAAGAGTGTTTCAAAACTGCTAAATGTAAAGAAAAGTTCAACATTGTGAGATGAATGCACCCATCACAAATAAGTTTCTCAGAATGCTTCTGTCTAGTGTTTATGTATAGATATTTGCTTTTCCACAATAGACCACAAAGGCCTCCAAATATCCACTTGCAGATTCTACAAAAAGAGAATTTCGAAACTGCTCAGTCAAAAGAAATGTTCAACTCTGTGAGTTGGATGCATACATCACAAAGAATTTTCTCAGAATGCTTCTGTGTAGTTTTTATGTGAAGATATTTCCTTTTCCACCAAAGGCCTCAAAGCGCTCCAAATACCAATTTGCAGAAACTACAAAAAGATTGTTTCAAAACTGATCAACGAAAACAAAGTTTCAACTCTGGAAGATGAATGCACAGATCAGAAAGAAGTTTGTCAGAATGCTTCTGTCTAGTTTTTATGTGAAGATATTACCCTTCCCAACATAGGCCAAAAACGGCTCCAAATATCCACTTACAGATTCCATAAAAAGAAAGTTTCAAAACTGCTCAATCAAAATATATGTTCAACTCTGTGAATGGACCGCACACATCACAAAGCAGTTTCTCAGAATGCTTCTTTCTAGCTTTTATGTGAAGATATTTTCTTTTGCACCATAGGTCCCAAAACGCACCAAATATCCACTTGCAGATCCTTCAAAAAGAGTGTTTCAAAACTGTTCAAGGAAAAGAAAGATTCAACTCTGTGAGATGAATGCAACCATCACAAAATTTTTTCTAAGAATGCTTCTGTCTAGTTTTTATGTAAACATATTTCCTTTTCCACAATAGGCCGCAAAGGTCTCCAAATATCCATTTGCAGATTCTACAAAAAGAGAGTTTCAAAACTGCTCAATCAAAGGAAATGTTCAACTCTGTGAGTTGAAAGCACACATCACAGAGAAGTTTCTCAGAATGCTTCCATCTAGTTTTTATATGAAGATATTTCCTTTTCCACCATAGGCCTCAAAGTGCTCAAATTATCTACTTGTAGATTCTATAAAAAGAATGTTTCAAAACTGCTCAATCAAAAGAAAAGTTCAGCTCTGTGAGTTGAACGCACACATCACAAAGAAGTTTCTCAGAATGCTTATGTGTAGTCTTTATGTGAATATATATCTTTTCCACCATAGGCCTCAAAGTGCTTCAAATATCCACTTGCAGATTCAAGAAAAAGAGTGTTTTGAAACTGTTGAATGAAAAAAAAAGGTTCAACTCTGTGAGATGAATGCACACATCACAAAGTAGTTTCTCAGCATGCTTCTGTGTACTTTTTATGTGAAGTTATTTCCTTTCCCACCATAGCCCTTAAAGGGCTCCAAACATCCACTTGCAGATTCTTCAAAAAGAGAGTTTCAAAACTGCTCATTCAAAATATAGGTTCAACACTGTGATTGGAATGCCCACATCACAAAGTAGTTTCTCAGAATGCTTCTGCCTAGTTTTGATGTGAAGATATTTCCTTATCCAACATAGCCTTCCAAACACTCCAAATATCCCCTAGCAGATTCTAAAAAAAGCAGTGTTTCAAAACTCCTCTATGTAAAAAATTGTTCATCTCTGAGACATGAATGCACACATCACAATTAAGTTTCTTAGAATGCTTCTGTGTAGTTTTTTCTGTGAGGATATTTTCTTTTCCACCATAGGCCTCAAAACGTTCCAAATATCCATTTCAAATACTACAAAAAGAGTGTTTCCAAACTGCTCAATCAAAATAAATTTTCAGCTCTGTTAGGTGAATGCACACATCCCAAAGAAGTTTCTCAGAATGCTTCTGTGTAATTTTTATGTGAAGATATTTCCCTTCCCATTATAGGCCAAAAAGGGCTCAAAACATCCACTTGCAGATTCTGCAAAAAGAGAGTTTCAAAACTGCTCAATCAAATTATATGTTCTACTCTGTGAGTGGAACGCTCACATCACAAAGAAGTTTCTCAGAATGCTTCCTTCTAGTTTTATGGGAAGATATTTCCTTTTACACCATACGCCCCAAAATGCCCCAAATATCCACTTGCAGAAACTACAAAAAGAGTGTTTCAACACTGCTCAATGTAAAGTAACGTTCAACTCTGTGAGATGAATGGTCCCATCACAAAGATGTTTCTCAAATGCTTCTGTCTAGTTTTTATGTAAAGATATTTCCTTTTCCACCATAGGCCACTAAGGGCTCCAAAAATGCACTTGCAGATTCTACAAAAAGAGAGTTTCAAAATTGCTCAATCAAAAGAAAGTTTCAACTCTGTGAGTTGAACGTACCCATAACAAAGAATTTTCTAAGAATGCTTCTGTATAGTTTTGATGTGAAGATATTTCCTTTTCCACCATGGGCATCAAAGTGCTCCAAATAACCTCTTGCAGAATCTACAGAAGGAGTGTTTCATAACTGGTCAATGAAAACAAGGGTTCAACTCTGTGAGATGAATGCACACATCAGAAAGAAGTTTGTCAGAATGCTTCTGTCTAGTTTTTGTGTGAAGATATTTCTTTTCTCTCCATAGGCCAAAAATGGCTTCAAAGATCCACTTGCAGATTCTACAAAAAGTGATTTTGAAAACTGCTCAATCAATATACAGATTCAACTCAGTGAGTGGAACACATACATCACAAAGAAGTGTCTCATAATACTTCTTTCTAGTTTTTATGTGAATATATTTGTTTTCCACCATAAGCCTCAAATCCCTTCAAATATATACCTGCAGATTCTACAAAAAGAGTGTTTCGAAACTGCTCAATGTAAATAAAGGTTCAACTCTGTTAGATGAATGCGCCCAACACAAAGAAGTTTCTCAGAATGCTTCCGTCTAGTTTTTATGTGAAGGTATTTCTTTTTCCACCATAGGCCTCAAAGTGCTCAAAATATCCACTTGCAGATCCTAGAAAAAGTGTGTTTCAAAACTGCTCAATGAAAACAAAGTTTCAACTCTGTGAGATGAATGCACACATCAGAAAGTAGTTTGTCAGAATGCTTCTGTCTAGTTTTTATGTGAAGATATTTCTTTTCCACGAAAGGCCTCAAAGTGTTCCCAATATCCACTTGCAGAATCTACAAAAAGAGTGTTTCAAAATTGCTCAATCAAAAGAAAGTTTCAAATCTTTGAGTTGAATGCACACATCACAAAGAAGTTCCTCAGAACGCTTCAGTGTAGTTTTTATGTGACGATTTTTTTTTTCCACCATAGGCCTCAAAGTGCTCCAAATATCTGCTTGTGTATTCTACAAAAAGTGTGATTCGAAACTGGTCAATCAAAAGAAAGTTTCAACCATGTGAGACGAATGCACACATCACAAAGAAGTTTCTCAGAATGCTTCTGTATGGTTTTTATGTGAAAATATTTCCTTTTCCACCATGGACCGTAAAGGGCTCCAAATATCCACTTGCAGATTCTACAAAAAGAGAGTTTCAAAACTGCTTAATGAAAACATAGTTTCAACTCTGTGAGTTTGAAAGTATACATCACAAGGAAGTTTCTCAGAATTCTTCTGTCTAGTTTTCATGTGTAGATATTTCGTCTTCCACCATAGCCCTCAAATAGCTCCAAATAACCAACTGCAGAAGCTACATATGAGTGTTTCAAAACTGCTGAATGAAAACAAAGTTCAGCTCTGTGAGATGAATGCACACATCACTAAGAATTTTGCCAGAGTGCTTCTGTCTATTATTTTTGTGAAGATATTTCCTTTTCCACCATAGGCTTCAAATCGTCCCAAATATCCACTTTCAGAATCTACAAAAGGAGTGTTTCAAAACTACTCAATTAAAAGAAAGTTTCAGCTCTGTGAGATGAATGCACACATCACAAATAAGGTTCTCAGAATGCTTCTGTGTAGTTTTTATGTGAATTTATTTCCTTTCCCACCTTAGGCCAAAAGGATCACAAAATATCCACTTGTAGATACTACAAAAAGAGAGTTTGAAAACTGCTCAATCAAAATATAGGTTCAACTCTGTGAGTTGAATGCACACATCACAAGGTAGATTCTGAGAATGCTTCTGTGTAGTTTTTAAGTAAAGTTATTTCCTTTTGCACCATAGACCTCAAAGCCCTCTAAATATCCACTTGCAGAATCTTCAAAAAGTGTGTTTCAAAACTGCTCAGTCAAAAAAAAGGTTCATTTCTGTGAGATGAATGCACACATCACAAAGAAGTTTCTCAGAATGCTTCTGTGCAGTTTTTACGGGAAGATATTTCCTTTTCCATAATAAGCCTCAATAGAAAAAGAGAGTTTCAAAACCGCTCAATAAAAAGAATGGGTCAACTCTGTGAGATGGATGCACACATCACAAAGAAGTTTCTCAGAATGTTTCTGTGTAGTTTTTATGTGGAGATATTTCCTTTCCCAGCATAGGCCATAAAGGGCTCCAAATATCCACTTGCAGATTCTAAAAAAGAGAGTTTCAACACTGCTCAATCAATATATAGGTTCAAATCTGTGAGTTGAATGCACACAGCACAAATAATTTTCTCAGAATGCTTCTGTGAAGTTTTTAAGTGAAGATATTTCCTTTTCCACCAGAGGCCTCAAAACACTCCAAATATCCCCTTGCAGATTCAACAAAAAGAGTGTTTCCAAACTGCTCAATCAAAAGGAAGTTTGAACTCTGTGAGATGAATGCACACATCACAAAGAAGTTTGTCAGAATTCTACTGTGTTGTTTTTATGTGAAGATATTTCCTTTTCCACAGTAGGCCTGAAAGCGCTCCAAATACCCACTTGCAGAATATACAAAAAGAGTGTTTCAAAACTGCTCAATCAAAAGAAAGCTTCATCTCTGTAAGATGAATGCACACGTCACAAAGAAGTTTCTCAGAATGTTTTTTTAGTTTTTATGTGAAGACATTTCCTTTCTCACCATAGGCTGAAAAGGGCTCCAAATATCAACTTTCACATTCTAGAAAAGAGTGTTTTAAACTGCTCAATGAAAATATAGTTTCAACTCTTTGAGTTGAACATACACATGTAGAGAAATTTCTCAGAATCCTTCTGTCAAGTTTTTATGTGAAGATATTTTGTCTTCCACCATAGGCGTCAAAGCGCTCTAAATATCCACATGCAGAATCTATGTATGAGTGTTTCAAAACTGCTCAATGAAAACAGAGTTCAAATCTGTGACATGAATGCACACATCACTAAAAATTTTGTCAGAATGTTTCTGTTATTTTTGTGAAGACATTTCCTTTTCCACCACAGGCTTCAAAACTCTCCATATATCCACTTGCAGAATCTACAAAAAAGTATTTCAAAACTACTCAATTAAAAGAAAGTTTCAACTCTGTGAGATGAAGGCACACATCACAAAGAAGATTCTCAGAATGCTTCTGTGTAGATTTTTGTGAATTTATTTCCTTTCCCACCTCAGGCCGAAAGGGTCTCAAAATATCCACTTGCAGATTCTACAAAAAGACAGTTTCAAAACTGCTCCATCAAAATATAGGTTCAACACTGTGAGTTGAACGCACACATCACAAGGTAGCTTCTGAGAATGCCTCTGTGTAGTTTTTAAGTGAAGATATTTCCTTTTGCAAAATAGGTCTCAAAGTGCTCCAAATATCCACTTGCAGATTCTACAAAAACAGTGTTTCAAAACTGCTCAATCATAAGATAGGTTCAACCCATGAGATGAATGCACACATCACAAAGAAGTTTCTCAGAATGCTTCTGTGTAGTTTTTATGTGAAGATATTTCCTTTTCCACCATAGGCCTCAAAGCCCTCCAAATATCCAATTGGAGAATCGACAAAAAGAGTGTTTCAAAACTGCTCAATGAAAAGAAAGTTTCAATTCTGTGAGATGAATGCAAACATCACAAAAACTTTGTCTGAATGATTCTATCTAGTTTTCATATGAAGATATTTCGTTTTCCACAATAGGCCTCAACGTGCTCCAAGTATCCACTTGCAGAATATACAAAAAGAGTGTTTCAAAACTACGCAATCAAAGGAAAGTTTCAACTCTGTGAGATGAATGGACACGTCATAAAGAAGTTTCTCAGAATGCTTCTGTGTAGTTTTTATGTGAAGACATTTCCTTTCCCACCGTAGGCTGAAAAGGGCTCAAAATATTTACTTGCAGATTCTACAAAAAGAGTGTTTGAAAACTGCTCCATCAACATGCAGGTTCAACTCTGTGAGTTGAATGCACACATCACAAAGAAGTTTCTCAGAATGCTTCTGTATATTATTTTTTATGTGAAGATATTTTCTTTTCCACCACAGACTTCAAGGCCCTCCAAATATGCACTTGCAGATGATACAAAAAGAGTGTTTCAAAACTGCTCAATGAAAACAAGTGTTCAACTCTGTGAAGTGAATGGACACATCAGGAAGAAGTTTGCCAGAATGGTTCTGTCTAGTTTTTCTGTGAAGGTATTTCCTTTTCCACCATAGGCCTCAAAGCGCTCCAAATAGTCACTTGCAGAATCTACCAAAAGAGTGTTTCAAAATGCTCAATCAAAATAAATCTTCAACTCTGTGAGATGACCCCACACATCACAAAGAAGTTTCTAGGAATGTTTCTGTCTAGTTTGAATGTGAAGATATTCCCTTTTCCATCAGAGGCCTCAAAGCGCACCAAATATCCACTTGCAAATTCTACAAAAAGAGTGTTTCTAAACTGCTCAATGAAAATAAAGTTTCCTCTCTGTGACATGAATGCACACATACATAAGAAAAAAGTTTGTCAGAATGCTTCTGTGTAGTTTTTATGGGAAGATATTTCATTTTCCACAATACGCCTCAAAGCGCTCCAAATATCCACTTGCAGATTCTACAAAAAGAGAGTTTCAAAACTGCCCAAACAAAAGAAATGTTCAATAATGTGAGTTAAATGCACACATCACAAAGAAGTTACCCCGAATGTTTCTGTGTAGTTTTTATGTGAAGATATTTCCTTTTCCATCATAGTTCCCAAAACGCTCCAAATATCCACCTGAAGATTATACAAAAAGAATGTTTCAAAACTGTTCAATGTAAAGACAGCTTCAAATCTGTGAGGTGAATGTACCCATCACAAAGTAGTTTATAAGAATCCTTCTGTGTAGTTTTTATGTTAAGGTATTTAATGTTCCAGCATAGGCCACAAAGGGCCCCCAATATCCACTTGCAGATTCTACAAAAAGCGAATTTCAAAACTGTCTAATCAAAAGAAAGTTTCAAAATTGTGAGCTGACCGCACACATCACTAAGAGGTTTCTCAGAATCCTTCTGTCTATTTTTTATGTGAAGATATTTCCTTTTCCACCGTAGGCCTCAAAGTGCTCCAAATATCCACTTGCAGAATATACAAAAAGAGTGTTTCAAAACTGCCCAGTCAAAAGAAAGGTTCAACTGTGTGTGTTGAACCCACACATCACAAAGAAGTTTCTCAGAATGCTTCTGTGTAGTTCTTAGGTGAAGATATTTCCTTTTTCACTATGGGAATCAAAGTGCTCCAAATATCCACTTGTAGATTCTACAAAAAGAGAGTTTCCAAACAACTCAATGAAAATATAGGTTCAACTCTGTGAGTTGAACACACACATTACAAAGCAGTTTCTCAGAATTCTTCTGTATAGTTTTTATGTGACAATATTTCCTTTTCCACCATAGGCCACAAAGCGCTCCAAATATCCACTTGCAGAATATACAAAAAGAGTGTTTCAAAACTGCCCAGTCAAAAGAAAGGTTCAACTGTGTGTGTTGAACCCACACATCACAAAGAAGTTTTTCAGAATGCTTCTGTGTAGTTTTTAGGTGAAGATATTTCCTTTTTCACTATGGGCCTCAAAGTGCTCCAAATATCCACTTGCAGATTCTACAAAAAGAGAGTTTCCAAACTGCTTAATGAAAATATAGGTTCAACTCTGTGAGTTGAACACACATATTACAAAGCAATTTCTCAGAATTCTTCTGTATAGTTTTTATGGGAAGATATTTCCTTTTCCACCATAGGCCTCAAAGCGCTCCAAATATCCACTTGCAGATTCTACAAAAAGAGTGTTTCCAAACTCCTCAATGAAAACAAAGATTCAACTCTGTGAGAAGAATGCACGCATCAGAAAGAAGTGTGTCAGAATGCTTCTATCTAGTTTTTATGTGAAGATATTTCCTTTTCCAGCATAGGCTTCAAAGCACTCCACATATACAATTGCAGAATCTACAACATGAGTGATTCAAAACTGCTCAATCAAAAGAAAGGTTCCTCTTTGAGTTGAATGAACACATTGGAAAGAGGTTTCTCAGAGTGCTTCAGTGTAGTTTTTATGTGAAGGTATTTCCTTTTCCACCACAGGCCTCAAAGCACTCCGAACATCCACTTGCAGATTCTACAAAAAGAGTCTTTCGAAACTGCTCAATGAAACCAAGTGTTCAACTCTTTGGGATGAGTGCACACATCAGAAATAAGTTTCTCAGAATGCTTCTGTCTTGTTTTTATGTGAAGATATTTCCTTTTCCACAATAGGCCTCAAACTGCCCCAAATAGCCACTTGCAGATTTTACAAAAGAGTGTTTCAAAACTGCTCAATGAAAACAAAGGTACAACTCCGTGAGATGAATGCACACATCACAAAGAAGTTTCTCAGAATGCTTCTGTGTAGTTTTTATGTGAAGACATTTCCTCTCCCACCATAGATGAAAAGGGCTCCAAATATCCACTTGAAGATTCTACAAAAGGAGAGTTTCAAAACTGCTTTATCAAAATAAAGTCAGAATGCTTCTGTCTAGTTTTTATGTGAAGGTATTTCCTTTTCCACCATAGGCCTCAAAGCGACCCAGATATCGACAGGCAGAATACACAAAAAGAGTGTTTCAAAACTGCTCAATGAAAACAAAGTTTCAACACTATGAGTTGAACGCACGCATCACAAACAAGTTTCTGAGAATGCCTCTGAGTAGTTTTTATGTGAAGATACTTCCTTTTCCAAAGTAGGCATCGAAGTGCTCCAAATATCCACATGCAGAATGTACAAAAAGAGTGTTTCAAAGCTGCTCAATCAAAAAAATAGCTTCAAGTCTGTGAGATGAATGCACATATCACAAAGAAGTTTCTCAGAAAGTTTCTGTGTAGTTTTAATATGATGACATTTCTTTTCCCACCATAGGCTGAAAAGAGCTATAAATATCCACATGCAGATTCTACAAAAAGAGAGTTTCAAAACTGCTCAATCAAAATATATGTTCAACTTTGTGATTTGAACGCACACAAAACAAAGAAGTTTCTCAGAATACTTTTTTCTAGTTTTTCTGTGAAGATATTTCCCTTTCCACCATAGGCCTCAAAGAGCTCCAAATATCCACTTGCGGAATGCACAAAAAGATTGATTCAAAACGGCTCAATCAAAACAAAGGTTCAACTCTGTGATTTGAACTCACACGTCACAAATAAGTTTCTCAGAATGCTTCTGTGTAGTTTTTATTTGAAGATATTTCCTTTTCCACCGTAGGCCTCAAAGTGCTACAAA
The DNA here is from genome assembly GCF_000001405.40 of Homo sapiens. NCBI lineage: Eukaryota > Metazoa > Chordata > Mammalia > Primates > Hominidae > Homo > Homo sapiens. The sequence goes on from NC_000005.10 coordinate 50,201,298, forward strand.
TATCCACTTGCAGATTCTACAAAAAGAGTATTTCAAAACTGCTCAATGAAAATAAAGGTTCAAAACTGTGAGTTGAATGCACACTTCAGAAAGAAGTTTCTCAGAATGCTTCTGTCTGATATCTGGGTGAAGATATTTCCTTTGCCACAATAGGCCTCAAAGCAATCCAAATATGCACTTGCAGAATATACAAAAAGAGGGTTTCAAAACTGCACCATCAAAAGAAAGGTTGAAATGAATGCACACATCACAAAGAAGTTTCTCAGAATGCTTCTCTCTAGTTTTTATGTGAAGATATATTCTTTTCCACCACATGTCTGAAAGCGCTCCAAATATCCACTTGCTGATTCCACAAAAAGAGTGTTTCAAAACTACTCAATATGAAGAAAAATTCAACTCTGTGAGATGAATGTTTACATCAGAAACTAGATGGTCAGAATGCTTCTGTCCAGTTTTTATGTGAAGATATTTCATTTTCCACCATAAGTCTCAAAGCGCTCCAAATATCCATTTGCAGAATATACAAAAAGAGTGATTCAAAACTGCTCAATCAAAAGAAAGCTTCAACTCAGTGAGATGAATGCACACATCAAAAAGTAGTTTCTCAGAATGCTTCTGTCTAGTTTTCATGTGAAGATATTTTATTTTACACCATAGGCCACAAAGTGCTCCAAATATCCACTTGCAGATTCTACAAAAAGAGAGTTTCAAAACTGCTCAATCTAAACAAAGATTCAACTATGTGAGATCAATGGACACATCACAAAGAAGTTTCTCACAATGATTCTCTCTAGTTCCTATGTGAAGATATTTCCTTTTCCACCATAGACCTAAAAGCAATCCAAATATCCACTTGCAGATACTACAAATAGTGTGTTTCAAAACTGCTCAATGAAAACAATGTTTCAACACTATGAGTTGAATGCACACATCACAAACAAGTTTCTCAGAATGCCTCTGAGTAGTTTTTATGTGAAGATATTTCATTTTCAACCATAGGCCTCAAAGTGCTCCAAATATCCACTTACAACTTCTACAAAAAGAGTGTTTCCAAACTGCTCAATCAAAAGAAAGGTTGAAATCTGTGATATGAAAGCACACATCACAAAGAAGTTTCTCAGAAAGTTCTGTGTAGTTTTTATGTGAAGATATTTCCTTTCCCACCATAGGATATAAAGGCTCAAAGTATCCACTTGCAGATTCTACAAAAAGAAAGTTTCAATACTGCTCAATCAAAATATAGGTTGTACACTGTGAGTGGAATGCACACATCAGAAAGAAGTTTCTCAGAATGCTTTTGTCTAGTTTTTATGTGAAGATATTTACTTTTCCAACATAGGCCGAAAAGCCCTCCAAATATCCACTTGCAGATTCTACAAAAAGTGTGCTTCAAAACTGCTCAATGAAAACAAAGATTGAAGTCTTTGAGATGAATGCACAAATCAGAAAGAAGTTTCTCAGAATGCTTCTGTCTCGTTTTCATGTGAACACATTTACTTTTCCACAGTATGCCTCAAAGGGCTCTAAATATCTACTTGCAGATCCTACAAAAAGAGAGTTTCAAAACTGCTCTATCAAAAATAGACTTTCAAAACTTCTCAATCAAAAGAAAGGTTCAACTCTGTGAGTGAATGCACATATCACAAAGAAGTTTCTCAGAATGCTTCTGTGTAGTTTTTATGTGACGATATTTCCTTTTCCACCATAGGCCTTAAAGAGCTCCAAATATCCACCTGCAGATTAAACAAAAAGCTTGTCTCGAAACAGCTCTATCAAAAGAAAGGTTCAACTCTGTAAGGTGAATGCACACATCACAAAGAAGTTTCTCAGAATTCTTCTGTCTAGTTTTTATGTGTAGATATTTCCATTTCCACCATAGGCCTCGAAGTGCTCCAAATATCCATTTTCAGCTTCTATAAAAGGAGCGTTTCAAAACTTCTCAATGAATACAAAGATTCAACTCTTTGAGATGAATGCACGCATCAGAAAAAAGTTTGTCAGAATGCTTCTGTCCAGTTTTTATGTGAAGATATTTCCTTTCTCCCCCATAGGCCTCAAAGCACTCCAAATATCCAGTTGCAGATTTTACAAAAAGTGTGTTTCAAAACTGTTCAATGAAAACAAATGTTCATCCCTGTGGGATGAAGGCAACACATCAGAAAGAAGTTTGTCAGAATGCTTCTGTCTAGTTTTTATGTGAAGATATTTCCTTTTCCGTAATAGGCCTCAAAGCGCTCCAAATATCCACATGCAGAATCTACAGAAGGAGTGTTGCAAAACTGCTCAATCAAAAGACAGGTTCAACTCTTTGAGATGAATGCACCCATCACAAAGAAGTTTCTCATAATGCTTCTGTCTAGTTTTTATGTAAAGATACTTCCTTTTCCACAATAGGCTGCAAAGGGCTCCAAATATCCACTAGCAGATCCTACAAAATGAGTGTTACAAAACTGCTCAGTGTAAAAGAAGCTTCTCCTCTGTGAGATGAATGCACACATCATAAAGAAGTTTCTCAGAATGCTTCTGTCTAGTTTTTATGTGAAGATATTTTCTTTTCCACCATAGCCCTCAAAGTGCTCCAAATATCCACTTGCAGATTCTACAAAAAGAGTGTTTCAAAACTTCTCAATGTAAAGGAAGCTTCAACTCTGTGAGATGAATGCACCCATCGCAAAGAAGTTTCTCAGAATGCTTCTGTGTAGTTTTCATGTGAAGACATTACGTTTCCCACCATAGGCCAAAATGGGCTGTAAATATCCACATGAAGATCCTATAAAAAGAGTGATTCAAAATTACTCATTCAAAAGAAAATTTCAACTCTGTGAGTTGAAAGCACACATCACAAAGAAGTTTCTAAGAATGCTTCTGTGTAGTTTTAATGTGAAGATATTTCCTTTTCCACCCTAGGCCCCCAAGTGCTCCAAATATCCCATTTCAGAAACTACAAAAAGAGTGTTTCCATACTGATTAATCAAAAGAAAAGTTCAACTCTGTGAGATGAATACACACATCAGAAAGAAGTTTCTCAGAATGCTTCTGTGTAGTTTTTATGTGAAGATATTTCCTTACCCACTGTTGGCTGAAAAAGGCTCCAAATATCCACCTGCAGATTCTGCAAAAAGAGAGTTTCAAAACTGCTCAATCAAAATATAGGTTCAAATCTGTGAGTTGAACGCACACAAAACAGAGAAGTTTCTCAGAATGCTTCTGTTTAGTTTTTATGTGAAGATATATAATTTTCCACCATAAGCCTCAAAGCACTCCGAATATCCATCTGCAGATTCTACAAAAAAGAGTGCTTCAAAATTGCCCATTGAAAAAAAAGTTTCAACTCTGTGAGAGGAATGCATTCATCAGAAAGAAGTTTGCCAGAATGCCTCTGTCTAGTTTTTATGTGAAAATATTTCCTTTTCCACCATAGCCCTCAAAGTGCTCCAAATATCCACTTGCATATTCTACAAAAAAAAGTGTTTGAAAACTGCTCAATGAAAACAATGTTTCAATTCTGTAAGATTAATGCACACATGAGAAAGAAGTTTCTCAGAATGCTTCTATCTCGTTTTTATGTGAAGATATTTCCTTTATCACAACAGGCCTCAGAGTACACCAACTATCCACTTGCAGAACCTACAAAAAGAGTATTTCAAATCCCTAAATGAAAAGAAAGTTTCAACCTTGTGGGATGAATGCTCACATCATAAAGAAGTTTCTCAGAATGCTTCAGTCTAGTTTTTACGTGAAGATATTACCTTTTCCACTATAGTCCTCAAAGCGCTCCAAATATCCTCTTGCAGAATCTACAAAAAGAGCGTTTCAAAACTGCTCAATCAAAACAAAAGTTCAACTCTGTGAGTTGAACGCACACATCACAAAGTAGTTTCTCAGAATGTTTCTGTGTAGTTTTTATGTGAAGATATTTCCTTTTCTACCTTAAGCCTCAAAGTGTCCCTAATATCCACTTGCAGAATCTACAAAAAGAGTGTTTCAAAAGTGCTCAATGAACACAAAGGTTCAACTCTGTGAGATGAATGCACACATCAGAAAGTAGTTTCTCAGAATGGTTCTGTCTAGTTTTTATGTGGAGATATTTCCTTTTCCACAATTGGCCTCAAAGTGCTCCACATATCCACTTGCAGAAAATACAAAAAGAGTGTTTCAAAACTGCTCAATCAAAAGAAAGGTTAACCTCTGTGAGATGCATGCACACATCACAAAGAACTTTCTCAGAATCCTTCAGTGTAGTTTTTATGTGAAGACCTTTCTTATCCTACCATAGGCTGAAAAGGGCTCCAAATATCCACTTGCAGATTCTACAAAAAGAGAGTTTCAAAACTGCTCAATCAAAATATAGGTTCAACTCTGTGAGTTGAATGCACACCTCACAAAGAAGTTTCTCAGAATGCTTCTGTGTAGTTCTTATGTGAAGATATTTCCTTTTCCACCATAGGCCACAAATCTCTCAAAATATCCACTTGCAGATTATAAAAAAAAGAATGTTTCAAAACGGCTCTATGAAAACAAAGGTTCAACTCTGTGAGATGAATAAACACATCAGAAAGTAGTTTGTCAGAATGTCTCTGTCTAGTTTTTATGTGAAGATATTTCCATTTCCACCATAGGCCTCAAAGCACTCCAAATATCCCGTTGCAAAATCTACAAAAAGTGTGTTTCAAAAATGCTCAATCTAAGTGAACACGACATCACAAGTAAGTTACTCAGAATGTTTTTTTGTAGTTTTTATGTGAAGATATTTTCTTTTCCACCATACACCTCCAAGCCCTCCAATTATAACTTGCAGATTCTACAAAAAGTGTGTTTCAAGACTGCTCAATGAAAACAAAGGTTCAACTCTGTGAGATGAATGCACACATTAGAAAGAAATATGTCAGAATGCTTCTGTGTAATTTTTCTGTGAAGATATTTCCGTTTAAACAATAGACCTTAAAGCGCTTCAAATATTCATTTGCAGAATCCACAAAAAGAGAGTTTCCAAACTGCTCGATGAAAACAAAGTTTCAACTCTGTGAGATGAATGAAGACATCACAAAGAAGTTTCACAGAATGCTTCTGTGAAGTTTTTATTTGATTATATTCCCTTTTCCACCATAGGCCTTAAAGCGCTCAAACTACCCACATGCAGAATACACAAAAAGAGGGTTTCAAAACACCTCAATGAAAACAAATTTTCAACTCTGTGAGGTGAATGCACACATCAGAAAGAAGTTTGTCAGAATGCTTCTGTCTAGTTTTTATGTAAAGATATTTCCTCTTCCACAATTGGCCTCAGAGAGCTCCAAATATCCACTTGCAGAATCTAGTAAAAGAGTGTTTCAAAACTGCTAAATCAAAAGAAAGGTTCAACTCTGTGAGATGAATGAGGACACCACAAAGAAGTTTCTCAGAAAGCTTCTGTGAAGTTTTTATTTGAGGATATTTCCTTTTACACCATAGGTGTCAAAGCACTCCAAATATCCTGTTGCAGACTCTACAAAAAGAGTGTTTCAAAACTGCTTAATGAAAACAAAGGTTCTACTCTGTGGGATGAATGCACACTTCAGAAAGAAGTTTGTCAGAATACTTTTGTCTAGTTTTTATGTGACAATATTTCCTTTTAACAACAGGTCTCAAAGCGCTCCAAATATGCACTTGAAGAATCTACAAAAAGAGTGTTTCAAATCTGATAAATCAAAAGAAAGGTTCAACTCTGTGAAATGAATGCATACATCACAAAGAAGTTTCTCAGAATGCTTCTTTCTAGATTTATGTGAAGATATTTCCTTTTCCACTATAGTCCTTAAAGCGCTCCAAATATCCACTTGCAGAATCTACAAAAAGAGTATTTCAAAACTGTTCAATCAAAAGAAAAGTTCAACTCTGTGAGTTGAACGCACACATCATAAAGAAGTTTCTCAGAACGCTTCTGTCTAGTTTTTATGTGAAGATATTGCCTTTTCCACCATAGGCCTAAAAGTGCTCCAAATATCCACTTGAAGATTATACAAAAAGAGAGTTTAAAAATGGCTTAACCAAAATATAGGTTCAACTCTGTGAGATGAATGCACACATCACAAAGAAGCTTCTTAGAATGCTTCCATGTAGTTTTTATGTGAATATATTTCCTTTTCTACTAGAGGCCTAAAAGCGCTCCAAATATCCACCCACAAAATTCACAAAAAGAGTGTTACCAAATTACTCAGTCAAAAGAAAGGTTCCACGTGGTGAGATGAATGCTCACATCACAAAGGAGTTTCTAAGAATGCTTCTGTCTAGTTTTTATGTGAAGATATTTCCCTTTCCACCACAGGCGTCAAAGCGCTCCAATTATCCACTTGCAGATTCTACAAAAAGTATGTTTCAAAACTGCTGAATCAAAATAAAGGTTAACTCTGTGAGATAAATGCACACATCATAAAGAAGTTTTTCAGAATTCTTCTGTGTAGTTTTTATGAAAAGATATTTCCTTTCCCACTATAGGCTGAAAAGGGCTCCAAATATCCACTTGCAGATTCTACAAATAGTTTCAAAACTGCTGAAACAAAATTTAGGTTCAACTCTGTGAGTTGAACGCACACATCACAAAGAAATTTCTCAGAATGCTTCTGTCTGGTTTCTATGTGAAGATATTTCCTTTTCCACCATAGGCCTCAAAGCACACAAAATATCTACTTGCAGATACGACAAAAAGAATGTTTCAAAACTGCTCAATGAAAGCAAAGTTTGAACTCTGTGAGATGAATGCACACATCAGAAAGATGTTTGTCAGACTGCTTCTTTCTAGTTTTTATGTGAAGATATTTCCTTTTCCACCATAGACCTCAAAAGAGCTCCAAATATCCACTTGAAGAATCTACAAAAAGAGTGTTTCAAAACTGCTCAATCAAAAGAAAGGTTCATCTTTGTGAGTGGAATGTACACATCACAGTGAAGTTTCTGGGAATGTTTATGTGTAGTTTTTATGTGAAGATATTTCCTTTTCCACCATAGACCTCAAAGCGCCCCAAATATCCAAATGCAAATTTTACAAACAGAGTGTTTCCAAACTGCTCAACCAAACTAAAGTTTCAACTCTGTGAGATGAATGCACACACCATAAAGAAGTTTGTCAGAAAGCTTCTGTCTAGTTTTTATGAAAAGATATTTCCTTTTCCACCATAGGCCTCAAAGCGCTCCAAATATCCACTTGCAGAATCTACAAAAGGAGTGTTTCAAAACTGCTCAATCAAAAGAAAGGTTCAACTCTGTGAGTGGAATGCACACATCACAATGAAGTTTCTGAGAATGATTCTCTGTAGTTTTTATGTGAAGATATTTCCTTTTCCACCATAGGCCTCAAAGCGCTTCAAATATCCAATGGCAGATTTTATAAAAAGAGTGTTTCAAAACTGTTCAATCAAACGAAAGGTTCAACTCTGTGAGATGAATGCACCCACCACAAAGCAGTTTCTCAGAATGCATCTGTCTAGTTTTTATGTAAAGATATTTCTTTTTCCATAGTAGGCTGCAAAGGGCTGCAAAGGGCTCAAAATATTCACTAGCAGATTCCACAACAAGAGAGTTTCAAAACTGCTCAATAAAAAGAAAGGTTCATCTTTTAGAGTTGAATGCAAACATCACAAAGAAGTTTCTCAAAATGCTTCTGTGTAGTTTTTATGTGAAGATATATCCTTTTCCCCCATAGGCCTCAAATCACTCCAAATATCCACTTGCAGATTCAACAAAAAGAGTGTTACCTAAATGCTCAATCTAAAGAAAGTTTCAACTCTGTGAAATGAATATCCCCATCACAAAGCAGTTTGTCACAATGTTTCTGTCTGGTTTTATTTGTGAGGATATTTCCTTTTCCACAATAGGCTGCAAAGGACTCCAAATATTCACTAACAGATTCAACAAAAAGAGAGTTTCAAAGCTGCTCAATCAAAGGAAATGCTCAACTCTGTGAGTTGAATGCACATATCACAATTAAGTTTCCCAGAATGATTCTGTGTACTTTCTATGGGAAGATATTTTCTTTTCCATCACAGGCCTCAAAGGGATCCAAATATCCACCTGAAGATTCTACAAAGAGTGTTACAAAGCTGCTGAATGTAAAGAAACTTTCTACTCTCTGAGATAAATCCACCCATCACAAAGATGTTTCTCGGAATGCTTCTGTCTAGTTTTTACGTGAAGATATTTCCTTTTCCACTATAGACCTCAAAGGGCTCCAAACATCCACTTGCGAATTAAACAAAAAGAGTGTTTTGATACTGCTCAATCAAAAGAAAGGTTCAACTGTGTGAGATGAATGCACACATCACAAAGAAGTTTCTCAGAATGCTTCTTTGTAGTTTTTATGTGAGGATATTTCCTTTTCCACCATAGGCAGCAAAGGTCTCAAAATATCCACTTGCAGAATCTACAAAAAGAGTGTTGCATAACTGTTCAATCCAAAGAAAGGTTCAACTCTTTGTGATGAAAGCACACATCACAAAGTAGTTTGTCAGAATGCTTCTGTGTAGTTTTTATGTGAAAATAACTCCTTCCCAACATAGGCCAAAAAGTGCTCCAAATATCCACTTGCAGATTCTACAAAAAGAGAGTTTCAAAACTGCTCAATCAAAATATAGTTTCAACTCTGTGAGTGGATTGCACACATCACAAAGTGTTTCTCAGAATGCTTCTGTCTAGTTTTTCTGTGAAGAAATTTCCTTTTCCATTATGATTCTCAAATCTCTCCTAATATTCACTTGAAGAGTCTCCAAAAAGAGTGCTGCAAAACTGCTCAATCAAAAGAAAGGTTCAACTCTGTGATATGAATTCACAAATCACAAAGTATTTTTTTAGAATGCTTCTCTGTAGTTTTTATGTGAAGATATTTCCTTTCCCACCATAGGCTGATAAGTGCTCCCAATATCAATTTGCAGATTCTACAAAAAGAGAGTTTTAAAACTGCTCAATCAAAATATAGGTTCAACTCTGTAAGTGGAATGCACACATCAGAAAGGAGTTTCACGGAACGTTTCTGTGTAGTTTTTCTGTGAAAATATTTCCTTTTCCACCATAGGCCTCAAAACGCTCCAAATAACCACCTGCAGATTCTACAAAAAGAGTCTTTCAAAACTGCTCAATGAAAATAAAGGTTCAACTCTGTGAGTTGAATGCACACATCACAAAGGAGTTTCTCAGAATGCTTATGTGTAGATATTTCCTTTTCCACAATAGGCATCAAATTGTTCCAATTATCCACTTGCAGATTCTACAAAAAGAGTTTTTCAAAACGGCCCAATGTAAAGAAAGGTTCAACTCTGTGAGATGAAAGCATACATCACAAAGAAGTTTCTGTGAATGCTTCTGTCTACTTTTTATATAAAGATATTTCCTTTTCCACTATACGCCTCAAAACCCTCCAAATATCCATTTGTAGATACCAGAAAAAAACTGTTTAAAAACTGCACACTCAAAAGAAAAGTTAAATTCTGTGAGTTAAATGCACACATCACAAAGAATTTTCTCAGAATGCTTCCGTGTAGTTTTTATTTGAAGATATTTCCTTTTCCACAATAGGCCTCAAAGCTCTCCAAATATCCACTTGGAGATTTTACAAAAAGAGTGTTTCTAAGCTGCTCAAACAAAACAAATGTTCAACTCTGTGAGATGAATGCACACGTCAAGAACTAGGTTCTCAGAAAGGTTCTGTGTAGTTTTTATGTGAAGATATTTCCTTTTCCACCGCAGGCCTCCAAGCACTCCTAATATCCACCAGCATATCCTAGAAAAACAGTGTTTCAAAACTGCGCAATCCAAAGAAAGTTTCAACTCTGTGAGATGAATGCACACATCACAAAGTAGTTTCTCAGAATGCTTCTGTCTATTTTTTATTTGAAGATATTTCCTTTTCCACCATAGAAATCAAATATCTCCAAATATCCACTTGCAGATTCTTCAAAAAGAGTGTTTCAAAATTGCTCAATCAACAGAAACTTTCAACTATGTGAGATGAATGCACACATCACAAAGAAGTTTCTCAGAATGCTTCTGTGTAGTTTTTATGGGACGATGTGTAGTTTTTATGGGATGATATTTACTTTCCACAGTAGGCCCCAAATCGCTGCAAATATCCACTTGCAGATTCTACAAAAGGAGTGCTTCAAAATTGCTCAATCAAAAGAAAGTTTTAACTCTGTGAGATGAATGTACACATCACAAAGAAGTTTCTCAGAATGCTTCTGTCTACTTTTTATGTGAAGACATTTCCTTTTCCACCTTAGGCCTCAATGCACTCCAAATATCCACTTGCAGATCCTACAAAAAGTGTGTTTCAAAACTGCTTAATCAAAAGAAAGTTTAAACTCTGATAGATGAATGGACACACTCAAGGTAGTTTCTCCGTACGCTTCTGTCTAGTTTTTATGTGAAGATATTTCCTTTTCCACCATAGGACTCAAACCTCTCCACATATCCATTTGCAGATATCACAAAAACACTGTTGCCAAAGTGCACAATGAAAAGAAAGGTTAAATTCTCTGTGTTAAATACACATATCTCAAAGAAGTTTCTCAGAATACTTCTGTGTAGTTTTCACGTGAAGATATTTCCTTTTCCTCAATAGGCCTCAAAGTGCTCCCAATATCCACTTTCAGATTCAACAAAAAGAGTGTTTCAAAACTGCTCAATGAAAAGAAATTTTCAACTTGTGAGATGAATGCACACATCACAAAGAAGGTTCTCAGAATGCTTCCATCTGGTTTTTATGTGAAGATATTTCCTTTTCCACAACAGGCCTGAAAACTCTCCAAATCTCCATTTGCTAATACCACAAAAACACCGTTCCCAAAATGCACAATCAAAAGAAAGTTTCAACTCTGGGAGTGAAACTCACACATCACAAAAAGATTCACAAAGTGCTTCTGTGCAACTTTTATGTGAAGATATGTCCTTTTCCACAATAGGCCTCAAATCGCTCCAAATATCCACTTGCAGATTCTACGAAAAGAGTGTTTCAAAATTTCTCAATCAAAAGAAAGTTTCAACTCTGTGTGATGAATGCAAACGTCACAAAGAAGTTTCTCAAAATGCTTCTGTTTAGTTTTTAGGTGAAGATATTTCCTTTTCCACCATAGGCCAAAAAGGGCTCCAAATATCCACTTGCATATTCTACAAAAAGAGAATTTCAAATCTGCTCAATAAAAATATAGTTTCAACTCTGTGAGTTGAATGCACACTTCACAAAGTAGTTTCTCAGAATGCTTCTGTGTAGTTCTTATGTGAAGATATATCCTTTTCCACCAGAGGCCTCAAAGCACACAAAATATCCACTTGCAGATTTTACAAAAAGAGTGTTCACAAACTGCTCAATCAAAAGTAAGGTTCACCTCTGTGAGATGAATGCACACATCAGAAAGTAGTTTGTCAGAATGCTTCTGTCTATTTTTTATATGAAGATATTTCCTTTTCCACCATAGGCCTCAAAGGTCTCCAAATATCCCTTGCAGATTCTGAAAAACAGTGTTTCAAAACTGCTCGATAAAAAGAAAAGTTCAACTGTTTGAGATGAATGCACACATCACAAAGAAGTGTCTCAGAATGCTTCTGTCTACTTTTTATGTGAAGATATTTTCTTTTCCACCATACTCTTCAAAGCACTCCAAATATCCAACTGCAGTTTCTGCAGAAAGAGTGTTTCAAACTGTTGAATCAAAAGAAAGGTTCAAATCTGTGAGATGAATGCACACATCACAAAGAAGTTCCTCAGAATGCTTCTGTCTAGTTTTTATTTGAAGATATTTCCTTTTCCACCATAGGACTCACAGTGCTGCAAATGTCCACTCGTAGATTCTACAACAAGAGTGTTTCAAAACTGCTCAATAGAAAGAAACATTCAACTCTGTGAGATGAATTCACACATCACAGAAAAGATTCTCAGAATTCTTCTGTGTTTTTTTTATATGAAGATATTCCCTTTTCCACCATAGGCCAAAAAGGGCTCCAATCCACTTGCAGATTCTACAACAACAGAGTTTCAAAACTGCTCAACTTGAAGAAAGGTTCAAAGTTGTGAGATGAATGTGCACTTCACAATGAAGTTTCTCAGAATGCTTCTGTGTAGTTTTCATGTGAAGATATTTCATTTTCCCACATAGGCCTCAAAGCGCTCCAAATATCCACTTGCAGATTGTACAAAAACAGTGTTTCCAAACTGCTCTATAAATACAAAGATTCAACACTGTGAGATGAATGCACACATCACTAAGAAGTTTCTCAGAATGCTTCTGTCTAGTTTTTATATGAAGATATTTCCTTTTCCACCATTGGCCTTAAAACGCTTCAAATATGCACTTGCAGATTCTAAACAAACAGTGTTTCAAACCTGTTCAATTAAAAAAAAGATTCAACTCTGTGAGATGAATGCACACATCACAAAGATGTTTCTCAGAATGCTGCTCTGTAGTTTTTATGTGAAGATATTTCCTTTCCCACCATAGGCCGAAAACTGCTCTAAATATCCACTTGCAAGTTTCTTCTAAAAGAGAGTTTGAAAACTACTCAATCAAAATATAGTTTTAACTCTGTGAGTTGAAAGTACACTTGACAAAATTTTCTAGGAATGCTTCTGTGTAGTTTTTATGTAAAGATATTTCCTTTTCCACAAAAGTCGGCAAAGATCTCCAAATATCCTCTTGCAGATACTACAAAAAGAGAGTTTCAACACTACTCAATCAAAAGAATAGTTCAACTCCGTGAGTTGAATGTGCACATCACAAACAAGTTACTCAGAATGCTTCTGTGTAGTTTTTATTTGAAGATATTCCCTTTTCCACCATAGACAACAAAGTGCTCAAAATATCCACTTGCAATTTCTACAAAAGAATGTTTCCAAACTGCTCAATTATTAAAAGAAACTTTCAAATCCTTGTGATGATTGCACACATCACAAACAAGTTTCTGAGAATGCTTCCATGTAGTTTTTATGTGAAGATATTCCCTTTTCCACCATAGGCCTCTAAGCACTCAAAATATCCACTTGCAGATTCTACAAAAAGAGAGTTTCAGAACTGCTCAATCAAAATATATGTTCAAATCTGTGAGTTGAACGCACACAAAACAAAGAAGTTTCACAGAATGATTCTTTCTGGTTTTTATGTTAAGATATTTCCTTTTCCATCATAGGCCTCAAAGCCCTCCAAATATCCACTTGTAGAAACTACATAAAGAGTGATTCAAAAGTACTCCATCAAAAGAGAAGTTCAATTCTGTGAGTTCAAAGCACACATCACAAAGAATTTTCTCAGAATGCTTCTGTGGAGTTTTTATTTGAAGATATTGCCTTTTCAATCATAGGCTCCAAATTGCTCCAAATATCCACTTACAGATTCTACAAGTGTGTGATTCCGAATTGCTCAATCAAAAGAAAGGTTCAACTCTGTGAGATGAATGCACACATCACAAAGAAGTTTCTCAGAATGCTTCTGTCTAGTTTTTAGGTGAAGATATTTCCTTTTCCAACATAGGACTCAAAGCACTCCAAATATCCACTTGCAGATTCTACAAAAAGAGTGTTTCAATACTGCTCAATGAAAACAATTTTCAACTCTGTGAGATGAATGCACACATCAGAAAGGAGTTTGTCAGAATTCTTCTGTCTAGTATTTATATGAAGATATTTCCTTTTTCCACCATAGGTCTCCCAACACTCCAAATATCCACTTCGGATTCTACAAAAAGAGTGTTTCAAAACTGCTCAATGTAAAGAAAGTTTCACCTCTGTGAGATGAGTACAACCATCACAACGAAGTTTCTCAGAATACTTCTGTCTAGTTTTTATGTAAAGATATTTCCTTTCCCACAATAGGCTGAAAAGGCTCCAAATATTCACTTGCAGAATCTACAAAAAGAGTGTTTCAAAACTACTCAACCCAAAGAAAGGTTCAATTCTGTGAGTTGAACGCACATATCACAGACAAGTTTCTCAGAATGCTTCTGTCTAGTGTTTATATGTAGATAATTCCTTTTTCCACCATAGGTCTCAAAACGCTCCAAGTATCCACTTACAGATTCTACAAAAAGAGTGTTTCAGAACTGCTCAATCAAAGTAAAGGATGAACTCTGTGGGATCAATGCACACATCACAATCAAGTTTCTCAGAATGCTTCTGTGGTTTTTATGTGAAGATATTTCCTTTTCCACCATAGGCCTCAAAGCTCTCCAAATATCCACTTGCAGATTCTGTAAAAAGAGTGTTTCAAAACTGATGAAAGAAAACAAAGTTTGAACACTGTGATATGAATGGACACATCGAAAAGAAGTTTGTCAAATGCTTCTGTCTGGTGTTTATGTGAAGATATTTCCTTTTCCACAGTAGGGCACAAAGCGCTCCAAACAACCACTAGCAGAATCTACAAAAAGAGGGTTTCAAAACTGCTCTATCAAAAGAAAGGTTAAAATCTGTGAGTTAAACGCAGACGAAACAAAGTAATTTCTCAGAATGCTTCTGTCTAGTTTTTATGTGACGATATTTCCTTTTACATCATAGGCCTGAAAGCGCTCCAAATATCCACTTGCAGATTCTACAAAAAGAGTGTTTGAAAACTGCTCAATGAAAATAACTGTTCAACTCTGTGACTTGAATGCACCCATCGCACAGAAGTTTCTCACAATGCTTCTGTGCAGTTTTTAGGTGAAGATATATCCTTTTAAACCAGACACCCCAAAGCGCTCCAAATATCCAGTAGCAGATTTTGCAAAAAGAGTGTTTCCAAATTGCTCAAACAAAACAAAGGTTCAACCCTGTGAGACGAATGCACACATCCCAAAGATATTTCTCAGAATGCTTGTGTCTAGTTTTTATTGAAAGATACTTCCTTTTCCGCCATAGGCCTCAAACCTCTCCAAATATCCTTTTGTAAATACCAAAAAAACACTGTTTTCAAAAAAAGAAATTTTCAACTCTCTGAGTTAAATGCACACATCACAACGAATTTTCTCAGAATGCTTCTGTCTAGCTTTTATTTGAAGATATTTCCTTTTCCACCTTAGGCCTCCAATCGGTCCAAATATCCAATTGCAGATACTACAAAAAGAATGTTTCAAAACTGCTCAATTGAAAGAAGGGTTCAACTCTGTGAGATGAATGCACACATCACAAAGAAGTTTCTCAGTATGCTTCTGTCTAGTTTTTATGTGAAGATATTTCCTTTTCCACCATAGGCCTCAAAACACTCCAAATATCCATTGCAGATTCTACAAAAAGAGTGTTTCAAAACTGTTCAATGAAAACAAATTTGAACTCTGTTAGATGAATGGAGACATAAGAAAAATGTTTGTCGGAATGCTTCTGTCTAGTTTTTATGTGAAGTTATTTCCTTTTCCACAATAGGCCTCAAACGCTCCAAATATCTTCTTGCAGAATCTACAAAAAGAGTGTTTGAAAACTGTTCAATCAAAACATAAGTTCAACTCTGTGAGTTGAATGCACACATCACAAAGAGGTTTCTCAGAATGCTTCTGTGGAGTTTTTATGTGAAGATATTTCCTTTTCCATCCATAGGACTCAAAGTGCTCCAAATACCTACTTGCAGATTCTAAAAATAGAGTGTTTCCGAACTGCTCAATAAAAAGAAAGGTTCAACTCTGTGAGTTGAACTAACACATCTCAAAGAAGTTTCTCAGAATGCTTCTGTCTATTTTTTATGTGAAAATATTTCCTTTTCCACCGTAGGCCTCAAAGCACTCCAAATATCCACTTCCAGATTCCACAAAAAGAGTGTTTCAAAAAAGCTCAATGAAAACAATGGTTCAAATCTGTGAGATAAACACACACATCAGACAGAAGTTTGTCAGAATACTTCTGTCTAGTTTTTATGTGAAGATATTTCCTTTTCCTCAAAAGGCCTAAAAGTGCTCTAAATATCCACTTGCAGATTCTAGAAAAGGAGTGCTTGAAAAATGCTGAATCAAAAGAAAGGTTCAACTCTGTGATATGAATGCACACATCACAAAGTAGTTTCTCAGAATGTTTCTGTGTAGTTTTTATGTGAAGATATTTACTTTCACACCACAGGCTGAAAACGGCTCCAAATATCCCCTTGCAGATTCTACAAAAAGAGAGTTTCAAAACTGCTCCATCAAAATATAGATTCATCTCTGTGAGTTTGACTCACACACACAAAAAGAAGTTTCTCAGAATCTTCTGTCTAGTTTTAATGTGAAGATATTTCCTTTACCACTGTAGGCTGCAAAGGGCTCCAAATATCCATTTGCGGATTCTACAAAAAGAATGTTTCAAAACTGCTCAATCAAAAGAATGTTTCAACTCTGTGAGATGAATAAACACATCACAAAGGAATTTCTCAGAGTGCTTCTGTGTAGTTTTAATGTGAAGATATTTCCTTTTCCACAATAGGCCTCAAACCTCTCGAAATATCCATTTGCAGATACCACAAAAACACTATTTCCAAACTGCACAATCAAAAGAAAAGTACAGCTTTGTGATTTAAATGCAAATAACACAAAGAAGTTTCTTAGAATGTTTCTGTGTAGTTTTTATATGAAGATATTTCCTTTTCCTCTGTAGGCCACAAAAAGATCTTAATGTCCACATGGAGATGCTAGAAAAAGAGTGTTTAAAAACTGCGCTATCAAAAGAAGGCTTCAACTCTGTGAGTTGAACGTACACATCACAAAGAAGTTTCTGAGAATGCTTCTGTCTAGTTTTTACTTGAAGATATTTCCTTTTCAACCATAGGCCTCAAATCGTTCAAATATCATTTTCAGGTTCCACTAAAAGAGTGTTTCAAAACTGCTCAATCAAAAGGAAGGTTCAACACTGTGAGTTGAATGCACACATCACAAAGAAGTTTCCCAGAATGCTTCTGTGAAGTTTTTATGTGAAAATATTTCTTTTTCCACCTTAGGCTGCAACGGGCTCCAAATATTCACTTGCAGAGTCTACAAAAAGAGTTTTTCCAACCTGCTCAATCAACAGAAAGGTTCAACTCTGTGAGATGAATGCACCATCAAAAAGAAGTTTCTCAGAATGCTTCTCTCTAGTATTTATGTGAAGATATTTTCCTTTCCACCATCAGCCTCAAAGCACTTCAAATATCCATTTGGAGATTCTACAAAAACAGTGTTTCAAAACTGCTCAATGAAAAGAAAGGTTGAAATCTGTGAGATGAATGCACACATCACAAAGAAGTTTCTCAGAATGCGTCTATTTTTTATGTGAAGTTATATCCTTTTCCACTAGAGGTGGCAAAGCGCTCCAAATATTCACTTGCAGATTCTACAAAAAGATTGTATCAAAACTCCTTAATCCAAAGAAAGGTTCAACTCTATCAGTTGTATGCACACATCACAAAGGAGCTTCTCCTAATGCTTCTGTGTACTTTTTATGTGAAGGTATTTAACTTTCCACAGTAGGCCCGTTAGTGCTCCAAATATCCACTTGCAGATTCTACAAAAGAAGTATTTCAAATCCGCTCAATCAAAAGAAAGGTCCAACTTTGTGAGATGAATGCACACATCCCAAAAAAGTTTCTCAGAATGCATCTCTCTAGTTTTTATATGAAAATATTACCTTTTGTACTGTAGGCAGCAAAGCGCTCATAATATCCACATGCAGATTCTACAGAAAGAGTGCTTCAATGCTGCTCAATCAAAATACAGTTTCAAATCTGTGAGTTGAATGCACACATCCCAAAGAAGTTTCTCAAAATACTTCTGTGTAGTTTTTATGTGAAGATATTTCCTTTTCTCCCATAGGCCTCAAAGCGCTCCAAATATCCATTTGGAGACTCTACAGAAAGAGTGTTTCAAAACTGCTCAATGAAAAGAAAGTTTCAACACTGGGAGATGAATCCGCAAGTCAAAAAAATGATTCTCAGGATGCTTCTGTCTAGTTTTTATATGAAGATATTTCCTTTTCCATCATAGGCCTCAAAGTGCTCCAAATATCCACGTGCAGATTCTACAAACAGAGCATTTTGAAACTGCTCAATCAAAAGAAAGTTTCAATTCTGTGAGATGAATGCACACATGAGAAAGAATTTTGTCAGAATGCTTCTGTGTAGTTTTTATGTGAAGATATTTCCTTTTCCACAATATGCCTCAAAGCGCTCCAAATATCCACTTGCCGATTCTACAAAAAGGGTGTTTCAAAACCGCTCAATCAAAAGAAAGTTTCAACTCTGTGAGATGAATGCAAATATCACGAAGAAGTTTCTCAGATTGCTTCAGTGTAGTTTTTATGTGGAGATATTTCCTTTTCCACCATAGGCCTGAAAGCGCTCCAAATATCCACTTGCAGATTATTCAAAACGAGTGTTTCCAAACTGCTAAATGTAAAGAAAGATTCAAGTCTGTGAGATGAATGCACACATCATAGAGAAGTTTCTCAGAACGCTTCTGTCTAGTTTTTAGGTAAAATTTTTTCCTTCTCCACCATAGGCCTCAAAACTCTCCAAATATCCATTTGCAGATACCACAAAAACACTGTTTCCAAAGTGCGCAATCAAAACAAAGGTTCAACCCTGTGAAGCTTTGTACACGTCACATGAAGTTTCTCAGAATGCTTCTGCGTAGATTTTATATGACAATATTTCCTTTTCCACAATAGGTCTCATTGTGCTCCAAATATCCTCTTGGAGATTCAGCAAAAAAAATGTTTCAAGACTTCTCAATCAATACAAATGTTCAACTCTGTGAGACGAATGCACACATTACAAAGAAGTTTCTCAGAAAGCTTCTGTCTAGTTTTTATGTGAAGATATTTCCTTTTCCACAATAGGCCTCCAAACCCTCCAAATATCCACTGGCAGATTCTACAAAAGAGTGTTTCAAAACTGATGAATCAAAAGGAAGGTTCAACTCTGTGAGATGAATGCACACATTACAAAGTAGTTTCTCAGGATGCTTCTGTCTAGTTTTATTTGAAGATATTAACTTTTCCACTATATGCCTCAAATTGCTCCAAATATCCACTTGCAGATTCTACAAAAAAAAGTTTCAAAACTGATGAATCAAAACAAAAGTTCAACTCTGTGACATAAATGCACACATCACAAAGAAGTTTCTCATAATGCTTCTGTGTAGTTTTTATGTGAAGATATTTCCTATTCCACCATAGGCCTCAAAAATCTCCAAATATACATTTGCAGATACCAGAAAACACTGTTTCCAAACTGTGCAATCAAAAAAAAGTTCAACTCTGTGAGATGAATGCACACATCTGAAGGAAGTTTCTCAGAAATCTTCTGTCTAGTTTTTATGTGAAGATATTTCCTTTTCTACATGAGGCCTCAAAGCGTACCAAATATCCACTTGCAGAATCTGCAAAAAGGGTGTTTCAAAACTGCTCAATGAATAGAAAGTATCAACTCTGTGAGATATATGCACACATCACAAAGAAGTTCCTCAGAATGCTCCTGCCTGGTTTTTATGTGAAGATATTTACTTTCCACCTTAGGCTTCAAACCTCTCCAAATATCCATTTGCTGATACCACAAAAACACTGTTTCCAAACTGTGCAATCAAAAGAAAGTGTCATCTCTGTGACTTAAACGCACACATAACAAAGAAGTTTCCCAGAATGCTTCTGTCTAGTTTTATGTGAAGATATTTCCTTTTCCACAATAGGTCTGAAAGCGCTCCAAATATCCTCTGCCAGATTCTACAAAAAGAGTGTTTCAAAACTGCTAAATCAAAAGAAAGTTTCAAATCTGTGAGTTCTACGCACACATCACAAGAAGCTTCTCAGACTGATTCTGTGTAGTTTTTATGTAAAGATATTACTTTATCCACCATAGGCATCAAACCTCTCCAAATATCTATTTGCAGATTCCACAAAAACACTTTTTCCAAACTGCGAAATCAAAAGAAAGTTTCAACTCTGTGAGTTAATTTCACACATCACAATGAAGTTTTTCAGAAAGCTTCTGTCTAGATTTTATATGAAGATATTTCCTTTTCCACTAGATGCTGCCAAGCGCTCCAAATATCCACTTATGGATTCTAAAAAAAGAGTGTTTCAAAACTGCTCAAGCAAAAGAAAGGTTCAACTCTGTGAGTTGAATACACACATCACAAATAAGTTTCTGAGAATGCTTCTCTCTAGTTTTTATGTGAAGATATTTCCTTTTCCACGATTGTCCTCAAAGCGCTCCAATTATTCACTTGCAGATTCTACAAAATAAGGTTTAAAAACTGCTCAATGTAAAGAAAGCTTCAACTCTGTGAGATGAATGCACACATCACAAACAAGTTTCTCAGAATGTTTCTGGCGAGTTATTATGTAAACATATTTCCTTTTCCAACATAGGTGTCAAACCTCTCCAAATATCCATTTGCAGATACCACAAAAACATGGTTACCAAACTGCACAATCAAAGGAGGGTTCAACTCTGTGAGTTAAACACACACATCACAAAGAAGTTTCTGAGAATGCTTCTGTGTAGTTTTTATGTGAAGACATTTCCTTTTCCACAATCAGCCTCAAAGCATGCCAAATATCCAGTTGCAGATTCTACAAAAAATGTGTTTCAAAACTGCTCAATCAAAAGAAAGATTCAACTCTGTTAGATGAATGCACACATCACAAAGAAGTTTCTCAGAATGCTTCTGTGTAGTTTTTAGGTGAAGATATTTCCTTTTCCTCTAGGGATTTTATGGTTTTAGGTCTAACGATTAAGTCTTTAATCCATCTTGAATTGATTTCTGTATAAGGTGTAAGGAAGGTATCCAGTTTCAGCTTTCTACATATGGCTAGCCAGTTTTCCCAGCACCATTTATTAAATAGGGAATCCTTTCCCCATTGCTTGTTTTTCTCAGTTTTGTCAAAGATCAGATAGTTGTAGATATGCAGCATTATTTCTGAGGACACTGTTCTGTTCCATTGATCTATATCTCTGTTTTGGTACCAGTACCATGCTGTTTTGGTTACTGTAACCTTGTAGTATAGTTTGAAGTCAGGTAGCGTGATGTCTCCAGCTTTGTTCTTTTGGCTTAGGATTGACTTGGCGATGTGGACAATTTTTTAGTTCCATATGAACTTTAAAGTAGTTTTTTCCAATTCTGTGAAGAAAGTCGTTGGTAGCTTGATGGGTATGGTGTTGAATCTATAAATTACCTTGGGCAGTATGGCCATTTTCACGTTATTGATTCTTCCTACCCATGAGCATGGAATGTTCTTCCACTTGTTTGTATCCTCTTTTATTTCATTGAGCAGTGGTTTGTAGTTCTCCTTGAAGAGGTCCTTCACATCCCTTGTAAGTTGGTTTCCTAGGTATTTTATTCTCTTTGAAGCAATTGTGAATGGGAGTTCACTCATGATTTTGTTCTGTGCTTGTCTGTTATTGGTGTATAAGAATGCTGGTGATTTTTGTACGTTGATTTGTATCCTGAGACTTTGCTGAAGTTGCTTATCAGCTTAAGGAGATTTGGGGCTGAGACAATAGGGATTTCTAGATATACAATCATGTTGTCTGCAAACACGGACAATTTGCCTTCCTCTTTTCTTAATTGAATAGCCTTTATTTCCTCCTCCTTCCTAATTGCCCTGGCCAGAACATCCAACACTATGTTGAATAGGAGTGGTGAGAGAGGGCATCCCTGTCTTGTGCCAATTTTCAAAGGGAATGCTTCCAGTTTTTGCCCATTCAGTATGATATTGGCTATGGGTTTGTCATAGATTGCTCTTATTATTTGGAGATACTTCCCATCAATACCTAATTTATTGAGAATTTTTAGCATGAAGGGTTGTTGAATTTTGTCAAAGGCCTTTTCTGCATCTATTAAGATAATCATGTGGTTGTTGTCTTTGGTTCTGTTTATATGCTGGATTACATTTATTGATTTGCATATATTGAAACCAGCCTTGCATCCCAGGGATGAAACCCACTTGATCATGGTGGATAAGCTTTTTGATGTGCTGCTGGATTCTGTTTGCCAGTATTTTATTGAGGATTTTTGACCAAAAGCAATGGCAACGAAAGCCAAAATTGACAAATGGGATCTAATTAAACTAAAGAGTTCTACACAGCAAAAGAAACTACCATCGGAGTGAACAGGCAACCTACAAAATAGGAGAACATTTTTGCAACCTACTCTTCTGACAAAGGGCTAGTATCCAGAATCTACAATGAACTCAAACAAATTTACAAGAAAAAAACCAACAACCCCATCAAAAAGTGGGCAAAGGACATGAACAGACACTTCTGAATAGAGGACATTTATGCAGCCAAAAAACACATGAAAAAATGTTCATCATCTCTGGCCATCAGAGAAATGCAAATCAAAACCACAATATGATACCACCTCACACCAGTTAGAATGGCAATCATTAAAAAGTCAGGAAACAATAGGTGCTGGAGAGGATGTGAAGATATAGGAACACTTTCACTCTCTTGGTGGGACAGTAAACTAGTTCAACCATTGTGGAAGTCAGTGTGGCGATTCCTCAGGTATCTAGAACTAGAAATACCATGTGACCCAGCCATCCCATTACTGGGTGTATACCGAAAGGACTATAAATCATGCTGCTATAAAGACACATGCACACGTATGTTCATTGTGGCGGTATTCACAGCAACAATGACTTGGAACCAATCGAAATGTCTAACAATGATAGACTGGATTAAGAAAATGTGGCACATATACACCATGGAATACTATGCAACCATAAAAAAATGATGAGTTCATGTCCTTTGTAGGGACATGGATGAAATTGGAAATCATCATTTTCAGTAAACTATCACAGGGACAAAATACCAAACACCACAGTTTCTCACTCATAGGAGAAAATTGAACAATGGGAACACATGGACACAGGAAGGGGAACATCTCACACTGGGGACTGTTGTGGGGTGCGGGGATGGGGGAGGGATAGCATTAGGAGATGCACCTAATGCTGAACGACGAGTAAATTGGTGCAGCACACCAACATGACACATGTATACATATGCAACTAATGTGCACATTGTGCACATGTACCCTAAAACTTAGAGTATAATAATAATAATAAAGGGAAAGTTTCAACCCTGTGATATAAATTCACACATCACAAAGAAGTCTCTCAGAATGCTTCTTTCTAGTTTTTATGTAAACATATTTCATTTTTCCACCATAGGACGAAAAGGGTTCCAAATATACACTTACAGATTCTACAAAACGTGTGTTTCAGAACTGCTGTATGAAAACAAAGGTTCAACTCTGTGAGATGAATGCACACATCTGAAAGAATTTTGTCAGAATGCTTCTGTCTAGTTTTTATGTGAAGATATTTCTTTTTCCACCTAAGGCTTCAAAGCGCTCCAAATATCACTTGCAGATTACATAAAAACTGTATTTCCAAACTGCTCAATCAAAAGAAAGCTTCAATTCTGTGAGATGAATGCACATATCAAAAAGAACTTTCTCAGAATGCTTCTGCCTAGTTTTTATATGGAGATATTTTATTTTCCACTATAGGCCTCAAAGCACTGGAAATATCCACTTACAGATTCTACAAAAAGAGTGTTTCAAAACTGCTCTATCAAAAGAAATGTTCAACTCTGAGAGCTGAACGCACTCATCACAAAGGAGTTTCTCAGAATGCTTCGGTATACTTTTTATGTGAAGATATTTCTTTTTCCACCATAGGCCTCAAAGTGCTCCAAATATCCACTTGCAGATTCTACAAAAAGAGTGTTTCCAAACTGCTCAATGAAAAGAAAGTTTCAACTCTGTGAGATGAATGCACACATCAGAAAAAGTTTCTCAGAATGCCCCAGTCTAGTTTTTATGTGAAGATATTTCCATTTCCACAATAGGCAGCAAAAAGCTCCCAATACCACATGCAGATTCTACAAAAAGAGAGATTCAAAACTGCTCAAACAAAAGAAAGATTCAAGTCTGTGAGATGAATGCACACATCAGAAAGAAGTATGTCAGAATGCTTCAGTGTAGCTTTTATGTGAAGATATTTCCTTTTGCACCATAGGCCTCAAAGCGCTCCAAATTTCCACTTCCAGATTCTACAAAAAGAGTGTTTCCAAACTGCTCAGTCAAAAGAAAGGTACAACTCTGTGAGATGAATGCACCCATCAGAAAGTAGTTTGTCAGAATGCTTCTGTCTAGTTTTTATGTGACGATATTTCCTTTTCCACCTAAGGCCTCAAAGCGCTCCAAATATCCACTTGCAGATTACATAAAAAGCATATTTCCAAACTGCTCAAACAAAAGAAACGTTCAACTCTGTGAGATGAATGCACATATCAAAAAGAAGTTTCTCAGAATGCTTCTGCCTAGATTTTATGTGAAGATATTTTCTTTTCCACAATAGGCCTCAAACGAAACCAAATATCCACTTGCAGATTCCACAAAGAGTGCTTCTAAACTGCTAAATGAAAAGAAAGGTTCAACTCTGTGAGATGAATGAGCACGTCAGAAAAAGTTTCTCAGAATGCCCAATCTAGTTTTTATGTGAAGATATTTTCTTTTCCACAATAGGCAACCAAAAGCTCCTAATACCACATGCAGATTCTACAAAAAGAGATATTCAAAACTGCTCAATCAAAAGAAAGTTTCAACTCTGTGCGTTGAAAGCACACATCACAAAGAAGATTCTCTGAATGCTTCTCTGTAGTTTTTATGTGAAGACATTTCCTTTTCCACCATAGGCGAAAAAGGGATCCAAATATCCACTTGCAGATTCTACAAAAAGAGTGTTTCAAATCTGCTGAATCAAAAGAAATGTTCAACTCTGTGAGTTGAAAGCACACATCACAAAGAAGTTTCTCACAATTCTTCTGTCTAGTTTTTATGTGAAGATGTTTCCTTTTCCACCATAGTCCTCAAAGCACTCCAAATATCTACTTGCAGAATCTACAAAAAGTGTTTTTCAAAACTGCTCAATCAAAAGAAACGTTAAACTCTGCGAGATGAATGCACACATCAGAAAGACGTTCGTCAGAATGCTTCTGTCCAGTTTTTATGTGAAGATATTCCCTTTTCCACAATAGGCCTCAAAGCACTCCAGATATCCACTTTCAGAATCTACAAAAAGAGTCTTTCAAAACTGTTCAATCAAAACAAAGGTTCAACTCTGTGAGTTGAAAGCACACATAACAAAGCAGCTTCTCAGAATTCTTCTGTGTAGTTTTTATGTGAGGGTATTTCCTTTTCCGTCAAAAGCCTCAAAGCACTCCAAATATCCACTTGCAGATTCTACACAGAGTGTTTCAAAAGTGGTCAATCAAAAGAAACGAAGAAATCTGTGAGACGAATGCACATATCATGAAGGAGTTTCTTGGAATGCTTCTTTCTAGTTTTTATGTGAAGATATTTCCTTTTTCCACAATTGGCCTCAAAACCCTCCAAATATCCATTTGCAGATTCTACAAAAGGAGTGTTTGAAAACTGCTCAATGTAAAGAAATGTGCAACTCTGTGAAATGAATGCACACATCACAAAGAATTTTCTCAGAATGCTTTTGTCTAGTTTTTATGTAAAGATATTTCCTTTTCCACAAAAGGCTGCAAAGGGCTCCAAATACGCACTTCCAGATTCTACAAAAAGAGGTTTTGAAAACTGCTCAATCCAAAGACAGTTTCAGCCCTGTGAGCTGAACGTACACATCACAAAGAAGTTTCTCAGAATACTTCTGTTTAGTTTTCATGTGAAGATAATTCGTTTTCCACCATAGGCCTAAAAGCACTCCAAATATCCACTTGCAGATTCTACAAAAAGAGTGTTTCAAAACTGGTCAATGTAAAGAAAGGTTCAACTGTGTGAGATGAATGCACACATGACAATTAACTTTCTCAGAATGTTTTGTCTAGTTTTTATGTGCAGATATTTCATTTTTCCACAATAGGTCTAAAAACGCTCAAAATATCCACTTGCAGATTCTACAAAAAGAGTGTTTCAAAAGTAGTCAATGTAAAGAAAGGTTCAACTGTGTGAGATGTCTGCACACATAAAAAAAAAGTTTGTCAGAATGCTTCTCTCTAGTTTTTATGTGAAGATATTTCCTTTTCCAACATAAGCCTCAAAGCGCTCCAGATATCCAAATGCAGATTCTACAAAAAGATAGTTTCAAAACTTCTCAATGAAAACAAATGTTGAACAATGTGAGATGAATGCACACATCAGAGAGAAGTTTGTCAGAATGCTTCTGCCTAGTTGTTATGTGAAGATATTTTCTTTTATACTGTCGGCCTCAAAGCACTCCAAATATCCACTTGCACTATCTACAAAAAGTGTGCTTTGAAACTGCTCATTAAAAAGAAAAGTTAAACTCTGTAAGTTGAAAGCACACATCACAAAGAAGTTTCTCAGAATGCTTCTGTGTAGTTTTAATGTGAAGATATTTCCTTTTCCACAATAGATCTCAAAGTGCTCCAAATATCCACTTGCAGATTATACAAAAATAGTGTTTCCAAACTGCTCAATCAAAAGAAATGTTCAACTCTGTGAGATGAATGCACACATCACAAAGAAGATTCCCAGAATGCTTCTTTGTAGTTTTTATGTGAATATATTTCCTTTCCCACCATAGTCCTTAAGGGGCTTTAAATATCCACTTGTAGATTCTACAAAAAGAGAGTTTCAAAACTGGACAATCAAAATATAGGATCAACTCTGTGAGATGAATGCACACATCAGAAAGAAGTTTCTCAGAATGCTTCTGTCTAGTTTTTAAGCGAAATTATTTCCTTTTCCAACATAGGCCTCAAAGTGCTCCAAATGTCCACTTGCAGATTCTACAAAAACAGTGTTTCAAACTCCTCAACGAAAACAAAGCTTTAACTCTGTGAGATGAATGCACCCATCAGAAAGAAGTTTGTCAGAATGCTTCTATCTAGTTTTCATGTGAAGATATTTCCATTTCCACCACAGGCTTCAAAGCGCTCCAAATATTCTCTTGCAGATTCTACAAAAAGAGAGATTCAAAACTGCTTAATCAAATGAAAGGTTCAACTCTTCTAGTTGAATGCACACATCAGAAAGGAGTTTTTCAGAAAGCTTCTGTGTACTTTTGATGTGAAGAAATTTCCTTTTCCACTAGAGGCCCCAAAGCACTCCAAATGTCCACTTGCAGATTCTACAAAAAGAGTGTTTCCAAACTGCACCATCAAAGGAAAGGTTGAACTCCGTGAGACGAATGCACACAACACCAGGAAGTTTCTCAGAATGCTTCTGTGTAGTTTTTATGTGAAGATATTTCCTTTCCAACCATAGGCCCTAAAGGGCTCCAAATATCCACTTGCAGATTCTACAAAAATAAGGTTTCCAAAATCCTCAATGAAAACAAAGGTTCAACTCTTTGAGATGAATGCACACATCCCAAAGAAGATTCTCAGAATGCCTCTGTCTGGTTTTTACGTGAAGATATTTTCTTTTCCACCATAGGCCACAAAGTGCTCCAAATATCCACTTGCAGATTCTACAAAAAGAGTGTTTCAAAACTGCTCAATTAAAACAAAGGTTTAACTCTCTGAGATGAATGCACACATCAGAAGGAAGTTTGTCAGAATGCTTCTATCTAGTTTTTATGTGAAGATACTTCCTATTCCACCATAGGCTTCAAAGCACACCAAATAGCCACTCGCAGAATCTACAAATAGAGTGATTCAAAACTGCTCAATCAAAAGAAAGGTTCAACTCTGTGAGTTGAACTCACACATCAGAAAGCATTTTGTCAGAATGCTTCTGTCTAGCTTTTATGCGAAGATATTTCCTTTTCCATCATAGGCCTCAAAGCCCTCCAAATATCCACTTTCAGATCCTACAAAAAGAGTGTTTCCAAACTGCTCAATGAAAACCAAGGTTCAACTCTGTGAGATGAATGTGCACATCACAAAGAAGTTTCTCATAATGATTCTGTCTAGTTTTTATGTGAAGATATTTTCTTTTCCACCATAGGCCTCAAAGTGCTCCAATTATCCACTCACAGATTCTACAAAAGAGTGTTTCCAAACTGCTCAATCAAAAGAAAGTTTCAACTCTGTGAGATGAATGCACACATCACAAAGAAGTTTCTCAGTATGCTTCTGTGTAGTTTTTATGTGAATATATTTCCTTTCCCACCATAGGCCGTAAAGGGTTCTAAATATACACTTGCAGAATCTACAATAAGAGAGTTTCAACACTACTCAATCAAAACAGCTTCAACTCTGTGAGTGGAAAGCACACATCACAAGAAGTATGTCAGAATGCTTCTGCCTAGTTTTTACATGAAGATATTTCCTTTTCTACCAAAGGCCTCAACGTGCTCCAAATATCCACTTACAGATTCTACAAAAACAGTGTTTCAAAACTGCTCAATGAAAACAAAGGTTCAAGTCTGTGAGTTGAATGCACACATCAGAAAGAAGTTTGTCAGAATGCTTCTGTCTAGTTTTTATGTGAAGATATTTCCACTTCCACCATAGGCCTCAAAGCGCTCCAAATATCCACTTGCAGAATCTACAAAAAGAGTGATTCAAAACTGCTCAATCAAAAGAAAGTTTCAACTCTGTGAGTTTAATGCAAACTTCACAAAGAAGTTTCTCAGAATGCTTCTGTGTAGTTTTTATGTGAAGATATTTCCTTTTCCATCATAGGACACAAAGCG
Organism: Homo sapiens; assembly: GCF_000001405.40. NCBI lineage: Eukaryota > Metazoa > Chordata > Mammalia > Primates > Hominidae > Homo > Homo sapiens. The sequence continues at coordinate 50,229,865 of NC_000005.10, forward strand.
CTCCAAATATCCACTTGCAGATTCTACAAAAAGAGTGTTCCAAAACTGCTAATTCAAAAGAAAGTTTCAATTCTGTGAAACGAATGCACACATCACACAGAAGGTTATCAGAATCCTTCCATGTTGTTTTTATTTGAAGATATTTAATTTTCCACCATAGGCCAAAAATGGCTCCAAATAACCACATGCAGATTACACAAAATGTTAGATTCCTAACTGCTCAATCAAAATATAGGGATTTTGGAGCCAAGATGGCTGAATAGCAACAGCTCCAGTCTACAGCTCCCAGCATGACTGACACAGAAGACAGGTGATTTCTGCATTTCCATCTGAAATACTGGGTTCATCTCACTAGGGAGTGCCAGACAGTGGGTGCAGATCAGTGGGTGCATGCACCAAGTGTGAGTCAAAGCAGTGCAAGGCATTGCCTCACACAGGAAGTGCAAGGGGTCAGGGAGTTCTCTTTCTTAGTCAAAGAAAGGGGTGACAGATGGCACCTGGAAAATTGGGTCATGCCCACCTGAATACTGCACTTTTGCCACGGGCTTAAAAAATGGCACACCAGGAGATTATATCCTACACATGGCTCAGAGGGTCCTGTGCCCATGGAGTCTCACAGATTGCTAGCACAGCAGTCTGAGATCTAACTGCAAGGTGGCAACGAGGCTGGGGGAGGGGCACCCACCATTGCCCAGGCTTGCTTAGGTAAACAAAGCAGCTGGGAAGCTCGAACTAGGTGAAGCCCACCACAGCTCAAGGAGTCCTGCCTGCCTCTGTAGGCTCCACTTCTGGGTGCATGGCACAGAAAAACAAAAAGACAGTAGTAACCTCTGCAGACTTAAATGCCCCAGTCTGACAGCTTTGAAGAGAGCAGTGTTTCTCCCAGCACAGACCTGGAGATCTGAGAACGAGCAGACTGCCTCCTCAAGTGGGTCCGTGACCCCTGAAAACCAAGCAGCCTAATTGGGAGGCAACCCCCTGTAGGGGCAGACTGACACCTCACACGGCCGGGTACTCCTCTGAGACAAAACTTCCAGAGGAACAATCAGATGGCAGCATTCGTGGTTCAAGAAAAACCACTGTTCTGCAGACACCGCTGCTGATACCCAGGCAAACAGGGTCTGGAGTGGACGTCTAGCAAACTCCAACAGACCTGCAGCTGAGGGTCCAGTCTGTTAGAATGAAAACTAACAAACACAAAGGACATCCACACAAAAAATCCCTCTGTACATAACCATCATCAAAGACCAAAAGAAGATAAAACCACGAAGATGGGGAAAAAACAGAGCAGAACAACTGGAAACTCTAAAAAGTGGAGTGCCTCTCCTCCTAAAAAGGAGCACAGATCCTCACCAGCAAAAGAACAAAGCTGGATGGAGAATGACTTTGATGAGTTGAGAGAAGAAGGCTTCAGACAATCAAACTACTCCGAGCTGCAGGAGGAAATTCAAACCAAAGGCAAAGAAGTTGAAAACTTTGAAAAACATGAGACGAATGTATAACTAGAATAACCAATACACAGAAGTGCTTAAAGGAGCTGATGGAGCAGAAAGCCAAGGCTTGAGATCTATGTGAAGAATGAAGAAGCCTCAGGAGCTGATGCGATCAACTGGAAGAAAGGGTATCAGTGATTGAAGATGAAATAAATGAAATGAAGTGAGAAGGAAAGTTTAGAGAAAAAAGAATAAAAAGAAACGAATAAAGCCTCCAAGAAATATGGGACTATGAGAGAAGACCAAATCTACGTCTGATTGGTGTACCTGAAAGTGATGGGCAGAATGGAACCGAGCTGGAAAACACTCTGCAGGATATTATCCAGGAGAACTTCCCCAATCTAGCAAGGCAGGACAACATTCAGATTCAGGAAATACAGAGAATGCCACAAAGATGCTCCTCGAGAAGAGCAACTCCAAGAAACGTAATTGTCAGATTTACCAAAGTTGAAAAGAAGGAAAAAATGTTAAGGCAGCCAGAGAGAAAGATCAGGTTACCCACAAAGGGAAGCCCATCAGACTAACAGCAGATCTCTTGGCAGAAACTCTACAAGCCAGAAGAGAGTGGAGGCTAATATTCAACATTCTTAAAGAAAAGAATTTTCAAGCCAGAATTTCATATCCAGCCAAAGTAAGCTTCATAAGTGAAGGAGAAATAAAATACTTTACAGACAAGCAAATGCTGAGAGATTTTGTCACCACCAGGACTGCCCTAAAAGAGCTCCTGAAGGAAGCACTAAACATGGAAAGGAACAAACGGTACCAGCCGCTGCTAAATCATGCCAAAATGTAAAGACCATGGAGACTAGGAAGAAACTACATCAACTAACAAGCAAAATAACCAGCTAACATCATAATGACAGAATCAAATTCACACATAACAATATTAACTTTAAATGTAAATGGATTAAATGCTCCAATTAAAAGACACAGACTGACAAATTGGATAAAGAGTCAAGACCCATCAGTGTGCTGTATTCAGGAAACCCATCTCATGTGCAGAGACACACATAGGCTCAAAATAAAAGGATGGAGGAAGACTTACCAAGAAAATGGAAAACAAAAAAAGGCAGGGGTTGCAATCCTAGTCTCTGATAAAACAGACTTTAAACCAACAAAGATCAAAAGAGACAAAGAAGGCCACTACATTATGGTAAAGGGATCAATTCAACAAGAAGAGCTAAATATCTTAAATGTATATGAACCCAATACAGGAGCACCCAGATTCATAAAGCAAGTCCTGAGTAACATACAAGGAGACTTAGACTTCCACACAATAATAATGGGAGACTTTAACACCCCACTGTCAACATTAGACAGATCAACGAGACAGAAAGTTAACAAGGATACACAGGAATTGAACTCAGCTCTGCACCAAGCGGACCTAATAGACATCTACAGAACTCTCCACCCCAAATCAACAGAATATACATTTTTTTCAGCACCACACCACACCTATTCCAAAATTGACCACATACTTGGAAATAAAGCTCTCCTCAGCAAATGTAAAGAACAGAAATTATAACAAACTGTCTCTCAGACTACAGTGCAATCAAACTAGAACTCAGGATTAAGAAACTCACTCAAAACCCCTCAACTACATGGAAACTGAACAACCTGCTCCTGAATGACTACTGGGTACATAATGAAATGAAGGCAGAAATAAAGATGTTCTTTGAAACCAATGAGAACAAAGACACAACATGCCAGAATCTCTGGGACACATTCAAAGCAGTGTGAAGAGGGAAAATTTTAGCACTAAATGCCCACAAGAGAAAGTAGGAAATATCCAAGATTGACACACTTCTGAGAAGCATTCAAGAAGTTTCTGAGAATGCTTCTGTGTAGTTTTTAAGTGAAGATATATCCCTTTCCACTATAGGCCTCAAATCCCTCCAAATATCCATTTGCAGATAGTACAAAAAAAGTGATTCCAAACTGCTTAGTAAAATAAGGTTGAACTCTGTCAGATGAATGGACACATCACAAAGAAATTTCTCAGAATTCTTCTGTCTAGTTTTTAGGTGAAGATATTTCCTTTTCAGCTATAGGACAGAAAACGCTACAAATATCCATTTGCAGATACTACAAAAAGAGTGTTTCCAAGGAGCTTAATAAAAAGAAAGTTCAACCCTGTGAGTTTTATGCACACATCACAAAAAATTTTCTGAGAATGCTTCTGTCCAGTTTTTGTGTGAAAATATTTCCTTTTCCACCATAGGAGAGAAAGTGCTCCAAAAATCCACTTGCAGACCCTACAAAAAGAGTGTTTCAAAACTTCTCAATCAACAGAAAGGTTCAACTCTGTGAGATGAATGTACACATGACAAAGAAGTTTCTCAGAATGCTTCTGTCCAGGTTTTATGTGAAGATATTTATTTTTCAACTATAGGCCCCAAAGCACTCCAAATATCCATTTGCAGATACTACAAAAAGAGGGTTTCCAAACTGCTCACTCAAAAGAAACGTTCAGATCTGTGAGTTGAATGCACACATCACAAAGAAGTTTCTGAGAATGCTTCTGTCTAGTTTTTGTGTGAAGATATTTCCTCTTCAACTGTAGGCAATGAAGTGCTCCAAATATCCATTTGCAGATACTAGAAAAAGAGTGTTTCCAAACTGCTCAATCAAAAGAAAGTTTCAACTCTCAGAGTTGAATGTACGCATCACAAATAAGTTCTGGAGAATGCTTCTGTCTAGTTTTTATGTGAAGATATTTCCTTTTCCACCATAGGCACCAAAGCGCTCCAAATATCCACTTGCAGATTCTACAAAAGAGAGTTTCAAAACTGCTCAATCAAAAGAAAGCTTCAATTCTGTGAGATGAATGTACACATCACAAAGAAGTTTCTCACAATGCTTCTGTCTAGTTTTGATGTGAAGATATTTCCTTTTAAGTTATTGGCTCAAAGCGCTCAAAAAATCCGTTTGCAGATATAAAAAAAAGAGTGTTTCCAAACTGCTCAATAAAAGAAAGGTACAACTTTATTAGTTGAATGCACACAACACAAAGCATTTTCTGAGAATGCTTCTGTCTAGTTTTTATGTGAGGATGTTTCCTTTTGTACCATAGGCTTCAATGCACTCCAAATATCCACTTGCAGATTCTACCATAAGAATGTTTCAGCACTGCTCAATCAAAAGAAAGGTTCAACTCTGTGAGACGAACGCACACCTCACAAAGAAGTTTCTCAGAATGCTTCTCTCTATTTTTTATGTGAAGATATTTCCTTTTCACCAATAGGCCACAAAGCACTTCAAATATCCATTTGTAGATACTACAAAAAGAGTGTTCCCTAACTGACCAATCAAAAGAAAGGTTGAACTCTGTGAGTTGAATTCACACATCAAAGTGAAGGTTCTCAGAATTCATCTTTCTAGTTTTTATGTGAAGATATTTTCTTTTCATCTACAGGCCTCAAAACACTCCAACTATACATTAGCAGATATTACAAAAAGATTGTTTCAAAACAGCTCAATCAAAAGAAAGGTTCAACTCTGAGAGATGAATGCACACATCACAAAGAAGTTTCTGAGAATGCCTCTGTCTACTGTTTAGGTGAAGATATTTCCTTTTCCACCATAGGCCTCAAAGCGCCCCCAATATCCATTGCAGATTCTACAAAAAGAGTGTTTCAAAATTGCTCAATCAAAAGGAAGTTTCAACTCAGTGTGATGAATGCACACATCACAATGAAGTTTCTCAAAATGTTTCTGTCTAGTGTTTACGTGAACATATTTCCTTTTCAGCTATAGGACTCAAAGCGCTCCAAATATCCATCTGCAGATACTACAAAAAGAATGTTTCCAAACTCCTCAATGAATAGAAAGGTTCAACTTTGTGAGTTGAATGCACACATCTCAAAGAAGTTTCTGAGAATGCTTCTGTCTCGTTTTCATATGAAGATATTTCCTGTCCACCATAGGCCTCAAAAGAATGTTTGAACCCTGTGAGTTGAATGCAGACATCACAAAGAAGCTTCTGAGAATGCTTTTTTCTATTTTTTATGTGAAGATATTTCCTTTTCCACCATAGGCCACAAAGCGCTGCAAATATCCACTTGCAGACTCTACAAAAAGAGTGTTTCAATACTGCTCAAGCAAAAGAAAGGTTCAACTCTGTGAGATGAATGCCCACGTCACTAAGTAGTGTCTGAGAATGCTTCTGTCTAGTTATTATGTGAAGATATTTCCTTTACAGCTATAGGCCTCAAAGTGCTCCAAATATCCAGTTGCAGATACAACAAAAAGAATGTTTGAAAACTGCTCAATCAAAAGAAAGGTTCAACTCTTTGCAATGAATGCACACGTCACAAAGAAGTTTCTCAGAATGCTTCTGTCTAATTTTTATGTGAAGATACTTCCTTTTCAACTGTAGGCTTCAAAGTGCTCCAAATATCCATTTGCAGATACTGCAAAAATAGTGTTTCCAAACTGCTCAACCAAAAGAAAGGTTCAAATCTGTGAGTTGAATGCACACATCACAAAGGAGATTCTGAGAATGCTTCTGTCTAGTTTTTGTGTGAAGATATTTCCTTTTCCACCATAGCCGTCAAAGTGCTCCAAATGTCCATTTGCAGATACTGCAGAAACAGTGTTTTCAAACTGCTCAATCAAAAGAAAGGTTCAACTCTGTGAGATAAATGCACACATCAAAAAGAAGTTTCTGAGAATGGTTCTGTCAAGTTTTTCTGTGAAGATTTTTCATTTTCACCTATAGGCCTCGAAGCGCTCCAAATATCCATTTGCAGGTACGACAAAAAGGTTGTTTCAAAACTGCTCAATCTAAAGAAAGATTCAACTCTGTGAGTTGAATGCACACATCACACGGAAGTTTCTGAGAATGCGTCTGTCTCATTTTTATGTGAACATATTTCCTTTTCCACCATAGGCCTCAAAGCACTCCAGATATCCACTTGCAGATTCTACAAAATGGGTTTCAAAACTGCTCAATCAAAAGAGAGGTTCAACTCCGTCAGATGAATGCACACATCACAAAAGAGTTTCTCAGAATGTTTCTGTCTAGTATTTATGTGAAGATATTTCCTTTTCAACTATTTATCTCAATGCTCTCCAAATATCCAACTGCAGATACAACAAACAGATGGTTTCCAAACTGCACAAACAAAAGAAAATTTCAACTCTGTGTGTTGAATGCAAATATCACAAAGTAGTTTCTGACACTACTTCTGTCTAGTTTTTAAGTGAAGATATTTTCATTTCCACCATAGGCCTCAAAGTGCACCAAATATCCACTTGCAGATTCCACAAAAAGAGTGGTACAAAACTGCTCAAACAAAAGAAACGTTCAACACTGTTAGATGAATGCATGTATCACAAAGAATTTTCTCAGAATGCTTCTGTCTAGTTTTAATGTGAAGTATTTCCTTTTCAACTATAGGCCTCAAAGCGCTCCAAATATCGATTTGCAGACACCACAAAAAGAGTTTTTCCAAACTGCTCAATCAATAGAAAGCTTCAACTCTGTGAGTTGAGTGCACACATCACAAAGAAGTTTCTCAGAATGCTTCTGTCTTGCTTTTATGTGAAGATATTTCCTTTTCCACAACAGGCCTCAAAGAACTCCAAATATCCACTCACAGATTCTACAAAGAGTGTTTCAATTCAGCTCAATCAAAAGAAAGTTTCACCACTGTGAGATGAATGCACACATCCCAAAGAAGTTTCTCAGAATGCTTCTGTCTAGTTCTTATGTGAAGGTATTTCCTTTTCAGCTATAGGCCTCAAAGCGCTCCAAATATCCATTTGAAGATACTACAAAAAGAGTTTTTCTAAACTGTTCAATAAAAAGAAAGTTTCAACTCTGTGAGTTGTATGCACACATCACAAAGAAGTTTCTGAGAATCTTTCTGTCTAGTTTTTATGTGATGATATTTCCTTTTCCACCATAGACCTCAAAGCGCTCCAAATATCCACTTGTATATTATACAAAAAAAGTGTTTCAAAACTGCTCATTCAAAAGAAAGGTTCAACTGTGTGAGATGAATGCACACATCACAAAGCAGTTTCTCAGAATGCTGCTGTCTAGTTTTTATTTGAAGATATTTCCTCTTCAACTATAGCCACTAAGCACTCCAAATATCCATTTGCAGATACTACAAAAAGAGTGTTTCCAAACTGTTCAATCAAAAGAAAAGTTCATCTATGTGAGCTGAATGCACATATCACAAAGAAGTTTCTGAGAATGCTTCTGTATAGTTTTTATCTCACGATATTTCCGTTTCCACCATAAGTCTCAGAGCGCACCAAATATCCACTTGCAGATTCTACAAAAAGAGTGTTTCAAAACTGCTCAATGAAAAAAAAAAAAAGGTTCAACACTGTGAGATGAATGCATGCATCAGAAAGAAGTTTGTCAGAATACCTCTCTCCATTTTTTATGTGAAGATATATCCTTTTCCACAATAGGCCTCAGTGCGCTCCAAATATCCACTTGCAAATTCTACAAAAAGAGTGTTTCAAAACTGCTCAATCAAAAGAAAGTTTCAGCTCCGTGAGATGAATGCACACGTCACAAGGTGTTTCTCAGAATGCTTCTGTCTAGTTTTGATGGGAAGATATTTCTTTTTCAACCATAGGCTTCAAAACGCTCCAAATATCCACTTGCAGATTCTACAGAAAGAGTGTTTCCAAAGTGCAAAATCAAAAGAAATGTTCAACTCTGTGAGTTGAATGCACACATCACAAACTAGTTTCTGAGAGGGCTTCTGTCTAGTTTTTATGTGAAGATATTTTTTTCCACCATATGCCTCGAAGTCCTCCAAATGTCCATTTGCAGAAACTACAAAAAGAGTGTTTCCAAACTGCTCAATCAAAAGAAAGGTTCAACTCTGTGAGATGAATGCACACATGACAAAGTAGTTTCTGAGAATGCTTCAGTGTAGTTTTTATGTGAAGATATTTCATTTTATACAATAGGCCTCACAGCGCTCCAGATATCCACCTGCAGGTTCTACAAAAAGTGTGTTTCAAAACTGCTCAATCAAAAGAAATTTCAAATCTGTGAGACGAATGCACACATCACAAAGAAGTTTCTGAGAATTCTTCTGTCTACTTTTATGTGAGTGTATTTCCTTTTCCACCGTAAGCCCCAAAGCATTCCAAATATCCACTTGCAGATATTACCAAAGAGGGTTTCAAAACTGCTCAATCAAAAGAAAGGATAAACTCTGTGAGATGAATGCCTACATCACAAAATATTCTGAGAATGCTTCTCTCTTGTTTTTATACGAAGATATTTCCTTTTCAGCTATAGGCCTTAAAGCGCTGCAAATATCCATTTGCAGAAACTACATAAAGAGTGTTCTCTAACCGCTCAATCAAAGCAAAGGTTCAACACGGTAAGTTGAATGCGCACATCACAAAGAAGTTTCTGAGAATGCTTCTGTCTAGTTTTTCTGTGAAGACGTTTCCTTTTCCACTATGGGCCTCAAAGCACTCTAAATATTCACTTGCACTTTCTACAAAAAGAGTGTTTCAAAACTGCTCAATCAAAAGAAAGTTTCGACACTGTGAGATGAATGCACACATCACAGAGAAGTATCTGAGAATGCTTCTGTCTACTTTTTATGTGAAGATATTTCCTTTTCCACCATAGGCCTCAAAGTGATCCAAATATCCACTTGCAGATTCTGCAAAGAGTATACAAACTTCTCAATCAAAAGAAAGGTTTAACTGTGGAAGTTGAATGCACACATCACAAAGAAGTTTCTGAGAATGATTCTGTCTGGTTTTTATGTGAAGATATTTCCTTTTTCACAATAGGCCTCAAAGCTCTCCAAATATCCACTTGCAGATTCTACAAAAAGAGTGTTTCCAAACTCCTCAATCAAAAGAAAGGTTCAACTCTGAGAGATGAATGCACACATCACAAAGAAGTTTCTCAGAATGTTTCTGTCTAGTTTTAATGTGAAGATATTTTCTTTACAACTATAGGCCTCAGAGCACTCCAAATATTCACTTGCATATTCTATATAAAGAGGGTTTCCAAACAGCTCAATCAAAAAAAAGATTCAACTCTGTGAGTTGAATGCTCACATCACAAAGACGTTTCTGAGAATGCTTCTGTCTAGTTTCTTTGTGAAGGTATTTCCTTTTCCACCATATGCCTCAAAGCACTCCAAATATCCACTTGCAGATTCTACAAAAAGAGTGCTTCAAAACTGCTCAATCAAAAGGAAGGTTCGACTCTGTGAGATGAATGCACACATCACAAAGAGGTTTCTCTGAATGCTTCTGTCTAGTTTTTATGTGAAGATATTTTCTTTTCATCTATAGGCTTCAAGGGCTCCAAATATTCATTTGCAGATACTACATAAAGAGTGTTTCCAAACTGCTCAATCAAAAGAAATGTTCAACTCTGTGAGTTGAATGCGCATATCAAAAGAAGTTTCTGAGAATGCTTCTATCTAGTTTTCATGTGAAGATACTTCCTTTTCCACCATAGGCCTCAAAGGGCTCCAAATATCCATTTGCAGATTCTACAAAAAGAAGGTTTCCAAATGGCTCAATCAAAAGAAAAGTTCAATTCTGTGAGATGAATACACACATCACAAAGAAGTTTCTCAGAATGCTTTTGTCTAGTTTTTATGTGAAGATATTTCCTTTTCAGCTATAGGAATCAAAGTGCTCCAAATATCCACTTGCAGATACCACAAAAAAAGTGTTTACAAACTGCTCAATAAAAAGAAAGGTTCAGCTCTGTTACTTGAATGCACACATCAAAAAGAAGTTTCTCAGAATGCTGCTGTCTAGTTTTTATATGAATATATTTCCTTTTCAGCTATTGGTATCAAAGCACTCCAAATATCCATTTGCAGATACTACAAAAAGAGTGTTTCCAAACTGCTCAATCAAAAGAAAGGTTCAATTCTGTGAGTTGAATGCACACATCACAAAGAAGTTTCTGAGAATAGTTCTGTCTAGATTTTATGTGAAGATATTTCCTTTTCAGCTATAGGCCACAAAGCGCTCCAAATATCCATTTACAGATACTACAAAAATAGTGTTTCCAAACCGCTCAATCAAAAGAAAGACATAACTCTGTGAGATGAATGCACACGTCACAAAGAAGTTTCTGAGAATGCTTCTGTCTAGTTTTTACATGAAGATATTTTCTTTTCTACCTTAGGCTTCAAAGCACTCCAAATATCCACTTTCAGCTTCTACATAAAGAGTGTCTCCAAACTGCTCAATCAAAAAAAACTGTTCAACTCTGTGAGTTGAATGCACACATCACAAAGAAGTTTCTGAGAATGCTTCTGTCTAGTTTTTTATGTGAAGGTATTTCGTTTTCCACCATAGGCCTCAAAGAGCTCCAAATATCCACTTTCAGATACTACAAAAAGAGTGTCTCAAAACTGCTCAATCAAAAGAAAGATTCAACTCTGTGAATTGAATGCACACATCACAAAGAAGTTTCTCTGAATGCTTCTGTCTAGTTTTTATGTGAAGATATTTCCTTTTCATCTATAGACCTCGAGGGCTCCAAATATTCATTTGCAGATACTACTACATAAAGAGAGTTTCCCAACTGCTCAATCAAAAGAAAGGTTCAACTCTGTGAGTTGTATGCACACATCAAAAGAAATTTCTGAGAATTCTTCTCGCTAGTTTTCATGTGAAGATATTTTCTTTTCCACCATAGGCCCCAAAGTGCTCCAAATATCCACTTGCAGGTTCTACAAAAAGAGTGTTTCCAAAATGTTCAATCAAAAAAAAAACTTCAATTCTGTGAGATGAATACACACATCACAAATAAGTTTCTCAGAAGGCTTCTGTCTAGTTTTTATGTGAAGATATTTCCTTTTCAGCTATAAGAATCAAAGCGTTCCAAATATCCATTTGCAGATAGTACAAAAAGAGTGTTTCCAAACTGCTCAATCAAAAGAAAGGTTCAACTCGGTTAGTTGAATGCACACATCACAAAGAAGTTTCTGAGAATGCTTCTGTCTAGTTTTTATGTAAAGATACTCATAGCACTCCAAATATCCACTTGCAGATTCTACAAAAAGAGTGTTTCAAAACCGCTCATTCAAAAGAAAGATTCAACTCTGTGAGATGCATGCACACTTCACAAAGAAGCTTCTCAGAAGGCTTCTCTCTTGTTTTTATGTGAAGATATTCCCTTTTCAGCTATAGACCTCAAAGTGCTCCAAAAATTCATTTGCAGATACTACATAAAGATTGTTTCCTAACTGCTCAATGAATAGAAATGTTCAACTTTGTGAGTTGAATGCACACACCACAAAGAAGTTTCTGAGAATGTATCTGTCTAGTTTTTATGTGAATATGTTTCCTTTTCCACCATAGGCTTCAAAGCACTCCAAATATAAACTTGCAGATTCTATAAAAAGAGTGTCTCAAAACTGCTCAAACAAAGGAACGGTTCAACTCTGTGAGATGAATGCACACATCACAGATAGTTTCACAGAATGCTTCTGTCTAGTTTTTATATGTGAAGATATTTGCTTTTCAGCTATAGGAATCAAATCGCTCCAAATATCCATTTGCAGATACTACAAAAACTGTGTTCCTGAACTGCTCAATCAAAAGAAAGATTCAACTCTCTGAGTTGAATGCTCACTTCACAAAGAAGTTTCTCGGAATGTTTCTGTCTAGTTTTTATATGAAGATATTTCCTTTTCTGCTATAGGCCTAAAAACGCTCCATATATCAATTTGCAGATACTACAAAAAGTCTGTTTCCATACTGCTCAATCGAAAGAAAGGTTCAATTCTGTGAGATGAGTGCACACATCACAAAGAAGTTTCTCAGAATTCTTCTGTCAAGTTTTTATGTGAAGATATTTCCTATTTCCCCATTGGTTTCACGGGGCTCACAAATATCCCTTTGTGAATTCTACTAAATAACTGTTTCCAAACTGCTCAATCGAAAAAAGGTTCAATTCTGTGAGATGAATGCACACATCACAAAGAAGTTTCTCAGAATTCTTCTGTCAAGTTTTTATGTGAAGATATTTCCTATTTCCCCATTGGTTTCAAGGGGCTCACAAATATCCCTTTGTGAATTCTACTAAACGACTGTTTCCAAACTGCTCAATCCAAACAAATGTTCAACTCTGTTAGATGAATGTACACATCAAAAAGAAGTTTCTCAGAATGCTCTGTCTAGTTTTTTTGGGAAGATAGTTCCTTTTCGATCGTAGTCCTCAAAATGCTCAAAACATCCACTTGCATATTCTACAAAAAGAGAGTTTTGAAATAGCTCAAATAAAAGAAAGTTTCAACTGGGTGAGATGACAGTACACATCCAAAAGAGGTTTCTGAGAATGTTTCTGTTTAGTTTTTATGTGAAGGTATTTCGTATGTCCCCATAGGCCTCAAGGGCCCCCATATATCCCTTTGCAGATTCTACAAAACTACTGTTTCCAAACTGGTCAATCAAAAGAAATGTTCAAATCTGTGAGATGAAATCATACATCACCAAGTAGTTTCTCAGAATGCTTCTTTCTAGTTTTTATGTGAAGATATTTCCTTTTCCACCATAGGCCTCAAAGCTCTCCAAAAATTCACTTGCAGATTCTACAAAAAGAGTGTTTCCAAATTGCTCAATCAAAGGAAAGGTGCAACTCTGTGAGTTGAATTCACACATCACAAAGTAGTTTCTCAGAATGTTTCTGTCTAGTATTTATATGAAGATATTACCTTTTTCCTCATAGGCCAAAAAGAGCTCAAAGTATCCATTTGCAAGTACTACAAAAAGATTGTTTCCAAACCTCTCATTCAAAAGAAAGGTTCAACTCTGTGAGATGCATACACACGTGTCAAAGAATTTTCTCAGAATTCTACTTTGTCTAGTTTTTATGTGAAGATATTTCCTTTTTCACCCTAGGCCTCAAATCGCTCCAAATATCCCTTCTCAGATACTACAAAAAGACAGTTTTCAAACTGCTCAATCAAAATAAATTTTCAACTCTGTGAGATGAATGCACACTTCACAATGGAGTTTCTCAGAATGCTTCTGTCTAGTTTTTATGTGAAGATATTTCCTTTTCCACCACAGGCCTCAAAGCTCTCCAAATATCCACTTGCAGATACTTCAAAGAGAGTGTTTCAAAACTGCTCAATCAAAAGAAATGTTCAACTCTGTGAAATGAATGCACACATAACAAAGAAGTTTATCAAAATGCTTCTGTCTAGTTTTTATGTGAATATATTTCCTTTTTCACCATAGTCCTCAAAGTGCTCCAAGAATCCATTTGCAGATGATACAGATAGACAGTTTCCAAACTGCTCAATCAAAATAAATGTTCAACTCTGTAAGATGAATTCACACCTCTCAAAGAAGTTTCTCAGAATGCTTCTGTCTAGTTTTTATGTGAAGATATTTCATTTTCCACAATAGGCCTCAAAGCACTCCAAATATCCACTTGCAGATTCTACAAAAAGATTGCTTCAAAGCTACTCAATCAAAAGAAATGTTCAACTCTCTGAGATGAATGCACAAATCACAAAGAAGTTTCTCAGAATGCTTCTGTCTAGTTTTTATGTGAATATATTTCCTTTTTCTCAATAGGCCTAAAAGCCCTCCACATATCCATTTGCAGATACTATAAAAAGACTGTTTCCAAACCTCTAAATCAAGAGAATGTTTCTACCATGTGACTTGAATACATACATCACAAAGAAGTTTCTCAGAATGCTGCTGCCTGTTTTTTATGTGAAGATATTTCCTTTTGCAGAGTAGGCCTCAAAGTGCTCCAAATATCCAATTGCAGATTCTACAAAAGTGTTTCCAAACTGCTCAATCAAAAGAAAGGTTCATCTGTGTGATACAAATGCCCACATCACAAAGGAGTTTCTCAGAATGCTTCTGTTTATTATTTTATTTTTTTTTTGACAGATATTTCCTTTTAATCCATAGGCCTCAAAGCGCTCCAAATATCCACTAACAGATACTACAAAAAGACATTTTCCAAACTACTCAATCAAAAGAAAGGTTCAGCTCTGTGAAATGAATATACACATCACAATGAAGTTTCTCAGAATGCTTCTGTCTAGTTTTTATCTGAAGATATTTCCTTTTCCACTGTAGGCCTCAAAGCGCTCCAAATATCCACTTGCAGATTCTAAAAAAAGAAGTTTCAATACTGCTCAATCAAAAGAATGGTTCAACTCTGTGAGATGAATGCACACATCACACACAAGTTTCTCAGGATGCTTCTTTCTAGTTTTTATGTGGAGATATTTCCTATTTCCCCATAGGCCTCAATTGGCTCAAAAATATCCCTTTGCAGATTCTGCAAAATGAATGTCTCCAAACTGCACAATCAAAAGAAATATTCAACTCTGTGAGATGAATGCACAAATCACAAAGATGTTTCACAGAGTGCTTCAGTCTAGTTTTTATATGATGATGTTTCCTTTTCCCACATAGACCTCAAAGCGCTCCAAATATCCACTTGAAGATTCTTCAAAAAGCGTGTTTCAAAACTGCTCAATCAAAAGAAAGGTTCAACTCTCTGAGACGAATGCCCACATCACAAAGGAGGTTCTGAGAATGCTTCTGTCTAGTTTTTATGTGAAGATATTTCCTTTTCCACCTGAGGCCTCAAAGTGCTCCAAATATCTATTGCGGAGTCTACCATAGAGTGTTTCAAAATTGCTCAATCAAAATAAAGTTTTGGCTCTGTGATATGAATGCACACATCACCAAGAAATTTATCAGAATCCTTCTGTCTAGTTTTTATGTGAAGATATTTCCTTTTTCATGATAGGCCTCAAAGCACTCAAAGAAAACTTTTCCAGATACTACAAAAAGGCATTTTCCAAACTGCTCAATCAAATGAAATATTCAACTCTTTGAGATGAAAGCACACATCACAAAGATGTTTTACACAATGCTTCTGTATAGTTTCCACGTGGAGATATTTTTTTTCACCATAGGCCTCAAAGCATTTCAAATATCCATTTGCAGATACTACAAAAAGACAGTTTCCAAACTGCTCAATCAAAACAAATGTTCATCTATGTGAGATGATTGCACACATCACAAAGAAGTTTCTTAGAATGTTTCTATCTAGTTGATATGTGAAGATATTTCCCTCTCCACCATAAGCCACAAAGTGCTCCAAATATCCACTTGCATATTCTACAAAAAGAGTGTTTCAAAACTGGTCAATCAAAAGAAAGGTTCAAGTCTTTGAGATGAATGCGCACATCACAAAGGGGTTTCTCAGAATACTTCTGTCTACTTTTTCTGTGAAGATATTTCTTTTTCACCATAGGCCTCAAATGGCTGGGAAATATCCCTTTGCAGATTGCACAAAGAGAATGTTTCCAAGCTGCTCAATGAAAAGAAAATTTCAGCTCTCTTAGATGAATGCAGATATCACAAAGAAGTTTCTCACAATGCTTCTGTCTAGTTTTTTTGTGTAGATATTTGCTTTTTCACCATAGGCCTCAAAGCGCTCCAAATATCCATTTCCAGATTCTACTAATCAAAGCAGTTTCTAAGAATGCTTCTGTCTAGTTTTTAAGTGAAGATGTTTCCGTTTTCACCATAGGCCTCAAAGCACTCCAAATATCCACTTGCAGATTCTACAAAAAGAGTGTTTCAAAACTGCTCTATCAAAAGAAAGGTTCAACTCACAGAGTTGAATGCACACATCATGAAGAAGTTTTTCAGAATACCTCTGTCTAGTTATTTGGGAAGATATTTCCTTTTTCACCGTATGAATTAAACCGCTCACAAATATCCCTCTGAAGATACTACAGAAAGACTGTTTCCAAACTGCTCCATCAAAAGTATCGTTCAATTCTTTGAGATGAATGCACATATCACAAAGAAGTTTCTCAGAATGGTTCTGTATAGTTTTTATCTGGATATCTCCTTTTTCACCATAGGCCTCAAATTGCTCCAAATATCCATTTGCAGATTCTACAAAAAGAAAGTTTAAAAAATACTCAATGTAAAGAAAGGTTCAACTCTGTGAGGTGAAAGATCACATCACAAAGAAGTTTCTCAGAAAGTTTCTGTCTAGTTTTTATGTGAAGATATCTCCTATTTCATCATAGGCCTCAATGGACTCAGAAATATCCCTTAGCATGTTCTACAAAAGGACTGTTTCCAAACTGCTCAATCCAAGGAAAGTTTCAAATCTTTGAGAACAATGCACACATCACAAAGAAGTTTCTCACAATGCTTCTGTCTAATTTTTATGTGAAGATACTTGTTTTTCACCATAGACATCAAACGGCTCAGAAATATCTCTGCAGATTATATAAAAAGACTGTTTCCAAACTGCTCAATCAAAAGAAAGGTTCACCTCTGTGAGATGAAAGCATACATCACAAAGAAGTTTCTCAGAAACCTTCTGTCTAGTTTTTGTGTGAAGATATTTTCTATTTCACCAAAGGCCATAAAGGGCTCAGAAACATCCATTTGCAGATTCTACAAATGGACTCTTTCCAAACTGCTCAGTCAAACGAAAGTTTCAACTCTGTGAGATGAATGCACACATCACAAGGAAGTTTCTCGGAATGCTTATGTCTAATTTTCATGTGAAGATATTTCCGTTTTCACCATGGGCCACAAAGCACTCCAAATATCCATTTGCAGATACTACAAAAAGAGTATTTCCAAACTGCTGAATGAAAACAAAGGTGCAACCCTTTGAGATTAAAGCAAATATCACAAAGAAGTTTCTCAGAAAGTTTCTTTCTAGTTTTTAAGTGAAGATATTTCCTTTTTCACCATAGTCCCCAAAGCACTCCAAATATCCTTTTGCAGATTGTACAAAAAGACTGTTTCCAAGCTGCTCAATCAAAACAAAAGTTCAACTCTGTGAGATGAATGCACACATCACAAAGAACTTTCCAACATGCTTCTAATTTTTCTGTGAAGATATTTCCTGTTTCACCATAGGACTCAAAGGGCTCACAAGTATCCCTTTGCAGATTCTACAAAAGGACTGTTTCCAAACTGCTCAATGAAAAGAAACGTTCAGCTCTGTGAGATGAATACACACATCACAAAGAAGTTTCTCAGAATCCTTCTGTCTAGTTTTCATGAGAAGATATATCTTTTTCACCATTGGCCTCAAACTGCTCAGAAATATCCATTTGAAGAAGGGAAAAAAGACTGTTTCCAAACTGCTCAATGAAAAGAAAGGTTCAACTCTGTGAGATGAATGCGAAAATCAAAAACAGGTTTCTCAGAAAGCTTCTGTCTAGTTTTATGTAAAGGTATTTCCTTTTTCACCATAGGCCTCAAACCGCTCAAAAATATCCCTTTGAAGATACTACAAAAAGAGTGTTTCCAAACTGCTCAATGGAAGAAATGTTTAAATCTGTGAGATGAAAGCACACATCACAAAGATGTTTCTCAGAATGTTTCTATCTAGTTTTTATGTGAAGATACTTCTTTTTCACCATAGGCCTCAAACTACTCACAAATATGAGTCTGCAGATCCTACAAAAAGACCGTTTCCAAACTGCTCAATCAAAAGAAAAGTTCAACTCCTGAGATGAATGCACACATCACAAAGTCGTTTCTCAGAATGCTTCTGTCTAGTTTTTATGTGAAGATATTTCCTCTTTCACCATAGGCCTCAAAGCACTCCAAATATCAATTTAGAGATTCTACAAAAAGACTGGTTCCAAACTCCTCATTGAAAACAAAGGATGAACTGTGTGAGATGAATGGAGGCATCACAAACAAGTTTCTCAGAAAGCTTCTCTCTACTTTTTATGTGAAGATATTTCTTATTTCATCATAGGCCTCAATGGGCTCACAAATAGCCCTTTGCAGATTCTACAAAAGGACTATTTCCAAACTGCTCAATGAAAAGAAAACTTCAACTCTGTGTGATGAATGCACACATCACAAAGAAGTTCTCAGAATGCTTCTGTCTAGTTTTTATGTGAAGATATCTCCGTTTTCACCATAGGCCTCAAAGCACTCCAAATATCCATTTGCAGATTCTACAAAAATACTGTTTCCAAGCTACTCAATCAAAAGTATGGTTCAACTCTGTGAGAAGAAAGCAAGCCTCACAAAGAAGTTTCTCAGAAAGCTTCTGTCTAGTTTTTATGTGCAGATATTTCCTATTTCACCATGGGCCATAAAGGAATCACAAATGTCCCTTTGCAGATAGTACAAAAAGACTCTTTCCAAACTACTCTACCGAAAGAAAGATTCAACACAGTGAGAGGAATGGACACATCACAGGGAAGTTTCACAGAATGCTTCTGTCTAGTTTTTATGTGAAGACACTTCTTTTCCACCATAGGCCACAAACGGCTCAGAAATAAACTTTTGCAGATTGTACAAAAAGACTGTTTCCAAACTGTTCAATCAAAAGAAAGTTTTAACTCAATGAGATGAATACACACATAAAAAAGAAGTTTCTCAGAATGCTTCTGTCTACATTTCATGTGAAGATATTTCCTTTTTCGTCATAGGCCTCAAAGCGCTCTAAATATCCACTTGCAGATACTACAAGAAGACTGTTTCCAAACGGCTCAATAAAAAGAAAGGTTCAACTCTGTGAGATGAATAAACACATCACAATAAAGTTTCTCAGAATGCATCTGTCTAGTTTTTATGTGAATACATTTCCTTTTTCACCAAAGGCTCTAAATCACGCACAAATATCCCTCTGCAGACACTATAAAAAGACTGTTTCCAAACTGCTCCATAAAAAGAAAGGTTCAACTCTGTAGACGAATGCACACATCACAAGGAAGTTTCTCAGAATGCTTCTGTGTAGTTTTTATGTGAAGATATTTCCTTTTTCACCATAGGCCTCAAAGCGCTCCAAATATGTGTTTGTAGATTCTACAAAAAGAGTATTTCCAAACTGCTCAATCAAAAGAAACTTTCAACTCTATGAGATGAAAACACAAATCACACAGAAGTTTCTCAGAAACTTTCTATCTAGTATTTATGTGAAGATACATTGTATTTCACCATAGGCCTCAATGGGCTCAGAAATACCCTTTGCAGATTCTACAAAAGGACATTTTCCAATCTGCTGAAGCAAAAGAAAGGGTCGACTCTGTGAGATGAATGCACACATCACAAAGAAGTTTCTCAGAATGCTTCTGTCTAGTTTTTATGTGAAGATATTTGCTTTTTCACAATAGCCTCAAATGGCTCAGAAATATCCCTTTGCAGATTGTACAAAAAGACCCTTTCCAAACTGCTCAATCAAAAGAAAGTTTCAAGCCTCTGATATGAAAGCACACATCACAAAGAAGTTTCTCAGAAAGCTTCTGTCTAGTTTTTATGTGAAGATATTTCCTTTTTCACCACAGACCTCAAACTGCTCACAAATATCCCTTTGCAGATTCTACAAAAAGACTGTTTCCAAACTGCTCAGTGAAAAGAAAGGTTAAACTCTGTGAGATGAAAGCACGCATCACAAAATGTATCTCAGAATGCTTCTGTCTAGTTTTTATGTGAAGATATTTCCTTTTCAACTACAGGCTTCAAAGCACTCCAAATATCCATTTGCAGATACTACAAAAAGAGGGTTTACAAACTGCTCAATCAAAAGAAAGGTTCAACTCTGTGAGATGAATGCACACATCACAAAGAAGTTTCTCAGAATGCTTCTGTCTAGTTTTTATGTGAAGATATTTCCTTTTTCACCATATGCCTTAAACTGCTCACAAATATCCCTCTGCTGATACTACAAAAAGACTCTTTCCAAACTGCTCCATCAAAAGAATCATTCAACCCTTTGAGATGAATGCACACATAACAAAGAAGTTTCTCCAAAACTTCTGTCAGTTTTTACATGAAGACATTTCCTTTTTCACCGTATGCCTTAAAACGCTCCCAAATATCCCTCTGAAGTTACTACAAAAAGACTGCTTCTAAACTGCTCAAAAGAAACATTCAACATTGTGAGATGAATGCATACATCACACAGAACTTTTTCAGAATGCTTCCATCTAGTTTTTATTTGAAGATGTTTCCTTTTTCACCATAGGCCTCAAAGCACTCCAAATATCCATTTCCAGAATCTACAAAAAGACTGTTTCCAAACTGCTCAATCAAAAGAAAAATTCAACTCTGTGAGATGAAAGCACATATCAAAAAGTAATTTCTCAGAAAGCTTCTGTGTAGTTACAATGTGAAGATATTTCCTATTTCATCTTAAGCAATAAAAGGCTCACAAATATCCCTTTGTAGATTTTACAAAAAGACTGTTTCCAGCTGCTCAATCAAAGGAAGGTTTCAACTTTGTGAGATGAATGCACACATCACAAAGAAGTTTCTCAGAAATCTTCTGTCTAGTTTTTATGTTAAGATATTTCCTTTTTCATCATAGGCCTCAAAGCACTTCAAATAATCTTTAGGAGATTCTACAAAAAGAGTGTTTCCAAACTGCACAATAAAAAGAAAGGTTCAACTCGGTGAGATGAAAGCACATATCACAAAGAGGTTTCGTGGAAAGCTTCTCTCTAGTTTTTATGTGAAGGTATTTCATATTTCACCATAGGCCTCAATGGGCTCAGAAATATCCCTTTACAGATCCTACAAAAGGACTGTTTCCAAACTGCTCAATACAAGGAGAGGTTCAAATCTGTGTGATGAATGCCCAAATCCAAAGAAGTTTCTCAGAATGCTTCTGTCTAGTTTTCATGTGAAGATATTTCTTTTTCACCATAGGCCTCAAACGGCTCAGAAATATTCCTTTGCAGATTGTACAAAAAGACTGTTTGCAAACTGCTCAATCAAAAGGAATGTTCAACTTTGTGAGATGAATGCAGGCATCACAAACAAGTTTCTCAGGATGCTTCTGTCTAGTTTTTATGTGAAAATATTTCTCTTTTCACCATAGGCCTCAAAGCGCTCCAAATAACCATCTGCTGACACTTCTAAAAGACTGTTTCCAAACTGGTCAATCAAAAGAAAGGTTCAATACCGTGAGATCAAAGCATCCATCCCAAACAAGTTTCTCAGGAAGCTTTTGTCTAGTTTTGTGTGAAGATATTTCCTATTTCATGATAGGCCATCAAGGGCTCACAAATATCCCTTTGCAGATACTACAAAAGGACTCTTTCCAAACTGCTCAATCAAAAGAAAAGTTCAACTGTGTGAGATGAATGGTCACATCACAAAGAAGTTTCTCAGAATGTTTCTATCTAGTTATGTGAAGATATTTCCTTTTTCGCCATAGGCCTTAAACTGCTCACAAATATCCCTCTGCAGATACTACAAAAAGACTGTTTCCAAACTGCTCCATCAAAAGAAAGGTTCAATTCTGTGAGGTGATGCACACATCCCAAAGAAATTTCTCAGAATCCTTCAGTCTAGTTTTTATGTGAAGATATTTCCTTTTTCAACATAGGCCTCAAAAGGCTCCAAATATCCACTTGCAGATATTACAAAAAGTGTGTTTCTAAACTGCTCAACCAAAGGAAGTTTCAATTTTGTGAGATGAATGCACACATCACAAGGAAGTTTCTCATAATTATTCTATCTAGTTTCAATGTGAAGGTATTTCCTTTTTCACCATAGGCCTTAAACCTCTCACAAATATCTCTCTACAGATACTACAGAAAGACTGTTTCCAAACTTCTCAATCAAAAGAAACATTCAACTTTGTTAGATGAATGCACACATCACAAAGAAGTTTTTCAGAATACTTCTGTCTAGTTTTTATGTGCAGATATTTCCTTTTTCACCATAGGCCTCAAAGTGCTCCAAATATCCATTTGCAGATTCTACAAAAAGACTGTTTCCAAACTGCTCGATCAAAATAAATGTTCAACTCTGTGAGAAGAAAGCACACATGACAAAGGAGTTTCTCAGAATGCTTCTATCTAGTTTTTGTGTGAAGATATTTCCTTTTTCACCTTAGGCCATAAAGCGCTCACAAATATCCCTTTGCAGACTGTACAAAAAGACTGTTTCCAAACTGCTCAATAAAAGGAAGGGTTCAACTCTGCAAGATGAATGCAAACATCACAAAGAAGTTTCTCAGAGAGATTCTGTTCGATTTTTATGTGAAGATGTTTCCTTTTTCACCATAGTCCTCGAAGCACTTCAAATATCCATTTGCAGTTACCACAAAAAAAGTGAATACTAACTGCTAGATCAAAAGAAAGGTTCAAGTCTGTGAGATGAAAGCACACATCACAAAGAATTTTCTTAGGAAGCATCTGTCTACTTTTTATGTGAAGATATTTCATATTTCACTCCAGATCTCAATGAGCTCAGAAATGTCCCTTTGCATATTCTACAAAAGGACTGTTTCCAAACTGCTCAAAACAAAGAAAGTTTCAACTCTGTGTGATGAATGGACACATAACAAAAAGTTTCTCAGAATGCTTCTGTCTAGCCTTTATATGAAGATATTTCCTTTTTCACTATTGGGCTCAAACCGTTCACAAATATCCCTCTGCAGATACTATGAAGAGACTGATTCCAAACTGCTAAATCAAAAGAAAGGTTCAACTCTGTGCGATCAATGCACAGGTCACAAAGAAGTTTCTCAGAATGCTTCTGTCTAGTTATTATGTGAAGACATTTCCCTTTTAACCATAGTCCTCAAAGCGCTCCACATATCCATTTGCAGATTCTGCAAAAAGACTGTTTAAAAACTGCTCTAACAAAAGAAAGGTTCAATTCTGAGTGATGAAAGCACACATCACTGAGAAGTTTCTCAGAAAGATTCTTTCTAGTTTTTATTTGAAGATATTTCCTTTTTCACAATAGTCCTCAAAGCAATCCATATATACTTTTGCGATTATACAAAAAGACTGTTTCCAAACTCCTCAATCAAAAGAAAGGTTCAACTCTGTGAGATGAATGCACACATATCAAAGAACTTTCTCACAAAGTTCTGTCTAGTTTTTCTGTGAATATATTTCCTATTTCACCATAGGCCTCAAAGGGCTCACAAATATCCCTTTGCAGATTCTACAAAAGGATTCTTTTCAAACTTCTCAATCAAAAGAAAGGTTCACCTCTGTGAGATGAATGGTTGCATCACAAGGAAGTTTCTCAGAATGCTTCTGTCTAGTTTTTATGTGAAGATATTTACTTTTTCACCAAAGTCATTAAACCGCTCACAAATATCCCTCTGTAGATACTACAAAAAGACTGTTTCCAAACTGCTCCTTCAAAAGAAATGTTCATCTCTGTGAGATGAATGCACACATCACAAAGAAGTTTCTCAGAATGCTTATGTCTAGTATTTATTGTGAAGATATTTCCCTTTTCACTACATGCCTCAAAGTGCTCCAAATATTTATTAGCAGATTCTACAAAAAGACTGTTTCCAAACTGCTCAATCAAAAGAAATGTTCAACTATGTGAGATGAAAGCACACATCACAAAGAAGTTTCTCAGAAAGCTTCTGTTTAGTTTTTATGTGAACATATTTCCTTTTTCACCATAGGCCTCAAAGTGCTCCAAATATCCATTTCCAGATTCTACAAAAAGACTCTTTCCAAACTGTTCAATCAAAAGAAAGGTTCAACTCTGTAGGATGAATGCACACATCACAAAGAAGTTTCTCAGAATGCTTCTGTCTAGTTTTTTTGTGAAGATGTTACCTTTTTCACAACAGGCCTTAAACTGCTCTCAAATATCCCTATGGAGATACTACAAAGAGACTGTTTCCAAACTGCTCAAGCAAAAGAAAGGTTCAAATCTGTGAAATGAATGTACACATCACGAGGAAGTTTCTCAGAAAGCTTCTGTTTAGTTTTTATATGAAGATATTTCATTAATAAGTCAGGAAAAAACAGGTGCTGGAGAGAATGTGGAGAAATAAGAACACTTTTACACTGTTGGTGGGACTGTAAACTAGTTCAACCATTGTGGAAGTCAGTGTGGCGATTCCTCAGGGATCTAGAACTAGAAGTAACATTTGACCTAGCCATCCCATTACTGGGTATATACCCAAAAAATTATAAATCACGCTGCTATAAAGACACAGGCACACGTATGTTTATTGCAGCACTATTCACAATACCAATGACTTGCAACAAACCTAAATATCCAACAATGATAGACTGGATTAAGAAAATGCGGCACATATGCACCATGGAATAGTATGCAGCCATAAAAATGATGATTTCATGTCCTTTGTAGGGACATGGATGAAACTGGGAACCATCATTCTCAGCAAACTATGGCAAGGACAAAAAACCAAACATGGCATGTTCTCGCTCATAGGTGGGAATAGAAGAATAAGAACACATGGACACAGGAAGGGGAACATCACACACTGGGGACCAGTGTGGGGTGGGCAGAGTGGGGAGGGATACCGTTAGGAGATACACATAATGCTAAATGACAAGTTAATGGTTGCAGCACACCAACATGGCACATGTATGCGTGTGTAACAAACCTGCACATGGTGAACATGTACCCTAAACCTTAAAGAATAATAATAATAAAAGAAAAGAAAAAAGTAAATAAACCCCTAATTTGTTTGAAGCAAAAAAAAAAATAAAAAGGTTCAACTCTGTGAGATGAATGCAGGCTTCACAAAGAAGTTTCTCAGAATGCTTCCATCTAGTTTTTATGTGAAGATATTTCCTTTTTCACCATAGGCCTCAAAGCGCTCCAAATATCAATTTGCAGATTCCACAAAAAGACTGGTTCCAAACTGCTTAATCAAAAGAGAGGTTCAACTCTGTGAGATGAAATCATAAAACACAAAGAAGTTTCTCAGAAAGCTTCTGTCTAGTGTTTGGGTGAAGGTATTTCCTATTTCACCATAGGCCATGAAGGGCTCAAAAATATCCCTTTGCAGATTCTAGAAAAAGACTGTTTCCAATCTGCTGAATGAAAAGAAAGTTTCAACTCTGTGAGACGAATGCACACATCACAAAGAAGTTTCTCAGAATGCCTCTGTCTAGTTTTTATGTGCAGATATTTACTTTTTCACCATAGACCTTAAACCGCTAACAAATATCCCTTTGCAGATACTACAAAAAGACTGCTTCCAAACTGCTCCATCAAAAGAAAGGTTCGACACTGAGAGATGAATGCACACATCACAAAGAAGTTTCTCAGAATGCTTCTGTCTCCTTTTTTTGTGAAGATATTTCCTTTTTCACCATCGGCTTCAAAGCACTCCAAATATCCATTTGCAGATTCTGCAAAAATACTGTTTCCAAACTGCTTAATCAAAAGACAGGTTCAACTCTGTGAGATGAAAGCATACATCACAAAGAAGTTTCTCAGAAAGCTTCTGTCTAGTTTTTGTGTTAGGATAATTCATACTTCACCATAGGCCATAAAGGACTCAAAACCATCCCTTTGCAAATTCTAGAAAAAGACTGTTTCCAAACTGCTGAATCAAAAGAAAGGTTCAACTCTGTGAGATGAATGCACACATCACAAAGAAGTTTCTCAGAAAGCCTCTGTCTGGTTTTTATGTGAAGATGTTTCCTATTTCACCATAGGCCATAAAGGGTTCACAAATATCCCTCTACAGATTCTACAGGAAGACTGTTTCCAAACTGCTCAATTCAAAGAAAGTTTCAACCCTGTGAGATGAATGGACACGTCACAAAGAAGTTTCTCAGAATGCTTCTGTCAAGTTTTTATGTGAAGGTATTTCTTTTTCACCTTAGGCCTCAAACTGCTCAGAAATATCCCTTTTGCAGATTGTACAAAAGACTGTTTCCAAACTGCTCAATAAAAAGAAACGTTCAACTCTGTGAGATGAAAGCAAACATCACAATGAAGTTTCTCAGAAAGCTTCTGACTAGTTTTTATGTGAAGATATTTCCTATTTCACAACAGGCCATAAAGGGCTCACAAATATCCCTCTGCAGATTATATGAAAAGACTGTTTCCAAATTGCTCAATCAAAAGAATGGTTCATCTCTGTGAGATGAATGGACACATCACAAAGAAGTTTCTCAGAATGATTCTGTCTAGTTTTTATGTGAATATATTTCTTTTTCAACATAGGCATCAAAAGGCTCAGAAATATCCCTTTGCAGATAGTACAAAAACTGTTTCCAAACTGCTCAAAATCAAAAGAGAGGTTCATTTCTGCGAGATGAATGCACACATTACAAAGGAGCATGTCAGAACTCTTCTGTCTAGCTTTTATGTGAAGATATTTCCTTTTTCAGCAAAGACCTCAAAGCGCTCCAAATATCCATTTGCAGATTGTACAAAAAGACTGTTTCCAAGCTGCTCAAGCAAAAGAGAGCTTCAACTCTGTGAGAAGAAAGCATGCATCACAAAGAAGTTTCTCAGAATGCTTTTGTCTACTTTTTATGTAAAGATATTTCCTTTTTCGCCATAGACCTCAAAGCGCTCTACATATCCATTTGCAGATTCTTCAAAAAGACTGTTTGCAAACTGCTCAATCAAAAGAAAGTTTCAACTCTGTGAGACGAAAGAACACATCACAAATAAGTTTCTCAGAATGCTTCTGTCTAGTTTTTATGTGAAGATACTTCCTATTTCAACACAGGCCTCAATGGACTCAAAAAATTTCCCTTTTCAGATTCTACAAAAAGTCTTTTTCCTAACGTCGCAATCAAAAGAAACTTTCCACTCTGTGAGATGAATGCGCATGTCAAAAAGAAGTTTCTCAGAACTTTTCTGTCTAGCTTTTCTTTTTTTTTTAGGTTGCTAATGTTTTATTTTTTATTTTTTTATCTTATTATTACTATAAGTTTTAGGGTACATGTGCACAATGTGCAGGTTACATATGTATACATGTGCCATGCTGGTGTGCTGTACCCATAAACTCATCATTTAGCATTAGGTATATCTCCTAATGCTATCCCTCCCCACTCTCCCCACCCCACAACAGTCCCCAGAGTCTGATGTTCCCCTTCCTGCATCCATGTATCCTCATTGTTCAATTCCCACCTATGAGTGAGAATATGTGGTGTTTGGTATTTTGTCCTTGCGATAGCTTGCTGAGAATGAAGATTTCCAATTTCATCCATGTCCCTACAAAGGACATGAACTCGTCCTTTTTTATGGCTGCATAGTGTTCCATCGTGTATATGTGCCACATTTTCTTAATCCAGTCTATCATTGTTGGACATTTGGGTTGGTTCCAAGTCTTTGCTATTGTGAATAGTGTCACATTAAACATATGTGTGCATGTGTCTTTATAGTAGCATGATTTATAGTCCTTTGGGTATATACCCAGTAATGGGATGGCTGGGTTAAATGGTATTTCTAGTTCCAGATACCTGAGGAATCGCCACACTGACTTCCACAATGGTTGAACTAGTTTACACTCTCACCAACAGTGTAAAAGTGTTCCTATTTCTCCACATCCTCTCCAGCACCTGTTGTTTCCTGATTTTTTAATGATTGCCATTCTAACTGGTGTGAGATGGTATCTCATTGTGGTTTTGATTTGCATATCTCTGATGGCCAGTGATGGTAAGCATTTTTTCATGTGTTTTTTGGCTGCATATATGTCTTCTTTTGAGAAGTGTCTGTTCATGTCCTTCGCCCAATTTTGATGGGGTTGTTTGCTTTTTTCTTGTAAATATGTTTGAGTACATTGTAGATTCTGGATATTAGCTATTTGTCAGATGAGTAATTTGCAAAAATTTTCTCCCATTTTGTAGGTTGCCTGTTCACTCTGATGGTAGTTTCTTTTGCTGTGCAGAAGCTCCTTAGTTTAATGAGAACCCATTTGTCAATTTTGGCTTTAGTTGCCATTGCTTTTGGTGTTTTAGACATGAAGTACTTGCCCATGCCTATGTTCTGAATGGTAAAGCCTAGTTTTTCTTCTGGGGTTTTTATGGTTTGAGGTCTAACGTTTAAGTCTTTAATCCATCTTGAATTAATTTTTGTATAAGGTGTAAGGAAGGGATCCAGTTTCAGCTTTCTACACATGGCTAGCAAGTTTTCCCAGCACCATTTATTAAATAGGAAATCCTTTCTGCATTGCTTGATTTTCTCAGGTTTGTCAAAGATCAAATGAATGTAGATATGCAGCGTTTTTTCTGGGGGCTCAGTTCCATTCCATTCATCTATATCTCTGTTTTGGTACCAGTACCATGCTGTTTTGGTTACTGTAGCCTTGTAGTATAGTTTGAAGTCAGGTAGTGTGATGTCTCCTGCTTTGTTCTTTTGGTGTAGGATTGACTTGGCGATGTGTGCTCTTTTTTGGTTCCATATGAAATTTAAAGTGGTTTTTTCCAGTTCTGTGAAGAAAGTCATTGGTAGCTTCATGGGGATGGCATTGAATCTATAAATTACCTTGGGCAGTATGGCCATTTTCAAAATATTGATTCTTCCTACCCATGAACATGGAACGTTCTTCCATTCGTTTGTATCCTCTTTTATTTCATTGAGCAGTGGATTGTAGTTCTCCTTGAAGAGTTCCTTCATATCCCTTGCCAGTTGGATTCCTAGGTATTTTGTTCTCTTTGAAGAAATTGTGAATGGGAGTTCACTCATGATTTGGCTCTCTGTTTGTCTGTTATTGGTGTATATGAATGCTTGTGATTTTTGTACATTGATTTTGTATCCTGAGATTTTAATGAAGTCGCTTATCAGCTTAAGGAGATTTTGGGCTGAGACAATGGGGTTTTCTAGATGTACACTCATGTCATCTGCAAACAGGGACAATTTGACTTCCTCTTTTCCTAATTGAATACTCTTTATTTCCTTTTCCTGCCTAACTGCCCTGGCCAGAACTTCCAACACTATGTTGAATAGGAGTGGTGAGAGAGGGCATCCTTGTCTTGTGCTAGTTTTCAAAGGGAATGCTTCCAGTTTTTGCCCATTCAGTATGATATTGGCTGTGGGTTTCTCATAGATAGCTCTTACTATTTTGAGTTATGTCCCATCAATACCTAATTTATTGAGAGTTTTTAGCATGAAACATTGTTGAATTTTGTCAAAGGCCTTTTCTGCGTCTATTGAGATAATCATGTGGTTTTTGTCTTTGGTTTTGTTTATATGCTGGATTACATTTATTGATTTGTGTATATTGAACAAGCCTTGTATCCCAGGGATGAAGCCCACTTGATCATGGTGGATAAGCTTTTTGATGTGTCACTGGATTCGGTTTGCCAGTAATTTATTGAGGATTTTTGCATCAATGTTCATCAAGGATATTGGTCTAAAATTCTCTATTTTGGTTGTGTCTCTGCCAGGCTTTGGTATCAGGATGATGCTGACCTCATAAAATGAGTCAGGGAGTATTGCCTCTTTTACGATGGAATGAAATAGTTTCAGAAGGAATGGTAACAGTTCCTCCTTGTACCTCTGGTAGAATACGGGTGTGAATCCATCTGGTCCTGGAGTCTTTTTTGTTGGTAAGCTATTGATTATTGTCACAATTTCAGAGCCTGTTAGTGGTCTATTCAGAGATTCAACTTCTTCCTGGTTTAGTCTTGGGAAAGTGTATGTGTTGAGGAATTTATCCATTTCTTCTAGATTTTCTAGTATATTTGCATAGAGGTGCTTGTAGTATGCTCTGATGGTAGTTTGTATTTCTGTGGGATTGGTGGTGATATCCCCTTTATCATTTTTTATTGCGTCTATTTGATTCTTCTCTCTTTTTTTCTTTATTAGTCTTGCTAGTGGTTTATCAATTTTGTTGATCATTTCAAAAAAGCAGCTCCTGGATTCATTAATCTTTTGAAGGGTTTTTTGCATCTCTATTTCCTTCAGATCTGCTCTGATTTTAGTTATTTCTTGACTTCTGCTAGCTTTGGATGTGTTTGCTCTTGCTTTTCTGGTTCTTTTAATTGTGTTGTTAGGGTGTCAATTTTGGATCTTTCCTGCTTTCTCTTGTGAGCATTTAGTGCTATAAATTTCCCTCTACACACTGCTTTGAATGCGTCCCAGAGATTCTGGCATGTTGTGTCTTTGTTCTCATTGGTTTAAAAGAGCATCTTTATTTCTGCCTTCATTTCGTTATGTACCCAGTAGTCATTCAGGATCAGGATGTTCAGTTTCCATGTAGTTGAGTGGTGTTGAGTGAGATTATTAATCCTGAGTTCTAGTTTGATTTCACTGTGGTCTGAGAGTTTGTTATAATTTCTGTTCTTTTACATTTGCTGAGGAGAGCTTTACTTCCAAGTATGTGGTCAATTTTGGAATAGGTGTGGTGTGGTGCTGAAAAAAATGTATATTCTGTTGATTTGGGGTGCAGAGTTCTGTAGATGTCTATTAGGTCCGCTTGGTGCAGAGCTGAGTTCAATTCCTGGGTATCCTTGTTAACTTTCTGTCTCGTTGATCTGTCTAATGTTGACAGTGGGGTGTTAAAGTCTCCCATTATTAATGTGTGGGAGTCTAAGTCTCTTTGTAGGTCACTCAGGACTTGCTTTATGAATCTGGGTGCTCCTGTATTCAGTGCATGTGTATTTATGATACTTAGCTCTTTTTGTTGAAATGATCCCTTTACCATGATGTAATGGCCTTCTTTGTCTCTTTTGATCTTTGTTGGTTTAAAATCTGTTTTATCAGAGACTAAGATTGCAACCCCTACCTTTTTTTGTTTTCCATTTGCTTGGTAGATCTTCCTCCATCCCTTTATTTTGAGCCTATGTGTGTCTCTGCACGTGAGATGGGTTTCCTGAATACAGCACGCTGATGGGTCTTGACTCTTTATCCAATTTGCCAGTCTGTGTCTTTTAATTGGAGCATTTAGTCCATTGACATTTAAAGTTAACATTGTTATGTGTGAATTTGATCCTGTCATTATGATGTTAGCTGGTTATTTTGCTCATTAGTTGATGCAGTTTCTTCCTAGTCTCAATGGTCTTTACATTTTCTCATGATTTTCCCACAGCTGGTATGGTTGTTCCTTTCCATGTTTAGTGCTGCCTTCAGGAGCTCTTTTAGGGCAGGCCTGGTGGTGACAAAATCTCTCAGCATTTGCTTGTCTGTAAAGTATTTTATTTCTCCTTCACTTATGAAGCTTAGTTTGGCTGGATATGAAATTCGCGGTTGAAAATTCTTTTCTTTAAGAATGTTGAATAATGACCCCCACTCTCTTCTGGCTTGTAGAGTTTCTGCCGAGAGATCCGCTGTTAGTCTGATGGGCTTCCCTTTGTGGGTAACCCGACCTTTCTCTCTGGCTGCCCTTAACATTTTTTCCTTCATTTCAATTTTGGTGAATCTGACAATTATGTGTCTTGGAGTTGCTCTTCTAAGGGAGTATCTTTGTGGCATTCTCTGTATTTCCTGAATCTGAATGTTGGCCTGGCTTGCTAGATTGGGGAAGTTCTCCTGGATAATATCCTGCAGAGTGTTTTCCAACTTGGATCCATTCTGCCCGTCACTTTCAGGTACACCAATCAGACGCAGATTTGGTCTTTTCACATAGTCCCATATTTCTTGGAGGCTTTGTCTGTTTCTTTTTATTCTTTTTTCTCTTAACTTCCCTTCTTGCTTCATTTCATTCATTTTATCTTCCTTCAGTGATACCCTTTCTTCCACTTGATCGTATCGTCTCCTCAGACTTCTGATTCTTCACGTAGTTCTCGAGCCTTGGCTTTCAGCTCCATCAGCTCCTTTAAGCACTTCTCTGTATTGGTTATTCTACTTATACATTGGTCTAAATTTTTTCAAAGTTTTCAATTTTTTTGCCTTTGGTTTGAATTTCCTCCTGTAGCTCGGAGTAGTTTGATCATCCGAAGCCCTCTTCTCTCAACTCGTCAAAGTCATTCTCCATCCAGCTTTGTTCCGTTGCTGGTGAGGAACTGCGTTCCTTGGGAGGAGGAGAGGCACTCTGCTTTTTAGAGTTTCCAGTTTTTCTGTTCTGTTTTTTCTCCATCTTTGTGGTTTTAACTACTTTTAGTCTTTGATGATGGTGAGGTACAGATGGATTTTTGGTGTGGATGTCCTTTCTGTTTGTTAGTTTTCCTTCTGACAGGACCCTCAGCTGCAGGTCTGTTGGAGTTTGCTAGAGGGCCACTCCAGACCCTCTTTGACTGGGCATCAGCAGCAGTGTCTGCAGAACTATGGATTTTCATGAACTGCAAATGCTGCTGTCTGATTGTTCCTCTGGAAGTTTTGTCTCAGAGGAGTACCCGGCCGTGTGAGTTGTCAGTCTGCTCCTACTGGGGGGTGTCTCCCAGTTAGGCTGCTCGGGGGTCAGGGGTCAGGGACCCACTTAAGGAGGCAGTCTGCCCATTCTTAGATCTCCAGCTGTGTGCTGGGAGAACCATTGCTCTCTTCAAAGCTGTCAGACAGGGACATTTATGTCTGCAGAGGTTACCGCTCTCTTTTTGTTTGTCTGTGCCCTGCTCCCAGAGGTGGAGCCTACAGAGGCAGGCAGGCGTCCTTGAGCTGTGGTGGGCTCCAGCCAGTTCGAACTTCCTGGCTGCTTTGTTTACCTAAGCGAGCCTGGGCAATGGCAGGTGCCCATCCCCCAGACTCGCTGCCAACTTGCAGTTTGATCTCAGACTGCTGTGCTAGCAATCAGCAAGACTCCATGGGCGTAGGACGCTCTGAGCCATGTGTGGGATATAATCTCCTGGTGTGCCATTTCCTAAGCCTGTCAGAAAAGCACAGTATTTGGGTGGGTGTGACCTGATTTTCCAGGTGCCATCTGTCACCCCTTTCCTTGACCAGGAAAGGGAACTCCCTGACCCCTTGCACTTCCTGAGTGAGGCAATGCCTTGCCTTGCTTCGGCTCATGCATGGTGCACTGCACCCAGTGTCCTGAGCCCACTTTCTGGCACTCCCTAGTGAGATGAGCCTGGTACCTCAGATGGGAATGCAGAAATCACCCATCTTCTGTGTCACTCATGCTGGGAGCTGTAGACCAGAACTGTTCCTATTTAGCCATCTTGGCTGCCCTCTCCTGTCTAGTTTTTATGTAAAGATATTTCTATTTTCACCATAGACCTCTAACTGCTCACGAATATCCCTCTGCAAATCCTACAAAAAGACTGTTTCCAAACTGCTCAATCAAAAGAAATATTCATATCTGTGTGATGAAAGCACACATCACAAAGAAGTTTCCATGAAAACTTCTGTCTAGTTCTTATGTGAAGATATTGCCTTTTTCAGAAAAGGCCTCAAAGGGCTCAAAAATGTACTTTTGCATCACATCAGAAAGAAGTTTCTCAGAAAGCTTCTGTCTAGTTTTTTTGTGAAGATATTTCCTTTTTCACCGTGGCCTCAAACCGCTAACAGATATCCCTCTGCAGGTACTACAAAAAGACTGTTTCCAAACTGCTCAATCAAAAGAAAATTTCAACTCTATGAGATGAATGCACACATCACAAAGAAGTTTCTCAGAAATTTTCTGTCTAGTTTTTATGTGAAGATATTTCCTTTTTCACCGTAGGCCTCTAAGTGCTCCAAATATACATTTGCAGATTCTACAAAAAGACTGTTTCCAAACTGCTCAATCAGAAGAAAGCTTCAACTCTGTGAGATGAAAGCACACATCCCAAAGAAGTTCCTCAGAAACCTTCTGCCTAGTTTTTATATAGAGTAGGCAAATGGGAGGGTCTCATCACTGACCCACTTATGTTTTCTAAAGGGATGTTTGAAACAAATCCTCAAAAAAAAGACTGAAACTGTAAGAATTTTTTCATGAGTTCCTATTCCAAAAACAAATTTAGTATTCTTGGTATTCTTCAATTTAATTTCGACTTCTTATTCTGCTTCATGAGATCATAATTATTGCATCTATCCTTAAAAAATAGCATGAAGTTCTTAATTGTGAGTTTCATATTGCTTATAGAATAGTTTATAAGTGATGCTCATGTTTTATCTATTTCTTTTTTAATATTTCCTTACTTTTTGTATAAACTTGAACAGATCACTAGAAGATCACCAGAATCCTGAAAACTGAGAAGTGTCTTCTTAGGAAGCTTTTCAAAGAAACTTGGAGTGAAGAGTATGCTTTCCTAGATTTCTGCTGTTTCATCTAGAAACTCATCAATTCAAGAACAGAAATCTCAGTTTTTAATTGATGTTAGAACCTGAGTTAAGCCTTTTAAGAATATTAGGAGTCTTATGACTAGAGATTCAGGGATGCCTGAATCCTGTCCTGATAATCACTCTTCTTTCTGTGGAATGGCAAAAATATTATAAAAACACAAGCATACGCATGCACACACACAAATGGAAATAGTTACTACTGTGAAACAAGTTAGTTATTTAACATTATATGCATGAATGTGGCACATATACAACATGGAATATTATACAGCCATAAAAAAATGATGAGTTCATGTCCTTTGCAGGGACATGGATGCATCCAGAAACCATCATTCTGAGCCAACTATCACAAGGACAGAAAACCAAACACCACATGTTCTCAGTCATAGGTGGGAAATGAACAGTGAGAACACTTGGACATAGGGCGGGGAACTTCACACCCTGGGACCTGTCGTGGGGTTGGGGCAGAGGGCGGGATAGCATTGGCAGAAATACCTAATGTAAATGACGAGTTAATGGGTGCAGCAAGCCAACATGGCACATGTATACCTATGCACATGTACCCTAGAACTTAAAGTACAATTAAAAAAATTATATCCATGAATGCCCAATACCCCTAAGGCAAAGTGTTTTGGTAAAAGTTAGGTTGCAGAACATATCTAAATCTAAATTCTACATGGGACTCTACCTTTTCATGTGGACATGTTGGATTTTATCACTTTCTGGTAAGCCACGTGTTAAAGATGACCAATTATGAGAACTAAGTGAATGTGTGTTAAAAGCAGAAAAGCCAGCTGTTTGACGCTCAATGGATCCAGTCTCAATTTCCAATGGACTCAAATAAGCAGGCTAGCTCAACTAACACATCTAGAAAAATGCAGGAGAGAGAAGGAAGGAAAAAACAAGATAACAAATTCTTTCTGAATGTCTAGGCATGAGTGAGCTTAATATTTTGGCAGTGTGGAAGATGGAAGCAAGAGAGAGAAACTGTGTGTGTGTGTGTGTGTGTGTTTTTTAAATACAGTTGACCCTTGAACAACATGAGTCATGAGTTTGAACTCTGTGTACACTTACACATGGATTTTTTTCTGCTTGTGCCACTCCTGAGGCAGCAAGACCAACCCCTCCTCTTATTCCTTCTCATCCCACTAAATGTGAATACGATGAGCATGAAGAACTTTGTGAAGATCCACTTCCACTTAATAAGTATTAAATATATATTCTTTTCTTATGATTTTCTTAATAACATTTTATTTTCTCTACTTTATTGTAAGAATACAGTATATAATACATGTAATATATAAAATACGTATTAGTCAACTACTTATGTTTTCAGTAAGCCTCTGGTCAACAGTAGGCTATTAGAAGTTAAATTTGGAGAGAGTCAAAATTTATACTTAGATTTTCAACTGTACAGGGAATTGGCACCCCTAACACCTGCATTGTTCAAGGATCAACTGCACAGTGGTTCTTCCTCTGATAAACACAGCCCACTAAAATTCCCTTAAACTTACTTAGCAGAAGACTTCCACTACCTACTGACTTAGAGATGGGAAAATATGGATATTCTCAGAGTGAAATAGAAGAGTGGGAATTTTCTGGCTCCCTAGTTACAATGAGAATTGTGAGACTAGGATATAACATTAGGTTTCTTTTTCAAAATATTTTAGGACAAGTAGTCTTTTCTTCCTATAACTCACTCATTCAACCATCCTATCCTGACTCTTACATACTCAGGACTAAGCTAAGCATGGAGGATAGAAAGATGACCTGTTCAGCACTTACCTTTGGATACCTGCAGTGCAGAGACAGCAATGAGTATAAATAATTACACTGGTGTGTGATAGGTGATATAATTTGGCAATTTTCAAAGTACTGTGAAAATATATAAACTAAATACTTTTCAGTTTCCTCTTCATCCCTTTGTGTTGCCCAAAATTATTACTGAACTTCTTAGTTCATTTTTCTTCTTGTAAACTTAAACTATTTAAGATTATATGCTATTCAAATTATTGTCAGCTCATGAAAACTATATGCCAAACTTACAAGTAAATTGTGTAACTGATTTTTTTAAATGCGGACATCTAATA
Source organism: Homo sapiens (assembly GCF_000001405.40). Taxonomy (NCBI): domain Eukaryota; kingdom Metazoa; phylum Chordata; class Mammalia; order Primates; family Hominidae; genus Homo; species Homo sapiens. The sequence goes on from NC_000005.10 coordinate 50,266,313, forward strand.
TATAGAATCACTAGTTTGTATAAATGAATCACGTTAAGACACATCTATAAATACGTGGTGGAAGAAACTTAGATATAATATTTAGCTAGGCCAAACTACTGAAATAAATAGACCAATAGTGTAAACACAGAAGATGATTTCTTGCTCATGAATTAGAGAAGGTAGATATTCCTGGTATGTAGTCTACAAGCCACACATGACTGAAGTCAAGGTGTCCATCATGATAAGTTCTTATCTGAAAGCTTTAGAGAAGAATCTGCTTCCAAGTTCATTGCAGTTTCTTGTGGTTGCAGTTCTAAGGTCCCCATATCCTTGCCAGCTGTCAACTGGTAGTTGGCCTCTGCTTCTGGTCGCTACCTGAATTTCTTCTCACATGGCTTCCTTTACCATTGAAGTCAAGGATTCTACATCAAGTTTTTCCCATGTTTCAAATCTCCCTGACTTCTCCTTCTGTCATCAGCCAAGAAAACCTCTCTGTATTTAAGAATGCATGTGATTAAATCATGACAATCCAGATAGTCCCCCTTAAAAGTCTGCTATGCCAAAAAACATAAGTATGAAATAATATCTCCCCATAATCACAGTTTCCAGGAATTATCACAAATATCCTTAAAAAGCCTAGCCAAGTTTCTTCCAACCTTCTAGGCTCACCTCCTTAGGTGGGGAAAATAGAGTCAACAGGGGCCAGGGCTTAAAAGAATAGGAGGAATACAGAAGGAATGCTGCAGATAGGTAGGCAATGGAGAAAGAGGGGAAAATAGCTCTACCACTGGAGAAACACTTGGAAAAGACACAGCCTCAAGATACAGGTCCACTAAAAAACTAAAATTTAATCAAAAGATTGTAGAATGTTATTTTTCCACACTTCTCAACAATAATTTATGGCTCTGATGTAACCATTGTTTTGTGGCTTACTATCATCTACTGTAACAGTAGACAATAGTTGAAATACTTGGAAGACATAGACTTTCTGCAGAAGACTACATAGAAAAGAACAATGTGAGAAGGGGATAAAAAACAAGAACACTAAGGCAACTTGAGCCTCTAATGCCTGTTACAGCTACAATAACCATTAAACATAGTCTAAATCCTGAACAGATTAACATAAATCTATATACTAAAGGCTTATGTTCCTTTCATTTGATACATCATGCCTAGCTTTCAAAATAAGAGACAAAACACAGACTGAAGAGAAAAAAACAGCATCAGAATTCACATTCAGATATGATACAGGTATGATATTAATTGGAATTAATACTTATATTAAAATATGTTAAGGGATGTAATGTAAGAAATAGACAACATGAAAAAATAGATATTGTGAAAAGAAATAGAAACTTTAGAAACCAATCAAAAGAAAATGCTGAAAATAAAAAACTTTGTAACAAAAATTAACAACAATTTTCTTAATCCAATCTATCATTGTTGGACATTTGGGTTGGTTCCAAGTCTTTGCTATTGTGAATAATGCCGCAATAAACATACGTGTGCATGTGTCTTTATAGCAGCATGATTTATAGTCCTTTGGGCATATACCCAGTAATGGGATGGCTGGGTCAAATGGTATTCCAGTTCTACATACCTGAGGAATCGCCACACTGACTTCCACAATGGTTGAACTAGTTTACAGTCCCACCAACAGTGTAAAAGTGTTCCTATTTCTCCACATCCTCTCCAGCACCTGTTGTTTCCTGACTTTTTAATGATTGCCATTCTAACTGGTGTGAGATGGTATCTCATTGTGGTTTTGATTTGCATTTCTCTGATGGCCAGTGATGATGAGCATTTTTTCATGTGTTTTTTGGCTGCATAAATGTCTTCTTTTGAGAAGTGTCTGTTCATGTCCTTTGCCCACTTTTTGATGGGGTTGTTTTTTTTTTCTTGTAAATTTATTTGAGTTCATTGTAGATTCTGGATATTAGCCCTTTGTCAGATGAGTAGGTTGTGAAAATTTTCTCCCATTTTGTAGGTTGCCTGTTCACTCTGATGGTAGTTTCTTTTGCAGAAACTCCTTAGTTTAATGAGATCCCATTTGTCAATTTTGTCTTTTGTTGAAAATGTGACACTTATACACCATGGAATACTATGTGGCCATAAAAAATGATGAGTTCATGTCCTTTGTAGGGACATGGATGAAATTGGAAATCATCATTCTCAGTAAACTATCACAAGAACAAAAAACCAAACACCGCATATTCTCACTCATAGGTGGGAATTGAACAATGAGATCACATGGACACAGGAAGGGGAATATCACACTCTGGGGACTGTTGTGGGGTGGGGGAGGGGGAGGGATAACATCGGGAGATATACCTAATGCTAGATGACGAGTTAGGGGGTGCAGTGCACCAGCATGGCACATGTATACATATGTAACTAACCTGCACAATGTGCACATGTACCCTAAAACTTAAAGTATAATAAAAAAAAAATTAACAATGAGTTTGACGGGCACTTAGCAGTCTCAGCAAACTGAGGAAAGCATCAATGACCTTGAAGATAAATCAGTAGAAACTCAGTAAACTGAAATATAAAGAGGAAAAATAGAATTAAATAACAGAACAGAATATCCAAGAACTGTTACACCATTGCAAAAGATGCAATATATGTGTAATTGCAGTAACAGAAGAAGAAGAAAGGGAGATCAAAGAGGAGTAAATATTTGAACTATTAGATGCTTAGAGTTGCAACTTCTCAGGAGGATGACATAGGAGGATTACTCAAGTCCAGGAGTTCAAGGCTGCAGTGAACTATGATGGTGCCACTGCACTCCAGCCTGGACAACAAAGCACAGCAGCAATCCCATTTCAAAACAAACCTCAAAACCACACACACATAGATCCAGGAAACACAGAAAACACAAAGCAGGATAAATTCCAGTTACAAACACACACACACACACACACCTCTAAGCATATTATACTGAAATCAAAGACAAAGTCATGAAAGAAGCCTAAGGAAAAAAAAATCCCTACTTATGGAAAAATAAGAACAAGCATTACAATGAACTTATCAGAAATCATGCATGCCTGAAGAGAATAAAATATTTAAAGCATTAAAAAAATTCACCAACCTAGGATTCTATATCCAACAAAACTATTCTTCAGAAGGAGGAATAATACTACCTCAAATAAGCAAAAAAATAATATAAGTCCTCTTTGACAGGTAGAACCTATGAGAAATTATAAAGTACTTCAGACAGGAAATTATAAAGTTCATACATTTGAGTTAATATAAAGGATGGTTGGAGAAGGAATAAAGGTAAATTAAATTTTGTATTGATCTTATTTTTAATTTATCTAAAAGATTTTTGTTTAAAGTAAAAATAGTAACAACACATTGGGTATTTCTGGCATATGGAAAACATACCAGAATCTCTGGGACACATTCAAAGCAGTGTGTAGAGGAAAATTTATAGCACTAAATGCCCATAAGAGAAAGGAGGAAAGATCTAAAATTGACACTCTAACATCACAATAAAAAGAACTACAGGAGCAAGAGCAAACACATTCAAAACCTAGCAGAAGGCAAGAAATAACTAAGATCAGAGCAGAACTGAAGGAAATAGAGACAAAAAAAAAAACCCTTCAAAAACTCAATGAATACAGGAGATGTTTTTTTGAAAAGATCAAAAAAATTGTGAGACCGCTGGCAAGACGAATAAAGAAGAAAAGATAAAACAAACAAATAGACACAATAAAAAATGATAAATGGGTTATCACCACCAATCCCACAGAAATACAAACTACCATCAGAGAATATTATAAACATCTTTATGCAAATAAACTAGAAAATCTAGAAGAAATGGACAAATTCCTTGACACATACACCCTCCAAGACTAAATCAAGAAGAAGTTGAATCTCTGAATAGACCAATAACAGGCTCTGAAATTGAAGCAATAATTAATAGCTTACCAACCAAAAAGACTCCAGGACCAGATGGATTCACAGCCGAATTCTACCAGAGGTACAATGAGGAACTGTTACCATTCCTTCTGAAACCATTCCAATCAATAAAAAAAGAGGAAATTCTCCCTAACTCATTTTATGAGTCCAGCATCATCCTCATACCAAAGCCGGGCAGAGACATAAACAAAAAAGACAATTTTAGACCAATATCCCTGATGAACATCGATGCAAAAATCCTCAATAAAATAATGGCAAACCGAATCCAGCAGCATATCAAAAAGCTTATCCACCATGATCAAGTGGGCTTCATCCTGGGTTGCAAGGCTGGTTCAACATATGCAAATCAATAAAAATAATCCAGCATATAAAGAGAACCAACGACAAAAACCATATGATTATCTCAATAGATGCAAAAAAGGCCTTTGACAAAATACAACAACGTTCCTGCTAAAAACTCTCAATAAATTAGGTATTGATAGGACATATCTCAAAATAGTAACAGCTAACTATGAAAAAGGCACAGCCAATATCATACTGAATGGGCAAAAACTGGAAGCATTCCTTTTGAAAACTGGCACAAGACAGGGATGCCTTCTCTCACCACTCCTATTCAACATAGTGTTGGAAGTTCTGGCCAGGGAAATCAGGCAGAAGAAGGAAATAAAGGGCATTCAAATAGGAAAAGAGGAAGTCAAATTGTCCCTGTGTGCAGATGACATGACTGTATATCTAGAAAACCCCATTGTCTCAGCCCAAAATCTCCTAAAGCTGATAAGCAACTGCAGCAAAGTCTCAGGATACAAAATCAATGTACAAAAATCACAAACATTCTTATACACCAATAACAGACAAACAGAGAGCCAAATCATGAGTGAAGTCCCATTCACAATTGCTTCAAAGAGAATAAAATACCTAGGAATCCAACTTACAAGGGACGTGAAGGACCTCTTCAAGGAGAACTACAAAACACTGCTCAATGAAATAAAAGAGGATACATACAAATGGAAGAACATTCCATGCTCATAGGTAGGAAGAATCAATATCATGAAAATGGCCATACTGCCCAAGGGAATTTATAGATTCAATGCCATCCCCATCAAGCTACCAATGACTTTCTTCACAGAATTGGAAAAAACTACTTTAAAGTTCATATGGAACCAAAAAAGAGCCCGCATCACCAAGTCAATCCTAAGCCAAAAGAACAAAGCTGGAGGCATCACGCTACCTGACTTCAAACTATACTACAAGGCTACAGTAACCAAAACAGCATGGTACTGGTACCAAAACAGAGATATAGACCAATGGAACAGAACACAGCCCTCAGAAATAAGGTCACATATCTACAACTATCTGATCTTTGACAAACCTGACAAAAAGAAGCAATGTGGAAAGATTCCCTATTTAATAAATGGTGCTGGGAAAACTGGCTAGCCATATGTAGAAAGCTGAAACTGGATCCCTTCCTTACACCTTATACAAAAATTAATTCAAGATGGATTAAAGACTTACATGTTAGACCTAAAACCATAAAAACCCTAGAAGAAAACCTAGGCAATACCATTCAGAACATAGGCATGGGCAAGGACTTCATGTCTAAAACACCAAAAGCAATGCAACAAAAGCCAAAATTGACAAATGGGATCTCATTAAACTAAAGAGCTTCTGCACAGCAAAAGAAACTACCATCAGAGTGAACAGGCAACCTACAGAACGAGAGAAAATTTTTGCAAACTACTCATCTGACAAAGGGCTAATATCTAGAATCTACAATTAACACAAACAAATTTACAAGAAAAAAACAAACAACCCCATCAAAAAGTGGGCAAAGGACATGAACAGACACTTCTCAAAAGAAGACATTTATGCAGCCAAAAGACACATGAAAAAATGCTCATCATCACTGGCCATCAGAGAAATGCAAATCAAAACCACAATGAGATACCATCTCACACCAGTTAGAATGGCCATCATTAAAAAGTCAGGAAACAACAGGTGCTGGAGAGGACGTGGAGAAATGGGAACACTTTTACACTGTTGGTGGGACTGTGAACTATTTCAGCCAGTGTGGAAGTCAGTGTGACAATTCATCAGGGATCTAGAACTAGAAATACCATTTGACCCAGCCATCCCATTACTGGGTATATACCCAAAGGATTATAAAACATGCTGCTATAAAGACACATGCACACATATGTTTATTGTGGCACTATTCACAACAGCAAAGACTTGAAACCAACCCAAATGTTCACCAATGATAGACTGGATTAAGAAAATGTGACACATATACACCATGGAATACTATGCAGCTGTAAAAAAGGATGAGTTCATGTCCTTTGTAGGGACATGGATGAAGATGGAAACCATCATTCTCAGCAAACTATGGCAAGGACAAAAAACCAAACACCGCATGTTCTCACTCATAGGTGCGAATTGAACAATGAGAACATATGGACACAGGAAAGGGAACATCACACACCGGGGCCTGTTGTGGGGTGGGGGGAGGGGGAGGGATAGCATTAGGAGATATACCTAATGTTAAATGACGAGTTAATGGGTGCAGCACAGCAACATGGCACATGTATACATATGTAACTAACCTGCACGTTGTGCACATGTACCCTAAAACCTAAAGTATAATAAAAAATAAATAAAAATAAATAGAGAAATATTCTATATTCACGGATTGGAAGATTCAATATTGTTAAAATATCAATTCTTTCCAATTTGATAAGTACATTTAACACCTTATTAAAATGATGACATTTGGTGTTTTATTTGTTAACTTGCTTTTATTGTTTCATTACTTGTTTTCTGCCTTTTGTATTTTGGAGGGGGCGGCTGTTTTGTTTTGTTTTGGAGGTTGACAGAGGAAGTTTGCTTGATCTGCCTTGTTTTGTTCCCAGAAACCCAACACATGTATATCTGATGGACTGACTGGAGTTCAAAAAAATAGATGAAGGAAGATTTGCTGTTATCTCAGCAAGAAGATAAAAGGTAAAGATGTCAATTCATATCCATTTATGGATTTGATGCAATTTTTATCAAAATCCTTGCAAGCTATTTTATAGATATCAATAAACTGATTCTAAAATATATATAGAAAGACAGGTTTTAGAAAAGCCAATTCAATACAAAGAACAAATTTCAGGGACTCACACTACCTGATTTTATGACTTATTTTAAGCTACAGTAACCAAGACAATGTGGTCTTTATAAATAAACACATATGTATATGTAGATCAATGAAATAGAATGGTGAGTCCAGAAATAAAACCCCACAAATATATTTAACCAGTTTTTTGTTTATTTGTTTTTTTGTTTGTTTTGAGAAGGAGTCTCACTCTTGTCAACCAGGCTGGAGTGCAGTGGCGCAATCTCGGCTCATGGCAACCTCCGCCTCCCAGGCTCAAACAATTCTCTTGCCTCAGCCTCCCAAGTAGCTGTAATTACAGGCGTCCACCAACCACTCCTGGCTAATTTTTGTATTTTTTTAGTAAAGATGAGGTTTCACCATGTTGGCCAGGCTGGTCTTGAACTCTTGACCTCAGGTGATATGCCTGCCTCGGCCTCCCAAAGTGCTGGGATTACAGGTGAGAGCCACCACACCCAGACTTCAACTGATTTTTGACAAAGGTGCAAAGGCAATTCAATGGAAAAGGATTATGCTTTCAATAAATATTGCTGTAATGATTGAATGATCAGACTTATTTTTTTTACTTGTTTACTTGTTTTTATTTGTTTACTTGCTTTTATTGTTTGTTTTTTGCTTTTTGTTTAGGGGAAGATTTTTGTTTTGTTTTGTTTTGGGGGGGGGTTGGGAGAGGAGATTTGGGTATTTTGTTCTGTTTTGTTTCTAGAAACCTAACACCGAAAATGTGATGACCTGGCTGAAGTTCAAAAGATGAAAATGTGATGACCGGGCTGGAGTTCAAAAGACAGGTGAAGGAAGATTTGCAATTATTTCAGCAAGAAGATAAAAGGTCTGTATTAATTTCAACATGTGTTTTTGTGATAGAATACATAGCATTTCATGACCTATTGGTTGAGGAGAAGGAAGTGAAGGGAGAAGACTAACTTGTGACTTAGGAACCTATTTTTTGATAGTATAATAAATAAAATAGGGCATTCAGAGGCAAGAAGGGAAGAAGCTTTTAAGAATACAATAAAATTTTATTTGAGATAGGTGCATGTGAGATGGCTTCCAGGTATCAATGAGGTAATATATGAAAATATGTAGAAACATATGTCGAGTGGACAATTGAAAATAAATGTCTGCAACAGTATTAGTTTCATGTTGTTGTTTAACAAATTATTACAAACTTGGTGGCTTAAAGCAACATACATGTGTTATTTCAGCATTTCCATGGGTCAGGAGTCCAGCACCACTGCTTAGCTAGAGCATAAAAAGCAGAGAGATCACAAACTGATACCTAAATATATGGCAGACAATGCCTGAGGACTCCCTAAAATACATGGCAGTAGGAAATATTGCTGATGGGACTCTGATATTACAGCCATGAGGGTAGGGGCTTGAAACGTGAAAAAATTAGATTTCCTATTAATATGACTTCATTGCTAACCATATGAGACCCATAATATTTTGGTTACATAAAAAACTGCTGGAAAAAATAAATATTTTTTTTAAAATAAGAAGGGGAATCAGAGGTGATTAAAGTGCTGTTGAAAAGACAAAATGATGAGACACAAACCAGGAATATAATTGTTAAAGAAGACAAAGGACAAAAATGATAAGAAAGTGATATTACCTTAGCTTCTACAGAGTGATTAAATAGAATGCTAGGTGAGTCCGCTTCCAAACGCACTGTTCTATAGGTCTTACCAATAGTAAGCCTTTAGTATGGGGAGCTGGTTACACAGATGATAAAAAGCTGAAAAGCCAAATAAAACAAGGTGAGACAACCAAAAGATCAGCCACTTCAAGAAGCCCCTACTATCCCTAAGGTTAAAAGGACAGCAGGGAGAGGTAGTGTTATTATAATACAAAAATATTATAAACTGGATGGCTTAAACAACAGAAATTGTTTCTGTATTTCTCACAGATTTGGAGACTGTGAAGTTTAAGATTCGACAACCAGCATGGTCGGTGAGGGTCCTCTTCGTAGTTTGCGGATGGCCTTCTGCTTATATCGTCACATAGTGGAGGGGAAGAAAGAGAGGAAGAGCCAGAGAGCCAGAGAGAGGGTCCCCCCTGTCTCTTGTTAGAAGGAGACTAATTCTATTGTGAGGGCTCCACCCTCATGACCTAATTACCTCCCAAACGCCCCCCCATCTCCAAAACCATCACATTAAGAATTAGAGTTTCAAAATGTGAATTTTGAGAAGAGATGCCCGTTCAGCCTATAACACGTTGGAAAGTGGAACTGTAGGGGAGGAACTCTATCTGGCATCGGAGCCATGGAGGAAACTCAGTAGCTGCTGCAGGTGCTGCTTAAGACAGAAGGAGACAGTGATATCAACTCTCCACCTTCCACCAGGGCTTCCCACTGGCCCGAGCTACCCGGAAACACATAGGCAATCCTGGGAAAGGCATCCTTTTTCATGGAGGGGTTTGTTAGAGAAGGGAGAAGGGAAAAGGAAGGAGCCTGAGGTATAGAGCTGATGAAGCCCAGAGGAAGACTGGAAAGAGGCCATTTTCAGTTTGAAATCTCTATATTTAACATAAACAATCTTCAAATTTTAGATAAGAACATTGTTGCAATAATGTGACTGGCCTGAGTACAACTGAGGTGAGATTAAAACATGAAATTCTTGTTCATACATGACTTCAGAAATCAGTCTTTCTAGTCTCATTTTATTTCAAACTAACAGTCCTGTAAGAAACAAAATTATTTTCTAAGAAGTAATTAAAATCATGCAGTTGATTAAATAAAAGGAGACTAGAAAATAAGCACAATTTTACTATAGTGAGCTTTTGAATTTGGTCCAAAAATGTATCCATGGGGAAAACACATTTGCTATAAATTAATCCCCAATGTGCTTTAAACGAAAATTATTTCCAAACAAATCCAGTTTATAAAAGGTCATTGAACTTTCCCTTTGATAAAATACTCATTTCCTTAAACACTGCTGCTAAGTGTTCATGGAAAAAAAAACTGAACATGGAATCTGGAATAGCATCTAATTGAAACAGAGGCCAAGTGCCAAGGCTGTATATCCCTCACTGCCATTAATTGCTTATGCAAACTTTGGTAAATTAATTACCAAAGGATGTCTCAGCTCTGACTTGTAGTACTTAAGAATAAATATTCCTGTCCCATTAATCACACAGTTGTATTAAGGTTCAAAATAATTTGATGTTTATAAAGTACAACATGTAAAAAGTTAATAAAGTACAACATTGTAAAATTAAAAATGACTAAGTCATAAAATAGCGACAATCATTCAAAATGGGAATGTAAATTAGTTCATCCCCTATGGTAGACAGTATGGATATTTCTCAAAGAACTAACAATAGAATTACCATTTCATCCAGCAGTCCCACTACTGGGTATCTGCCAAGGGAAAAGAAATTGTTTTATCAAAAAGACACCATATTCCTATGTTTATCACAGCATTATTCACAATAGAAAAGTCATAGAATCAACCTAAGCATCCATCAGTGGTGGAATGGATAAAAGAAATGTGGTACATAGGCACCATGGTATACTAAGCAGCCATAATAAAGAATTAAATCATGTCCTTCGCAGCAACATGGATACAGCTAGAGGCCATTATCCTAAATGAACTAACTCAGAAACAAAAAATAAAATATTTCATGTCCTCATTTATAAGTGGGAGCTAAACAATGGGTACACATTAACATAAAAATGAAAACAATAGATAGTGGGGACTTCAAAAGTAGGGATAGCAGAACAGGGTGAGGATGAAAAATTTGCCTATTAAGTACAGTATTATGTTAATTATTTGCGTGATGGGGTCACTAGAAGCCTAAACCCAGCACTACACAATATATCCATGTAACAAATCTGCACATGTACTCCCTGAATCTGTAATTTTAATAATAAGAAGAACTCTTTAACAAACTTCTAAAATAATGTAGTGTACATTCACTGTTTATTGCAGAAGGAGCTTTCAGGAGAATTGCTTATATAAATTAATTGAACTGAAAAAAAAACTTCAGTAAAGTGATTCTCTAGAATATTGTAGACATTAAAATTTGCTTTCAAAAATCCCAGAACTTTGGAACTAACCAAATTTATCCTATTTGCCAGTTAAGTGTTGAAAATATTAACTGTATAATAATATAACAATTATTATTTTTATTATTATTTGTTTATTAATTTTGTTTGTTGTGGCTTTTTTAAAGTCAGGCACAATTATTTTTTGAAATATCATCAATGTTATTATCAACCCTTGAGACTGAGGGAAATGAAAACAATGAACTAGTTAAATTGAAGAGATCCTTCCGATATTGAATAATTATTAAATACATAGAAATTGCATAGGGAATAAAAACAGTTCTGTATCACTTGACAATATTATCTTATTTTAGTCTAAGACAATAACAAAAAGAAAAGATTTCCTAACAGATAAATAAACTAATATATTAATAATATATAAAGGAAACAAAGATTAACTAGGCACTCCTGCTAAACACTATAGAGGCAATACATTAACAGAAGGGTCAAGGAACACCAAGAGCCCAAATTCCAACCAGTGATGTTCATAGATGGGCTTGTAAGTCCCATGCCAAGACTCCAGCAATAAATACATTTCCATTTATTAAACCATATTATGTAAACATCAACATTACTTAAATAATATAATCTGATCCCTCTTAGTATATATTTACCCTTCTTTTTCTGACATCTAAAGTAGTTGGCATTTCCCATTATATTCTATCTTATTTTATAGCATTATTCTTCAAATATTTGATGACAGAACTGTTTTGTGTGTGGGTTTTCTTATGTTTTGCTTTATTCCAAATTATCATCTTAAGCAAGATGTTCTTTGAAAAACATTTCGGGAATACGTTTTTTAAACCATTGGTATACTTGTCTGTGGGCTGCTTTGCAAATACACTCATTGAAAAAAATGTGACATGCCTTACTCATTGGTGTATGTATAATGTTGTGCCTAGCACAGTGCGTTGTACACAAAAGATAATAGTTACTTAAAAATATGAGTCAAGGAATTCTGCTCCTTATTTGGAGAATTTGGTAGACACAGTATTTTGAGATATGACAATTTAATGTCTAAAAAGACTAAGAACTTCAAAAAACTACCATGTAAGAATGAAAAGCATAATACAAAGAATATTAGTTTAAACTTAAAGGACTTAAAAACTATAAGATTTTTTAAAATGTAGTTTAATGCCACCATTTAATTAATAAAATAAAACATTATTTTTATTTTTGATGCTTTATTTATAGATTGGTTATAAACTAGTTAAGTTTTACAGATTTTATTTTAATTTAAAAATATAGGGTGAAAAGTTTCAAGACTTCTATTTTGTTTTAATTTACGGATATTGGGTATGGAATAAAGAATGAAGAATTCAGTATTAAGAACTGTGGCATTCCGATGCTCTCTCCAATATGGCTAAAATTGTAAGGACTGAAAATACCAAGTGTTGGTGAGCATGTGAGCAAAATGCTCATGCATTGATGGGAGAAGGGAAGCTAGTACAACCACTTTGGAAACTACTTCAGTATCTAAAAAATATAAACATAATCTACATCTCAAAAATTCCATCTCAGGATATATGTCCAATGAAAATAAGTGCATATGTCCACCACACAATATGGACAATTCGTAATAGTAAAAACAGGAATAACAAGAATATCCATTAAAATAAAATAAATACATTATTATTTATTATTCATGCAAGAAATTCTAAACAACAAAGAAAAAGAATGAACTACTGCTATATATAATGACACGGAGAAATTTTACAGACATAATGTCATGTCTGTGACATGACCAAACAGACTAGCCCTCCCATTGTAAAAAACTCTATTCTCAAAATAGCTGATGTAACTTCTCAGAGGTTGGACAGCAGACAGCAAACAACTGTGATCTAAAAACAAGGAGGAAAATGAGATGAGCCCCTAAACTGCCCCATGACTATCCATACCCTGTGGAGTCTGCACAGATAGTCAGTGGTTATCTCACTAAGCCCAGGGGACAGAAATTGGAATTTAGGGCTACTGAGAAGGTTGCAATTTGCTAGCAGGATACCAGAGAAAAAGGATCTCCAAGAAAGGAGGAGGTCTAATGAAGATGATTAGATGATTGATCATCTAAACTGGAACACTGGAGAGGCAAGGAAGAGATAAGCTATTAATAATTATGCCAGGATGAAACATATGAATAGGACCTGTCTTTGGCAGGTAGGTATAATCAACCCACAACCACATTCTCCTTGCTATCACCAAGGGATTTCTGTTGAAGATGGGTTCTAAATAGTTTTCTGGAACACACAGTTTGCCTTTGTTCTGCCAGCCCCACAGAGACCACGGTAGTGCCTCTTTCACACTCTATTTTCAGGGTGCAAATAGTTCTTTTTGCATACATGCAGCGGCTTCTCCAAACCTTTAGCATCAGTCACATATTTCACCTAATCAGTTTCTATGAACACTTTTAGAAAGTGGTGATGGCTCAAATTCTGAAAATACAGTAAAAACAGTAAACTATACATTTTTAAAAGGTGAATTTCGTGGTATGTGGATTATATGTCAATTAAGCTTTAAAAAATATATTGCACTGAACATAAGACACAAACTCAAACATTTCACCAGGTAACTTCAGTTTGGGAACCTTATGTAATCTCCACCTGAGTCATGCTCCTGTAAATTTGGATCTCAGAAAGTGCCAGTGAAAAATCAGAATTTCTCTCCTATAAGGCGGGCCCTAAGCTTCATATGCAAATTAGTTCATGATGATTTCTGTATACCAAGAAGTGTGTAACAGTAGTTTTCAAACCTTAGTATATATTCATTAGAAATATCTGGAGGACTTATTAAAGAACAGCTAGGAGGTAGTGGGAGCCAAGATGGCCGAATAGGAACAGCTCCAGTCTACAGCTCCCAGCGTAAGCGACGCAGAAGATGGGTGATTTCTGCATTTCCATCTGAGGTACCAGGTTCATCTCACTAGGGAGTGCCAGACAGTGGGCTCAGGTCAGTGGGTGCACGCACCATTCACGAGCCGAAGCAGGGAGAGGCATTGCCTCACTGGAGAAGCGCAATGGGTCAGGGAGTTCCTTTTCCTAGTCAAAGAAAGGGGTGAGAGCACCTGGAAAATCAGGTCACTCCCACCTGAATACTGCGCTTTTCCAATGGGCTTAAAAAACGGTGCACCACGAGATTATATCCCGCACCTGGCTCGGAGGCTCCTGTGCCCACGGAGTCTCCCTGATTGCTAGCACAGCAGTCTGAGGTCAAACTGCAAGGCGGCAACAAGGCTGGGGGAGGGGCGCCCGCCATTGCGCAGGCTTGCTTAGGTAAACAAAGCAGCCAGGAAGCTCAAACTGGGTGGAGCCCATCACAGCTCAAGGAGGCCTGCCTGCCTCTGTAGGCTCCACCTCTGGGGGCAGGGCACAGACAAACAAAAAGACAGCAGTAACCTCTGCAGACTGAAATGTCCTTCTCTGTCAGCTTTGAAGAGAGCAGTGGTTCTCCCAGCATGCAGCTGGAGATCTGAGAACGGGCAGACTGCCTCCTCAAGTGGGTCCCTGATGCCTGACCCCCGAGCAGAATAACTGGGAGGCACCCCACAGCAGGGGCAGACTGACACCTCACACGGCCAGGCACTCCAACAGAGCTGCAGCTGAGGGTCCTGTCTGCTAGAAAGAAAACTAACAAACAGAAAGGACATCCACACCAAAACCCATCTGTACATCACCATCATCAAAGACCAAAAGTAGATAAAACCACAAAGATGGGGAAAAAACAGAGCAGAAAAACTGGAAACTCTAAAAAGCAGAGCGCCTCTCCTCCTCCAAAGGACCACAGTTCCTCACCAGCAATGGAACAAAGCTGGACGGAGAATGACTTTGACGAGCTGAGAGAAGGCTTCAGATGATCAAATTACTCCAAGCTATGGGAAGACATTCAAACCAAAGGCAAAGAAGTTGAAAACTTTGAAAAAAATTTAGAAGAATGTATAACTACAATAACCAATAGAGAGAAGTTCTTAAAGGAGCTGATGGAGCTGAAAACAAAGTCTCGAGAACTACGTGAAGAATGCAGAAGCCTCAGGAGCCAATATGATCAACTGGAAGAAAGGGTATCAGCGATGGAAGATGAAATGAAGGAAATAAAGTGAGAAGGGAAGTTTAGAGAAGAAAGAATAGAAAGAAACGAACAAAGACTCCAAGAAATATGGGACTATGTGAAAAGACCAAATCTACGTCTGATTGGTGTACCTGAAACTGACGGGAGAATGGAAGCAAGTTGGAAAACACTCTGCCTGATATTATCCAGGAGAACCTCCCCAATCTAGTAAGGCAGGCCAACGTTCAGATTCAGGAAATACAGAGAATGCCACAAAGATACTACTCGAGAAGAGCAATTGCAAGACACAAAATTGTCAGATTCACCAAAGTTGAAGTGAAGGAAAAAATGTTAAGGGCAGCCAGAGAGAAAGGTTGGCTTACCCTCAAAGGGAAGCCCATCAGACTAACAGCGGATCTCTTGGCAGAAACTCTACAAGCCAGAAGAGAGTGGGGGCCAATATTCAACATTCTTAAAAAAAAGAATTTTCAACCCACAATTTCATATCCAGCCAAACTAAGCTTCATAAGTGAAGGAGAAACAAAATACTTTACAGACAAGCAAATGCTGAGAGATTTTGTCACCATCAGGCCTGCCCTAAAAGAGCTCCTGAAGGAAGTGCTAAACATGGAAAGGAAAAACTGGTACCAGCTGCTGGAAAATTATGCCAAAATGTAAAGACCATTGAGACTAGGAAGAAACTGCATCAACCAACGAGCAAAATAACCAGCTAACATCATAATAACAGGATCAAATTCAAACACAAAAATATTAACTTTAAATGTAAATGCACTAAATGCTATAATTAAAAGACACAGGCTGGCAAATTGGATATGGGGTCAAGACCCATCAGTCTGCTGTATTCAGGAAACCCATCTCATGTGCAGAG
Organism: Homo sapiens; assembly: GCF_000001405.40. Taxonomy (NCBI): domain Eukaryota; kingdom Metazoa; phylum Chordata; class Mammalia; order Primates; family Hominidae; genus Homo; species Homo sapiens. Next base: position 50,282,348 of record NC_000005.10, read on the forward strand.
ACACACATAGGCTCAAAATAAAAGGATGGAGGAAGGTCTAACAAGCAAATGGAAAACAAAAACGGCAGAGGTTGAATCCTAGTCTCTGATAAAACAGACTTTAAACCAACAAAGATCAAAAGAGACAAAGAAGGCCATTACTTAATGGTAAAGGGAACAATTCAACAAGAAGAGCTAACTATCCTAAATATATATGCACCCAATACAGGAGCACCCAGATTCATAAAGCAAGTCCTGAGTGACCTACAAAGAGACTTAGACTCCCACACATTAATAATGGGAGACTTTAACACCCCACTGTCAACATTAGACAGATCAACGAGACAGAAAGTCAACAAGGATACCCAGGAATTGAACTCAGCTCTGCACCAAGCGGACCTAATAGACATCTACAGAACTCTGCACCCCAAATCAACAGAATATACATTTTTTTCAACACCACACCACACCTATTCCAAAATTGACCACATACTTGGAAGTAAAGCTCTCCTCAGCAAATGTAAAAGAACAGAAATTATAACAAACTGTCTCTCAGACCACAGTGCAATCAAACTAGAACTCAGGATTAAGAATCTCACTCAACACCGCTCAACTACATGGAAACTGAACAACGTGCTCCTGAATGACTACTGGGTACATAACAAAATGAAGGCAGAAATAAAGAAGTTCTTTGAAACCAACGAGAACAAAGACACAACATACCAGAATCTCTGGGATGCATTCAAACCAGTGTGTAGAGGGAAATTTATAGCACTAAATGCCGACAAGAGAAAGCAGGAAAGATCTAAAACTGACACCTTAACATCACAGTTAAAAGAACTAGAAAAGCAAGAGCAAACACATTGAAAAGCTAGCAGAATGCCAGAAATAACTAAAATCAGAGCAGAACTAAAGGAAATAGAGACACAAAAAACCCTTCAAAAAGTTAATGAATCCAGGAGCCGGTTTTTTGAAAGGATCAACAAAATTGATACACCGCTAGCAAGACTAATAAAGAAAAAAAGAGAGAAGAATCAAATAGACGCAATAAAAAATGATAAAGGGGATATCACCACCGATCCCACAGAAATACAAACTACCGTCAGAGAATACTACAAACACCTCTATGCACATAAACTAGAAAATCTAGAAGAAATGGATAAATTCCTGGACACATATACTCTCCCAAGACTAAACAAGGAAGAAGTTGAATCTCTGAATAGACCAATAGCAGGATCTGAAATTATGGAAATAATCAATAGCTTACCAAGCAAAGAGTCCAGGACCAGACGGATTCAAAGCAGAATTCTACCAGAGGTACAAGGAGGAACTGGTACCATTCCTTCTGAAACTATTCCAATCAACAGAAAAAGAGGGAATCCTCCCTAACTCATTTCATGAGGCCAGCATCATCCTCATACCAAAGCCGGGCAGAGACGCAACCAAAAAAGAGAATTTTAGACCAATATCCTTGATGAACATTGATGCAAAATCCTCAAAAAAATACTGGCAAACTGAATCCAGCAGCACATCAAAAAGCTTATCCACCATGATCAAGTGGGCTTCATCCCTGAGATGCAAGGTTGGTTCAACATATGCAAATCAATAAATGTAATCCAGCATATAAACAGAACCAAAGACAAAAACCACATGATTATCTCAATAGATGCAGAAAAGGCCTTTGACAAAATTCAACAACACTTCTTGCTAAAAACTCTCAATAAATTAGGTATTGATGGGACTTATTTCAAAATAATAAGAGCTGTCTATGACAAACCCACAGCCAATCTCATATTGAATGGGCAAAAACTGGAAGCATTCCCTTTGAAAACTGGCACAAGACAGGGATGCTCTCTCTCACCACTCCTATTCAACATAGTGTTGGAAGTTCTGGCCAGGGCAATTAGGCAGGAGAAGGAAATAAAGGGTATTCAATTAGGAAAAAGGAAGTCAAATTGTCCCTGTTTGCAGACGCCATGATTGTATATCTAGAAAACCCCATTGTCTCAGCCCAAAATCTCCTTAAGCTGATAGGCAACTTCAGCAAAGTCTCAGGATAAAAAATCAATGTACAAAAATCACAAACATTCTTATACACCAACAACAGACAAACAGAGAGCCAAATCATGAATGAACTCCAATCACAATTGCTTCAAAGGGAACAAAATACCTAGGGATCCAACTTACAAGGGACATGAAGGACCTCCTCAAGGAGAACTACAAACCACTGCTCAATGAAATAAAAGAGGATGCAAACAAATGGAAGGACATTCCACGCTCATGGGTAGGAAAAATCAATATTGTGAAAATGGCCATACTGCCCAAGATAATTTACAGATTCAATGCCATCCCCATCAAGCTACCAATGACTTTCTTCACAGAATTGGAAAAAACTACTTTAAAGTTCATATGGAACCAAAAAAGAGCCTGCATCGCCAAGTCAATCCTAAGCCAAAAGAACAAAGCTGGAGGCATCACACTACCTGACTTCAAACTATACTACAAGGCTACAGTAACCAAAACAGCATGGTACTGGTACCAAAACAGCATGGTACTGGTACCAAAACAGAGATATAGATCAATGGAACAGAACAGAGACCTCAGAAATAACGCCGTATATCTACAACTATCTGATCTTTGACAAACCTGAGAAAAACAAGCAATGGGGAAAGGATTCCCTATTTAATAAATGGTGCTGGGAAAACTGGCTAGCCATAAGCAGAAAGCTGAAACTGGATCCCTTTCTTACACCTTATACAAAAATGAATTCAAGATGGATTAAAGACTTAAACGTTAGACCTAAAACCATAAAAACCCTAGAAGAAAACCTAGGCATTACCATTCAGGACATAGGCATGGGCAAGGACTTCATGTCTAAAACACCAAAAGCAATGGCAACAAAAGCCAAAATTGACAAATGAGATCTAATTAAACTAAAGAGCTTCTGCACTGCAAAAGAAACTACCATCAGAGTGAACAGGCAACCTACAAAATGGGAAGAAATTTTTGCAACCTACTCATCTGACAAAGGGCTAATATCCAGAATCTACAATGAACTCAAATTTACAAGAAAAAAACAAACAACCCTGTCAAAAAGTGGGCAAAGGAAATGAACAGACACTTCTCAAAAGAAGACATTTACACAGCCAAAAAACACATGAAAAAATGCTCACCATCACTGGCCATCACAGAAATGCAAATCAAAACCACAATGAGATACCATCTCACACCAGTTAGAATGGCGATCATTAAAAAGTCAGGAAACAACAGGTGCTGGAAAGGATGTGGAGAAATAGGAACACTTTTACACTGTTGGTGGGACTGTAAACTAGTTCAACCATTGAGGAAGTCAGTGTGGTGATTCCTCAGGGATCTAGAACTAGAAATACCATTTGACCCAGCCATCCCATTACTGGGTATATACCCAAAGGAGTATAAATCATGCTGGTATAAAGACACATGCACACGTATGTTTATTGTGGCTTTATTTACAATAGCAAAGACTTGGAACCAACCCAAATGTCCAACAGTGATAGACTGGATTAAGAAAATGTGGCACATATACACCATGGAATACTATGCAGCCATAAAAAATGATGAGTTCATGTCCTTTGTAGGGACATGGATGAAATTGGAAATCATCATTCTCAGTAAACTATCGCAAGAACAAAAAACCAAACACCGCATATTCTCACTCATAGGTGGGAATTGAACAATGAGAACACATGGACACAGGAAGGGGAACATCACACTCTGGGGACTGTTGTGGGGTGGGGGGAGGGGGTGGGATAGCACTGGGATATATACCTAATGCTAGATGAGGAATTAGTGGGTGCAGCGCAGCAGCATGGCACACGTATACATATGTAACTAACCTGCACATTGTGCACAAGTACCCTTAATCTTAGAGTATAATAATAATAAATTTTAAAAAATCAAAACAAACAAACAAAAAAAACAGCTAGTTTCTGATCCCACAGGTCTGGGAGGGGTTTCAAAGTTTGCAATACTAACAAATTCTCAAGTAATGCTTACACTGCTCTTCCAGGAGCTACACTTTGAAAATCATGCTAAGCCTTCATGTACCAAAAAATAAGCCATTAAATACAAAAGATCACTTATACTCTTCTGCCAGGTGCCTATTTGTCTTATATTTGCAAAACCAACAGCCTTCCTGGGCTCAGGTGACCCTTCTCCATATCAAAAGAAAAAATTTCAGCATCTCTAAATTATAATATTAAAATTGAACCTGTAAAAGAGGAGAAACATATTTCAGGTGATAAACAAGAAATTCAACCTTGTGGTGACATTGCAACATCTAGGAGGAAATGTTGTTGGATGTTGATGGTTTAGGTGAGAGGAAAGTAGTTAATAGTTCAGATTTTTGAGTGAGACTTTCTTGGGAGTAGTGCTTCAGTGAAGGACAACTGATAACAAGGGTCTATGCTTATAGGAAGCTCCAAAATTAGGGGAGGAAGAAAAGTTAAGAAGGAATCAAGAGAGTGGGTAATTTAGAAGCAAATGCAGAGTAGGATGGTGCTAGGAACGCAGGCAAAGCCATGTTAACAAGGCAGACAGCAGTGTAAAAGGCAGAAGAAAAGTATGGTCTGAAAAGGGAGTCTTGGATTTTTAAAAGACAGAACAAGGTAATTTTGGAGCTGGCAACAATCTAAATGATGATATAAGGCAAAGTTTTTTTAAAAATTTGCCCATTTCCCTTAGTTAGAGATGCAGTTTACATGTCAACAATACAAGTTATATGTCAACAATACAGTTTATATGTCAACAATACAGTTCACATGTCAACCATACAAGTTAAACAGTAAAGTGAAAGTTTTTGTGTGTGTGTTTGTTCTGTTTTGTTTTGTTTTGTTTTGTTTTGTTCTGTTTTGTTTTGAGATGGATTCTCACTCTGTCTCCCAGGCTGGAGTGCAGTGGTGCAATCTCGGCTGGATGCAACCTCTGCCTCCCAGATTCAAGCGATTCTCCCTCCTCAGCCTCCCGAGTAGCTGGGACTACAGGTATACAGTACCACGTCTGGCTAATTTTTGTATTTTTGGTAGAGACGGAGTTTCAACATGTTGGCCAGGCTGGTCACGAACTCCTGACCTCAGGTGATCCACCAGCCTAGGCCTCCCAAAGTCTTGGGATTACAGGCGTGAGCCACCACTCCCAGCCTAAAGTGAAAGTTTTTTAAAGAAATGCACGTCTCTATTTTCTACTTCATTTGGTCAAGTAATGGGTCATGACATGAACTTGAAAAACCACTGTTCTAGGTTAGCCTACTCGTTTCACTGAGGAAAGTAAGGCTGAAAGTATACAGGACCATAGCAAATCCAATATTCACATGAAGGATCCTGACTTCTAGTCTACTGTAAGGCCAAGTTAATCACCCTAGGGAAGGCATTTTTCATGGCCTTGAGTTTATAAAACACCTCAGCCTTAAATGCTTTTCATATTTTAGCCTTTGAATGTTTATTGTTGTGACAATGTATATAAACATTGAGATTTCTGTTCCACCTACCACAAAAATTACTCTATTAAAAATACAAGAATATAGTTTATAAGTACACTAGCTTGATTCCAGGTACCATTGATTTTGTTTGTCTACTTAATTGTGTTTTCCAAGTATTAGCTCTGGACCTCCTAACAGGCAGCCTTCACTAATCCCTGAGAGTTCTGATCCTTTGCTCTTTTCACTCTATTGCTCTAGTACCCAATTGCCTGGCAAGAAGAATAGAGTAGAAATGCTGGAGTCCAAGAAATCTGGTTCAAAAATAATTTGTGCAATTTTTAGCTGGACATATTGGACAGGTCCTCTTTTCTCTGTGATCTCTGTTTTTCTCATGTTTAAAATCTAAATAACACAGTCAATTTCATGTTATATCTAAATGAAATACTGCAATAGAGTACTGCACAAACATGCAATTATTTATTCTCTTACCCAGACAAGGCAGCTCAGTGCCTGGCATAAAGTGTCATTCAATAAACATAGTTACCTACGCTCATTTCTACATCCCTCCAAGGTACTGCTCTCCCAACAATTAAGTCCTGTTCTAAATTCAGTCTTATGCCTCTACTGTTACACCTATGCCAAAGCTAGCATGAATGATTTGAGAGTCTACCGAAGGGAAAAAAATCTGGTTTTCTCTGAACAACACATCCATCCAGGAGACTTATCATTAGAAAAACCAGTAAAGAGAGGATCAGAGCTAGCTGAAAATAATTTTTCAACATGGTAAATAGGTATTATGAGATTTTCCCTTTGAAATGACTTGGTTTAAACCTCTCTTTATATATAGCGCTTCACAATAGTTGATATTTTACATTTGTTTATTGATCTAACCCTTCCTATCCAACTGTAAACATCTTGAGGGCAAGGTCTGTGTCCTCTTTTTCTTAGAATTCTCTCATGGCATTCATCTCAACTGTCTTCCTACAAAAAACTATTGTGTGTGTTGCACCAGTAAGATTGGGTTTTATACAGGTTTAGGGTGAAGTATGGTACATAAAGGTTTTCCCTCTGAAATCCATGCTGTTCTTAGCAGAGAGCAGTGAGTAACCAGTCCATTATAGGAATGAACAAACAGCCTGCATTCTGTAAAAGTTTCCAAGGAAATACTACCTATAGGGTCTTCTCAGTAGAGATTTAGGCAAACAGACTAAAAATAAAACCAGTGCTACAGTCCCTCTCTCCCAACAGCTTCAAGAACGTGCTTTGATTTGAAACAGATAGATTTGCTTTGAGCACAATACTCCTGACGGCCAAAACATAACACAAATATTCTTTCTGATACTTTAGAATACCCAAGGCCCACGATTCAGGAAAAACACCTGTAAAAAAATGACATCAACTCTATAAAAGTTTCCAAAATAAAATTGCTAATGCTGTTTAGCTTGATTCATGTAAATATTTTTAAGGGAAACATTCTAGACTCCTTTTCATACCTCAGGACTATAATAAATCAGATATAAAAAGACTATAAGTCCCTAGAATTCAGTTGATAATTTTTAAATATCTATTTTAAGCTGTTTACAGATCGCAGAATTCTCAGATAGAGGCCTCATCTGATTTCTTCCTTGTAATCATTCTGGGAGATACTACCGTTTTACTTATATTTCATAGATGAGGAAACTGAGTGAAGTGATTTTTCTACAGTCATCACCCAAGGTCAATGCTTCCACATTTTGAACTGTTTTTTATTCTTTAAATCATGCAGTTTCTCTACAGTTCTTTGGTACTATAGTGTTTTAATTTTCCTTTATTCTATCTTGGTGTCCAAGGAAAATTTTGCTTATGAGGTACTTTCCTCTAGCATAGTTACCATGTGATGGCAAATTCCACCTTGAATCAGAGCAGTAGGAAAAATAACAAAGGAAGAATCACAAAGAGCATCTGCTGATGATAACAAAGGCTATAGAGAGGCTGGAATGGAAAATTCTGGGAACAAGGATGGCGCTTCCCTTAAAAGCTACACAGCACTTTATGCATGGATTTTTAACAATTTTTCTTTCAGTCATCGGGACATGACAATGATCTAGAATGTAGAACTGTAGTAAGCAATTTTAGGTGAGCTATTGGTAAAAAATTACCTGAGAGTTAGCATGTGCTACCACAATTTATATACAACCTGAAAATTTTATGATACAGCGTTAAATAAGAATGGCTTAGCTAAATAGTGTGTGTAAGCAATAACCTTCCACTGTCTTTATGTCTTCACAATAGCAGCAGATACCTACCAGGATTGACTCATGCCATTCTGTCTTAATGGGTCTGCTTTCACAAGTTTTTCTATTGCTTCAATAATGCGAATCCAACTATATTCCTTTGCCTTAATTAAGTTTTTTCAATTACATTCTAAATCTTACATGTTTCATGCCAATTTCCATAACTATCAGCTTTAATGTGACACTTTAGAAAACAGAATTTCAAATATCAAATATGCATTCCATATTTCTTTAAAAAAAACTGTTCCAATACTGAGTTTCCAGATTCATTTATTTGATCAAAAATTTAGTAATAAGCTGGTATTTTTTAAAAGCCTAAAGTTATTTGGGAAGCAATTGGGGAAATTTTAATTATGAACTAGAAGTTAGGTGATAGGAAATTATATTAATTTTGTTAGGTATCATTGTAAAATTGTGGCTTGTAGACAAAAGTATGTTTAGGAAATATTGAAGTATTTCTAGGTAAAGTGTAATGATACATGATGCTTATTTATTATGATTTCAATAAAAAATTATGTGTATGTATAGAGAGATAGATGTATTTTATGGCAATCTATAAACATCTATAGATATATATCTATATCTATCTGTATATGATAGAGTGCTGCATATTTATAGATGACAATAACAATTAAGCAAATAATAGAAAGTATAAAACATTAAATGTAGGTTGCCGTTACTGTGCTAACTGTATCAGTTTTGTGGATATGTATTAATTGTATCAATTTTGCATCTTTTCTGTATATTTGCATATCTTCATATTAAAATGTTGGGGGAAAAATGATTCTGTCCTACTTGCCTGGGCAAAGGCACTTGAAGTTGCAAAAAGAATAAAACTAAGTCCCTGGCTTCATAGTTCAATAGTCTAATTAAAGATACATAAATATATATAATCACTGTAATTTGTATTGCACTAGTAGTAAGGAGCAAAATCTTGAGAGCACAGAAGAGGAAGAGAATAATTTTACTTAAAGACATCAGACAAACACTTCTCAAAGGGACTGATGCATATACAGGGGTTAAAAACAACACACAACCAGGGAGAGCATGTAGGGGCACAACTGCAGAAACACGAAACAGCACACTCAGAGGGATTGTGATGCAGGCGAACCCCAAAATGTTCTGCCCATCTCAGGAGGGTTTTCGGCTTCACTCAGGAAAGATTTCAAGAGCCAGCCAAAAGTGAAAGGATGCAGATTTATTTGAGCAACAGCATTCAGCAAAATGGCTGAACCATAGATAGAGCAGGGAGAATGCATAGGCAGAATAGCCCAGAGTAGCACTCAAGAATTGTTGGCTAGCTATATTTATACCTATTCTCAATTATATACTAATGAAGGAGTGGGTTATTCACAAACTTTCCAGAAAAGGAGTGGAAAGTTCCCAGAATGATATTAGGTAACTTTCTGGTTGTTGCCATGGCATCATCTGTAAACTGCCACAGCACTGGTGAGAGTGTCTTATGCAAATGTATTATAATTAGAGTAAATGAGCAATTAGGTCAACTAGAGGTCTCTTTGGTTGCTGTCTTGGTCCTAGCTGATTTGGGGCAGTTTCTTTCCTACGTCTTGTTTGGATTAGCAGTGTGGGAAAACAAGTCCTGCTTATCTCCTACCTCAGCTGGACCAGAGTATGAATAGAAAGAGAAAGAAAGATGAGTCTGCAACAATGCCACAAGAAGGCTGGAGATTTGATAAGAAGCAGAATATATTCTGCTAAACATTTGCAACATTTTTCTGGAGCTAGTATGAATCCATTAAAAAATTATGACAAAGGGAATGATATGTTCATTAACCAGTAAATTCCCAGCTGAATAGTTGTTCACACTCCTACATCAAACAACTTTTCTGTTAGTGTCATATAAAAGTGACCTTAGAATTTCCCACAATTTGAAGAAAATCATGGACATTTTTTCTGACTGGACAAGCTATGTCTAGCCAATTGAACCCAAGAGAAATCATGCCATTTTCTTGTCGATAAACATTAAACAGTGGAACCTGTTAATGACAGAACTATACATAGACATGTATCATTTAAGAAAATGAGGCATGCAAATATAAGGATAAAAACTAAACCAAAAAAAGAGATAATTTAAGGATGATTGTTCACATTATTAAAAGATGATTAATTTTAAAGAATTTTTTCCTTCTGTGTGAATCCACCAAAGAACACTGAAAATTTTTGTTCTAAGATAATTGACTCTTCCTTTGGAGCCCATGAACAAAACTCTCCCAAATTACTAGGAGCCACGTGATTCTAAATACAATGGCAAATGAAGATAAGGACCAGTGAAGTGATTATGCCAGGTTTCTTGGACTCCAGCATTCTAATTCTGTTACTATCCTTGCCAGGTAGAAAAAACTGTTTCAATATGCACTTCACACTTTTAAAAAAATACCCCTTTTATAATAAGGGTGCTACACCTGTACTGTTGTCCGATTTTGTTGAAGCCTATATTCATCTATTAAAATTTGGCCAATGAATGAGTAGTTTGGTTGCACATGCAGAATCAATTTCTTGAGTTTTTCATTTCAATTTTTTCTTGACGGAACGTGCATACTGAATACTGGAGGAAGTACATTTTAAGGAGTTTCTTATTTTACTTTTGTCAGATGCTATTGAGAAGTGACAGCGTGCTGGCAGCCCTCACAACCCTTGCTCACTCTCGGCACCTCCTTGGCCTCAGTGTCCAATCTGGCCACACTTGAGCCCTTCAGCCCACCGCTGCACTGTGGGAGCCCTTCTCTGGGCTGGCCAGGCTGGAGCTGGCTCCCTCAGCTTGCAGGGAGGTGTGGAGGGACACATGGGGGTGGGAACAAGGGCTGCGCACAGCACTTGAAGGCCAGCGCGAATTCTGGGTGGGCATGGGCTAGGCATGTCCCACACTGGGAGCTGCCAGCAGGCGCTGCCACCCCAGGCAGTGAGGGGCTTAGCACCCAGGCCAGCAAGTGCGGAGGTTGCACCAGTCCCCCAGCAGTGCTGGCCCTCCAGTGCTGTGCTTGATTTCTCTCTGGGCCTCAGCTACCTCCCCATGGGGCAGGGCTCAGGACCTGCAGCCTGCCATGCCTGAGCCTCCCCAAGGCCATGGGATCCTGTGCAGCCTGAGCCTCCCCATTGAGCGCTGCCCCCTGCTCCAGGGCGCCTGGTCCCATCAACTGCCCAAGGGCTGAGGAGTGCTGGCAGAAAGGCATGGGACTGGCAGGCATCTCCACCTGCACCGGGGTGTGGGATCCACTAGGTGAAGCCAGCTGGGCTCCTGAGTCTAGTGGGGACTTGGAGAACCTTTATGTCTAGCTAAGAAATTGTAAATAGACCAATCAGCACTCTGTGTCTAGCTCAAGATTTATAAATACACCAATCAGTGCTCTGTGAGAACTAGGAGAACTTTTGTGTCTAGCTCAGGGATTGTAAACACATCAATCAGCACCCTGTCAAAACGGACCAATCAGCTCTCTGTAAGACAGGCCAATCAGTTCTCTGTAAAATGGACCAATCATTCCTGCTTTCTCTTGTGGGCATTTAGTGCTGTAAATTTCCCTCTACACACTGCTTTGAATGTGTCCCAGAGATTCTGGTATGTTGTATCTTTGTTCTCCTTGGTTTCAAAGAACATCTTTATTTCTGCCTTCATTTCATTATGTACCTAGTAGTCAATCAGGAGCGGGTTGTTCAGTTTCCATGTAGTTGAGTGGTTTTGAGTGAGTTTCTTAATCCTGAGTTCTAGTTTCATTGCACTATGGTCTGAGAGATAGTTTGTTATAATTTCTGTTCTTTTACATTTGCTGAGGAGAGCTTTACTTCCAAGTATGTGGTCAATTTTGGAATAGGTGTGGTGTGGTGCTGAAAAAAATGTGTATTCTGTTGATTTGGGGTGGAGAGTTCTGTAGATGTCTACTAGGTCCACTTGGTGCAGAGCTGAGTTCAATTCCTGGGTATCCTTGTTGACTTTCTATCTCATTGATCTGTCTAATGTTGACAGTGGGGTGTTAAAGTCTCCCATTATTAATGTGTGGGAGTCTAAGTCTCTTTGTAGGTCACTCAGGACTTGCTTTATGAATCTGGGTGCTCCTGTATTGGGTGCATATATATTTAAGATAGTTAGCTCTTCTTCTTGAATTGATCCCTTTACCATGATGTAATGGCCTTCTTTGTCTCTTTTGATCTTTGTTGGTTTAAAGTCTGTTTTATCAGAGACTAGGATTGCAACCCCTGCCTTTTTTTGTTTCCCATTTGCTTGGTAGATCTTCCTCCATCCTTTTATTTTGAGCCTATATGTGTCTCTGCACATGAGATGGGTTTCCTGAATACAGCACACTGATGGTTCTTGACTCTTTATCCAATTTGCCTGTCTGTGTCTTTTAATTGGAGCATTTAGTCCATTGACATTTAAAGTTAATATTGTTATGTGTGAATTTGATCCTGTCATTATGATGTTAGCTGGTGATTTTGCTCATTGGTTGATGCACTTTCTTCCTAGTCTCGATGGTCTTTACATTTTGGCATAATTTTGCAGTAGCTGGTACTGGTTTTTCCTTTCCATGTTAGCACTTCCTTCAGGAGCTCTTTTAGGGCAGGCCTGGTGGTGACAAAATCTCTCAGCATTTGCTTGTCTGTAAAGTATTTTATTTCTCCTTCACTTATGAAGCTTAGTTTGGCTGGATATGAAATTCTGGGTTGAAAATTATTTTCTTTAATAATGTTGAATATTGGTCCCCACTCTCTTCTGGCTTGTAGAGTTTCTGCAGAGAGATCCGCTGTTAGTCTGAAGGGCTTCCTTTGAAGGTAACCCGACCTTTCTCTCTGGCTGCCCTTTACATTTTTTCCTTAATTTCAACTTTGATGAATCTGACAATTATGTGTCTTGGTGTTGCTCTACTCGAGGAGTATCTTTGTGGCGTTCTCTGTATTCCCTGAATCTGAACGTTGGCCTGCCTTGCTAGATTGAGGAAGTTCTCCTGGATAATATCCTGCAGAGTGTTTTCCAACTTGCATCCATTCTCCCCATCATTTTCAGGTACACCAATCAGACGTAGATTTGGTCTTTTCACATAATCCCATATTTCTTGCAGGCTTTGCTCGTTTCTTTTTATTCTTTTCTCTCAAAACTTCCCTTCTCACTTCATTTCATTCATTTCATCTTCCATCACTGATACCCTTTCTTCCAGTTGATTGCATCGGCTTCTGAGGCTTCTGCATTCTTCACGTAGTTCTTGAGCCTTTGTTTTCAGCTCCATCAGCTCCTTTAAGCACTTCTCTGTATTGGTTATTCTAGTTATACATTCTTCTAAATTTTTTTCAAAGTTTTCAACTTCTTTGCCTTTAGTTTGAATGTCCTCCCGTAGTTCAGAGTAATTTGATCCTCTGAAGCCTTCTTGTCTCAGCTCGTCAAAGTCATTCTCTGTCCAGCTGTGTTCCATTGCTGGTAAGGAACTGTGTTCCTTTGAAGGAAGAGAGGCGCTCTGCTTTTTAGAGTTTCCAGTTTTTCTGTTCTGTTTTTCCCCCTTCTTTGTGGTTTTATCTACTTTTGGTCTTTGATGATGGTGATGTACAGATGGGTTTTTGGTGTGGATGAAGATCCAAAATTGACACCCTAACATCACAATTAAAAGAACCAGAAAAGCAAGAGCAAACACATTCAAAAGCTAGCAGAAGGCAAGAAATAACTAAAATCAGAGCAGAACTGAAGGAAATAGCGACATAAAAAACCCTTCAAAAAATTAATGAATCCAGGAGCTGGGTTTTTGAAAGGATCAACAAAATTGATAGACCACTAGTAAGACTAATAAAGAAAAAAAGAGAGAAGAATCAAATAGATGCAATAAAAAATGATAAAGGGGATATCACCACCGATCCCACAGAAATACAAACTGCCATCAGAGAATACTACAAACACCTCTATGCAAATAAACTAGAAAATCTAGAAGAAATGGATAAATTCCTGGACACATACACTCTCCCAAGACTAAACCAGGAAGAAGTTGAATCTCTGAATAGACCAATAGCCGGATCTGAAATTGTGGCAATAATCAATAGCTTACCAACCAAAAAGAGTCCAGGACCAGATGGATTCACAGCTGAATTCTACCAGAGGTACAAGGAGGAACTGGTACCATTCCTTCTGAAACTATTCCAATCAATAGAAAAAGAGGGAATCCTCCCTAGCTCATTTGATGAGGCCAGCATCATCCTCATACCAAAGCCGGGCAGAGACGCAACCAAAAAAGAGAATTTTAGACAAATATCCTTGATGAACATTCATGCAAAAATCCTCAATAAAATACTGGCAAACTGAATCCAGCAGCACATCAAAAAGCTTATCCACCATGATCAAGTGGGCTTCACCCCTGGGATGCAAGGCTGGTTCAATATACACAAATCAATAAATGTAATCCAGCATATAAACAGAACCAAAGACAAAAACCACATGATTATCTCAACAGATGCAGAAAAGGCTGTTGACAAATTTCAACAATGCTTCATGCTAAAAACTCTCAATAAATTAGGTATTGATGGTACGTATTTAAAATAATAAGAGCTATCTATGACAAACCCACAGCCAATATCATACTGAATGGGCAAAAACTGGAAGCATTCCCTTTGAAAACCGGCACAACACAGGGATGCCCTCTCTCACCACTCCTATTCAACATAGTGTTGGAAGTTCTGGCCACGGCAATTAGGCAGGAGAAGGAAATAAAGGGTATTCAATTAGGAAAAGAGGAAGTCAAATTGTCCCTTTTTGCAGGCGACATGATTGTATATCTAGAAAACCCCATTTTCTCAGCCCAAAATCTCCTGAAGCTGATAAGCAACTTCAGTAAAGTCTCAGGATACAAAATCAATGTACAAAAATCACAAGCATTCTTATACACCAACCACAGACAAACGGAGAGCCAAATCATGGGTGAACTCCCATTCACAATTGCTTCAAAGAGAATAAAATACCTAGGAATCCAACTTACAAGGGATGTGAAGGACCTCCTCAAGGAGAACTACACACCACTACTCAAGGAAATAAAAGAGGATACAAACAAATGGAAGAACATTCCATGCTCATGGGTAGGAAGAATCAATATCATGAAAATGGCCATACTGCCCAAGATAATTTACAGATTCAATGCCATCCCCATCAAGCTACCAATGACTTTCTTCACAGAATTGGAAAAAACTACTTTAAAGTTCATATGGAACCAAAAAAGAGCCTGCATCACCAAATCAATCCTAAGCCAAAAGAACAAAGCTGGAGACATCACACTACCTGACTTCAAACTATACTACAAGGCTACAGTAACCAAAACAGCATGGTACTGGTACCAAAACAGAGATATAGATCAATGGAACAGAACAGAGACCTCAGAAATAACGCCACATATCTACAACTATCTGATCTTTGACAAACCTGAGAAAAACAAGCAATGGGGAAAGGATTCCCTATTTATTAAATGGTGCTGGGAAAACTGGCTAGCCATATGTAGAAAGCTGAAACTGGATCCCTTCCTTACACCTTATACAAAAATGAATTCAAGATGGATTAAAGACTTAAACGTTAGACATAAAACCATAAAAACCCTAGAAGAAAACCTAGGCATTACCATTCAGGAAATAGGCATGGGCAAGGACTTCATGTCTAAAACACCAAAAGCAATGGCAACAAAAGCCAAAATTGACAAATGGGATCTCATTAAACTAAAGATCTTCTGCACAGCAAAAGAAACTACCATTAGAGTTAACAGGCAACCTACAAAATGGGAGAAAATTTTCACAACCTACTCATCTGATAAAGGCTAATATCCAGAATCTACAATGAACTCAAACAAATTTACAAGAAAAAAACAAACAACCCCATCAAAAAGTGGGCAAAGGAAATGAACAGACACTTCTCAAAAGAACACATTTATGCAGCCAAAAAACACATGAAAAAATGCTCATCATCACTGGCCATCAGAGAAATGCAAATCAAAACCACAATGAGATACCATCTCACACCAGTTAGAATGGCAATCATTCAAAAGTCAGGAAACAACAGGTGCTGGAGAGGATGTGGAGAATTAGGAACACTTTTACACTGTTGGTGGGACTGTAAACTAGTTCAACCATTGTGGAAGTCAGTGTGGCGATTCCTCAGGGATCTAGATGTAGCAAAGAGTTGGAACCAACCCAAATGTCCAGCAATGATAGACTGGATTAAGAAAATGTGGCACATATACACCATGGAATACTATGAAGCCATAAAAAATGATGAGTTCATGTCCTTTGTAGGGACATGGATGAAATTGGAAATCATCATTCTCAGTAAATTATCGCAAGAACAAAAAACCAAACACTGCATATTCTCACTCATAGGTGGGAATCGAACAGTGAGATCACATGGACACAGGAAGGGGAACATCACACTCTGGGGACTTTTGTTGGGTGGGGGGAGTGGGGAGACATAGCATTGGGAGATACACCTAATGCTAGATGACGAGTTAGTGGGTGCAGCGCACCAGCATGTCACATGTATACATATGTAACTAACCTGCATATTGTGCACATGTACCCTAAAACTTAAAGTATAATAATAATAAAAAAATTAAAAAAAGAATGAACCAATCAGCAGGATGTGGGTGGGGCCAGATAAAGGAATAAATGCAGGCTGCCCTAGCCAGCAGTGGCAACCCGCTCAGGTCACCTTCCCTACTGTGGAAGCTTTGTTTTTTTGCTCTTTGCAATAAATCTTGCTGCTGCTCGCTCTTTGGGTCTGCACTGCCTTTATGAGCTGTAACAGTCACCACGAATGTCTGCAGCTTCACTCCTGAGCCAGCGAGACCACGAACCCACCAGAAGGAAGAAACTCCGAACACATCCGAACATCAGAAGGGGCAAACTCCGTACACACTGCCCTGAAGAACGGTAACACTCACCGCGAGGGTCCACGGCTTCATTCTTGAAGTCAGTGAGACCAATAACCCACCAATTCCAGGCACACTATGTACATAACTTTAACTTCTTAACACATAAGATATTCCAGCTTCACTTCTCAGACTTCAACCTTTTACTGGTTTTAACGTAACACTATTTAATTTTTCTCTAACAAATGAGGAATACAAATGAAGAAATACAAATGAGGAAATAATTGCTTATAATCATATGGTTGAAATCTAGTATTGAAGACAAATAATAATTTTGAATCCAAATGTCTACTTAAGACATAACTTTAGGAAATTTTAGGACTCAGGATTATATGCCTAAATGTAGTTCCTTGACTGATTTCTGGAAAAGTATTCAAAAAAAGGATAAGAGACAAGAAAACTTTGCAGTGAATGACATTATAGTTCTCAATAAGCACTTTTACACCATATCCTCGGGAAGAACTGGAACATTTGCTAGGCTTTTTCCAACTTGAATTCCCAAGCTATCAATTAGAAATGGAAAATTACATAAATCGTGCTTGTAGCCCACAGTAACTATTCAAACTTTTGTTTCTCTTAGGATCCTTAGTTATACCTCTAAAAGAGAACACAGAAAAGAAACAAAGAAGTCTTCAGTTACTTAAAACAAAGATATAGAGTAGAAAATACAAACATCTGGATTATTTTTTTACATCAAGAAGCATCTAGGATAATCTGCTTAACATTTTCCACTGAATACATGGCATAGGAAATTTAATATGGCCCTCAGGGAGCCAGAGACATAGCACAAAGGTGCCATCTAAAATGTGAAATATTTAAAGTGCCAGTATGACTCTTTAAAACGTTTGCAAATTTCACATTCTACTCCTTGATCTATCAATGTTTATTTTAATATAAAAACGGTTTCTGCCACCTACATGTTAAATTAACACTTTTCACAAATCTTTGCATGAAATCAATGCTCTCAAAAATAGTGTCATGTGCATTTTAGGTTTTGTATATCTGAGTACACCTCTAAATATACCCATACCCATTTTTACATAGCTTAAGAAGCATGACCTATGCACAATCTAAAGGTTTCTGTGTTAAGAGCACACTCCTAAGGATAACGCTGAAGCCTCCAGGGTTCCAGAGATGGAGGACTGCCTGCTCTCCAGTTGTTGAATGTTGTCAATGTGTTAGACTTTTTTATTACTTAGGAAAACAGGTGGTACATGTACTACTGTGTTGTACTTGAGGCCAGAGAAGAGGAAGAATTTGCTCTCTTTAGTTAAAATAAGGAGAGTTCAAATAAAATTCAATGCTTCTCTCAGCTTGTCATGTTCATTATAAGAATACCAAATATCATTTAGTTGCAAAATGGCATAATAATCACTTTTCTACTAGAAATCAATAGTGAATCATTAATAATATGAATACTAATAATACCTTCATAGTTCCCTCTCTCTGTTTCTCTCCCCCACTCCCCCTTTGTCTCTCAATGTTGTTATTAATAATTTTTTTCTATTTCTGGGAAGTTTATACATTCCTGCATAAACTTCTACAATTTTTCTATTAGGGTTTATTTCTTAAATGGAAAGAAATAAGATCTACCTTTCCCTCCCCAGATGTATTAATGCTTGGCTGGAGAAGCTAATCACAAAACCTAATTAGCATGCTACCCTTTGCAGCTGTGGGTGCTACTGAAGTGTCCTTCATTCATATTAAAATCTTCATTTTTGTGGAGGCTATAGAACAAGTAACATAATATCTGGTGGACTGGCTAAAATATGCCACACAATTCAGTTGGCTAAATTGCAATAAACTGAAAAAGTAAATGGCTAAAAAATAGTGTTTTATTCATTGGGGCTCTTCTTGAAAACAAGTATGCACGCTTTTTTAAAAAAGACAGAGACAAAATCTAAAGTACCTAAGAAACACCAGGTCCTTTTCAATGAATTATGAGCAGTTGGTTATTTCTCCCAAGTAACTGTGAACACAGATTGTAAAATATTAATCAGCTTCAGCCTCTATTTATCATGCAGCAAAGATGGAAACCTCAGACACAAATGTTATTAGCCATGACTCAGGTCATTTGGAAAAGTATCTTCTGGAGCTGGCAAGGGTGGGTCAGAAGTTCAGGACAAATGTGATTGGACAGTAGAAAGTAGAATGATGTCACTGGTTAAGTCAGCTGAGACAGGTAGTCTGAAGGCTGCACCTTAATTCTCATACCATCTTCATAACCGTCAGATAAAATTAATGACACATTCCAAACAACAAAGGACTGTTGTTTGGTACAAATTACTTGCAAGGTCACTGCATGTGAACACCACATACTTTGTTAACCTCAGGCTGAGATAATCAAGAGGGAAATAATGAATTTGATTCCAACAAACCCCCAATAAATGACAAAGTTTTTAATTTTTTCATTCAATTACCATCATAATTCATACACATAAGTATAATTATTTGCCTTCATAGAACTGAGGCATTAATCTGATGATAGTAAAAAAATACAGACCCATGCAAATAATAATTTTAGGGCAAAATGCATATATGGATGACCAGAATAAATAGATGAATAACGAACTTTTTAATGATTATACAATATCCGGCATGAGACCAACGGTTTTACACACACTATATCATTTAATCTTCAAAACTATGAGAAGATAATACTATCATCCTATCCATTTTGTAGACAAACAACTAAGGTACAGTGAGATAATAACTTGCCCAATGTTGTTGCAGATATTGTCAGAACACCTAGGTTTGAATCTCAACCTAATCACCTACTAACTGGGTGTACTGAAAAATACAGAAAGCTGTTCAATATTTTAAATATTTTAAATATAACAATAACATATCACAATAATATTCTGCCAGTGTATGAATATGGAGAGAAAGAGGGAGAGGGAGAAAAAGAGAGAGAGAGAGAGAGATTTTGTGCCTTTATGGAAGGGCAAGTTTTCCTTTCTTCTAGCTAATAGCATCTTGAAGAAGACATGTTTTGACAAAGGTAATGCCCTCCAGTTATATTTCATTGAAGAGGTCAGTGGCTGAGCAAACCCGAATGACTGTACAGCCATTCAATTTACCAGAAGTTTCAAAATCATTTTTAGATGGTATGTCAAATTATATTTTAGTGTACTAGGTTTTATTAGGCATCTTTATTGTCTTACTTATTGATGTGATGAACACTGCATGTCATACTGCCTGAAAAGGTTACAAAAATAACTTAGCATAAGAAATTTAAATAATGGCTGAAGAAGATATGAAAAATACAGCAGAAGCTGGCTGTATAAGAAATATTGACTGATATATCCTATATGTAGAGTGTAACGGCAATTTTTGTAACAACTTACATAAGAAAGCTGTCCAATATTTTGAATTATTTCAGTAACATCAAAATTTCTTATTAACACAATATATTTAATTTGCCAGAACTATACTATTTAGTAGAAAGCTTATGGTACTTCAATTTTAGTAACATATAGCTTTATTCTTTTTGTGGATTAGCATGAATTCCATGGGAGGTTTGTTAGTATTGAATGACCTAGAGACTAAACGCTGGAGTCAGATAATGGGTTGGAGGGCTGGCAGCACATTGTTTTTCAGCTGTGTGATCTCAGAGGTATTGTTTAAGTTCTCTGAAAGCCAATTTTTCTATCTCAAATTATAGCACTTAATTGTATACTCCTAAAAAGTAAAGAAAAAAGTAATATAAAGCAAGAAAAGGACTTACTACAGTATCATGTACCTGGTAAATACCAGTTGTTGTAAAATATTATATTTTATTAAAATATAGTATTATTTTCCATTTCCAGGTGTGATGCTGTGAGTACCTTCCATCCTGCCTCTCCCACTCACTGCACCTAAAAATCTTGGACACAATGTATGGAGCTGCTATTCAAGAACTCTGAAAAGTAGTGGCAGAGATATTGTGGAAGAAAACCAGAATTAGAAGTTCTCTGAATGGTTGATGAGTTTATCATTTTTATTGCTCCCCAGTATTTCTCAACCTGGTTTCAATAAAGCCTCAGATCTTCAAACAGAAGAGCTGAGGAGAAGCCTTCAGCTCCAGCTCAAGGATTAGGAAAGGAGGTTCATAATGCTCAGAGAGAAAAATGGAGAGCTCTCATTTGTTTTCTTTTCATTTCTGTCTCTTGCCCCAGCCTATGGTGATTAAAACTCTGGGGAAGGAAAAATAGCCTCTCTGTTAAGAGGAACTGTGGGTACAAAATTAGGGGCATACCTTACTGCTTTTTATGTCTCTCTATTCTCCCACTGCTTGGCTCCAGACATGAGCACATTCAAGGGAAATGAGTGTCAGTACTGAGTAAATAATATCCCGTATTTCCAGCTAGATGAGTCACAGTGAATCAGAAAGTACTCATGACATTGCAAAGAGGGAGAAGCCTGGGACAGTGACCCTATAGTTTATAAGCTGTTGAATCCACCATTGAGCTCTACATATGTGGTTTTAACCCTAAGCAGTATACCGTAGACTTCGAAACTGAACTAAGATGTAGATCAGTACTCAGGTCTCACAATGGCCACTGGGTAGTACATAAGTAGGGAAGATCCACATGGTACTAAAAAGACTTTGACAACAGAATTAACATTGTAACTACAACCGATAGAAAGCTGGTTCGAACCTGTGGCCTGAATGTCATTGGATGTTTTGCCTATTAAAAAAAAGTCAACATTCTACATAGAATTTAATAAGACTCAAAGTCTCATAATGTAATATACAAAATGTTCAGGATACAATCCCAACTTACTTAGAATATGAAGAACCAGGAAAAGCTCCATTTGCATGGAAAAAGATAATAAATAAAGACCAACACTGAGCTGACAGAAATGCAAAAATTGTTTGGCAAGGACTTTAATAATAGCAAGAGCTATTTTTTAAATGTTGCAAAAAGTATGGACAAAAACTCTTGAAATGAATGGAAAGCTAGAAAGATAATTATGAAGAAGAATTAAATAAAAATTCTCAAGGTAAAATAATAATAAAAATTTTAAAATATCACTTGATGGGCTTAATAGCAGAATGGAGCTAACAGAGAAATAAATAAACTTGAAAAGAAATCAACAGAAAAAATGTAATCCTCTTAACACAGAAAAAAAATTCTTTTTAAATAAATGAACTCAGAAAACTGTGGAGAAATACCAAAAGACTTGATGTTTGCATAAACAAAATCTTAGAAAAAGAAGAGAAAAGTGTGGTGTAAAAAATAAATTTAAAGAAATAATAGATAAAAACATCCCAAATTTAGTGAAAACTTAACGTACCTATTCAAGGAGCTGTTTAAAGCTCAAATAGGATCAACATAAAGAAATCCATACCCACGACACATCACAATCAAACTGTTGTAAACCAAAGGTAAATAATCCTGAGAGTGGCCAAAGGAAAATGTCACACTACTTCTAACAGGAAATGATTTCCAAAAACTGGAGATTTCTCATCAGAAACAACAAATGCCAGAAGGAAGTGGAATAACTTTTATTAAGTGATCAAAAAAATTGAACATCGGGCTTCTATATGCAGCAAAAATATTTTAAAGAAATAAGGATGAAATGGAGACTAACGAAGGAAAAAATAGAATACTCAGAATTAGCACAACTGCCTTAAAATAATTACTGAAGAAAGCTCCTCAGGCAGAAAGGAAATTACAACATAAGGAAGTTTTGAACATCAAGAATGAAAAGACCATAATAGAAATGATAATATATGAGTAAATATAATAGACTATTTTTATCTTCATATTTTTAACATATATTTGATGGATGAAAGAAAAAATAACATTTTCCGATGGAGTTTTGAAGTATGTAGATATAATATGTAAGACAACTACATTGACAAGAAGGGTAAAAAAAGCCTATATGGTAATATAATTTTTATATCACACTTGAAGTAGTAAAATTTTGACCCTTAATAACCTGTGAAAACTATGCATTTGTAAACTCTAGAGCAGCCAGTAAAGAGTGGCTCAAAGAAATATAGTAAAATACAATCAATAATATAGTAAAATATATTGAAATAAGAAAGCAAAAAAAGGGGAGACATCACAACAAATAATAAAACTAACTTTCAGAAAATATATAATGGTATACCTAATTCCAAACATGTCTATCATTACATTAAATGTAAACAAAATAAACATATAAATTAAAAGTCAGTGATCATCAACATGGATTTGAAATAAAGTTTTATATATATATATAAAAATATATATATACTCCATGCAATAATGAATCAAAGGAAAGCTGCAGTGTTTATATTAATATCAGAAAAAGTAGGCTCTAGAGCAAAGAAAAGTTTTAGGAATAAATAGGGACATTATGTGATGATAAAAAGAATCAATACACGATGATAAAAGTAGTTCAGCAAAAGACTTAATAAATCTAAACGTGAATTCATCTAACTAAACACTCAAATACATAAAGTAAAAACTGAAAAAACTAAAGTGAAAAGGAGTTAATATCACCGATATAGCTGGAAACTTCAACACTACTCTCTCAGTGATAAATTGAACTAGTAGTAAATAGAAAATCAACAAGGTGTAAAACTGAACAATGTGATCAATCCACAGAATATAAGTGACATTTATAGAACACTCCTTTCAATAAAAACACAATGCCCATTATTTTCAAATACATATGGATAATTGCTAAGACAGAACATATCCTAAATGATAAAGTAACTGTTAACAGACTTAAGTGAAATAAAATTGTACAAAGCATATGGAATTAAACTAAAATTAATAATATATATCAGGTAAAATCTCCAACACTTGGGAATTAAACAACCCATTTTTAAATGAACCATGATTCTAGGAGTGACCTTCAAAGAAAATAAGAAAGTAATTTAAGTTAAGTGGAAGTAAATAACATATTATAATTTACCAGAAATTAGATGAAATGCAGGTAAGGAAGAGCTTAAAGGAATATTTATAGTGTCAAATGCTTATCGTAGAAAAAGAAAAACTCAAATCAATAAACTAAGCATCCACCTAAATAAACCAAAGAAAGAAGAACAATATAAAACCAAAGAAAGCAGGAGAAAGTAAATAATAAAAATAAAAGCAGAAGTCAAGGAAATAAACACCAGAAGTGAAACAACTTTTGTAAAGTGGTGAAAGAAAAAAAAAGGGAAACCAGATAATCAGAAGTAGAGAAATAGAGAAAACTTAGGAAACGAAATCTGGGTCTTTGAAAAAGTTAATAAAATTGATAAAGTTCTAGCATGACTGACAAAGAAAAAAGAGAGAAGGCACAAATTGCCAGTACTGGAAATGAACAAAAGGCTATGACTACAGAGCATTCAGACATTAAAATGGCAATAATGGAATATTATAAAAAACTCTATATAAATAAAATCAACAACTTAGATGAAATGGACTAATGAGTTGAAAACTACACGCTACCAAAACTCACCCAAAATGAGGTAAATAATCTGAATAGTTTTATAATTATTTAAAATCTTAAATCTATAATTAAAATCTTCTGAATAAGAGGTCTACAGGCCAACATAGTGTCTCAGATGATTTCTACCGAACATTTAAGGGAAGTCCTAAGAAAATAAAATTAAACTTTAAAAAATAAAAGAAATAATTTTTAAAATCTTAATACATCTTAAGAAAATAGAAGAACAGTAAATACTTCCTAACTCATTTTATGAACACATCATTGACCTGATACTAACATGAAAAAATGTTCATCATCACTGGCCATCAGAGAAATGCAAATCAAAACCACAATGAGATACCAGTTAGAACGGCGATCATCAAAAAGTCAGAAAACAACAGGTGCTAGAGAGGATGTGGAGAAATAGGAACACTTTTACACTGTTGGTGGGACTGTAAACTAATTCAACCATTGTGAAAGTCAGTGTGGCGATTCCTCAGGGATCTAGAACTAGAAATACCATTTGACCCAGCCATCCCATTACTGGGTATGTACCCAAAGGATTATAAATCATGCTTCTATAAAGACACACGCACAAGTATGTTTATTGCAGCACTATTCACAATAGCAAAGACTTGGAACCAAACCAAATGTCCATCAATGATAGACTGGATTAAGAAAATGTGGCACATATACACCATGGAATACTATGCAGCCATAAAAAATGAAGAGTTCATGTCCTTTGTAGGGACATGGATGAATCTGGAAACCTTCATTCTCAGCAAACTATCGCAAGGACAAAAAACCAAACACCGCTTGTGCTCACTCATAGGTGAGAACCCATTAACTGCACCCATTAACTCGTCATATAACATTAAGTGTATCTCCTAATGCTATCCCTCCCCCCTCCCCCCACCCCACAACAGACCCCAGTGTATGATGTTCCCCTTCCTGTGTCCATGTGTTCTCATTCTTCAATTCCCCCCTATGAGTGAGAACATGCAGTATTTGGTTTTTTGTCCTTGATATAGTTTGCTCAGAGTGATGGTTTCCAGCTTCATCCATGTCCCTACAAAGTACATGAACTCATCATTTTTTATGGCTGTATAGTATTCCATGGTGTATATGTGCCATATTTTCCTAATCCAGTCTATGATTGATGGACATTTAGGTTGGTTCCAAGTCTTTGCTATTGGGAATAATGCTGCAATAAACATATGTGTGCAAGTGTCTTTATAGCAGTATGTTTTATAATCCTTTGGGTATATACCCAGTAATGGGATGGCTGGGTCAAATGGTATTTCTAGTTCTAGATCCCTGAGGAATAGCCACATGGACTTCCACAATGGTTGAACTAGTTTACAGTCCCACCAACAGTGCAAAACTGTTCCTATTTCTCCATATCCTTTCCAGCACCTGTTGTTTCCTGACTTTTTAATGATCGCCATTCTAACGGTTGTAAGATGGTATCTCAATGTGGTTTTGATTTGCATTTCTCTGATGGCCAGTGGTGATGAACATTTTTTCATGTGTCTTTTGGCTGCCTAAATTTCTTCTTTTGAGAAGTGTCTGTTCATATCCTTTGCCCACTTTTTGTTGGGGTTATTTGTTTTTTTCTTGTAAATTTGTTGGAGTTCATTGTAGATTCTGGATATTAGCCCTTTGTCAGATGAGTAGGTTGCAGAAAGTTTCTCCCATTGTTTTGCTTTGCAGAAGCTCCTTAGTTTAATTAGATCCCATTCGTCAACTTTGGCTATTGTTGCCATTGCTTTTGGTGTTTTAGACATGAAGTCCTTGCCCATGCCTATGTCCTGAATAGTAATGCCTAGCTTTTCTTCTAGGGTTTTTATGGTTTTAGGTCTAATGTTTAAGATTTTAATCCATCTTGAATTCATTCTTGTATAAGATGTAAGGAAGGGATCCAGTTTCAGCTTTCTACATATGGCAAGCCAGTTTCCCAGCACCATTTATTAAATAGGGAATCCTTTCCCCATTGCTTGTTTTTCTCAGGTTTGTCAAAGATCAGATGGTTGTAGATATGCAGCATTATTTCTCAGGGCTCTATTCTGTTCCATTGGTCTATATCTCTGTTTTGGTACCAGTACCATGCTGTTTTGGTTTGAAGTCAGGTAGCGTGATGCCTCCAGCTTTGTTCTTTTGGCTTAGTATTGACTTGGCAATGTGGGCTCTTTTTGGTTCCATATGAACTTTAAAGTAGTTTTTTCCAGTTCTGTGAAGAAAGACATTGGTAGCTTCATGGGGATGGCATTGAATCTGTAAATTACCCTGGGCAGGAGGGTCATTTTCACGATATTGATTCTTCCTACCCATGAGCATGGAAAGTTCTTCCATTTGTTTGCATCCTCTTTTATTTCCTTGAGCAGTGGTTTGTAGCTCTCCTTGAAGAGTTCCTTCACATCCCTTGTAAGTTGGATTCCTAGGTATTTTATTCTCTTTGAAGCAATTGCGAATAGGAGTTCACTCATGATTTGCCTCTCTGTTTGTCTGTTGTTGGTGTATAAGAATGCTTGTGATTTTTGTACATTGATTTTTTATCCTGAGACTTTGCTGAAGTTGCTTATCAGCTTAAGGAGATTTTGGGCTGAGGCAATGGGGTTTTCTAGATATACAATCATGTCGCCTGCAAAGAGGGACAATTTGACTTCTTCTTTTCCTAATTGAATACCCTTTATTTCCTTCTCCTGCTTAATTGCCCTGGCCAGAACTTCCAACACTATGTTGAATAGGAGTGGTGAGAGAGGGCATCCCTGTCTTGTGCCAGTTTTCAAAGGGAATGTTGAGATATTTTTCACCACCGGGCCTCCCCTGAAAGAGCTCCTGAAGGAAGTGCTAGACATGGAAAGGAACAACCGGTACCAGCCACTGCAAAATCATGCCAAAATGTAAAGACCATTGAGACTAGGAAGAAACTGCATCAACCAATGAGCAAAATAACCAGCTAACATCATAATGACAGGATCAAATTCACACATAACAATATTAACTTTAAATGTCAATGGACTAAATGCTCCAATTAAAAGACACAGACTGGCAAATTGGATAAAGAGTCAAGACCCATCAGTGTGCTGTAATCAGGAAAACCATCTCATGTGCAGAGACACATATAGGCTCAAAATAGAAAGGTGGAGGAAGATCTACCAAGCAAATGGAAAACAAAAAAAGGCAGGGGTTGCAACCCTAGTCTCTGATAAAACAGACTTTAAACCAACAAAGATCAAAAGAGACAAAGAAGGCCATTACATAATGGTAAAGGGATCAATTCAAGAAGAGGAGCTAACTATCCTAAATATATATGCACCTAATACAGGAGCACCCAGATTCATAAAGCAAGTCCTGAGTGACCTACAAAGAGACTTAGACCCCACACATTAATAATGGGAGACTTTAACACCCCACTGTCAACATTAGACAGATCAACGAGACAGAAAGTCAACAAAGATACCCAGGAATTGAACTCAGCTCTGCACCAAGAGGACCTAATAGACATCTACAGAACTCTCCACCCCAAATCAACAGAATACACATTTTTTTCAGCACCACACCACACCTATTCCAAAATTGACCACATACTGGGAAGTAAAGCTCTCCTCAGGAAATGTAAAAGAACAGAAATTATAACAAACTATCTCTCAGACCACAGTGCAATCAATCTAGAACTCAGGATAAAGAATCTCACTCAAAACTGCTCAACTACATGGAAACTGAACAACCTGCTCCTGAATGACTACTGGGTACATAACAAAATGAAGGCAGAAATAAAGATGAGCTTTGAAACCAATGAGAACAAAGACACAACATACCAGAATCTCTGGGACACATTCAAAGCAGTGTGTAGAGGGAAATTTACAGCACTAAATGCCCACAAGAGAAAGCAGGAAAGATCCAAAATTGACCCCCTAACATCACAATTAAAGGAACTAGAAAAGTAAGAGCAAACACATTACAAAACTAGCAGAAGGCAAGAAATAACTAAAATCAGAGCAGAACTGAAGGAAATAGAGACACAAAAAGCCCTTCAAAAAATTAATGAACCCAGGAGCTGGTTTTTTGAAAGTATCAACAAAATTGATAGACTGCTAAAAAGACTAATAAAGAAAAAAGAGAGAAGAATCAAATAGATGCAATAAAAAATGATAAAGGGGATATCACCACCGATCCCACAGAAATACAAACTACCATCAGAGAATACTACAAACACCTCTATGCAAATAAACTAGAAAATCTAGAAGAAATGGATAAATTCCTGGACACATACACCCTCCCAAGGCTAAACCAGGAAGAAGTTGAATCTCTGAATAGACCAATAGCCGGATCTGAAATTGTGGCAATAATCAATAGCTTACTAACCAAAAAGAGTCCAGGACCAGATGGATTCACAGCTGAATTCTACCAGAGGTACAGGGAGGAACTGGTACTATTCCTTCTGATACTATTCCAATCAATAGAAAAAGAGGGAATCCTCACTAACTCATTTTATGAAGCCAGCATCATCCTGATACCAAAGCCGGGCAGAGACACTACCACAAAGGAGAATTTTATATCAATAACCTTGATGAACATTCATGCAAAAATCCTCAATAAAATACTGGCAAACTGAATCCAGCAGCACATCAAAAAGCTTATCCACCATGATCAAGTGGGCTTCATCCCTGGGATGCAAGGCTGGTTCAATATACACAAATCAATAAATGTACTCCAGCATATAAACAGAACCAAAGACAAAAACCACATGATTATCTCAACAGATTCAGAAAAGGCCTTTGACAAATTTCAACAACTCTTCATGCTAAAAACTCTCAATAAATTAGGTATTGATGGGATGTATTTCAAAATAATAAGAGCTATGTATGACAAACCCACAGCCAATATCATACTGAATGGGAATGTGCTGGTCTTTAAACTTCCTCATGAGCCTGTAGTGATTTAAAGATTCTGGATTTCAATAATCCCTCTTTAGATGTTTATAAATATGTCCTTGTTATTAAAGAGGTGGTTATCTAAAAATATTTTATTAAGATTTTTTTGAAAACATTACTTCTCCTCCAACTCTTATATTGTAAAAAAAGAGACCTCTGTTTACTTCACTTGTCAAAGTGTATGTAACTTCTGTTTCTAAAATGTCTTGCTCAAGATTCTGAGAGCTAAGCTGACTACAGAACTAAACTTCATCTTATAGTTAATTGAATTTTTTAGTTAACCCTCAATGCACTGAGCAGAAACTGGAAACTTCTGTGAGCCTAGGCAAAGTGCTATAGTTACATCCTGTAGTGCTGAAGTATGTGGAAGTCAAATGCATTACAGCTACTTATTGCATTTCTGTTGAATTCCATTTCTTGAGATAATACATCTCATAAACCTTTATAGACACAAAAAATGTTTGGGCTACGTACAAACCCGCAATCCTCACTGGGCTATGCCCTCACATCGTTTGGTACTATTTCTGTATGTAAATACCATGTTTCCCGGAAGGGGTTGGGGGTCGAAAGGTTTTGTCCCTTAGATTGTATTTGTAGTTAAAATTGTTATTTAACATTCTTGCTTCCTTATTCTCAAGTTACTAATTTACAAAAATAATGAAATAAATATTACTATTCTCTGGAAAAAAGATTTGATAACACAAGAGATCAAGGGAAACTCCATCCTGGGACTTTGCCTAGCATTTCTGTTACGCCTTAGCAGTAAGTCAGATACTAACTAAATCACAAACATATTAACGATTACAATGCTCACTTCTAGGGAGCCTTGTATCAGTTAAATTGCGACAATGTTGAGTGACAGAGTCTTGCATGGATTAAATTATAATTTCGTTGTATTTGAGGAAAGTGGAATACTCTGTGGATCAATCTGGCCTGACACAGGCCCATCATTTGGTTTATTGAACAAGCGAAATGAAGTACAATGGGATATGTGATTTCACATTAGAAACTTAACTTTCCTGTGGAAAAATGGAATTTCAGAAATTGAAAATATGTGTGAGTATGTTTACCATGGTTCAGTCAAAGGAATTCTGGGACTCATATGGCAGAAAGAGACATGAGGGACTCTGAACCCCAATGAATCCACTTATTTCCTTTTTTTTTTTTCTTGAGACAAGGACACACTCTGTCATCCAGGTGGGAGTGCAGTGGTGCAATCATGCTCACTGCAATCTTGAAATCCTGGCCTCAACCAATCCTTCTCCCTCAGCCGCCCCAGTGGCTAGGAATACAGATGTGAGCCACCATGCCCAGATAGTTTTTTTATTTTTTATTTTTCTTGTAAAGATGAGATCTTGCTAGCATGTCCAGGCTGGTCATGAATTCCTGGCCTCAAGTGATGCTCCTGCCTTGACCTCCCAAAGCACTGGGACTATTTACTTTGTCAAAAGGAAAGGCTGAGGCACATATGTCTGAAGTAATTTGGCTAAAGTAGTGCCAAAAAATGCCAGAGTTTACTCAATATCTTGTCACCCATATTATTTCTACCAGCCCAAAACATTTCTGTACAATTGACTCTAAAAGTAAAAGTAACAAAAAAGAAGCTAACTCAAGTCGTTTCAGTTGCTTCTTTCCCCAGTTCATTTATTAAAATTTAATTTAATAATCTAGTTAGGCATTTAGATTAATTACAGTTCAGGAAATATAACCAATACTTCAGAATGAGACATTTGATCATAGTTCAAGATTTACGAAAGGCAGTTAAGAGAAACATCCTAACAATTGAGGAAGGGGCGTCTACACACAGCAAGTCATCAATCATCTCTGTTTGGCAGCCCTCGGGGAACAAGTCTATTCATTTCTCACTCTGGGTATAACATTCACCAGATATTAAGGAATGTGGAAAATTGGCATGGAAAACTGCTAACTGTCCCTACTTCTCAGTAATCAGCAAACAAATTTCAGGAGAAAGGATGATCAGATGGAAACTTAATGCTCTTTCCCTGGAGTAATACTAGTCCCTTATCAGGCAGGAAATGAGGATTGTTTCATGAACTAACCCTTACAATGCAAGGCTGACTTTCTACAAAATGTCTAAGATTTACTTTAGAGAAGCATTTTATATTTTCTCTCCTATCCCCTTATCTTTTTTTATTCCCTTTTCCTACGTTTTTTTCCTTCTGTGTTCAACACACATATCTTTGTCTCTTTCTTTATAAGAAGGAAGATTCATTTCTTAGGGGAAAACAAAATAATTACGTCTACTTTATAAGTTTTCTTCTTATTTCTTTCAACTTCTTAGTTCTAAATGATACTGAAGAAAAAATAAACTTAGAGTTTATTTAA
This sequence comes from Homo sapiens, assembly GCF_000001405.40. Taxonomy (NCBI): domain Eukaryota; kingdom Metazoa; phylum Chordata; class Mammalia; order Primates; family Hominidae; genus Homo; species Homo sapiens. The sequence goes on from NC_000005.10 coordinate 50,313,624, forward strand.
AAAAAATACGGCATCTAGAAAAAAAAAACAGTGACTCCCCATCCAAATTTAACCACCCTTCACATCTTGTCATTTTAGATCACTTTATCTTTTGTATTCACTCTCTCATTTCCATAGGGATTGCACACACTCATTATAAAGAATCAAACAATACAGGATGTACAAAGGCAAACACTAAGAACTCACCCCAAAACAACCACTGAGAAATTATTCTCATTACCATTAGGTGACTGTCATTCTAACTTATTGGAATAAATAGAGATAACAAAGTGAAAATGTACAAGGGAGACTGGCGGATAAATTGATAAGTGGATGGAAAGAAGATAGATGCTAGTAATATTTTTATTAAAAGAAATCAGAATAAAGAGGGTTTTTTAAAAAAAATTAAAAACATTCCAATTATTTCATTTATATTGACTTAATTTAATAATGAAAAAGCAAAACTAAACAATTTGAACATTGAATTATTCTTTACTATGCAAAATATTGTTTCCTAAAGTATCTCATGAAGGTGTAAATGAGAAAAGAAAACAGAGCATGCATACTTTCGACTAGTGTGAACCATGTGTTTCTATTTCTACTGACCCCTTGCTTTGAAGGCTAGAGGATTTTAGCATTCTCCCCTGTCTTCTCATCTTCCTTGCCTCAAGCACCTTGAACATTTGTATTAGCTATACTATCTTATTAATATATCTCAGGTTTATATTATATCACAGGCATTATTTTCTGTTATATATCCATTATTACCATTTTGCTCAGTGTGAGTCCTGTGTTTCAATGGTTTCAATATTTTCAACTAGTCTTTATTAGACTACATGGCTTTAGTTTTGTTGTTTGTTTGTTTATAATCCTGAGATGTTGTTATTAGTCCTATTCTAGGGATACTATCTCACTAAGGTTGTCAGGTCTAGCAAAGAAAAATGCAGCATACACAGGTAAATTGGAACTTCAGATAAGCACTAATTTTATATTAGTATAAGTATGTCCCATACAATATTTGAGATATACTAAAATAATATTCATTGTTTATCTGAAATTCAGATTTATTGGGATGTCTTGTATTTTTATTTGCAACAAGATGTCTAGTTAACTAGAAATTTCAGATAAACAGTATGTAATTGTTATTATTAGTAAGTATTTAGTCTGGCAACTTTTTACTCCATTGAGTTTGGAGTGAAAGTAGGGAGGAAGGGTAGGCCATTGGTGGGAGAAATGGCATTAAACTATGGATTATTTCCTCAGTTTGAGGTAACACTAGTGTTTCAATTCCAAAGGCCTATTAGTCTTTTTTTCCTTGCACTTCTCCTATTAGAGGTCTCCACTACGCTTCTTCAGAAGTAGAGGGGAAGAAGGATCAACACTTTATTTTGTACCAGGTTTGGGGACATGAGTGGAAATTCATATCCATACCCAAGAGTGTTTGTGGACTTGGGGAGAGAGTGAGGAAAAACACCAGGCTGTGCTTTTCTATTCTGTTTGGAAATGTATGTTTTATTCTTCACCAACAGTTTTGTTTTACTTTTCCTTGTTTGTTTGCTGCCATTTAAAATTAATGTATGCTATTGACCCTGTGGAGATGGTATTAGTAAATTTATTGAGTTGGTTCTTTGTTTCCCCCTTTTCCTTTCGCTCATGTTTTTAAGTTTTGGGAGGGCAAGTGGAGTCCATGAAGAAGTTATAATCTGTTTTCTTATCCCAGAAAAACGATCTTTAGAATTTCCACTGAATCTACACAACCTGAAATTATTTCAGGTAAAATCTTGTAGAAACAAACGCAAGTTTTCAACACTTGGGTTGTAGTACAGAGTGCCTGCAACTCGGGCCCTTGAATCAAACTGTCTGAATTCAAAGCCCAGTTCTACCTTCCCTATCTGAAAACCTGAGCAAAGCACTATCACATGATGCTTCACTTTCCCACTTGGCAATGAAGCATAAGAGCAAACCTTCTTACGAGATGTTTTCTGAAAATAAGATGAAATAAGGCATGTTTCTTAGAGTGTCTGGCATGTGCAAAATGCTCATTAAACATTGACCCCCCTTTTTTTTTTTTTTTTTTTGAGATGGAGTCTCACTCCATCACCCAGGCTGGAGTGCAGTGGTGCGATTTCAGCTCACTACAACCTCCACCTCCCAGGTTCAAGCGATTCTCCTGCCTCAGCCTCCCAAGTAGCTGGGATTACAGGTGCTCGCGACCATGCCCAGCTAATTTTTTGTATTTTTAGTACAGACGGGGTTTCACCATGTTAGCCAGCATGGTCTCAATCTCCTGACCTCATGATCCACATGCCTTGGCCTCCCAAAGTGCTGGGATTACAAGCATTAGCCACCACGCCCGACCAATGACTATTATTATTTCAACCATTAAAGAATATCCTACTTTTAGAATTGCAAAATGTTAAAACTGGAAGAACCCTTCACACTTACTCAAAAATTTTTAAATGCATGGAGTAGTTTATTCTTTCTAGGTGTGGTAAACAATAAGATACTGTTATCCAAATGTCACATTCTCTCAGCGTTGTTGCTTTCCTGGAAAGGAGGTGTTATTGAGAAACTTGTGATTTTACTATAGTTAGAAAAAAACCCACTATATTTAGAATATTTTTTTCTAGATCACGGTAACTTCAGGAACTGGGAACCTTCTGGGTCTCCAACTGGGGATTTTTTTCATTGTTGATGCTCAGTGAAAGAGGGGAGTTTGAATGAGGAACAGACAAGGCAATACAGGCAAGACTCTCAAATTCTTTGTAGCTTTGATGCCTCCCTCTCTGACAAGGAATGTCCCTTCCTAGCGTGACACTATCTGTGGCTGGCTTTCTCCCCAGAAGGCTGTATGCTTAAGTTGTAATTCATGCTCTTCAACAACTTTAGGGCCCAAAAAAGCACTTGCTGTGTCAGACTTCATGCAGAGACTTGAGCCAGCATCCTGACAGGCATGGTTAGTTCCTCTTGTCCAAGCTCAATTTTTATTTTAAAATGTTTGTACATTTTGATTTGCCAAGTGGTAAGAGAAAAAAAATGTGATATTTGAGAAATAGGACATTCAAATTGTTGGTGCTAAAAGCTTCTTTATGAAATACATAGGATCCAAACAATTATATTTGAATAGAGTCCTGTACTAATGAAGCTAAGGTTACAAGTTTAGTTCCCTCGTGGACCAATTAGCTTCTTTTTTTCCTCATCCAGAAGTTGTAGGTAGTTATTCATTCAATCATTTATTAAGTGCTTAGGACCGGCCAGGCCTGGACCCACAATGTAAGGAAAAATCAGTGCTTAGATAGGGTGAGTCTTTGCCCTCAAAGGACCTGTTTTATTGAGTGTGACCCTGATTCCATCTGGCCAAACTGTAAACATGAGAAAAATCAACAGAATGGAAGGAAAAACTAATTTACATTCCCACCAGCAGCGTGTAAGTGTTCTCTTTTCTCCACAACCTCTCCAGCATCTGTTATTTTTTACCTTTTAATAAAAGTAAAAACTGGTGTGAGATGATATCTTATTGTGACTGGTGTGAGATGGTATCTCATTGCAGTTTTGATTTGCATTTCTCTAATGATTAGTGACACTGGGAATTATTTCATATGCTCGTCGGCCAGATGTATGTCTTCTGTCAAAAAGTGTCTGTTCATATCCTTTGCCCACTTTTTAATGGGGTTGTTTTTGGCCTCTTAATTTGTTTAAGTTCCTTATAGATTCTGGCTGTGCTATTCAAAGTAGCAAAGACATGGAATCAACCTAAATGCCTATGAATGGTAGACTGGTTAAAGAAAATATAGTACATATATCCCATGAACACACAGCCATAGAAATATTATTATTATGTCCTTTGCAGCAACATGGCTGGAAGCCATTATCCTAAGAGAACTAACACAGGATCAGAAAGCTAAATAACACGTCTCACTTATAAGTGGAAACTAAACATTGAGAACACGTGGACACAAAGAAGGAATAACAGACACCAGGGCCTACTTGAGCATGGATCATGGGAGGAGGAAGACGATAAAAAAAACTGCCTATCAGATACAATATTTATTATCTGGGTGATAAAATAATCTATACACCAAACCCCCGTGACATACAATTTACCTATATAACCAACCTGCACATGTAACCCAGAATCTAAAACAAAAATTAAAAAAAAGAATGGAAGAAATAGTAGAGAAAGGAATACAAATGTATTATTATTACTGGAAAGTAACCTATGGAGGAATCATTTGGGTATATAAATGAAAGCTTACTTCTCCTTCTAACAAATACTTCACAAGCTGATATCCAATTCACAATAGAAGATAAGAATATGAAGCATGATGGTTACATTACAGAAAGGAAATACAAAGAAGGAGAAAAGCCAAAATTGGGCTCAAGATAACAGATCTTGGAGAAATGAACATAGTCAAGTAGCTACACAACTTGTTCATATGAGGGAAGCCTCTAAACATTTCAGAAATGGGCTCTTGAGTAGAGTAAAACAAGAGAGGGGACAGAATCAGAAAATTACAGATACATACTAATGAAGAGAAGATTCTTTGAATACACACAGCAATGTCAAACCATTAATCTTTGAGTCTCAAAACAATTATTATGAGTCCACTTAAAGACCATGTCATAGGAAAGAGATTTCTATCCATCGTTTGGCAGATCACACTGTATTCAGTGGGGAGTTTTAAAATATAGAATTATATAAAATATTTTTAGGGACAGTTAAAGTGACACAAATCATTCCTTTTTAGTTTATGAATTCAAGATAATTCAGATGTTCTCCATTGATAATGTGTTATACAAAAATATTTTATGTTTATTCAGCAGTTTAAGAAAAGTTTGTGAAAATGGGACTATGGTGAAATCCATAAGGTAGCTTCTCTAGAGAAAGAACATGTGTTTTGCATGTTTTGAGAATATTAGTTCTTTCTCCAAAAAATAAGTGTTATTTCTGCCATCAAACACCCAACAAGTCCCACTTTTCAAAAAAAGAAAGAAAAGAAAGAACAACTTTGTGTGGAACTAGGATATATGGTCATTTAGCCTTGATAGACTGTTGTAAGAGTTTGGTCATGGGATATCAGAAAAATGGGCTATATCAAAATCTTCATGGAATCTGCCCTCCATGGCTCACAATATACAGGCCTGGCCTGTTGTCACACACCCTGATTTGTTCTCACTGGTGACTTCACACTTGAGCTCCTTTTCATGTCAGATGTAGAGACTCAAGGGTCCATTTGGTCTACTCAGCTTCATGAGAACTTTGAAATATTGGCTTGACAAGTTTTGTTAACCTTCATGAAACAAATATGTCCCTTCCCTTCTCTTCTGTTTTGCTTTCTTCTTTCAGTATTGGCTGGCTTCCAATTCTCCATACATATATTTTTATTTTCTTTTGTTTTGCTTTGCTTTGCTTTTTATTACTGACAATTATCAAAACTTTCTTTTTATGTAAAACTCTTTGCTATCAGAAGCTTTTGGACAAAATACACTGTAACAAAAAAACAAACTATTATTGGTTTATAATTTTAGGTAAATTTTAAATACTCGAAATACATTTTAAGTCATTTAGAAATTTTTTGTTTATCTTCAAGTTAGTTCAAGTCCATGATTAAAATTCCAAAAGGAAAAATTTAATCTTCATTGAAAGCAACAAAGCTTATAACGAAAAAACAGCTCTTTTGAAAGAAAATGGAAAATGCTTTCAAATATTTTCTAAAAATTTTAATATAAAGTTTGTACAAATTACATGCATTTACAAGAGGCTAAAAAACCTATGTCTAGACAACTGATGGTTGCTTGAATAGACTTTAGTGTTCTGAACTGAAAATATTCCATTAGAAGCCTTTCTATATGATTTCAAAATTATGATACTTTTTAAATTACATTTTTGATAAGTGGCCAGCTTTTTTCAGAGCTTTATTTATAAGATAAACATATTCTAAAAGCCTTTGAGTCAGTAATGGCAGCAATTACAACACTTTTTGTCAGAATTTTTCTTTTAGGGAATATGCAAATTACCTTTTATTGGACAAACATTTCTGGAAGGTATGCAGAATAGACAGTACTTTTATCAATGGTTTCCCCTATAAAAGAAATTGATCTTGTTAATTCCAAAATCAGGACCCTTCATACACCTCGTTAGGGAAATATATTCTAGAATGCTGTGCTCCATGTAACCACATATCCTCATCTCAGCAGATATGAAAGTCTCCTATAGCATGAAACAAGTTGGCATGAGAGTCTCGCACATCTAAAGTAACATACAATAAATTTACCTTTCATCCCAGAGTGTACTGAAAATATCTGGCCAGCTCACTTCAAAAAACAAGCAAGCAAGCAAACAAGAACCACAACAAAACCTTGTTTGTAAATACATATATTGATTTCCATACAAAGCCTAGTAATGCAAATCAATAGATACTTGAGAAGTATTGCCTAAGCTTCAAACTGGATAACATTTCACAGATGCCAAGTTCTTAAATACTTTCAGCAGTGACCTATACAGCTTAGCATCAGTGAGGGAAAGTCATACACAGAGGCTGACACAGTTCATCCTTGCAGTCAGATCGGGGCCATACACTAAATGATAATTCCACCCAGAACACAGGTGTTAATGGGAGTGGAAATGCATATCTGATAAACTGCTAAGAAGATACAAGTATTTTTTAAGAGCCTACACAAATTAAACAAATAAAACTTAGTAAAGAGAGCCACTGAAGTATAAAGCAATGGCTCCCAACAGTGGAGAGTTGGGAAATAGCAGCAGCAGGAAACTGATAGTTCTGGAGCTATCATCCATTCTTTCTCTTTCTCTCATCTTTCATGAAACAAAGAAAGAGAAAAGAGACAATCAAAAATGTTGGTTTTCTTGTGGCTACCATTCATCTATGTGCAAATAAAATTGTTCCCATTAATTTTAGAAATTATGATATCTCTGAGTTAATAATGCAATATGAAATCTATTAAAATTATGCAGCTGGATTAAGTATACATTTGACTTTTAAATTTTAATTTCCCCTTTAAATATTTTATAATATGTTGGAAAATATTTTTGAAATATTAATAGTTTTTCTTTTTATTTTCTTTTATACCCTTAATTTGCCTTTGCCATGTTCAATCTTCTCAGGTTTTTTTGTTGTTAATGTTGTTTGTTTTGCTTTGTTGTTTATTCTAATTTCTTCAAAAGAGGGAATATTAGGTAAGATAAAGCAGAGGATCTGGATGACAATGGACAGGTGCTCAGCACCCCAGAGAGAACTGGAAAAGAATCAACACAGGACAGAGAATTTGTGGTATCTGAGAACGAGAGGGTCTGTGTGCTCCCTCGGGAATGAAGCATCACATCTGGGAAACAGCAAGACCCAGTGGAAAGAACAGATATCTATAATGCATGGATAGCCAGGGCTGTGGACAGCATCCTCAGAGCGTCCCCTCTGCTGGTGGGACAAGGAGGAGCCAAGCAATTCCCAGGCTCACAATGGCTTACCAACAGCAGGAAAATCCACTAAACCCAACGTAGTGTTAAAGACAGAAACAAAATGAAATTATATATGTACTTTTTACACCTAACTTTTGTTGACTAAGATTTGTATCCAGCTAATTTTCAAAATAATCATCACTTTAAAATGTCATCATCCATTCTTATGGCATTTCAGGGTTTAGCAGTAGAGTTAAGAACACGGCATGTGACTGCTTGATTTCAAATCCTGGCTCTGCTACTTATTAGTGAGCAAGTCACTTATCTATTTTGTGCCTGAGTTTCCTAATGTAACAAAAATAGCACCTATCTTCAAAGGTTGCCGTAAGGATTAAACAAGTTTATATATGTACTACATAAGTGCTTGATAAGTGAAACAAGAAATAAAATATGAAAATCAATGGCATCACAAAAGAAGAAAGTAAGCCACTCTGCTTAAGGGTGAAACAAATGCTGAATAAGACATAATAAAGAGCAGGGGAGGGCATGAGCCAGATTCCAACACCATGCCAGTCAAACCACATTAGTTTTCAAAAGATCACCATCTCGTGTTACTGTTATAATATTATCAGACTGCATCACCAGAATGAATCGGGAGTTCATCTTCAGCAAAAATCATTTTGAAAAATATTTCATTTTAGTATCTACATTTTGTAGTAAAACATTATGCAGTCTTGTAGAAATTAGAGAACTGTGAGAAAGTAAAAAGGTACAGAGATATAAAACATTTAAACATGATATCACCATCCATAAATAACTACTGCTAACAATGTGCCCTTTAACGTATACACTTTTAAAAATCGTGACCTTTGTATATATATCACCACACCCATTTAATAAACAGATACACCTTGTTGTATTGCACTTCACAGATTTCATGCATTTTGCAAGTTGAAGGTTTGTAGTAACACTATATTAAGCAAGTTTATCAGTGTGATTTCTCCAACAGCAAGCACTTGCTTCATATCTGTGTCATATTTCAGTAACTCACTCAATATTGCAAACTTTTTCATTGTTATTATGTCTGTTATAGGGATCTGTGATCAGTGATGTTTGTTGTTACCATTGTAATTGTTTTGGGGCACCATGAGGATGCGCACTAAAAATGGCAAGCTTCATCAATAAATGTTGTGTGTGTTCCGACTGCTTCACCAACCGGCCATTCCTGCATCTCTCTCCTTCTCCTCGGATTTCCCTATTGCCTGAGACACAATAATATTGAAATGAGACCTATTACTTACCCTACAATGCCCTCCAAGAGTTCAAGAGAAAGGTAGAGTCTCACATTTTCCACTTTAAATCAAAAGCTAGAAATGATTAAGCCAATGAGGCAGGCATGTCGAAAGTCAGGATAGGCTGAAAGCTAGGCCTTTTGCACCAAACAGTTTGCCAAGTTGTGATGGGAAAATTTGAGTGGTTTGGATAGAAGATTAAACCAGTCACAACATTCCCTTTAGCCAAAGCCTAATCCAGAGCAAAGCCCCAATTCTCTTCAATTCTATGAAGACTGGGAGAGGTGAGGATTGCAGAAAAAGGGTTTGGGAGGTTGGTTCATTGGATTTTTAAAAAGAAGCCATCTCCATAACATAAATGTGCAAGGTGAAGCAGCAAGTGCTGATGGAGAAGCTGCAGCAAGTTATCCATCAGATCTGGCTAAGATCATTGATGAAAGTATCTACACAAAACAAAAGATTTTCAGTGTAGAAGAAACAGCCCCATATTGGAAGAAGAAGCCATCTAGGAGTTTCATAGCTAGAGAGAAGTCAATGATGGTCTTCAAAGCTTTGAAGGGTGGGTTGACTCTCTTGCTGGGAGCTAATGCAGCTGGTGAATTTAAATTGAAGCCAAGGATTATTTACCATTCTAAGAATCCTAAGGCCCTGAGAAATATGCTAAATCCACTCTTGCTGTGCTCCATAAATGGAAAAGCAAAGTCTGGGTGACAGCACACCTGTTTACGGCATGGTTTACTGAATATTTGAGACCACTGTGGCAACTAACTCCTCAGAAAAAATAAAGAAAGAAAAGATTCCTTTCAAAATAGTACTGCTCATGACAATGCACCTGGTCACCCAAGAACGCTGATGCAGATGTACAAGGAGACTAATATTTCCATGACACAGCATCCATTCTGCAGTCCATAGATCAAGAAGTAAATCTGACTTTCAGATCTTACTATTTAAGAAACACATTTCATAAAATTATAGTAGCCATAGATAGTGATTCTTCTGATGGAACTGGGCAAACTAAACATAAAAATTTCTGGAAAGGATTCACCATTCTAGATGCTATTAAAAACATTCATTATTCATGGAAAAACATCAAAATATCAACATTAACAGGAATGTTGAAGTTGATTCCAACCTCATGAATGCCCTTGAGGGGTTCAAGACTTCAGTGGAAGAAGTAACTGCAGATGTGGTGGAAACAGCAAAAGAGGGAGAATTGAAGGTGGAGCCTGAAGATGTGACTGAACTGCTGCAATCTCCCGACTCAACTTGAACAAATAAGGAGTTGCTTCTTGTGGATGAGCAAAGAAATTGGTTTCTTCAGATGGAATCTACTCCTGGTGAAGATACTGTGCGCATTGTTGAAACAAAAATAAAAGATTTTGAGTATTCCAAAAACTTAGAGGACACAACCCCATCAAAAAGTGGGTGGAGGATATGAACAGACATTTCTCAAAAGAAGACATTTATGCAGCCAGAAGACACATGAAAAAATGCTCATCATCACTGGCCATCAGAGAAATGCAAATCAAAACCACGATGAGATACCATCTCACACCAGTTAGAATGGCAATCATTAAAAAGTCAGGAAACAAGAGGTGCTGGAGAGGATGTGGAGAAATAGGAACACTTTTACACTGTTGGTGGGACTGTAAACTAGTTCAACCATTGTGGAAGTCAGTGTGGCGATTCCTCAGGGATCTAGAACTAGAAATACCATTTGACCCAGCCATCCCATTACTGGGTATATACCCAAAGGATTATAAATCATGCTGCTATAAAGTGACATGCACACGTATGTTTAGTGGGGCACTATTCACAATAGCAAAGACTTGGAACCAACCCAAATGTCCAACAATGATAGACTGGATTAAGAAAATGTGGCACATATACACCATGGAATACTATGCAGCCATAAAAAATGATGAGTTCATGTCCTTTGTAGGGACATGGATGAAGCTGGAAACCATCATTCTCAGCAAACTATCGCAAGGACAAAGAACCAAACACCGCATGTTCTCACTCATAGGTGGGAATTGAACAATAAGAACACATGGACACAGGAAGGGGGACATCACACACCAGGGACTGCTGTGGGGTGGGGGGAGGGGTGAGGGATAGCATTAGGAGATATACCAAATGTTAAATGATGATTTAGTGGGCGCAGCACACCAACATGGCACTTGTGTACATATGTAACTAACCTGCACGTTGTGCACATGTACCCTGAAACTTACAGTATAATAAAAAAAAAAATCTTAGAGGATAAAGCAGTGGCAGTTTGTGAGAATTGACTCCAATTTTTAAGAAATTCTGCTCTGGGTAAAATGCTGTCAATCAGCCTTGCATGCTACAGAGAAATCTTTTATGAAAGGAAAATCAATTAATGAGGCAAACTTCATTGTTGCCTCAATTTATGAAATTGCCACCTACCCCAACCTTCAGCAGCCACCACCTTTATTGGTCAGCAGCCAACAATCTTCCACCAGCCGAAAGATCACCACTTGCTGAAGACTCAGATGCTCATTAGTATTTTTAGCAATAAAGCATTTTTAAATTAAGGTATAAACATTTGTTGTTAGACATAATGCTGTTGCACACTTAATAGACTACAGTACAGTGTAAACATAACTTTTATATGCATTGGACAATCAGAAAATTCATGTGGCTAAGTTTAATGTGACATTCATTTTATTGAGGTGGTCTGGTACTGAAATTTCAATAGCTCCAAAGTGTGCCTGTATATATATGTGTGTATATATATATATATATATATACACAGTAGTATACATATAGTGTATACTACTCTTTTCCAGTTGACTAAAGTTTATAAAATAATTTTCATATTTTATGCATAACTGTTTGACTCATTTTTTAAGTTCAAACAGTACGAATTTTTTTATCTCACTAACAATAAATAATGATAAAGTACTTTTCAGACCTTGCCATTTCACAATCAGTGGATAAATAGTTCTTATCTAGAAGCATGTTTTAAGTGTTCTTATTGCAATCTCTGAGAAAGTACTGTATGTTCTTCCTCTTATATTCAACTTACTTTATTGAATATCTCCCAAAAAAGTCACAAAACTCCAATCATGTTTAATACTGCGTAAGATAGTGTAAGTCTGCCACCTGCTGGTTACCTATGAATTTGCACAATTTTTAACACAGAAACAAATTTTAATTTCAATTTACAAAACAAGTTAAATTGCGTCTTAGTGCTGTCTTGTGAGGTTAAAAATCATTAGTGATCTTTTTGTAGTCATTTTATTTTCTAATTTCCTTATAAATTTTTTGATAATTTTGTATTTTTTGATACAGTTAAATGGTGGGTCTATATTTTAAACAGAAGTTTGAGAAACAGATTTAAACCTCAAATTATGTAATTCTAAAACGATCACAAAATTTTAAGCAAGGTTTAAATATAAATATTCTTCTAATTTTTCTTGTATGTAATATAGCGACATAGCCAAATTTATTTATTTTTTCTTGTATAAATTTAAAAAGTACATGTGCAATTTTGTTACCAAGCTATATTGCTTAGGGATGAAGTCTGGGCTTTTAGTGTGTCAAACTCCCAAATAACGTACATTGTACCCATTAAGTGGTTCCCCATCACCTACCCCAGTCCCACCCTCCGCCCTTCCAAGTCTCTAGTGACTAATATTTCACACTCTATGTCCATGTGTACTCATTATTTAGTGCCCACCCATAAGTGATAACATATTGTATTTGACTTTCTGCTTTTGTGTTGTTTCACTTAAGATAATGGCCAACACTTTCATCCATGTTGCTATAGAGACATGATGTCAGTCTTTTTTATGGCTACATAGTATTTCCTTGTGTATATATCCCACGTTTTCTTTATTCAATCATCAGTTGATGGACACTTAACAATCTTGCCAAATTTTTTTTTTGAGATGGGGGCTCCGTCACCCAGGTTGGTGAGTGCAGTGGCATGATCTCAGCTCACTGCAACCTCCGACTCCCCAGCTACAGCAATCTTCCTGCCTTAGCCTCCTGAGTAGCTGGAAGTATAGGTGTGCACCACCATGCCTTGCAAATTTTTTGTGTTTTTTATAGAAACAGGGTTTCACCATGTTGGCCAGGTTGGTCTTGAACTCCTGGGCTCAAGCCATCCACCCACCTGGGCCTCCCAAAGTGCTGGGATTACAAGCACAAGCCACCACAACCAACCCAAATTGATTGTTTCCAAAAAAACTGTATAAACTTAAGGTATACAACATGATGCTTTGATAGACATATGCATAGTGAATTTATGACTACAACCAAGCTAATTGACATAACCATGTCTTCAGATAGTTACCTTTTGTGTTGTGTAGTGAGAATACTTAAGGTCTACTCTCTTAGCAAATTTCAAGGATACAAAAGAGTATTATCAATTATAGTCCCCATGTAGTACATGTTATCACCTTATATGACTGAAACTTTGTACACTTTGACCAACATCTCTCCATTTTCCCCACTCCTCCACCTCTGGTAATCACCATTCTACTCTCTGCTTCTATGAATTTTTCTTCAATTCTACATAAATAAGAGAATATCGGTATTTTATTTCTGTGTCTAGCTTATTTCACATAGCATAATGTCCTCCAGGTTCATTCTTGTTGTTGCAAGTGGCAGGATTTCCTACTTTTTAAGGCTGAATGATATTCTATTGCATGTATATACACACCACAATTTCTTCATACATTCACCCATTGGCAGACACTTAGGTTGTAGCCCTGTCTTGGCTATTGTGAATAATGCTACAATTGATAGCATTATTAATGATTTTTTTGATGTTTTAATCTCTTTGAGATACTGACTAAATTGATTATTTTTAAAACATGAAATCAAACTTGAAGAAATACTGCCCCACCATGCAAATACAAATTATATTCCCATCCAGGAATATTTGCTACCAGTTTCTATATGCTATGCTCAACTTCCCAGAGTGGCAATCATTATAGCTTATGTCAACATTTTGATCCTCGTGCTTATCACTCTCTACATAGGATGTTTTCATTTTTTTTCACATAATCATTATCATCTTCATTTTTCACGGATACTTTGAGTTTATCCTGATTTAATTAATCATCCCCTTTCTACTTAAGTTCTCTCTGTTTCCAATTTTACTTGACTCGAAAATAGAAACTTTGTTTACAAATAATAGAGTCTTTAAATCAGTGGTTGAAGGTAGTGTTCAAGATGAATATTTGGGGCATTTAAAGCTCATATTAAATGTATTTAAATTCCCAAGCAAAGCTATGTATAATATTGATTTTTGTTGTGATTCCAAATGTTTCCCAATGGACAAATATTCACTGGATATTCATTTGTGTGAATCACTGACAAGCATAAGAAGGAATGAGACACAATTGTCTCACTTCTTGCACTGGATAATACTATTTGCTTGTGGAGATGAGATGTAGACAAACACTTTTAATGCAAAACAGAAATGGATTATTGCAAGAATAGAGCTCAAAGATAAAGATGGCTTTCAGAAGAAATATTCAAGGAAGGCTTTATTAATACAAATAAATTTAAATGAAAATATGAGTTTCATTTTTTCTTTCTCCATTTCTACATATTAATAAAATTATGATTTTAATGTTAGACATGCTTAATGAGTTGATCAATAGGAGAAATGGATGAAGTAGTATTGCTACACAGTGAGGTGTCATTACCTGAAAATTGCTGCCTAGATTCCTACTTTTTTAAAAAAAGAAATGAAACTATTACAACACAATGTGGTGGACAGAATACTAGTAGTGCTGATTTTCTGAAGATCTGAATGATTTCCTTGCTTCACCTATTCTTTGAAAGATCAGAGCCAAGGCAATTCAACCTCCACTATACACATTTTTACCTCAGTTCATGATATATTAATGAAAACCACACACAGACACACACACACACAGACACACACACACACACACACACACCCACGGTGTGGCTTTCAAGTTTTTTAAGTAACAGAAGAAATTTTTTGAAGATGCTCAACACATAAAGCAGCTCAACTTTCAGCTACTGTGTTAAATGATGTGGGCGGAGTCTGTGAAGAAGCCCTGCCGGTTACTCCAACCCCTACCTCCACTCTTCCTTCATCTCTCAGAGGTTTGACCTTAGTAGGGATATGTTAGAAAGAAAAAAAGCAGTTCCTGACATACAGGAACCAACCTAACTAAACTAGGCCATGGTGTTTTTAGAAGATGTCCTGGTGCTCACACATAGGCAGTGTTTTTGTCATGTAGGTTATAAACGATCTCACATAACACCAACAAGGTCACGCTGCAACCACGATGATATGTGACAAAACAAGGCCACTTCATGATTTTGTCTAACCAAAGAGAGAAGCAAGTCCACTGGGCAAACAACAAAATATCCAATAACTTTCTCTCCAAGGTAATATGAGTGTATTGAGTGTATTCCTTCTTTACTGTAATATGCTATATAGTAAAACACAAATGAGTAATCAAGTCAGTGTGTTCCTAGTGGGTTTTGATGGCATGAAGAAATACAATTAATTGTGCATGTTAATCTTGTACCCTGCAAACTTGCTAAACTTATGAATTTATTTTCCTGGGGTTGTTTGGTAGGTTTTTGTTTTTGTTTTCTTAGCTCCCACAGGACTTTCTATATAGACTTATCTTAACCTTTTATCAAGATAAGAAATTTCACTTTTGTTTTTAGTTTCAAGAGGGTTTTAATTAGGGGTGGTTGTTGGGTTTTTATGTGCTTTTCTTGCATCTATTTAGATGCTCATAAACTTTTCATTATTAGTTTGTTACTAAAAGAAAATTATATCAATTGATTTTTGAGTGTTAAACCTTGCATTCTGAAAGTATACCCCATTTAGTTATGCTATATAATCCTTTTACTATATTGTCGGGTTTTATTTGTTAAAATTTTGTTAAGTATTTTTGCATCTCTATTAAGGAGAGGTATTAGTCTGTTGGGGTTTTCTCTGTAATATCCTTGCCAAGTTTTGGTATTAGATAATGTTTGCTTTATAGAATGAGTTGGGAAACATTCCATCCTCTTCTATTTTTTTCTTTCTTGAATATTTTATATTCTTTCTTGTGTTGTTATCTACAAGAAATTGCCATCATCCTTATTTTTATTTATATGTATGTAACTTGAAATTTGGAAGGATTGCAGATTTTTCTCTTTATCACTGATTTTTATTAAATTTATCCCATGACCTCTCTGCTCTAATCTTTGTCTGCTCTCCTCCTTGCTCACTATTATCTAGCCACATTGGCTTTTTGCTCCTTTTTTACTATTTCAAGTATACTCTGACCTCAGAACCTGGTACAACCTTGTACTGACTGTTTCCTTTGCCCAGAAAAATCTTTTTTTTTTGAAAAATCTTCTTTATGCAGCTCTTCACCTCCTTCAAATATTCACTCAACTATCATGTCTCAATGATGCTCACTGTGATTCTCCTGCTTGAAATTACAAACCCCCTAGCACTTTCAAACCATCTTTCTTATCATGCAATATAATTTCCCATAACACTCACCCTTTCTAACTTTCCATATGCATTTTATGCTTATTTTCTGTCTCCTCAACTGGAATGTAAATCATAGGAGGGCAGCAAATTTTATCAATTTTTTTCACTGTTACATATTCAGTACCTAGAATGAAACCTAGAACAGTGCCTAGAATACTGTATTTTTAGAAAATATTTGTTGAAAGAATTAATTACTGAACAAAGGAAGATAATTAAAATGCTGCTTTTAAAAGAGTTTTTTAGAGGGTAGAGCCAAGATGGCCAAATAGGAACAGCTCTGATCTACAGCTCCCAGCATGAGCGACGCAGAAGACCTGTGATTTCTGCATTTCCATCTGAGGTACCGGGTTCATCTCACTAGGGAGTACCAGACAGTGGGTGCAGGACAGTGGGTGCAGTGCAGCATGTGCCAGCCAAAGCAGAGCGAGGCATTGCCTCACTCGGGAAGTGCAAGGGGACAGGGAGTTCCCTTTCCTAGTCAAAGAAAGGGTGACAGATGGCACCTGGAAAATCTGGTCACTCCCGGGCTAATACTGCGCTTTTCCGACGGGTGTAAAAAATGGCGCACCAGGAGATTATATCCCGAACATGGCTTGGAGGGTCCTACACCCACGGAGTCTCACTGACTGCTAGCACAGCAGGCTGAGATCAAACTGCAAGGCTGCAGTGAGGCTGGGGAAGGGGCGCCTGCCATTGCCTAGTTAGTTGTTTGATTAGGTAAACAAAGCAGCCCAGAAGCCTGAACTGGGTGGAGCCCACCACAGCTCAAGGAGGCTTGCCTTCCTCTGTAGGCTCCACATCTGGGGACAGGGCACAGACAAACAAAAAGACAGCAGTAACCTCTGCAGACTTAAATGTCCCTGTCTGACAGCTTTGAAGAGAGTAGTGGTTCTCCTAGCACACAGCTGGAGATCTGAGAACAGGCAGACTGAATACTCAAGTGGGTCCCTGAACCCCGAGCAGCCTAACTGGGAGGCACCCTGCAGTAGGGACAGACTGACACCTCACATGTCTGGGTACTCCTCTGAGACAAAACGTACAGAGGAGCAATCAGGCAGCAGCATTTGCCGTTCACCAAGATCCGCTGTCCTACAGCCACGACTGTTCTGCAGCCACCACTGCTGATACCCAGTCAAAAAGTGTCTGGAGTGGACTTCCAGCAAACTCCAACTGACCCGCAGCTGAGGGTGCTGTCTGTAAGAAGGAAAACTAACAAACAGATAGGACATCCACACCAAAAACCCTTCTTTACATCACCGTCATCAAAGACAAAAGTAGATAAAACCACAAACATGGGGAAAAAACAGAGCAGAAAAACTGGAAACTCTAAAAAGCAGAGCACCTCTCCTCCTCCAAAGGAACGAAGCTCCTCACCAGCAATGGAACAAAGCTGGATGGAGAATGACTTGATAAGTTGAGAGAAGAAGGCTTCATACAATCAAACTACTCTGAGCTACAGGAGGAAATTCAAACCAATGGCAAAAGAGTTAAAAACTGAAAAAAAATTAGACAAATGGATAACTAGAATAACCAATACAGAGAAGTCCTTAAAGGAGCTGATGGAACTGAACGCCAAGGCTGGAGAACTACATGAAGAACGCAAAAGCCTCAGGAGCTGAAGCAAACAACTGGAAGAAAGGGTATCAGTGATGGAAGATGAAATAAATGAAATGAAATGAGAAGGGAAGTTTAGAGAAAAAAAGAATAAAAAGAAAGGAACAAAGCCTCCAAGAAATATGGGACTATGTGAAAAAATCAAATCTACATCTGATTGGTGTACTTGAAAGCGACGGGGAGAATGGAACCAAGATGAAAAACACTCTGCAGGATATTATCCAGGAGAACTTCCCCAATCTAGCAAGGCAGGCCAACATTCAGATTCAGGAAATACAGAGAATGCCACAAAGATACTCCTAGAGAAGAGCAACTCCAAGACATATAATTGTCAGATTCACCAAAGTTGAAATGAAGGAAAAAATGTAAAGGGCAGCCAGAGAGAAAGGTCGGGTTACCCACAAAGGGAAGCCCATCACACTAACAGCGGATCTCTCAGCAGAAACTCTACAAGCCAGAAGAGACTGGGGGCCAATATTCAACATTTTTAAAGAAAAGAATTTTCAACCCAGAATTTCATATCCAGCCAAACTAAGCTTCATAAGTGAAGGAGAAATAAAATACTTTACAGACAAGCAAATGCTGAGAGATTTTGTCACCACCAGGCCTGCCTAAAAGAGCTCCTGAAGGAAGCACTAAACATGGAAAGGACCAACCAGTATCAGCCACTGCAAAAACATGCCAAAATGTAAACACCACGGAGGCTAGGAAGAAACCACATCAAATAACAAGCAAAATAACCAGTTAACATCATAATGACAGGACCAAATTCACACAAAACAATATTAACTTTAAATGTAAATGGGCTACATGCTCCAATTAAAAGACACAGACTGGCAAATTGGATAAAGAGTCAAGAACCATCAGTGTGCTGTATCGAGGAAACCCATCTCACATACAGAGACACACATAGGTTCAAAATAAAGGGATGCAGGAAGATCTACCAAGCAAATGGAAAACAAAAAAAGGCAGGGTTGCAATCCTAGTCTCTGATAAAACAGACTTTAAAACAACAAAGATCAAAAGGAAAAAGAAGGCCATTACATAATGGTAAAGGGATCAATTCAACAAGAAGAGCTAACTATCCTAAATATATATGCACCCAATACAGGAGCACCCAGATTCATAAAGCAAGTCCTGAGTGACATACAAAGAGACTTAAACTCCCACACAATAATAATGGGAGACTTTAACACCCCACTGTCAACATTAGACAAATCAAAGAGACAGAAAGTTAACAAGGATACCCAGGAATTGAACTCAGCTCTGCACCAAGCGGACCTAATAGACATCTACAGAACTTTCCACCCCAAATCAACAGAATATACATATTTTTCAGCACCACACCACACCTATTCCAAAATTGACCACATACTTGGAAGTAAGGCTCTCCTCAGCAAATGTAAAGGAACAGAAATATGAAACAAACTGTCTCTCAGATCACAGTGCAATCAAACTAGAAACCAGGATGAAGAAACTCACTTAAAACCACTCAGCTACATGGAAACTGAACAACCTGCTCCTGAATGACTACTGGGTACATAAAGAAATGAAGGCAGAAATAAAGATGTTCTTTGAAACCAACGAGAACAAAGACAAAACATACCACAATCTCTGGGACACATTCAAAGCAGTGTGTAGAGGGAAATTTATAGCACTAAATGCCCACAAGACAAAGCAGGAAAGACCCAAAATTGACACCTTAACACCACAATTAAAAGAACCAGAGAAGCAACAGCAAACACACTCAAAAGCTAGCAGAAGGCAAGAAATAACTAAAATCAGAGCAGAACTGAAGGAAATAGAGACAAAAAACCCTTCAAAAAATTAATGAATCCAGGAGCTGGTTTTTTGAAAAGATCAACAAAATTGATAGACTACTAGCCAGACTAATAAAGAAGAAAAGAGAGAAGAATCAAATAGATGCAATAAAAAATGATAAAGGGGTATCACCAATGATCCCACAGAAATGCAAACTACCATCAGAGAATACTATAAACACTTCTATGCAAATAAACTAGAAAATCTAGAAGAAATGGATAAATTCCTTAACACATACACCCTCCCAAGACTATACCAGGAAGAAGTTGAATCTCTGAATAGACCAATAACAGGCTCTGAAATTGTGACAATAATCAATAGCTTACCAACCAAAAAAGGTCAGGACTAGATGGATTCACAGCTGAATTCTACCAGAGGTACAAGGAGGAGCTGGCACCATTCGTTCTGAAACTATTCCAATCAATAGAAAAAGAGGGAATCCTCCCTAACTCATTTTATGAGACCAGCATCATGCTGATACCAAAGTCTGGCAGAGACACAACAAAAAAAGAGAATTTTAGACCAATAACCTTGATGAACATTGATGCAAAAATCCTCAAAAAAATACTGGTAAACCGAATCCAGCAGCACATCAAAAAGCATATCCACCATGATCAAGTGGGCTTCATCCCTGAGATGCAAGGTTGGTTCAACATATGCAAATCAATAAATGTAATCCCGCATATAAACAGAACCAAAGACAAAAACCACATGATTATCTCTACAGATGCAGAAAAGGCCTTTGACAAAATTCAACAACCCTTCATGCTAAAAACTCTCAATAAATTAGGTATTGATGGGATGTATCTCAAAACAATAAGAGCTATCTATGACAAACCCACAGCCAATGTCATACTGAATGGGCAAAAACTGGAAGCATTCCCTTTGAAAATTGGCACAAGACAGGGATGCCCTCTCTCACCACTCCTATTAAACATAATGTTGGAAGTTCTGGCCAGGGCAATTAGGCAGGAAAAGGAAATAAAGGGTTTTCAATTAGGAAAAGAGGAAGTCAAATTGTCCCTGTTTGCAGATGACATGATTGTATATCTAGAAAACCCCATTGTCTCAGCCCAAAATCCCCTTAAGCTGATAAACAACTTCAGCAAAGTCTCAGGATACAAAATCAATGTGCAAAAATCACAAGCATTCTTATACACCAATAACAGACAAACACAGAGTCAAATCATGAGTGAAATCCCATTCATAATTGCTTCAAAGAGAATAAAATACCTAGGAATCCAACTTACAAGGGATGTGAAGGACCTCTTCAAGGAGAACTACAAACCACTGCTCAACGAAATAAAAGAGGATACAAACAAATGGAAGAACATTCCATGCTCGTGGATAGGAATAATCAATATCGTGAAAATGGCCATACTGCCCAAGGTAATTTACAGATTCAATGCCATACTCATCAAGTTACCAATGACTTTCTTCACAGAATTGGAAAAAAACTACTTTAAAATTCATATGGAACCAAAAAAGAGCCCACATTTCCAAGTCAATCCTAAGCCAAAACAATAAAGCTGGAGGCATCATGCTACCTGACTTCAAACTATACTACAAGGCTACAGTAACCAAAACAGCATGGTACTGGTACCAAAACAGAGATATAGATCAATGGAACAGAACAGAGACCTCAGAAATAATACTGCCTATCTAAAACCATCTGATCTCTGACAAACCTGAGAAAAACAAGCAATGGGGAAAGGATTCCCTATTTAACAAATGGTGTTGGGAAAACTGGCTAGCCGTATGTAGAAAGCTGAAACTGGATCCCTTCCTTACAGCTTATACAAAAATCAATTCAAGATGGATTAAAGACTTAAACGTTAGACCTAAAACCATAAAAACCCTAGAAGAAAACCTAGGCATTACCATTCAGGACATAGGCATGGGCAAGGACTTCATATCTAAAACACCAAAAGCAATGGCAACTAAAGCCAAAATTGACAAATGGGATCTAATTAAACTAAAGAGCTTCTGCACAGCAAAAGAAACTACCATCAGAGTGAACAGGCAACCTACAAAATGGAAGAAAATTTTTGCAACCTACTCATCTGACAAAGGGCTAAGATCCAGAATCTACAATGAACTCAAACAAATTTACAAGAAAAAAACAAACAACCCCATCAAAAAGTGGGTGAAGGACATGAACAGACACTTCTCAAAAGAAGACATTTATGCAGCCATAAAACACATGAAAAAATGCTCATCATCACTGGCCATCAGAGAAATGCAAAACAAAACCACAATGAGATACCATCTCACACCAGTTAGAATGGCCATCATTAAAAAGTCAGGAAACAAGAGGTGCTGGAGAGGATGTGGAGAAATAGGAACACTTTTACACTGCTGGTGGGACTCTAAACTAGTTCAACCATTGTGGAAGTCAGTGTGATGATTCCTCAGGGATCTAGAACTAGAAATACCTTTTGACCCAGCCATCCCATTACTGGATATATACCCAAAGGATTATATATCATGCTGCTATAAAGACACATGCACACGTATGTTTATTGTGGCACTATTCACAATAGCAAAGACTTGGAACCAACCCAAATGTCCAACAATGATAGACTGGATTAAGAAAATGTGGCACATATACACCATGGAATACTATGCAGCCATAAAAAATGATGAGTTCATGTCCTTTGTAGGGACATGGATGAAACTGGAAACCATCATTCTCAGCAAACTATCACAAGAACAAAAAAAACAAACACCACATTTTCTCACTCATATGTGGGAATTGAACAATAAGAACACATGGACACAGGAAGGGGAACATCACACTCCAGGGAGAGTTGTGGGGTGGGGGGAGGGGGGAGGGATAGCATTAGGAGATATACCTAATGTTAAATGACTTGTTAATGGGTGCAGCACACCAACATGGCACATGTATACATATGTAACAAACCTGCACATTGTGCGCATGTACCCTAAAACTTAAAGTATAATAGTAATAAAATTTTAAAAAAGAGGTTTTTAATCAATAATTCTTTTTGATTGAGATCTACTTCTTACTGTGAGATTCTTGATTTTAACTTTTTCTTCCTGACAGTAGGCCCTTAATAAATATTTGTTGAATTATTTAATAATAAATTCTACCTTTTGTACTTAACGGAGGGCCACAGGTTATCATGGTGCTTCAGTTTACAAATTTCATGAACCTAAATTTACTAGCAATTGTAAATTTACTAGCAGCTAATTGCTAGAATGTTTACCATTAACAATGTTGTATGTATTACTTATAGTGTGGATTGAAAAGTTCTTTTGTCATTTAACATTCATTTTGGAAAATCTTAGAACTGGTGAAGTGTAATTTTAAAAATATTTATACTAGATTAAGAAGACCTAAATTCACGCCCCAGTTTTTCCACTTTCTAGACCTATAGCCATAGGAAAATTTCTTAAACTTTCTGAATCCCCATTTTCTTATCCTTAAAATGAGACCAATGAATTATAATTTCTCCAAGTCCTTTCCAGTTCTAACATTCTGGGAATCTACTGTAATAAATTACCTGTCCAAACTCTGTGTTATAAGCATAGAGTTTTGCAGCTAGACAAGATCAGTACCATGATAACAAATGTCCATAATAATGACCTGAAGGCATTCTGAGATCCCAGATTGCCTCCTGAGTCATCCTAAATGTTCTAAGTTTAGCTTCCAATCTGGCCTAACCAAGAATTTGAAAACAAATTTTTAAAGCCCATACCTGAGTTGTAACAAAGAAACAGGAGATATCTTTTTTTTCTCTTTGTTCCAGAACTATGCACTTGCTGATTATTAGCCCATGTTGGCCTTTTGAAGAATAAATCTCTACTCAGGCTTTGTTTGCAACTACTTAGTAATTACTGTATTAACAATAGTATTTCTATAACTCTAGTTATTCCAGGAGTCTTGTAATTACTGCTTACACCTAAAACTTGGGCTTTGTTTGCAACTACTTAGGAATTACTGTGTTAACAATAGTATTTCTATAACTCCAGTTATCCATAGGTCTTGTAATTACTGCTTACATCTAAAAATTATAATACTGGGAGATTTTCTTGTCATCTGAAATACTTACTGCTCATCACATCAGAAATGCCATTGCTGGAGTCTACTATGTCATTACCTCCAAATGTTTGCTATTTGATTTACATTCTTGTTGTAGGAAGGGTGTAGACTACACAGGGCTTTGATAGGAAAAAAAAACAATTCTGTATGTAAGTATAGAGAAAAGGATACCTCACATCCTTCAGACCCCACAACAAACTTCCAAGTTTATACACACACACACTGACACACACAAACAGACACACACAGACTTAGGGGT
Organism: Homo sapiens; assembly: GCF_000001405.40. NCBI lineage: Eukaryota > Metazoa > Chordata > Mammalia > Primates > Hominidae > Homo > Homo sapiens. The sequence goes on from NC_000005.10 coordinate 50,337,588, forward strand.
GGAAACTTTTTATTTTGCCATGTACAATTTTACAAAGCAACTATCTTTTGTAGCCATCATTTCATAAAATATATAGTAACAGCAAAATTTAGGAAAGACATAATATCAGAATAAAAGGCAATCCTTTACCTTTAATAAATATTTAATAAATATAAACACTATATTGGCTTTCTTGTGTTTTGTTTGTTTGTTTGTTTGTTTGTTTTTTGAAAGAGTCTGTGCTCTATAACTCTCCCTGGGTCTCTGAACCACATAATGCAGGGATGTGTGAATCCTTTCATGATCATGATGTATTGGTGACATGTGAATTTTCCACAAGTTGAGGAGGAAAAATCGTCAAACTGACAGAATTCAAAGTGGTCATCTAAGAACTTGGGACACCTGAGGAGAGAATGTCTCTAGAAGAAAATAAATGCAGCATTCTGTCATTCTGTAGACTTATTCTTTAGAGATCTGATTTGGTTGACTGCAACAACACCAACTCCATAAACATACAGCCTACGTGAACAGTGACTACGTATCTTTGTTTGTGCTGCTATAACAAAATATCTGAGAAGAGGTAATTTATAAAAAATAGAAATTTGTTTCTCACAGTTCTGGATACTTGGAAGTCCAAGATCAAGGCATTGGCAGGATTGGTGCCTGGTAAGAGCTGCTCTCTGCTTCTGAGCTGACACCTTGTTGCTGCATCCTCTGGAGGTGACAAATGTGTCCTCACTTGGGGGAAGGGACAAAGGTCGCAACCCAATTTCTTCAAGTTCTTTTATAAGGACTTTAATCCCATCCTGGAGGGCTGCACACTCCTGACCTAATCACCTCCTAAAGACTCCACGTTGTAACACAATCACATTTGCAATTAAGTTTCGTCCCATGACTTCTGGAGGTCATTCAAACCATAGCACTATATTTTCTCTGTCTTCTTTTCTCCTTTCCTCCATGGATTCTTCATTGTCTCCCTTTTCTTCATCCTCTTCAAATAAGAATTATGAAAAATGAGAGAAAGAGAAAAGGAAAGAGGATGGTGATACAAGAATGTATTCATCAATGCAATGTGTCAGGGGACACAGGGCTGCTATGGACATACCCCACCACTATTATCAAGCTATACACTATATTTTGCTTCTTCAACAATTCCAAAGGGACTGAAGCAAAAGTAAATAAATATAAATAAATAAAATTTACCATTTGATATAACTGCAACATACTATATAGGAATGAGTGATTGTTGTGGAGGAAAGAGTATGGTTTTTATTTCAGATTAAGTGGCAAAGGCTTCTGAACAACCAATGGATCAAAGAAGAAATCAAAAGGAAACATTTTTAAAAAAAGCTTGACATAAACAAGAATGGAAACACAACATACCAAAACTTATGGGATACAGCAAAAATAGGTCTAATGAGGAAGTTTATATCAATAAATGCCTACATTAAGAAAAAAATCTAAAATAGATGACCTAAATTTACACTTCAAGGAAACATAAAAAAACACACTAAGACCAAAGTTGGTAGAAGAAAGGAAATAATAAAGATCAAAGCAGAAATAAATGAAGTAGAGAATAGAAAAATAATAGAAAAAATCAATAAAACCAAGTATTTATTTTTGAAAGGCAAACAAAATTGATAAACCTTTAGCTAGACTAACTAAAAAGAAAAGACAGAAGATTAAAATAAAATTTTCAATGAAAGAAGAGACATCACAAATGATACTAAAGAAATAGAAAGGATCATAAAAGACTACTATGAACAATTATTTGCCAAAAATTGAATAACCTATAAGAAGTGAGAAACTCCTAGACACATATAACCTATTGAGAATGAATCGTGAAGAAATAGGAAATCTGAACAGACCAATAACAATGGTTATGAAAACCCTAAGAACTCTACTAAAAAACTGTTAGAAATAATCAATTGCATCTCTATACATTAGCAACAAAGTATTCAAAAAAAGAATTACTAAAACAATCTAATTCACAATTGCATGAAAAAATTAAAAAGCAATTAAATTCAACCATGGTGATGAAAGATCTGTACACTGAAAATGATATTAAAATATAAATTAAAGAAATTGAAGAAGACACAAATCCAAAGATATCTTGTATTCATGGATTAGAGTAATTAATATTAAAATGTCTACACTACCCAACTGTTCTATAGATTCAATACAATCTCTATTAAAATTTCAGTGACATTTTTCATGGATAGAGAAAAAACAATCCTAAAATTCATATGAATCCAGAAAAGACCTTAGCCAAATCAATCTTAAACAAGGAAAAGAAAGCTGGAGACATTGCATCACCTGATTTCAAAATATACTACAAACCTGCAGGAATCAAAACAGCATGGGACTGGATAAAATCAGACACACAGACCAGTGGAAAAGAATAGAGAGCCCAGAAATAAATCCACTTATTTATTGTCAATTGATCTTCCACGGATCTGTCAAGAGCATACAATGGGGGAAAAACAGTCTCTTCAATAAATGGTGTTGGGAAAACTGTGTATCTACATGCAAAATAATAAAACTGGACCTTTACCTCATACCTATAGAAAACTAACTCAAAATAAAGACTTAAATAACTGTAAAACTACTAGAGGAAAAAATAAGGAAAAAGCTTTTTGACATTGGTTTGGGAAATTATTTTTAAAATGTAACCCCACAAACACAGGCAATAAAAGCAAAAATAGACAAATGAAATTGCATCAATCTAAAAAGTTTCTGCACAGTAAAGGAAACAATTAAGTGAAAAGAAAACCTACAAAACAGGAGAAAATATTTACAAATGATACATCTGATAAGGGGATAATATTCAAAGTATATAATCAATTCAAACAAATCGATAGCAAGAATACAAATAACCCAATTTAAAAATGGATAAAGGCTGTAAATAGACATTCACCAAATAAGACAAAAAAATGGCCGAGAGGTATATTAAAAAGTGCTCAACATCACTAATAATCTAAGAAATGCAAATTAAAATCAATGAAATATCACTTCACACCTGTTGGAATGGCTATTATTAAAAAGATAAAAGAAAGCAGGTGTTGGGGAATGTGTGGGAAAAAGGAATCCTTGTACACTGTTGGTGGGAATGTAAATTGCTACAGTAATTATGGAAAATAGTATGAAGATTCCTCAAAGAATTAAAAATAGAACTACCATGTAATCCAGCAATCTCACTTCTGGGTATATATCCAAATGAAAGGAAATCAGTATGTTGGAGAGATATCTGCACTCCTATCTTCATTGCAGCATTGTTCACAATGAACACACACACACACACACATATATGAATATTACTCGGCCTTATTAAAAAAAGGAAATCCTGTCATCTGTCATTTGGGGCAACATAGATGAACCTGGATAATGTTATACTAAGTGAAATAAGCCAGACATGGAAAGAAAAATACTGATGATCTCACGTATGTGGAATCTTAAAAAGTCAAACTCATAGAAGGAGAGAGTAGAATGGTAGTTTCCAGGGGCTGGGGGATGGTGATAGGGAAAGAGGAGATGGTGGGCACAGAGTACAATTTCAGTTATGCAGGATAAACAAATTGTGGGGATCTAATATATAGCAGAGGGATTATAGTTCACACTACTGTATTATATACTTGAAATTTGCTAAGATAGTAGATGTTAAATCTTCTCACCAGAAAAAAAAAAGGTAACCATAAGGTGATGGATATGTTTTTTAGCTTAATTGTGGTAATCATTTCACAATGTATATGTATATCAAATTATCATGGGGTATGCCTTAAATATATACAAATTTTATTTGCCAATTATAACTTTAATAAACAGGAAAGAAATAAAAAACTAGAGGTAGTCCCACTTCTCAAAATGGGAGAATTATTGTAGAAAGGTGTCTAATTCAGGAAGAAGGGGAAAGAGAACACTGTGGAAACAATCATATAGTAAAAGATAATTGTTTGGGATGACACTATCACTCTTGGATGTAAGGATAATAAATAACAAACTTAGGCTCTGGCTTCATTCATCTGGTTGACTCATTAAGATGCAAACTCCAAATTAGAAAGTCAAACATAGGAACCAAGGTTCTGCATGTCTGTAATGCCTGTGCTCATCCACAATACACAGTGTGCAGAACAAGGTCTCAGAAGACAATGGACACTGGGATCAATGGCCAGAGGACTAGTCTCATCTGACTGGATTGATAACAGACCTAAAATCTGTAGGCTCCAGGAGCTTCTTTTCATTGCTGGTGAAAAGCTCAAAAACTAAAGAATTGGCATTGACACCCAAGTGTTCTAGAGATTTTTGTCCCCTCTTTACTTTTATTATATGAAATATTTTTTTCTATCACCCTAACTCCTGTAATGGCTCTTCTTATATACCTCCTGCCACCCGGGAGTAGACATTAAACAAAGTTGTATCGTGGAATCCCGCAGAAACAGATCCAGTTTATGACTTCATTTAAGCTTGCCACAAGTTTAACGTCAGGTTTCTACTTCCAGCTTGAATCTTTCTCTTAGTGTTTACGTTAGGGCTTGATATGGTTTGGCTGTGTCTCCACCCAAATCTCATCTTGAATTGGGGCTTCCATAATTCCCACATGTTGTGGGAAGGACCTGGTGGGAGATAATTGAATCATGGGAGCAGTTTCCCCCATAGTGTTCTCGTGGTAGTGAATAAGTCTTATGAGATCTGATGGTTTCATAAAGGGAAACCCCTTTTGCTTGGTTTGTTCTCTGTTGTCTGCTGTCATGTAAGATGTGCCTTTTACTTTCTGCCATGATTGTGAGGCCTCCCCAGCCATGTGGATCTGTGAGTCCATTAAACCTCTTTTTCTTTTTAAATTACCCAGGCTCAGGTATGTTTTTATCAGCAGCGTAAAAACAGACTAATACAGCAAATTGGTACCAGTAGAGTGGGGTGCTGCTGTAAAGATACCTATTATACAGCAAATTATATATATGCGATTATATACAATAATTCAAAGTGATTTAAACAAAAAGTGAGATCCACTGTTTTGTGTAAAAGGAACAAGGATATCTTCAGACAAGTCTTCATCTAGATAAAACTGTAATAAACAGTAACAAGCTTCTTCCTTTCTCTTCCTCCTGTCCTTTGAGATCCTGTCTTCATTCTCAGACTCTACCTAGTTGCTTCTGGAATGTCTGGGCTCTGCCCTTATTATAGAAATGGGTATTGAAGTTGTAAACCTCACTTCCTATGAAAGAAAGATATATTTTCCATTCCCTATAATGCCTACAAATATATCTTAACATCTTACTGACTCTAATTGGATTATTTGCCCAACATTGCAAAAATAATTGAGGACAGAAGATGGTATAAACTTATTAGCTCAATAAATCTGGGTAAAGTTAATCCCACTCAGACTTCATAGCTAAAAATGAGAAAGAGTACTTTGGGTAACACAAAGAAAGACTAAGTATTAGGGAGTAAATGAACAAATGTCCTTTGCATTCAGTTCTAGCTTTCTAACAGACATTTATTTACCTTATTTCCTAACATTGCCCACAACTCCAGGTAAGACATTGTTCAAAAACAACTCTCATCTTCAGCACTTTTTTCTTGATTTTTGCTTAAAAAATTATACTCTGTGCATCTTTGGGGTCTTAACTCACAATTGACTTTTGACCTTTCTGAATCATATTTGTCTTCCCTCTCTCAATATTCCCTTAGTTCACTTTCTTCCCTAATTATCTCATATACATTTTTTTATCCAAATAGATTGTAGTACATGAGAAGCTCAGGATACGTCTTACATCTTTTATACCCTCCTTCAGTGCAAAGTAGATTTTTAGGCACATCGTATACACTCAATAAATGATTACAGAATAAAGCCTATTATAAGTAACTAGCAATACATTGAGGCAAAAGAGCACTAGAAGAAGTGGAGACCTATACTTTAGCTCCAGCTCATCTCTTGCCAGTTGGCCAATTTTGCACAAATTATTTGACCTAGAAGCCTCATCATCTAAAAAATAAGTAGATGTCTATATGTTGTGCCTATCTCATATTCATTTGTGGAATCAAATTAAATAAAGTGTTTTTCAAAGTAAATAACAGAGAAATTCAGAGGAGAATCCGACAATAAATTCTGAAGTATTAAGAGTAGGGTGTAGCTGGGCTTTTAAGTATGAATACCCCTAGAATAAGAAGCAGGAGAAAAGATAGTGTTCCAACTAGGGGAAGGGTAGGAGGACCAGAAAAAGGTCAGGAATAAGCACAGCATTGGAGGAGAGCAAGTCCTTGAATTATCTTGGCAAATCCAGCTCTTCCCCCTCTTCCTTGTGATTTTTCAGACAGAATGTACTAAGAACGTAATGTTCTCAGATAAGTAGAAACTGTTCAGAACAGCTTAAGCTTTGTCCTCGTCCCTTTTAGAATAGCATATCTTGTGACACAACCCAGTTCTCCTGGAATACAAAACCCATAGCAGAATGCTTTGAGGGTCTCATAGATGTGATGTGAAGTGGGGCATGTGCAGATGAGATTCCTTCAACCCTGGGAACCTTTCCTGAGCCTTAGGTGAACAGCTTGTCTATGCATCCAAGGCTTCTGTTAATTCTTGCTACTTACCTGTGAGTAACAAAGTTGTGTTGCCTGACTTGTGCAAGTCTTTTGTCTCACATAACACACGCTCTGGCATCTGGCTTAGTACAAAATTTCCTGCCAGATCTAAGGACCTTGGCAAAAATTAATGAGGTATTTAGAGCCTTCACCTGGAATTGATAACTGGTGAATCATATTTCCCTCCCAATGATTGATATTGATGCATATTATTCTAATTAATAAGCATTTTCCCTCAACCACAAATTAAAAAAAAAAACAGCCTAACCAACACATCCTTTTCAAATGAGATTGACAAAAAGAAGCCTTTTGTTTTACCCATTTTTAACAGTTGGAAATATAAAATTTACCATCCGTTTCCAGTCAATTATTGACTCTGGGTCTCTGAAATATCAGAAGGAATTAATTTAGGCAAAGAGAAGTAGCTATTGCCAGTAAAACCAATTATAATCACAAAATCACAGAATCATAGAAGGGAAGGAAGAATAAGAACATATCTGGTTCTTACCACCTTTAGTCAAGAGAATCCCTCAACTTTCCAAATAGACAAGAAACCAACTTTTAATGGCTATAACATTTTACAGTCTTTTTTAGATGTCAATTCTCATTGTGTTATTACATTCAGTATTAACATATAAATGCATTTTGTTGGCTCAAAACCACAACCTTAATTTTGAAAGAGACTAATTGAAACTGAGACCTAAAGCTTGAAATCTACCAGACAGAGGTTCTTTGTGAAAATAACTGTACTCCTAACACCTAACTCTTTCCACTGCTTTAACCTCTCATTGTTAGCCTGTGGTTAATGTAAACTTGATATTCCTGAGAGGAATCTAAAATACCCAACAGGATTATTACCTAACAATAGGGTCAAACAGGAAAACACATGGAATTCATTAAGATAAGTTTCAAATCCCTGGCCATTTGACTCTCACAAACAAATATACACAATTATAAAAATAAGACCAGCCTGGGCAACATAAGAATACCTCATGTCTACAAATAATAACAATAATAATAATAAAATTAGCTGGGTTTGGTGGCACACATATGTGGCCCCAGCGACTAGGGAGGCTGAGGTGGGAGGGTTGCTTGAGCCGAAGTTGTCGAGGCTGCAATGAGTCATAATTGGGCTAATGTACTCCAGCCTGGGTGACAGAACGAGACCCTTGTCTCAAAATAAATACATAAATAAATCACAACATCTGCAGGACACCAATATACTTTCTCTCATATTTGAGCCATTTAATTTTAGAAAGTGAATTATAAGAGTTATTGTTGATGAGTTTAATAATCACATAACTGTCTCTCTGCTCAATAATCAGCTGTAATATTTCCTTCCTTAATGCTGCTTACTGTACACAATTGTGAACTGAAAATTTTTATAAATTTTGTCTTTATAAGTATATAAAGAAGCACTATTTATGTGCTTATTTCTGAGGAGTGTAATACCAATGATAAAAGGAAGAGCAATTATATTGGAGGACTATATTTTCTCAATATTTACCTTTAAATGTGTGACATTTAAAGAGATTTCCCTAATAAAATGATTTTTATTGTTAGTAGCAATGTGGAGAAAAAACATCCTACTTATTGTTGTGCACATAGTGCAACTTTTATAGGAAATGATTTAAATATTTTTTTAAATTTATCTAGAAATCCCACTGTCAGAATTTTACTTTACAGATAGACAAAACTGTATGAAAATATGAGCAGAAGGATTTCATTTCAGCTTTTTTGTAGTTGCAAAAATAAATAAACAGCAACAACAAAACAGCAAATATTAAAAGCAACTGTTCCATCTACAGGGGACTGGCTAAATAAGTTAGGGCATACTATCAAAAAAAATCCACCATGGAAAATAAAAGCAAACATAATATTTCAAAAGCTCTCCAAAATACAGGCTCAAATGTAAAATTCAAAGTGCAAAACAATGCATATAACACGATTTATTTTCTGTAAAACAACTGAAATAATATGTAGGTAGATACATCTCTATTTTCTTTTTTCAAAAAACTGGAAGAATTCAGAAAAAAATTTTTAAAGATTACCTTAAAGAAGCAGAACAAGAGAAAATGTAGAAAGATTTTTAATGTTTCTAACCCATAACTTTTCATGTGGCTTTGTTCCCTATCTGTGTATGTGTACAGTTGTATTATTGCTTTTATTGTTTTAATTCTAATCATATTTTTGTATAGTGAGATTCAAGGTTGTAATTGCTTTTCATTTGTGCTATTATGTGATTTTTAAAAATTATGACTTATAGATACATGTTTTATTTTACACACACAAAGAAACTGGAAATTATGACTGCTTAGGGCTTTAATCATTATTATAGCAATGGGTATGAGATTTTTAGGAGGGGAAGATGTTGCACGTCATGTTTCAAAATTATTTAACTATAGAATCTTTTTTTAAAAAAATCCATAGAGATCAATATTTCATGCATGAAATGTTAGAAAATTCTGACTTCACTGATCAATAAGGTGTCAGTTGAATCAGCTCCTTGTGATGATTGTGGTGGTGGTTATTAATTATAGAGAACATGATAAAATTTAGTTGATTTAAGTCCTATAAGTCCTTTTACCTTGACTCTTATTTTATACCAACTAAATGTATAATTTTCTAGTTTAGAGCAGAGTCAGCTTTTCTCATAAAGGAACAGATAGTAAATATTTCCAGTTTTGTGAGCCATATTATCTCTGTTGCAACTACTCAGCACTGCCTATATGGAGGGAAACCAGCCATAAACAATATACAAACAATGGGGCATGCCTGTGATCCAATAAAATTTTACAGACAAAATCAGACAACAGTCTGGATTTGATCCACAAGTCATAGATTTTAAATTCCTGATTTAACATTACTTTTCATGTATATTGTCTAAACTAAGAATAAAATATTTCTATAAAGCTGTGGTATGCTGCATCATTTGATAATACACTCTTCAACAAACTAGGTAACTCTATTTACACGAGCATAATTCTCATGGATTGCCTACAGCTGAGAGCTGCCAGCCTGCAGCATTCTCAGCAGTTGGGAGAAAAATTCCTTCAGTCCTAAAAGGGAACTGTGGACATTAGACAGCATTTACTAGGACTCATCTCTTTAACATAGATATCTGACTCTGATCACTATCATATTTACTTATGTATTCAATGCTAGAACATACCAAAAATAGTTTTAAAATTGCCAACTCACCCCACTGGGAAGGTTGGAGAAGGAAAACTAGTAACTAGAGTTCCATATTGGTTTAGCTGTCTTTTTAGTCTTAAAGTATATCGTGAATATATTGTGTTCAAAGGTCACTTGTGTTATTTCTTTCTCCCCCCTTCAGTGTGTTTATGGTATTCATTTGAAATACACTTCTTTCTTATTTTTTATACTTTAAGTTCTAGGGTACATGTGCACAACGTGCAGGTTTGTTACATATGTATACATGTGCCATGTTGGTATGCTGCACCCATTAACTTGTCATTTACATTAGGTATATCTCCTAATGCTATCCCTCACCCTTTCCCCCACCCCACAACAGGCCCCAGTGTGTGATGTTCCCCACCCTGTGTCCAAGTGTTCTCATTGTTCAATTCCCACCTATGAGTGAGAACATGTGGTGTTTGGTTTTCTGTCCTTGCGATAGTTTGCTCAGAATGATGGTTTCCAGCTTCATCCATGTCCCTGCAAAGGATATGAACTCATCCTTTTTTATGGCTGAATAGTATTCCATGGTGTATATGTGGCATATTTTCTTAATCCAGTCTATCACTGATGGACATTTGGGTTGGTTCCAAGTCTTTGCTATTGTGAATAGTGCCTCGATAAACATACGTGTGCATGTGTCTTTAGAGTAGAATGATTTATAATCCTTTGGGTATATACCCAGCAATGGGATGGCTGGGTCAAATGGTATTTCTAGTTCTAGACCCTTGAGGAATCACCACACTGTCTTCCACAATGGTTGAATTAGTTTACAGTCCCACCAACAGTGTAAAAATGTTCCTGTTTCTCCCCATCCTCTCCAGCACCTGTTGTTTCCTGACTTTTTAATGATGGCCATTCTAACTGGTGTGAGATGGTATCTCATTGTGGTTTTGATTTGCATTTCTCTGATGGCCAGTGATGATGAGCATTTTTTCATGTGTCTGTTGGCTGCATAAATGTCTTCTTTTGAGAAGTGTCTGTTCATATCCATTGCTCACTTTTTGATGGGGTTGTTTGATTTTTTTCTTGTAAATTTGTTTAAGTTCTTTGCAGATTCTGGATTTTAGCCCTTTGTCAGATGGGTAGATTGTAAAAATTTTCTCCCATTCTGTAGGTTGCCTGTTCACTCTGATGGTAGTTTCTTTAATTTCTTTTGCTGTGCAGAAACCTTTAGTTTAATGAGCTCCCATTTGTCAGTTTTGGCTTTTGTTGCCATTGCTTTTGGTGTCTTAGTCATGAAGTCCTTGCCCATGCCTATGTCCTGAATGGTATTACCTAGGTTTTCTTCTAGGGTTTTTTTTTTTCTTGACATTTATTAAATAGACTAAATTTATTTTAATGGCAATACGAACAAATTACAAGGCTAATTAGTTTTCTACTTTAGTATTTTTACATTATTTAGTGCATTTATAAGTGATCCAAGAATTTTAAGAATTTTACTACATAAAAAACATTTTGTAATAAAATGTGAAAATAAAAGAATGAATAAGACATGATTCTTGCTTCACTCATTTTCTACTCTTCTTGGGTTTTTATGGTTTTAGGTCTAACATTTAAGTCTTTAATCCATCTTGAATTAGTTTTTGTATAAGGTGTAAGGAAGGGATCCAGTTTCAGCTTTCTACATATGGCTGGCCAGTTTCCCCAGCACCATTTATTATAGGGAATCCTTTCTAATTTCTTGTTTTTGTCAGGTTTGTCAAAGACCAGATGGCTGTAGATGTGTGGTATTATTTCTCAGGGCTCTGTTCTGTTCCATTGGTCTATATCTCTGTTTTGGTACCAGTACCATGGCTGTTTTGGTTACTGTAGCCTTATAGTATAGGTTGAAGTCAGGTAGCATGATGCCTCCAGCTTTGTTCTGTTGGCTTACGATTTTCTTGGCAATGTGGGCTCTTTTTTGGTTCCATATGAACTTTAAAGTAGTTTTTTCCAATTCTGTGAAGAAAGTCATTGGTAGCTTGATGGGGATGGCATTGAATCTATAAATTACCTTGGGCAGTATGGCCATTTTCACGATTTTGATTCTTCTTATCCATGATCATGGAATGTTCTTCCATTTGTTTGTATCCTCTTTTACTTTGTTGAGCAGTGGTTTGTAGTTCTCCTTGAAGAGATCCTTCACATCCTTTGTAAGTTGGATTCCTAGGTATTTTATTCTCTTTGAAGCAATTGTGAATGGGAGTTCACTCATGATTTGGCTCTCCGTTTGTCTGTTATTGGTGTATAGGAATGCTTGTGATTTTTGCACACTGATTTTGTACCCTGAGACTTTGCTGAATTTGCCTATCAGCTTCAGGAAATTTTGGGCTGAGACAATGGGGTTTTCTAAATATACAATCATGTCATCTGCAAACAGGGACAAATACACTTCTTATATTGACTAGTTTCTGTTTGTATTGCATTTTAGTTTTTTACCTTCAATCCCTGTTGATTTTATTCATTCCCTCATTCATTCATTCAACTTGAAGTGAAATATTAACACTTCCAAAAGTGAAACGTACCCAAAATATATACTCAGAGAAATATCACTCCACTCTCCTATGCCTTTCACTCACTTGCATACTCTCTGTTCCTCCGATCTGATCCCATTAATTCCCTGTAGGCAACCAAGCTCACTCTTTTCTGAAATTTCTCTCCGTGTTTCTTTTCATAACGTGAAACACATCCTTACTTGCATTCTTATTTCTTCATTTGCTTACACAAAGGTTAACTATAATTAACATTTTTAACTTTTTTAAGTTAAGCATATATTGTGGCAATCTCATCAGTTCATAGAAAGCTTGCTCTTTTTTTATACAGTTGCATAGTTCTCCATTGGTGGACGTCTCATAGTTTACTCAGCTAATCACCTGTGGTACAGTATTTTAAGCTGTTCCTAATATTTTACAATTACAAACGATGTTGTATTTAATAAACTTAAGCATGTATGTTTTTGTATTCTGAGAACTGTGTCTTCAGAGTTAATTTCTAGAATTTGATTGCTAGGTATTTTATATTACTAGATTTTTAAAAAATTGAGTCCATTATGAACTCCTGAAATAAATCCTATTTTTGTATAATGTATTATTTCACTAATATGGTATTGAATTATTTTTTTAATGTTTTATTTTGTATTTTTATAATAATAATATTCACAAATGATATTAATCTGTAAATTTCTTTTATTGTACTAACCTAATCAGATTTAAGTTTCATTGTTATACTTCCTTATAAAAAAGAATTAAGAAATATCCGTTTATTTTCTATGTGCTGAGACAATTCATGTAGCATTGGGACCATCTAGTTTTTGAAGGTTTGGTGGAATTTTCCTGTGAAAATATCTGACAATAGTGCTTTTGTGTGAAATATTTCCTAAATAATTTTTTCTGTTTCTTCTATAGAAGTTGCTATGTGTTCTAAAAACAATATCCAACCATCTAGGTTTTCAGATTTTATTTGTAGGGAATGTCAGCAAATTAGTTTAATATGTGTTTAATTTAATCTCTTTAAATGTTTATTTCACCCCTTGTTATGTATTATGTGAGTATTGGGATTTTCTTTCATTTTCCTCTCAGTAATTTTTTTGTTAATTTTTCTCAAAAAGCAAAACAGGATTTTGAATACAATAGATCCACTGTTTTCAATCTGTCTCATTTATTTTCTGTTTGTATACTTATTATTTCTGTGTGTGTGTATATGTGTTGCTTTGTTTTGTGCTCTTTAACTAGCTTTTGGGGCTGGAAATTCTATAATATTCATTCTTTCATTTTTATTAATACAATGGGATGTTTTCTGAGATATGAGTCATTAGGGACCAGGCACAGTGGCTCACACGTTGGGAAGCTGAAGCAGGTGGATCACTAGAGGTCAGGATTTTGAGACCAGGCTGGGTAACATGGCAAAACCTCCTCTAATAAAAAATACAAAAATTAGCCAGGGGTGGTAGTGCATGCCTGTAGTCCCATCTACTCAGGGGGCTGAGGTATGAGAATCACTTGAACCTAGGAGGTGAAATTTGCAGTGAGCTGAGATCATACCACTGCATTCCATCCTGGGTGTCAGAGTGAGACTCTGGGAGAAAAAAAAGAGAGAGAGAGAGGAAGGAAGGAAGGAAGGAAGGAAGGAAGGAAGGAAGGAAGGAAGGGAGAGAGAGAAAGAAAGAAAAGAAAGAAGAGAGAAAGAAAGAGACAGAGAGAAAGAAGAGAAAGAGAAAGAAAGAAAGAAAAGAAAGAAGGAAAGAGAGAGAGAAAGAAAGAAAGAAAGAAAGAAAGAAAGAAAGAAAGAAAGAAAAAAGAAAGGAGAGAGGGAGGAAGGAAGGAAAGAAGAGAGAGAGAAAGAAAAGAAAGAAGAGAAAAAGAGAGAGAAAGAAAGAAAGAGAGAAGGAGGGAGGAAGGAAGGAGAGAAAGAAGAGAGAGAGGAAAGAAAGAAGAAGAAAGAGAAAAAGAAAGAAAGAAAGAAAGAAAGGAGAAAGAAAAAGGAAGGAAGGAAGGAAGGAAGGAAGGAAGGAAGGAAGGAAGGAAGGACGGGAAATGAGTTGTTAGGTGATTCTGTCATTGGGCAAACCATATAGAGTTTACTTACAAAAACCTAGATGGTATAGCCTACCACACGCCTAGGCTATATGGTATAGCCTATTGCTCCTAAGGCTACAAATCTGAACAGCATGTTTCTGTACTGAATACTGTAGACAATCATAACACAATGATAAGTATTTGTGTTTCTAGACATAGAAAAGGCACAGTAAAAAAATTACAGTATTATAATAATATGGGACCACTGCTATATATGCTCTCTGAAGTTCACAAACATATCATTATACAGAGCATGACTGTATAAGCATATAAAAGTTACACATTTTCTACCGGCTATTGCTTTAAATGCATATCACAGATTTTGAGATGCAATTTTTTAAACTTCTGATTATGAGATAATTGTAGATTCACATGCACTTGTAAGAAATAATACGGAGATCCAGTGTATCCTTCATTTAGCTTCCCTCAATGCTAACAACTTGCTCAACTGTATTACAATAGCACAACTAGGAAATTAACATTAACGGAATCTATTAACTGTATTCAGATTTTACCAGTTTTGCATACATTTGTGTGTGTGTGTATGTAATGGTTAATTTTATACATCCATTTGACTGGCCTGAGGGATGCCCAGATAGCTGGTAAAACATTCCTGAGTATGTCTGTGAGGGTGTTTCCTGGAGAGATTAGCATTTGAATCAGTAGATGAGTAAAGTGGATCCACCCTCACCAATGTGGGAGGGTGTTATATAAAACTGTTAGGCCCAGATAGAATGAAAGGGTGACGTGAGGGCAAGTTCACTTTCTCCTCTTGAGCTGGTACATCCATTTTCCCCTGCTCTCACACATTGGAACTCCTTGTTCACAGGCCTTCAGACTCCAGGACTCACACCTGCAGCTCCCTCCCCTGGCTCTCAGGCCTACAGCTTTGGACTGGAAGCTGTATCATTGGGTATCCTGGTTCTTAGGCCTTCGGGCTCAGACTGAATTACACCACCAGCTTTCCTGGTTCTCCAGCTTGCAAATGGAATTTAATGGAACTTCTCAGTTCTCACCACCATGTGAGCCAATTCTCATAATAAATCCCCTTCTATAGGGGTGTGTGTGTGTACTTAATTCAATTGATTCTGTTTCTCTGATGAACCCTGGGTAATGCAGTGTGTGTGTGTGTGTGTGTGTGTGTGTTTGTTTAATTAATTCTATGAAATGTTATCACATATATTTGTATGATTGCTATTAAAGTCAAGAAACTGAAAAGAAACTGAACAGTTCCCTTAGCATTTCTTGTGCTACCTGTTTACAGCCACAACAAACTAGATTTCTCTCTGTCTCCTTGCCCATGGCAACACATAAATCTGTTTAATGAGTGATCCAGTTTCTTTGCATCCTTGTCAGCATTTGGTATTATAACTATTTTTTTTTTAATTTCAGCCTTTCTGATATATGTGCAGGGCTAGCTCACTATGGTTTTAATTTGCATTTCCCTAATGGTGAATAATGCTGAACATCTCATGTACTTATTTGCCATCTGTATATCCTCTGCTGTGAAATGTATGTTCATGTCTCTTGTCAATTTTCTATTTGGGTTTCTTACTTTTATAGTTAGATTTGATAATTTTATTTTATATATTCTAAATACAAGTTATTTTTTACATGTGTGGTTTGCAAATCTTTTCCCACAATCTATAGCTTGTCATTTTATCCTCTTCACAGGATAGAGCAAAAGGTTCTGTACAGTAAAACTTTTTTGTTTAGCAAGGTTTATAACTTTGATGAGGTCTATTTTTATCACTTTTTACTTTTATGGAATATGTTTTCGGTGTCAAGTCAAATAACTTTCACTTAGCACCACATCCCAAAGATTTTCTCTTATGTTTTTAGTAAAATTCTGTGGCGTTACATTTTACATTTAAGTTCATAAGCCACTTAGGTTAATTTTTGTAAAAGGAGTGAGATTTTAGATTGAGATTTTGTTTTAGTTTTTTTTTTTTTTCTACAGTGCTCAATTGCCGCAGCACCATTTATTAAAACATCTATCTTTCCTCCATTGTTTTTATGTCTTTGTCACTAATTAGTTGGCAAAATATGTCTTTTCCTCTACCAACTCCACCAATACCACACAATCTTCGTTACTCTAGCTACACAGAAATCCTTAGTATCAAACAGGATCATTCCTTCCACTTTATTCTTTATTTTTCCAAAATTCTTTTGGCTATTTCAGCTACAGTGCCTTTCTATATGAATTTTAGAATATGTTTATGTCAACAAAAAGTTTACCTGGGGTTTCTTATAGGAATTGCATTATATCTACAGATCAGTTTGGGGAGTATTAACTTTTTTTTTTTTTCTGTAAGGAGGTTTCAAAACAATGAACATGGAATGCCTCTTTACTTGTTTAAGCCTTGTTTAATTTTTTTCATCAGCATTTTGGAATTTTTACCATATATTGTAAATTTTTTAGATTTGTATTTAGGAATTTCATTTTCTCTGGAGCTAATGTAAATGGTTTTGTATTTTTATTTCAGTTTCATTCTTTGTATATGAATAAATTTTTGTCTGTTGAGCTCAAATCCTGCAACCCGAATGACCTCAATGTACTTGCTAGATCTAAGAATCTCTTTTTGTAGATTCTTGAAACTATTTACATAAACAATTATAAGTGGGTATAATTTTAGTTTTCCTTTTCACCTATAAACATTAAATTCCTTTTCTTACCATATTGCACTGGCTGGGGTGTCTCCATTATTATTATTTTAGTTGTGCATCTCCTTTCACCAATGTATTAATTATGTCTTTTTTTATTCCATATTTTTGATATCTTAGGGCCTTGCTGAACCTGGAGGAACTGCCCCTCTCAGGGCTAATTCCTAGACAAGGCATAGAACTCACCTCTGAACACACCTGTCATGTGCAACCAACCAACCTTCATACCCCCAAACCACCTCCTTCATTGGGCTCTCTCACACTTTAGGCAAGTATCCACCTGCCCTTATCACCTCAGGGCCAGGTACCAAACAACTTGGGGCAGTCCCTATGTCCCAGGGCCCACTAGAATTACTCAAATTAGCCCATCCTAAACCTGCTTACCTTGTCTTGCCTGTCCCTTTCTACAGAAACCACAATAAACTCTCTTGCCCACATTTTCCCACTCCACCTGCATCCTGACCATTCTGGTGCTTCCCCATGTGGCCTCCCCATGGCAAGGCATGGCCCCTCCTCCTGGGATCTGTGTATATAACAAACTGTCTTTCCAATGGCAGTCCTCTCTTGATCTCTTCGCCTTGCCATACCTAAATAACAATAAAACTTTTATTTTAAAACAACAAAAGAGTTTATCAATAGAAGATTTTTATTACTGTTGGAAATACCCTTTTGATTTTTATATCTTGTAACTAGTTTCTAGTTTTATTGCATTGTTAGAAAATGTTATTAGTCTATTCTCTTTTGTCAGGGCATAGAGATCAATATCTAACTATAAGATGTATCTAGTTGATTTTGTTGTTCAGGTCTATATACTTACTTGTCATCTTAAACTAAGAGAGATGTATAAAAGTCTCTAATATTCAGTATGTTTCTACCAATGTCTTCTTACATTGCCTGTAGTGCTTGCTTCATAAGGGTAGTTATTTGGTGCATTGGTGATCATAATTATTATATTTTTTATTTTGAAATGAAATGTGCCTTTCTTTGTCCTATATAATAACTTTTGACTTGAATTCTACTTGTCTGATATCAGAATTTCAATCTACACTTTCTTATTATTTCCATTTGCCTGTAATTCCTTTGTCCTTCTCTTTGTTTTGAACCTTTCCAAATCCTTTTGTTTAGGTTTGTTCTTATATGCATTAAACAGTTGAATTTTGCTTTGAGTTAAACTGAGAATCTCTTCCTTTCAATAAGTAGGTTAAGCCCATACACATTTATTAAGATGATTGATATGCTTAGTCTCTACCCTGCCCAATTATTTAAGTTATAATTACAATATCTGTTCTATTTGATTTCTCTATGTAATATGTTCTCTTTATTTGTTTATTTTAAAACTGAAATAACATTTTATTTTCTGTCCTAATGGCTATCTTTACACTTTTAAATTGCCCCTTTGTTCTCATTTTCTTATCTAACCTTTTACTGGCTGGTCAGTTTGTGATGCTATACTTTGACTATACCTATTGCCTACGCAAAAATTAATCAATTTATTCTACTTGCCTTTTTGCCACTCCCTTGTCCCCTTTTTAGCCGTATTATTTCTTCTGTCCAAAGGTATATTACTATATTATATTTTATTACTCATCTCCACCCTTGTTTTAGTTTCAGATCATCAATTTAAAATACTAAATACATATCAGCAGGGTTTTTTTGCTGAAATTTCGTCTGTTACCCTTTGATTGGATAAAGCTCATCTTCTCTTAGAATGCTCAAGAAATAAACCTCAATATCTTGAATGTTTTAAATTTTTTATTTATAGCCTTCACACTTGAAGGATAGCTTACCTAGGTAAAAAAGCTTTGTTCAGACATTCTTTCCTTGAGTGTCCTGAAAATGGTGTCCTGAAAATGTTACTCATTGTTGTCTTTATTTATATGCTGTTTTGAGAAGGCTGATAGTCTAATTTTCATGAAATGTATTTATTTGTTTGCTTGTTTATTTAGGCTGAGGCAGGGGGCCTTGGTCATATTTTATTTTTAAAGTTTAATTGTTTTATAAAAATATGTCTATGGTTTGATTTTTCTGATTCGATCTCCACAGGTAATTGGGTAGCTCTGCTGATTAATGTCATTTTATTTCTGGAAATTGTTCCTGTCTTATATATATAAATACTAGTTTTGTTTCCGTGTTTTGTTTTTCTTCTTCAATAACTTCAAATTATGCTTATGTGGATCTTCTTTGCTTGCATATTTCAACCACTGTTTCTCTGGCCCAATTTACTTCTTTCTTATCTCAATTTTTATTCTCTTTGATGTTTTCCTACTTTTGTTTCTCGGCATCTTGTAATTTAGTCTTATTATTATAAAATTTTCTCTTTATCTTCTATATCTTTCCTAAGATCAATCAAATACCATTTTATTTCTTGATGGTTTGGGTACATTTCTGTCCTTTCTAAAATTACTAACCTAAGATTATTGGTTTTTTTAATATTAGCAAATGTTTGAGAATATGTAATGTATTTCACAATACTGGTAACATTTCTGCTGTGTGTGGTGGGAGGGAGAAGCTTTCATTAGCTAAGATAGTTTGATTCTTGTTTTTAGTTTTCTCGGATAGTGTCTTTCTGGAAGTCAAAATTTATTTTGCCATGAATTTCATGGACAGGACTCTTGACTTAGGGTGATTTAAAGCATTCTTAAAGAAGGCCTACCCCACATTTTGTCATGGTGGGAAAGTGCAATTTCTTTAATTGATGGCACTTAGAGGACAGGTTTTATGTTTTGTGCTCTGTTATTTTATTTATTTATTTGAGACAGGGTCTTGCTCTATAGCACAGGCTGGAGGGCAGTGGTACAATTGTAGCTCACTATAGCCTTGACCCCTGGGCTCAAGCAGTCCTACTAACTCAGCCTCCCGAGAAGCTGGGACTACAAGCACCACCACACCTGGCTAACTTAAAAAAAAAAAAAAAAAAAACTTGTAGAGACAGAGTCTAGCTATGTTGTCCAGGCAGGTTTTGCTCTGTGATTTTTGACTTTTCTTTTGTCTTTCAGTACTTTAAGTCCCCACTTGCTCTGTTTGTCTCTTCACTGCACAATTTTCAAAGTCTGACTCTCTCTTCTTTCTTCCCTTATTCTTCCCAGAAGAAATAGCTTTCCAAGACTGTATCCTTTTTAGATCCCTTATCTGTAGCCAATATACTGATATACAAGGCTCTTTTTCAGTATTTTGGCACTTAACATGGGCTTTCTTTTTTCTAGTGGTAATGTTAGCTCAGTCATAAGCCCTCCTTTTGCTTCTCCTATCTTCCACTTGGTTTTTCAAGATGCCTACCCCTTACTCTCTGCAAAGGTCAGTGGAAGCTCAGCAAACAACTCTACGAAAGTGATGTTTATAGTTCTACTTACAGGTAATTTGAAGCAGTGGTGTTCCCTGTTTTTTACTTGAGATTTGTGGGTTTCTCTGTTGTTTTTCATATTGAATTGTATTGTTTTGAAGAGTATGTTGGGAGATTTTAATTGAGATGACCACCATTACTTTGGCTATTCCAATTCCATCAGTTTACTTGATATGGTTTGGATGTGTCCCCACCCAAATCTCATCTTGAATTGTAGTTCCCATAATTCCCAGGTGTCATGGGAGGGACCAGGTGGGAGGTGATTGAATCATGGGGGTGGTTACCTTCATGCTGTTTTCATGATACTGGCAATTTCTCACATGATCTGATGGTTTTATAAGGGGCTTTTCTCCCTTTTGCTTGGCACTTCTCCTTGCTGCTGCCCTGTGAAGAAGGACGTGTTTCCTTCCCCTTCCGCCATGCGTGTAAGTTTCCTCAGGCCTCCCAAGTCATGCTGAACTGTGAGTCAACTAAACCTCTTTTCTTTATAAATTACCCAGTCTCAGGTATGTCTTTATTAGCAGTGTGAGAACAGACTAATATAGTACTTTTTAAAAAGTTGTGTTTCATCTATAGGCTCTTAATTATTGCAGAAGATAATATAAGCTTCTCTAGATTTTATTCAAAAATCTTCACGATATGTCTTAAATTTAATTTTGTGCCTTCAGCAGCCAAATCTTACTCCTAGCCCTGTACACCTATCTTCTATTTTAATAACCTGCACCACAGTTTTTTACATTCCTTAATTTTGCCATGTATTTCTCATCTTTATACTTTTGCTGTGCTCTCTCCTCCCCTAAAACTGCCCTCCATTAACTTATTCACCACTTAAAAGTATTATTTGTTTACTGGGTTTCTACCCTTTCCCCTTAGGTTTAATTAAATTTTTACTCTATGATTATATGAAGAGAAATCAAATCAGGAGTCATTTCCCACTCTTGAGACTGGTACCATGGGGTGGAATAACTAGATGCAACATTTAAGCGAGATAATCTTTTTCTCTATTCCAAAACTAATTTCAAAGGAAGGAACAAATTCAACTAAATCAATCATTTGTGATTCATTAAAACTGACTCCCACTTAGCATTTTGGCAACATATGCTAACCTTTTCCTTGGTAAACATTGTGATTATGAAATTTCAATTCCTGTGATATTTCGTATTCTCCCAAAGAGAGGTTTTTAAAACATCAGACATTTTAGATAATTAAAGTCGAATTTTTCACAGCATAAATATTTTCTATCCTTGATTAACCATTACATGAGACATAATTAGGAGGCTGGATGTCAATATTAAATTTTAAAAAGAGATATGCTTTTTACATAAAAAGGCACTTTGATATTTTCCAATTCATAAATGTGGGTGTTGACTTCTACCATCACTTGTCTTCATAAACTAGAGTGTGCTTTGAATTATATCTAAACATCTACAGCAGAATATGGAGGAAATGAAACTTTGGGGAAGTCTCATTCACTGACAACCCATGAAGTACCTTATCAAGAATTTCTGAAGAATCTATTACCTTTCAGTTCCTAACATTTCTTATACTGTGGGGATTGGCCTACTCTAGGTAAACTAAATTTATGAAGCCCTTGTAGTTCCAACTTGATGTTGTAAGTTTGTTGCTGATTTGGGCATATTTTGCTTACTGAGGGACTTATTACTGAAATAATTTGGCTAAACTTTGAGGTACAATACAATTAAATATAGAAATATTGAAACCTTATTCCTCATAGGCTATATATTTAGGCAAATACCACATTATCCACCACATTGCCCCTTAGAAAATTGACATTTGGAGTTCTTCCCTTTATGTGCCCATGACCCTCTAAATGGTATTTTCCCAAATGAATAATTTCACTGAAGGAGTGGAGGAAATATTTATAACCAAGGGAATTTTCCTAGTACACCTTATCAGACTACTACACAGATAGCTGGCCTTAATATCAAGATACAAAACACATCAAATAATTTTGGAAATCAAATTTAATGCTCTTTAGCTGATGAAAAGGTAATGACTTCTTCCCTGGCTTCCTTTCCTACTTACATATTTCTGTCCCTCTACTTTGCCCTCAAGTATGCACAACACAAATTGGATTTTCTTAGTCAGGTTGGAAGATACCCCTGTCCAGAAAACAAACTTAATTTTTTTCTGTGATGAAAAAAGTCTGTACATTAATGAGAACATTTTGTAGAAGTGATTAATATGAAAAATTAGAGTGAAGCAGTCACAACTCTTACTTTTTCAAGGTTATCTTTCCTGTTGCTTTTAGCCATAGTCCTACATAAGGATGACTGTCCCTTTTCCTTCCTTCTTTCTCTCTCCTTTCCTCCCTTCCTTCCTTCCTTCCATTAAGCAAGATAATCTTTTTCTCTCTTCTAAAACTAATTTCAAAGGAAGGAACAAATTCAATAAATCAATCATTTATGGTTCATTAAAACTGACTCCCACTTAGCATTTTAGTAACATATGCTAACCTTTTCCTTTCTCCCTCCCTCTCTTCCTTCCTTCCCTCCATTCCTTCTTTTTCCTCCCTCCATCTCTCTCTCTGTGTCTTTCTCTCTCTCTCGTAGTCTGACTTCTCACTGGAGAAAAATTTATATTAGGTGGAAATTATATTTGAAAGCCTAGTTCATCTGGGCTGGCAAAAGAATGATGAAGAAATGTTTTGTCACGAGATTGTTCTCTGCAGTGGAAAACATTGATTTCAATGATTTGTCTATCAACTGCCAATATACCAAACATGTATTAATTTGTTTTGTCATAAATTCTGCACATTTTATATTTAATATACAATAGTTTTTTTTCAAAAACATTTGATGAGCATCTCATTGGAGTATGAGTACAGAAAAAGATTTCTATATGTTTTATTGACTGTGTTTTTTGAAGTAAGTATTAAGTGAGCAATCGAAATAGAAACTTGAGGAAGTAATGTCTGTAACTGATATTTAGCTAGTTCCAAGGTAAAATTATAACTACAAATCTATCAAACCATTACTAAGATGACCTTAATAGATTTAGATTACCATCATATACTTTTAACTTGTCTCCCCGCTTTGACTCTAGACTCCTCCATTCTTCACACAGCAGTACAAGGGATCTTTTCATAATCTAAATCAATTCGTGTCATGCTTGTGCTCAACACTACCCAATGGCTTCTTATGTCAGAGCCTACTCATATTCCGCCAATGCCTACTTACTATTTTGGGGGAGTAATTGGACCCCTGATGTATTCATGAATGATTAGAATAAAAACTACATTTTCTTCTTTATCTCAGACCTAGAGGTAACCATGAGATGAAATGAAATTCTATTCAATGGAATGGAATCAGAAGTGTCTTAAACAATTTCTGGGACATAACTTTTTAGATAGAGGTATTTTCTTTGCTCCTTTGTATTTTATGGTTGTTGAAATACAGAGTTGATGACTGGAGCTCATTCAGCCATTTCAGTCCCTGAGGCAGAAGTCATAGTCTGAGTATGATTGAACAGCAAGAGAGAGGATCTTAGGTCCCTGAGAGTTTTATGAATTTCAACAAGATGCCTATATCTTGATGTCTTTATATGAAAGTGAATGAATATTTATCTTTCCTGGAAAGAGACAGAGAGAGAGGGAGAGGGAGAGAGGGGGAGAGAGAGAGAGAGGGAGGGAGAGAGAATATACATATTATATATATATTATATATATATTATATATATATATATATATATATTCTAGTGCTTCTGCTTACATTCCATTGAATGGACTTCTGCTTACACTTCTGCGTACATTCCATTTAATAGAATTTAATCTTGTGGCTAACTCTAGCTCTGAGATAAAGTGGAAAATGTAGCTTTTATTCTAATTATTTGTGAATACATCAGGGGTACAATTTCCCCAAAAGAATAGTAACTATGCATTGGAGGAATATGAGTAGACTCCGACGTAAGAAGCCATTGGGTGGTGTTGAGCACAGGCATGACACAAACTGATTTAGATTATGAAAGGATCACTTGGACTGCTGTGTGATGAATGGAGGAGTCTAGAGTTGAAGCAAGGAGACCAGCTAGAAGTCTATGATAGTAATCTAAATTCTATCAAGATCATCTTAGTAATGGTTTAATAGATATGTATTTATAAGATATATAAGTTATAAGGTTTACTTTGGAACTGGACAAATATCAGTTACTGACCCTACTTCCTCAAGTTTTTATTGCCTTGATTATTCACTTAATATTTACTTCAAAAAACACAGTCAATAAAAAATGTAGAAATATTTTTCTGTACCCCTACTCTAATGAGATACTCATTGAAAGATAGAAGATTCATTCACTTCCATATATGTGTGTGTGTTTGTCTGTGTGTCTGTATACGTATATATTTCATTGATGCCTAATTCTAACTTTTCACAAAATTGAGAGGGAAATTTAAAATCTTCTTCATGGCTTGTATGTTCCTATATGACTCAGTCCTTGGCCTTGTTATTTCCTAACCTTCATCCTCATTCATTCTAGTACAGCTATGCCAAACTTCTTGCTGCTCCTTAGAGCACACCACACCATAAGGTTGTCCTTTCTCCCCTTCAGACTGCAATGCTCTTTCCCCAGATACTCACATAAGTTTAGTCTGATCTCGGCTTGGATCTTTTCCAGAAATGCCTTCTAGTCACCATATATTAAATAAAAGCACAAGTTAGTCTTTCTTTGCCTGCTACTTCTTTTGTGTACTTATTAATCTCAGCTAATATATTATATATTTTATTTGTCTTTTACTTCATCTGTCTTCTCTGTTAGAAGGTAAGTTCCATGAGGGTAGGCACTTCAATTTGTTTACGATGCTATCTCCTAGACCAATAACTGTTCCAGGTACAGGTACTTACCCACAAAATGTTCTTATACTATTCTTATAATATCATAAAGTATACATCCTATGTACTACACACAGGACATCCAGGATACAGTTAGGCTGGTAAACTGATAAGACACTGATTATCATTTCGATGGTCAGTTTGTTAAAGGACCCCCGAAGAATCTTCAGAGTGTTACTTGGTGAATTCTTATGTTGTTCTGTGAGTTTTACATACAGAAAACAGGAGAATTTTGCTGATATTAGACCCTAAGTTCAGTTTTTTTAATGGGAAAGTGACTGTTACACCGCAACCTGACCTGGACAATTTTTGACTCAACATGATACTATCTAACATTATGTAATTCAAAATTCTGGAAATATACTGATTTCACACTACTGTGGAAATGTTTGGATATAAGTGTGTTATGGATGGGAGTAGAAATTTCCCTCATGAATATTCCCACAGTCAATTATACTGGACAGATTCTCAATCCTGGGGAAGAAAATTCCTAAAGAGCCTCAAGAGGTGCACTATAGCTGAGAAGTGTGAACATCTTTCATTTTCTCTAAATGTTTTGGACATTCGGCCTAGAATCAGTGAGACACAGGTAGTTCCCACATTGGTGGAGGCAACCTGGATGTAAACAGGAAGACGTGGGGCTGATAAAAACTCTGCAGTATAGGGCTGCAACTGTGTAATAATTGTGAATTATTTTCTATGCTGTATTTTCTTCTAGTGTGTGGTCAAGCCTTCGGTAAAATCTTGACAAATGTTCTCTAGGTCATGAAGAAGTAAGGAAAAGGGACTATTCCACATATTAGGATAAGGCAGTCAGAGAGAAAGTAGAGTCCCTTTCCAAAATTCAGAGAGCTGGTCTCTTGGTATGGATGTGCCCAAAATAGTGGCAATTAACCCAGGTGATATAGCTGAGACAGCAGTGCCATATAATAATAACAAAGTTGGAGGGGCAAATCAGAAGGACCTGACACAAGAGCCAGAACTCTGAAAAAATTTTAGAAATTGTTACGCCTCAGAATTTGAGAAAGTGTTCATTTCTGCACTAAAGCATGTGGGAGGTCATTCCATTTTAAAGAAGTCTACGTAGGTAAGATCTCCCTTATATATTCTTTCTATTTATATACCAGAGATCATTCATTTAAAAAAAAGAGCATTTTTCACATTATACTGAAAATTATTGCTTTTTACCCAGCACAAGCCTGTACATTCTTTAAAGACAGGAACTGCCTCATTTATCCATGTATTCCCAGTAACCAGCACACTGCTAAGCAAAGTGAACCCTCCATAAATATTTGTAGAAGGCAGAAACAAATCTTTTAAATAGCATTTACACTCATTCCCATGATTTGAATGAAATAACATATACAAAATATGTGTCTTAATAATGTTAATTGAATCTTAAGTTGTGCCAAGGGCCTTGTACAAACAAAAACTAAAAAAAAAAAAAAAAAAAAAAAAAAATCAGCAAGGAATATTTTAGAATACCTTTATCGCAAAAGCACTTGTGCATTGTTATAGAATAAGAGGTTAAATGACACGAAAATAATGTTCTACATCATTAAAATTCAATAATTTTCTTCTTCACATTTTTACAATTCCTACTCTGTCTTTCAAAATTACAAAACGAGAATTTGGAATAGAGAAAATCCTATGGAAGAAACATGAGAATAAAAAGGTATTTTTCTCTCAATCCAACTGTGACCTAATTCTAAGAAAACACACTAGCTCTAAATTATGATGTCTCTAAATACTTAACTTCCTTCCTCAAGTGTAAGTTCTTGGTATTTTTTTCTTTTTCTTTTTTTTTTTTTTTTTTGAGACAGATTCTCTCTCCACTTCCTGGGCTCAAGCAATTCTCCTGGCTCAGCCTCCCGAGTAGCTGGGATTACAGGCACATGCCACCGTGCCCAGCTGATTTTTGTATTTTTAGTAGAGACAGGGTTTCACCATGTTGCCCAGGCTGGCCTTGAACTCCTGACCTCAGGTGATACACCCATCTTGGCCTCCCAAAGTGCTCGGATTAAAGGCATGAGCCACGGCACCAGGCCAGTTCTTGGTATTTCTTAGGCTAAAGCAAATGATGGCTGATGCCCGATCCCTCACTAGATACTTGTTAGCAACAGTTCTGGCAGATATAACATACCAATTGCAACCACATTCTATTGTGTGTAGTGTAAAAGGAAAATTGGTAAAAAAAAAACCAAACATCTAAGTTCTTATTTATGATCTTAGCAGTTCAAAGGTTATGAAAGGAAAACATTTTGCCACAGTTCTCAGGAATTAGCAAAAATTCAATTGTGTCATAGTTCATTTGTTTGGCATCCTTCTTTCTTAAGTCAGCCAAATGCAAGGACATTCAGCTCCTGTCTTCTTTTAACAGCAGTCATTTGGACTGGGAAGCTTCCAGCCTAAGGTCAATCTTACGGATACTGATTGCTTTTCTGAAACATACTATTACATTAATTGATGCCCATTTACTCTGTGTACACAGGGATACACAGACATAAACATTTAGTACTTTGGCAAATTGATATAATTAAAACAGAAAAGTAAGAATGACAGATGAATTTCATATGTTTTAGAGTCAGATTAATAGCCAAAAATGAAATGATGCCTGTTCCCATTATATAAGGGAACATCATTGTTTCTTTCTACAACAGATTTTAATGAAAAAGTTTTGAGATCTGAGCTCGAATTGTATTTCACCAGGAATTATTAAGCTCAGAATAACAGAAAATAGTAAGGCACTACTTAATAAGTGTAAGAACAGAAATTGATGTTTCATTGCCAAGGATTAGTTTTCTTAACTGTGGTTTCCTCTTTATAAACAGATTTACAGCTTCTGTCATCTCTGTGTACTTTCATAACATTAAAAATAAACTTGGAAAGACTGATGCCCACAAGATGGAAGAATAGGAAGTCCTAGCGTTTAGTTCCCCCAGAGAAACAGCAAACAATAATATATACATGAAAATACCGTTATGAGAAGTCTACAATGTAGGTAAAGAGTTGCAGCACACCACATGAGCACAAAACCAAGAAGAGCCACACTGAAATGGATATGAGTAATTTCACTTTATCCACATCAGCCTTTCCCCCAAACTGGCACAGCTCAGCAGAGAGAGAGATCGCCTGGCCCATGACTTCTACAAAGGGAGTAAAGAGAGGGTGAACCATAAGCCTAACTTCCCAGCTTTTCAATACGCTCCACAAGAGGCCAGTTTCAGTGTTACCTCATACAAAGTGCTGAACGAAGCAGCATACTTCAGATTACTGGAACAGCTTGGAACAAAGAAAAAGGGGTGGGCACGCCCCTACAGCTAGCACAGATCTGCAAGATTGGAAACCGTACAGAACTGAGACTTCTCCCTCAGGAAAGAACATGAATGGGACATGACTCTAATATCCTGTGACTCCAATGTCCCTGGCCTTTCAGCACACTACTCAAGGAGCCAGTGCCTCTCTTGCCTTACACTGAGCACTAAAGGAACTGACATATTCTAACACCAGCAGGAGCAAGAAACCATGGGCTTTAAAAATAAAAAGACTGGATGCCCGGGCAGCTAGGAACACAGGCCTGGAATCCCTAGCCAGGCTGATCAGGAAACTTTTTTCTGTCAAAGCCAGTCTATGGAGAATTACTAGAAGAGCTAGTTGTTTCTTCAAATGTGTAGACGTCAATACAAAGCTACAAAAAATAGGAAAAGATCAGGAAAGCATGATACAATCAAATAAAGAAAACAAATCTCCAGTAATGGATCCTAAAGAAAGGGAGATATAAAAACTATTTGACAAAGAATTCAAGATAGTCATCTTCAAGAGGCTCAGGAGTTGCAAGAGAACACAGACAGTTAAATAAATTCTGAAAAATAATACATAAGTAAATTAAGAATGTAAACAAAGTAATAGAAGTATTTCTTTAAAGAACAAAACAAAAATTCTGGAACTGAAGAATACAGCTGAAATAAAATATTCAATGTAAGTGTTCAAAAGCATATTTAATCAAGCAGAAGAAAGAATTAGTGAACTGGGAGGGGTGGAACCAAGATGGCCAAATAGGAACAGCTCTAGTCTACAGCTCCCAGCATGAGCGACACAGAAGATGGGTGATTTCTGCATTTCCAACTGAGGTACTGGGTTCGTCTCACTGGGGAGTGTCAGAAAGTGGGTGTAGGACAGTGGGTGCAGTGCACCGAGTGTGAGCCAAAGAAGGGTGAGGGAAGTGAAAGGGGTCAGTGAATTCCCTTTCCTAGTCAAAGAAAGGGGTGACAGACAGCACCTGGAAAATCGGGTCACTCCCAACCTAACACTGCAGTTTTCCAATGGTCTTAGCAAACAGCACACCAGGAGATTATATCCCGCGCCTGGCTCAGAGGGTCCTATGCCCACGGAGCCTTGCTCATTGCTAGCACAGCAGTCTGAGATCGAACTGCAAGGTGGCAGCGAGGCTGGGGGAGGGGCACCCACCATTGCCAAGGCTTGAGTAGGTAAACAAAGTGGCCAGGAAACTCAAACTTGATGAAGCCCACCGCAGCTCAAGGAGGCCTGCCTGCCTCTGTAGACTCAACTTCTAGGGGCAGGGCACAGCCAAACAAAAGGCAGCAGAATCCTCTGCAGACTTAAATGTCCCTGTCTGACAGCCTTGAAAAGAGTAGTGGCTCTCCCAGCATGCAGCTGGAGATCTGAGAAAGGACAGACTGCCTCCTCAAGTGGGTCCCTGACCCCCAAGTAGTCTAACTGGGAGGCACCCCCCAGTAGGGGCAGAATGACACCTCACACACCCGGGTACTCCTCTGAGACAAAACTTCCAGAGGAATGATCAGGCAGCAACATTTGCGGTTCACCAATATCTGCTGTTCTGCAGCCTCCGCTGCTGATACCCGGGCAAACAAGTCTGGAGTGGACCTCCAGCAAACTCCAGCAGACCTGCAGCTGAGGGTCCTGACTGTTAGAAGGAAAACTGACAAACAGAAAGGACATCCACACCAAAACCCCATCTGTACATCACCATCATCAAAGACCAAAGGTAGATAAAACCACAGATATGGGGAAAAAACAGAGCAGAAAAACTGGAAACTCTAAAAATCAGAGCACCTCTCCTCCTCCAAAGGAATGCAGCTCCTCACAAGCAATGGAACAAAGCTGGATGGAGAATGATTTTGACAAGTTGAGAGAAGAAGGCTTCAGATGATCAAACTACCCCAAGCTAAAGGAGGAAGTTCGAACCCATGCCAAAGAACTTAAAAAGCTTGAAAAAAAAGTAAACAAATGGCTAACTAGAATAACCAATGCAGAGAGGTCCTTAAAGGACTGATGGAGCTGAAAACCAAGGCACAAGAACTACGTGATGAATGCACAAGCCTCAGTAGCTGATTCGATCAAGTGGAAGAAAGGGTATCAATGATGGAAGATGAAATGAATGAAATGAAGTGAGAAGTTTAGAGAACAAAGAATAAAAAGAAATGAACAAAGCCTCCAAGAAATATAGGACTATGTGAAAAGACCGAATCTACATCTGATTGGTGTACCTGAGAGTGATGGGGTGAATGGAACCAAGTTGGGAAGCACTCTGCAGGGTATTATCCAGGAGACCTTCCCCAATCTAGCAAGGCAGGCCAACATTCAAATTCAGGAAATACAGAGAATGCCACAAAGATACTCCTCGAGGAGAGCAACTCCAAGACACATAATTGTCAGAGTCACCAAAGTTGAAATGAAGGAAAAAATGTTAAGGGCAGCCAGAGAGAAAGGTTGGGTTACCCACAAAGGGAAGCCCATCACACTAACAGCGGATCTCTCGGCAGAAACTAGGCAAGCCAGAAGAGAGTGGGGGCCAATATTCAACATTCTTAAAGAAAAGAATTTTCAACCCAGAATTTCATATCCAGCCAAACTAAGCTTCATAAGGGAAGGAGAAATAAAATACTTCACAGAAAAGCAAATGCTGAGAGATTTTGTCACCACCAGGCCTGCCCTAAAAGAGTTCCTGAAGGAAGTACTAAACATGGAAAGGAAAAACCGAAACCAGTCACTGCAAAAACATGTCAAATTGTAAAGACTTTTGAGGCTAGGAAGAAACTGCGTCAACTAATGAGCAAAATAACCAGCTAACATCATAATGACAGGATCAAATTCACACATAACAATATTAACCTTAAATGTAAGTGGGCTAAATGTTCCAATTAAAAGACACAGACTGGTAAATTGGATAAAGAGTCAAGACCCACCAGTGTGCTGTATTCAGGAAACCCATCTCACATGCAGAGACACACATAGTCTCAAAATAAAGGATTGGAGGAAGATCTACCAAGTATATGGAGAACAAAAAAAGGCAGGGGTTGCAATCCCAGTCTCTGATAAAACAGACTTTAAACCAACAAAGATCAAAAGAGATAAAGAAGGCCCTTACATCATGGTAAAGGGATCAATTCAACAAGAAGAGCTAACTATCCTAAATATATATGCACCCAATATAGGAACACCCAGATTCATAAAGCAAGTCCTTATGAGAGATGACAGCATGCTGGCAGTCCTCACAGCCCTCACTCACTCTTGGCACCTCCTCTGCCTGGGCTCCCACTTTGGCAGCACTTGAGGAGCCCTTCAGCCCACCGCTGCACTGTGGGAACCCCTTTCTGGGCTGGCCAAGGCCGGAGCCGGCTCCCTCAGCTGGCAGGGAGGTGTAGAGGGAGAGGCGCGAGTGGGAACTGGGGCTGCACATGGTGCTTGCAGGCCAGCTGGAGTTCTGGGTGGGTGTGGGCTTGGTGGGCCCTGCACTTGGAGCAGCCGGCCAGCCCTGCCAGCCCCAGGCATTGAGGGGCTTAGCACCCGGGCCAGCGGCTGTAGAGGGGGTACTGGGTCCCCCAGCAGTGCCAGCCCACTGGCACTGTGCTCAATTTCTCGCCAGGCCTTAGCTGCCTTCCCACGGGGCAGGGCTTGGGACCTGCAGCCCACCATGCCTGAGCCTCCCACCCCCTCTGTGGGCTTCTGTGTGGCCCGAGCCTCCCCAAAGAGCGCCAACCCTGCTTCATGGTGCCCAGTCCCATTGACCACCCAAGGGCTGAGGAGTGTGGGTGCATGGTGTGGGACTGGCCGGCAGCTCCACCTGCAGCCCCGGTGTGGGATCCACAGGGTGAAGCCAGCTGGGCTCCTGAGTCTGGTGGGGACATGGAGAAACTTTATGTCTAGCTAAGTGATTGTAAATACACCAATCAGCACCGTGTGTCTAGCTCAGGGTTTGTGAAGGCACCAATCGACACTCTGTATCTAGCTACTCTGGTTGGGCCTTGGAGAACATTTATGTCTAGCTAAGGGATTGTAAATACACCAATCGGCACTCTGTATCTAGCTCAAGGTTTGTAAACACACGAATCAGCACCCTGTATCTAGCTCAGGGTTTGTGAATGCACCAATCGACACTCTGTACCTAGCTAATCTGGTGGGGACATGGAGAACCTTTGTGTCTAGCTCAGGGATTGTAAATGCACCAATCAGCACCCTGTCAAAACAGACCACTCAGCTCTACCAATCAGCAGGATGTGGGTGGGGCCAGATAAGAGAATAAAATGTGGCTGCCTGAGCCAGCAGTGGCAACCCACTTGGGTCCCCTTCCACACTGTAGAAGCTTTGTTCTTTCGCTCTTTGCAATAAACCTTGCTACTGCTCACTCTTTGGGTCCACACTGCTTTTATGAGCTGTAACACTCACCATGAAGGTCTGCAGCTTCACTCCTGAAGCCAGCAAGACCACGAGCCCACCAGGAGGAATGAACAACTCCAGATGTGCTGCCTTAAGAGCTGTAACACTCACCACAAAGGTCTGCAGCTTTACTCCTGAGCCAGCGAGACCACGAACCTACCAGAAGGAAGAAACTCCAAACACATCCAAACATCAGAAGGAACAAATTCCAGACACACCAACTTAAGAGCTGTAACACTCACCGCAAGGGTCCGCAGCTTCATTCTTGAAGTCAGTGAGACCAAGAACCCACCAATTCCGGACACATTTTGGCAACCACGAAGGGACATTTGCCTATCACCAAGCGATGAGACCATCGCCTATAGCTGAGCAGCGAGACAATCACCTATTGCCAAGCAGTGAGTACCATTGGACCCCTTTCACTTGCTATTCTGTCCTATCTTTCCTTAGAATTCAGGGGCTAAATACCAGGCACCTGTTGGCTGGTTAAAAGTGACTAGCATGGCCGCCAGACTAAAGACACGGGTGTCAGGCTTTCTGGGAAAGGGCTCTCTAACCACCCCCGACTCTTCGGAGTTGGGAACGTTGGTTTGCCTAGAACCAGCTTCCACTTTTCCTGTACTTCTGGGCTGAGCCGACGGTCGACGGAGAGGAAAGCCATGCAGCTCCGGGGTCCCGACAACAAGTTGGTTGACCCTGCGGCCATGAGTGGACCTCTCAAAGGCATGTCACCCAAGCGAGACTCGCCCATCTATCCTATCTATCCTGACCCTTGCCCCCTGGGTCCTAATGTCTGCCAGATAAACTTTATCTTGCCTCTCTTCTCTGAGGCTAGTCCTGCTTCTAAAAATTGCTACCTGTCTCTGGTGCTTTTCTAGTTTCTCCTATAAGAATGATTTCTAGTATAAATTCTAAGACTCTGTTACCTGCTTTAGGCACCTAGGCTCACTAATCAGAAAGACATAACTTTTGCCCAAAGTCCTGTCATAGTGGGAACTACCTGGAATTTTAGGATCCTTCCTCAGACTAATAGGCCTAACAAATCTGTTCCTGAAGCCAGGATATGGGGAGCCTCAGAAATTGTATCCTTCCTATTCATATAAGTGAGGACAAAAGGTGTCACTCTTCCAACCCTGGAGATCCCTTTCCTCCCTCAAGGTATGGCTCTCCACTTCATTTCTGGGGCATAACATCTTTATAGGACAGGGGTAAAGTCTCAATACTAACAGGAGAATGCTTAGGGCTCTAACAGGTTTTTGAGAATGTGTCGGTAAGGGCCACTAAATCTGATTTTTCTCGGTCAGTCCTCCTTGTGGTCTAGGAGGATAGGAAAGGGTGCAGGTTTTCGAGAATGCATCAGTAAGGACCACTAAATCCAACTTTCCTCAGTCCTCCACGTGGTCTGGGAGGAAAACTAGTGTTTCTGCTGCTACATCGGTGAGTGCAACTATTCTGATCAGCAGGGTCCAGGGACCATTGTGGCTTCTTGGGCAGGGGTTGTTTCTGCTGCTGTGTTGGTGAGCACAACTATTCCAATCAGCAGGGTCCAGGGATCGTTGCAGATTCTTAGGCAGGAGGAGAAATAAACAAACCAAAACCATGGGCAGTTTTGTCTTTCAGATGGGAAACACTCCATCACCAACAGGCTCACCCTTGAAATGCATCCTAAGCCATTGGGACAAATTTGACACACAAACCCTGAAAAAGAGGCAGCTCATTTTTTTCTGCACTATGGCTTGGCCCCAATATTCTCTTTATGATGGGGAAAAATGGCCACCTGAGGGAAGTACAAATTACAATACTATTCTGCAGCTTGACCTTTTTTGTAAGAGGGAAGGCAAATGGAGTGAAATACCTTATGTTCAAGCTTTCTTTTCATTGAGGGAGAATACACAACTATGCAAAGTCTGCAATTTACATCCCTCAGGAGGACCTCTCAGCTTACCCCCATATCCTAGCCTCCCTATAGCTCCCCTTCCTATTAATGATAATCCTCCTCTAATCTCCCCTGCCCAGAAGGAAATAAGCAAAGAAATCTCCAAAGGACCACAAAAACCCCTGGGCTATCGGTTATGTCCCCTTCGAGCAGTAGGGGGAGGGAAATTTGGCCCAACCTGGGTGCATGTCCCCTTCTCCCTCTCTGATTTAAAGCAGATCAAGGCAGACCTGGGGAAGTTTTCAGATGATCCTGATAGGTATATAGATGTCCTACAGGGTCTAGAGCAAACCTTTGACCTCGCTTGGAGAGATGTCATGCTACTGTTAGATCAAACCCTGGCCTTTAATGAAAAGAATGCAGCTTTAGCTGCAGCCCAAGAGTTTGGAGATAGCTGGTATCTTACTCAAGTAAATGATAGAATGACAGCTGAAGAAAGGGACAAATTCCCTACCAGTCAGCAAGCCATCCCCAGTATGGAGCCCCCCTGGGATCTTGACTCAGATCATGGGGACTGGAGTCATAAACATCTGACCTGTGTTCTAGAAGGACTAAGGAGAATTAGAAAAAAAGCCCATAAATTATTCAATGATGTCCACCACAACTCAGGGAGAGGAAGAGAATCCTTCTGCCTTCCTCGAGTGGCTATGGAGGCCTTAAGAAAATATACTCTCCTGTCACCCGAATCACTCGGGGGTCAATTGATTCTAAAAGATAAGATTATTACCCAATAAGCCGCAGATATCAGGAGAAAGCTCCAAAAGCAAGCCCTAGGCCCTGAACAAAATCTAGAGGCATTATTAAACCTGGCAACCTTGGTGTTCTATAATAGGGACCAAGAGGAGCAGGCCCAAAATGAAAAGTGAGATCAGAGAAAGACTGCAGCCTTAGTCATGGCCCTCAGACAAACAAAGCTTTGTGGTTCAGAGAGGACAGAAAATGAAGCAGGCCAATCACCTGGTAGGGCTTGTTATAAGTGTAGTTTACTAGGACACTTTAAAAAAGATTGTCCAATGAGAAACAAGCTGCACCCTCATCCATGCCCAGTATGCAGAGGCAATCACTGGAAGGTGAACTGCCCCAGAGGACGAAGGTTCCCTGGGTCAGAAGCCCCCAACCAGATGATCCAACAACAGGACTGATGGTGCCTGGGCAAGCGCCAGCTCATGTCATCAACCTCACTGAGCCCCGGGTATGTTTAATTATTGAGGGCCAGGAAATTGACTTCCTCCTGGACACTGGTGCGGCCTTCTCAGTGTTAATCTCCTGTCCTGGACGACTGTCCTCAAGGTCCATTACCATCCGAGGAATCCTGGGACAGCCTGTAACCAGGTATTTCTCCCACCTTCTCAGTTGTAATTGGGAGACTTTGCTTTTTTCACATGCATTTCTTGTTATGCCTGAAAGTCCCACACCCTTATTAGGGAGGGATATATTAGCCAAGGCTGGAGCTATTATCTACAAGAATATGGGGAACAAGTTACCCATTTGTTGTCCCTACTTGAGAAGGGAATCAACCCTGAAGTCTGGACATTGGAGAGACAATATGGAAGGGCAAAAAATGCCCTACCAGTCCAAATCAGGTTAAAAGATCCCACCACTTTTCCTTATCAAAGGCAATATCTCTTAAGGCCTGAAGCTCATAAAGGATTACAGAATATAGTTAAACATTTGAAAGCTCAAGGCTTATTAAGGGAATGCAGCAGTCCCTGCAACACCCCAATTCTAGGAGTACAAAAACTGAATGGTCAGTGGAGACTAGTGCAGGATCTTAGACGCACTAATGAGGCAGTAATTCCACTATATCCAGTTGTACCCAACCCTTATACCCTGCTCTCTCAAATACCAGAGGAAGCAGAATGGTTCATGGTTCTGGACCTCAAGGATGCCTTCTTCTGTATTCCCCTGCACTCTGATTCCCAGTTTCTCTTTGCTTTTGAGGATCCCACAGAACACACATCCCAACTTATGTGGACGGTCTTGCCCCAAGGGTTTAGGGATAGCCCTCATCTGTTTGGTCAGGCACAGGCCCAAGATCTAGGCCACTTCTCAAGTCCACGCACTCTGATCCTTCAATATGTGGATAATTTACTTTTGGCTACCAGTTTGGAAGCCTCGTGCCAGCAGGCTATTCTAAATCTCTTGAACTTTCTAGCTAATCAAGGGTACAAGGTGTCTAGGTCAAAGGCCCAGCTTTGCCTACAGCAGGTAAAATATCTAGGCCTAATCTTAGCCAAAGGGACCAAGGCCCTCAGCAAGGAACGAATACAGCCTATACTGGCTTATCCTCACCCTAAGACATTAAAACAGTTGAGGGGGTTCCTTGGAATTACTGGCTTTTGCCAACATGGATCCCCAGATACAGCAAGATAGCCAGGCCCCTCTATACTCTAATCAAGGAAACCCAGAGGGCAAATACTCATCTAGTCAAATGCGAACCAGAGGCAGAAACAGCCTTCAAAACCTTAAAGCAGGCCCTAGTACAAGCTCCAGCTTTAAGCCTTCCCACAGGACAGAACTTCTCTGTATACATCACAGAGAGAGCTGGGATAGCTCTTGGAGTCCTTACTCAGACTCAGGGGACTACCCCACAACCAGTGGCATACATAAGTAAGGAAACTGATGTAGTAGCAAAAGGCTGGCATCACTGTTTAAGGGTAGTTGCAGCAGTGGCCATCTTAGTGTCAGAGTCTATCAAAATAATACAAGGAAAGGATCTCACTGTCTGGACTACTCATGATGTAAATGACATAGTAGGTGCCAAAGGAATTTTATGGCTATCAGACAACCACCTACTTAGATACCAGGCACTACTCCTTGAGGATGGTGCTTCAAATATGAACGTGCATGGCCCTCAACCCTGCCACTTTTCTCCCAGAGGATGGGGAACTCATCGAGCATGACTGCCAACAAATTGTAGTCCAGACTTATGCCACCCAAGATGATCTCTTAGAAGTTCCATTAACTAATCCTGACCTTAACCTATATACCGATGGAAGTTCAGTTGTGGAGAATGGGATACAAAGGGCAGGTTACACCATAGTTAGTGATGTAACCATACTTGAAAGTAAGCCTCTTGCCCTAGGGACCAGTGCCCAGTTAGCAGAACTAGTGGCACTTACCCGAGCCTTAGAACTGGGAAAAGGAAAAAGAATAAATGTGTATAGAGATAGCAAGTATGCTTATCTAATCCTACATGCCCATGCTGCAATATGGAAAGAGAGGGAGTTCCTAACCACTGGGGAAACCCCCATTAAATGCCACAAGGAAATTATAGAGTTATTGCATGCAATGCAAAAACACAAACAGGTGGGAATCTTTCACTGACAAAGCCATCAAAATGGGAAGGAGAGGGGAGAACAGCAGCATAAGCAGCTGGCAGAGGCAGCAGAAAGGAAAGAAAGGGACAGGAAGCTCAAAGAAAGACACAGAGAGGAAGAGACAAAGAAGAAGTCAGAGAGAAAGAGAAACAGACAAAGAAAGTCAAAGAGAGAGTTAAAAAGAGAAGAAGAAACAAAGAAGTCGAAGAGAGAAAGACAGAGATGGAAGTAGTAAAGAAAAAACAGTGTACCCTATTCCTTTAAAAGCCAGGATAAATTTCTATCTACCCAGCCAAGGCATATTCTACTTATGTGGATCTTCAACCTATATCTGCCTCTCAAACAGTTTGCAAGAAATAATGAAATCCTTCCTTATTTTACAATCCCAAATAAACTCTTTGGCAGCAGTGACTCTCCAAAACCACTGAGGCCTAGACCTCCTCACTGCTGAGAAAGGAGGACTCTGCACCTTCTTAGGGGAAGAGTGTTGTTTTTACACTAACCAGTCGGGAATAGTACAAGATGCTGCCCAGCATTTACAGGAAAAGACTTCTGAAATCAGACAACGCCTTTCAAATTCTTATACCAACTTCTGGAGTTGGGCAACATGGCTTCTCCCCTTTCTAGGTCCCATGGCAGCTACCTTGATGTTACTTGACTTTGGGCCCTGTATTTTTAACCTTCTTGTCAAATTTGTTTCCTCTAGAATCAAGGCCATCAAGCTACAGATGGTCTTACAAATGGAAGCCCAAATGAGTTCAACTAACAACTTCTACCGAGGACCCATGGACCGACCCACTGGCACTTCCTCTGGCATAGAGAGTTCCTCTCTGAAGGACACTACAAATGCAGGGCCCCTTTTTCACCCCATCCAGCAGGAAGTAGCTAGAGCAGGCATTGGCCAAATTCCCAACAGCAGTTGGGGTGTCCTGTTTAGACGGGGGATTGAGAGGTGACAGCGTGCTGGCAGTCCTCACAGCCCACGCTCACTCTCGGCACCTCCTCTGCCTGGACTCTCACTTTGACAGCACTTGAGGAGCCCCTCAGCACACCACTGCACTGTGGGAGCCCCTTTCTGGGCTGGCCAAGGCTGGAGCTGGCTCCCTCAGCTTGCAGGAAGGTGTGGAGGGAGAGGTGCGAGTGGGAACTGGGGCTGCGCATGGCGCTTGCGGGCCAGCTGGAGTTCTGGGTGGGTGTGGGCTTGGCGGGCCCCACACTCGGAGCAGCCAGCCAGCCCTGCCAGCCCAGGCAATGAGGGGCTTAGCACCCAGGCCAGCAGCTGCGGAGGGTGTACTGGGTCCCCAGCAGTGCCAGCCCACCGGCACTGCACTCGATTTCTCACTGGACCTTAGCTGCCTTCCTGCGGGGCAGGGCTTGGGACCTGCAGCCCACCATTCCTGAGCCTCCTACCCCCTCCGTGGGCTCCTGTGTGGCCCAAGCCTCCCCGATGATCGCCACCCCCTGCTCCATGGTGCCCAGTCCCATCGACCACCCAAGGGCTGAGGAGTGAGGGTGCACAGTGCGGGACTGGCAGGCAGCTCCACCTGCAGCCTCAGTGCAGGATCCACTGAGTGAAGCCAGCTGGGGTCCTGAGTCTGGTGGGGACATGGAGAAACTTTATGTCTAGCTAAGGGATTGTAAATACACCAATCAGCACCCTGTATCTAGCTCAGGGTTTGTGAAGGCACCAATTGACACTCTGTATCTAGCTAATCTGGTGGGGACATGGAGAACCTTTGTGTCTAGCTCAGGAATTGAAAACGCACCAATCAGCACCCTGTCAAAACAGACCACTCAGCTCTACCAATCAGCAGGATGTGGGTGGGGCCAGATAAGAGAATAAAAGCAGGCTGCCCGAGTCAGCAGTGGCAACCCACTCGGGTCCCCTTCCACACTGTGGAAGCTTTGTTCTTTCACTCTTTGCAATAAATCTTGCTACTGCTCACTCTTTGGGTCCATACTGCTTTTATGAGCTGTAACACTCACCATGAAGGTCTGCAGCTTCACTCCTGAAGCCAGCAAGACCACGAGCCCACCAGGAGCAATGAACAACTCCAGATGTGCTGCGTTAAGAGCTGTAACACTCACTGCAAAGGTCTGCAGCTTCACTCCTGAGCCAGCGAGACCATGAACCCACCAGAAGGAAGAAACTCCGAACACATCCGAACATCAGAAGGAACAAACTCCAGACACGCCACCTTAAGAGCTGTAACACTCACCGTGAGGGTCCACGGCTTCATTCTTGAAGTCAGTGAGACCAAGAACCCACCAATTCCAGATGTACTTAGATACCTACAAAGAGACTTCGACTCCCACACAATAATAATGGGAGACTTTAACATCCCACTGTCAACATTAGACAGAACAACAAGACAGAAAGTTAACAAGGATATCCAGGAATTGAACTCAGCTCTGCACCAAGCGGACCTAATAGACATCTACAGAACTCTCCACCCCAAATCAACAGAATATACATTCTTTTCAGCACCACACCACACCTATTCCAAAATTGACCACATAATTGGAAGTAAAGCACTCCTCAGCAAATGTAAAAGAATAGAAATTATAACAAACTGTCTCTCAGACCACAGTGCAATCAAACTAGAATTCAGGATTAAGAAACTCACTCAAAACCGCTCAACTACATGGAAACTGAACAACCTGCTCCTGAATGACTACTGGGTACATAACGAAATGAAGGCAGAAATAAAGATGTTCTTTAAAACCAATGAGAACAAAGACTCAACATACCAGAATCTCTGGGACACAGTCAAAGCAGTGTGTGGAGGGAAATTGATAGCACTAAATGCCCACAAGAAAAAGCAGGAAAGATCTAAAATTGACACTCTAACATCACAATTAAAAGAACTAGAGAAGCAAGAGCAAACACATTCAAAAGCTAGCAGAAGGCAAGAAATAACTAATATCAGAGCAGAACTGAAGGAAATACACAAAAAAAAAAACCCTTCAAAAAACCAATGAATCCAGGAGGTGGATTTTTGAAAAGATCAACAAAATTGATAGACCACTAGCAAGACTAATAAAGAAGAAAAGAGAGAAGAATCAAATACACGCAATAAAAGATGATAAAGGGGATATCACCACCGATCCCACAGAAATACAAACTAACATCAGAGAATACTATAAATACCTCTATGCAGATAAACTAGAAAATCTAGAAGAAATGGATAAATTCCTCGACACATACACCCTCCCAAGACTAAACCAGGAAGAAGTTGAATCTCTGAATACATCAATAACAGACTCAGAAATTGAGGCAATAATTAATAGCTCACCAACCAAAAAAAGTCCAGGACCAGATGGATTCAGAGACGAATACTACCAGAGGTACAAGGAGGAGCTGGTACCATTCCTTCTGAAACTATTCCAATCAATAGAAAACGAGGGAATCCTCCCTAACTCATTTATGAGGCCAGCATCATCCTGATACCAAAGCTGGGCAGAGACACAACAAAAAAAGAGAATTTTAGACCAATATCCCTGATGAACATCGATGCAAAAATCCTCAATAAAATGCTGGCAAACCGAATCCAGCAGCAGATCAAAAAGCTTATCCACCATGATCAAGTGGCCTTCATCCCTGGGATGCAAGGCTGG
The DNA here is from genome assembly GCF_000001405.40 of Homo sapiens. Classification (NCBI taxonomy): domain Eukaryota; kingdom Metazoa; phylum Chordata; class Mammalia; order Primates; family Hominidae; genus Homo; species Homo sapiens. The sequence continues at coordinate 50,379,323 of NC_000005.10, forward strand.
TTCAACATATGCAAATCAATAAATGTAATCCAGCATATAAACAGAGCCAAAGACAAAAACCATATGATTATCTCAATAGATGCAGAAAAGGCCTTTGACAAAATTCAACAACGCTTCATGCTGAAAACTCTCAATAAACTAGGTATTGATGGGACGTATCTCAAAATAGTAAGAGCTTTCTATGAGAAACCCACAGCCAATATCATACGGAATGGGCAAAAACTGGAAGCATTCCTTTTGAAAACTGGCACAAGACAAGGATGCCCTCTCTCACCACTCCTAATTAACATAGTGTTTGGAGTTCTGGCCAGGGCAATTAGGCAGGAGAAGAAAATAAAGTGTATTCAATTAGGAAAAGAGGAAGTCAAATTGTCCGTGTTTGCAGATGACATGATTGTATATCTAGAAAACCCCATCGTCTCAGCCCAAAGTCTCCTTAAGCTGATAGGCAAATTCAGCAAAGTCTCAGGATACAAAATCAATGTGCAAAAATCACAAGCATTCTTATACACCAATAACAGACAAACAGAGAGCCAAATCATGAGTGAACTCCCATTCATAATTGCTTCAAAGAGAATAAAATACCTAGGGAATCCAACTTACAAGGGATGTGAAGGACCTCTTCAAGGAGAACTACAAACCACTGCTCAAGGAAATAAAAGAGGACACAAACAAATGGAAGAACATTCCATGCTCATGGGTAGGAATAATCAATATTGTGAAAATGGCCCTCCTGCCCAAAGTAATTTATAGATTCAGTGACATCCCCATCAAGCTACCAATGACTTTCTTACAGAATTGGAAAAAAACTACTTCAAAGTTCATATGGAACCAAAAAAGAGCCCGCATCACCAAGTCAATCCTAAGCAAAAAGAACAAAGCTGGAGGCATCACCCTACCTGACTTCAACCTATACTACAAGGCTACAGTAACCAAAACAGCATTGTACTGGTACCAAAACAGAGATATAGATCAATGGAACAGAACAGAGACCTCAGAAATAATGCTGCATATCTACAATTATCTGATCTTTGACAAACCTGAGAAAAACAAGCAATGGGGAAAGGATTCCCTATTTAATAAATGTTGCTGGGAAAACTGGCTAGCTATATGTAGAAAGCTACAACTGGATCCCTTCCTTACACCTTATACAAAAATTAATTCAAGATGGATTGAAGACTTAAATGTTAGACCTAAAACCATAAAAACCATAGAAGAAAACCTAGGCAATACCATTCAGGACATAGGCATGGGCAAGGACTTCATGTCTAAAACACCAAAAGCAATGGCAACAAAAGCCAAAATTGACAAATGGGATCTAATTAAACTAAGGAGCTTCTGCACAGCAAAAGAAACTACCCTCATAGTGAACAGGCAACCTACAGAATGGGAGAAAATTTTTGCAATCTACCCATCTGACAAAGGGCTAATATCCAGAATCTACAATGAACTCAAATAAATTTACAAGAAAAAAACAAACAACCCCATCAAAAAGTGGGTGGAGGATATGAACAGACACTTCTCGAAAGAAGACATTTATGCAGCCAAAAGACACATGAAAAAATGCTCACCATCACTGGCCATCAGAGAAATGCGAATCAAAACCGCAATGAGATACCATCTCACACCAGTTAGAATGGCAATCATTAAAAAGTCAGGAAACAACAGGTGCTGGAGAGGATATGGAGAAACAGGAACACTTTTACACTGTTGGTGGGACTGTAAACTAGTTCAACCATTGTGGAAGTCAGTGTGGTGATTCCTCAGGGATCTAGAACTAGAAATACCATTTGACCCAGCAATCTCATTACTGTGTATATACCCAAAGGATTATAAATCATGCTGCTATAAAGACACATGCACACGTATGTTTAGTGGGGCACTATTCACAATAGCAAAGACTTGGAACCAACCCAAATGTCCAACAATGATAGACTGGATTAAGAAAATGTGGCACATATACACCATGGAATACTATGCAGCCATAAATAATGATGAGTTCATGTCTTTGGAGGGACATGGATGAAGCTGGAAACCATCATTCTCAGCAAACTATCACAAGGACAAAAATCCAAACACCGCTTGTTCTCACTCATAGGTGGCAATTGAACAATGAGAACACATGGACACAGGAAGGGGGACATCACACACTGGGGACTGTTTTGTGGGGTGGGGGAAGGGGGGAGGGATAGCATTAGGATATATACCTATTGTTAAATGATGAGTTAATGGGTGCAGCACAGCAACATGGCACATGCATACATATGTAACTAACCTGCAGGTTGTGCACATGTACCCTAAAACTTGAAGTATAATTTTAAAAAATTGAAAAATATTTTCATTTAAATGATAATAAGAAAACATAATATATTAAAACTTATAGGATTCCACTAAAACATTCCTTAGAGGGAAATTTATGACATTAAATGAATATGTGTTCTTGATGAGTATTCATGCAAAAATCCTCCACAAAATGTGAATAAAATCCAGCAGCACATAATAAAGCTGATACACCACAACCAACTCAGCTTTATCCCTAGGATGCATGGTTGGTTCAACATACCCAAATGTGATTCATCACATACAGATAACTAAAGACAGAAACCATATTTTAATCTCAATAGATGCAGAAAAGGTTTTCAATGAAATTCAACACCTCTTCAAAAAAAAAAAAAAAGAAAGAATTAGTGAACTCAAAGATAAGAAAACAACAGACTTGAACAATGCTACAGGCCAAATTTACCTCAGAGATCTGTAATAAACATTCCTCTCACTAGTGGCAGAATCTGCATTCTTCTCAAGTAAACACGGAATATTCTACAGGATATGTCACATATTAGGTCACAAAACAAGTTTTAACAAACTTAAGATTGAAATGAAACCAGGTATCTTTTCTGAGCACCATGAAATTAAACTACATACTATAAATGGTAATAAAATAAATGGGACACACACAAAAAATGAAGTTACCCAATGCTCATGAGTTGAAAGAATCAATAGTGTTAACTTGTCCATACTACCCAAAGTGTTCAACACATTCAATGCAATCCCCATCAAAATTCCAGCTGAATTAATTATATTTCTTTACTGAAGTTAAAACAGAAATATAGATCAATGGAACAGAATAGAGAGCCCAGAAATAAAATCATGCATATACAACCAACCGATCTTCAAAAAGGGTGCCAAGAATACACAATGGGGTAAAACAGTCTCTTCCACAAATAGTGTTAGGAAAACCAGATACTCACATGCGGAAGAATAAATTGGACTCTCATCTCACACCATATATAAAAATCACCTCAAAATAAAGGCTTAAATGTAAGACCCCAAACTGTAAAACTCTTAGTACACATAGGGGGAAAGCTTCTGGATGTTGGTCTTGACAATGATTTCCTGTATAAGACAAAAGCCCAGGTAATAACAACAAAAATGAACAAGTGAAACTCCTTTAGACTAAATAGCTTCTGTATAGCAAAAGAACCAATCAACAGAGTGAAAAGGCAGCCTATAGAATGGGTTAAAATATTTGCAAACCACATATCCAGTAATGGATTAATCTCCAAATATATAAGGAACTTCTACAACTCATTATCAGAAAATAATTTTAATGAGCAAAGGATTTGAATAGACATTTCTCCAAAGATGACATACAAATGGCCAAAAAATATATAAAAAAGCATTCAAACTGGGCTCAGTGGCTTACACCTATAATCCAACACTTTGGAAATCTGAGGTGAGAGGATCACTTGAGCCCAGGAGTTCGAGACCAGTCTGGGCAACATAGTGAGACCCTATCTCTACAAAACATTTAACAATTAGCCAAGCATGGTGGTACACGCCTGTAGTCCCAGTTACTCAGGAAGCTGAGGCAGGAGGATCACTCGAGTCCAGGAGATTGAGGTTGCAGCAAGCTGTGTTTGCACCACTATACTCCAGCTGGGTGGCACAGTGAGACCCTGTCTCAAAAAAAAAAAAAAAAAAAAAAAAAAAATTCAACATCATTAGTCATCAGGGAAATGTCAATCACCTCACACCTTTAGGATGACTCTTAAAAAACAAGTGCTGTTGAGGATGTGGAAAACTTGGCACTCTTATACACTGTTGATGGGAATAGTTGATGCAGCCACTATGGAAAGCAATATGGAGGTTCCTCACAAAAGTAAAAATAGAATAACTATATGATCCAGCAACCCCACTTCTGGGTATATATCCAATAGAATTGAAATCAGGAACTCAAAGGAATTTCTGCATTCTTACGTTCACTGCAGCATTATTAGCAACACCCAAGATTTCAAAACAATCTAAATGTCCCTCAGTAGATGAATGGATAAAGAAAATGTGATATATACATACAGTGAAATATTATTTAGCTCTTAAAAAAATTCTACCATATGTAAGAACATGGATAAACCTGAAGGATATTGTGCTAAGTGAGATAGCCAGAACAAATGCTGTATGATGCCACTTATCTGAGCTATCTAACGTTAAGTCAATCTCATAGAAGTAAAATGGTGGTCACTAGGAGCTGGGGGAAGGGTAAATGGGAAGTTGTTGACCAAAGTTTCACTTATGCAAGACAAATAAGATATAAAGACAAATAAGGTGAGAATCTGTCTCTACAAAATATTGTAAAAATTAGCCAGATGTGGTGGCATGCAACTGTGGTCCAAACTACTCAAGAGGCTGAAGTGGGAGGATTGCTTGAGCTGGGGAGATTGAGCCTGCAGTGAGTAGTGTTCACTCCACTGCACTCCAGCCTGGGCAACAGAGCAAGACCCTGTCTCAAAAAAAAAAAAAAAAAAAAAAAAAAAAAAAAAAAAAGAGAGATCTGGTGTACAACAGCGTGCCTATACTTGACAATACTGTATTGTGCACTTAAAAATTTGTTAAGAAAGTAAATCTCAAGTTCAGTGTTTCTACCACAATAAAAAAAAACTAAAAATTAAAAAGAAACTTTGGTTTCTCTTTAGATAAACATACTTATGTTTATGTTTTAAATTACCATATTTTATATTTAGGCTAAAGGTTTTTGTTTACCCCAATTCAGGAGACTTCAGAACGTAAAGCAGAATTAGAGTATCATTTGATAATTGTTTTCAGAATCTCAAAAGTTTTAGAAGCATAACATTTTTTCACTGCACAATTTTAATGCTTTCAGCACTACCTGCATCAGCAAAGCACACAGGCTGGCTCATGGTACTATCAGACAGGTGTCCATCTCACTCATAAACACGTGCTGCTGAATGTTATCTCTAGCCACAAACTGTCTCCTGCCATTGCAAATCATTGTGAACCTTGATTAAACACTCTTATCTCCTGCACCACATTTTAGCTACTATAATGGTTCCAGAACCCCTATTCACAGAAATAAATATGAGTAAATGTAGTTATTATAGGGAGGTGACATGAATGTGAATATTTACTCTGGGGTTTTGTGTGTACAGATATATTTTAGTAAGTGTGAAAGGTTTTGATTCAAACTTGAAAATGTACTTATTTCCAAAATAAAATAATCTTTTTTTTTCCCACTATAAAGCAGTTATTTTAGCTATGGCTAGATACAATGAGAGATTTAATATATACAATTTCTTTCTCTTATGTAGCTACAGTAACACAAAACAAAGATTATTCTCAAATGATCTTTATCAAGTTTATACATAAATATTGTCAATCATTCAATGATGAAAGGACATTTTAAAACCTGCATTGTCATTTAAATAGATATAAGAAAGACTTTTTTTTTTTTTTCTTGCAAGGACTATCTGGTAAGACATCTGAGAACATGGGCTTGTAACTGACTCTGTACTTTGCTTTTATGCCAATAGTTTCAGTTGATAGTTTAGGTTGATTTTCTACCTAAACCAATAATAAAGAAGTAAAAAAAATCCATATTCTTTTCTAATATTAACCATTTAATGCTTAGACTAATGAATTGATTCAAACATTTTAAAATATTTTGTTTTGAAAAAATTACAGATTCATAGAAAGTTGCAAAGATATTACAGAGAGCTCTCATTTTCACCTAATTCAGTTTCTCCCCATGCTTATATCTTAAGTAATTATAGTACAATATCAAAAGAAGGAAATTGACATTTGTTATAATGTATATGTATTAGTTCTATGTCTTTTATCACATATGTAGATTCACACAACCACCAAGATACAAAACTAAACCATTCCCACAAAGAACTCCCTATTATTACCTCTTTATAGTCACATCTACTCCCACTTCTCTGCCCCCGCAGCATTCCTAACCCATGGTAACCACTAATTTGTTTTCCATCTCAGTAATTTTGTCCTTTCAAGGACATCATATAATGGACTCACATCTTTTGACATGGGCTTTTCACTTAGCATAATGTCCTTCAAATCCATCCAAATTGTTGCATGTATCAACAATTCATTCTTCTTTATTACAGAGCAATATTCCAAGATATGGATGTACCACAGTTTGTTTAAATATCCTCCTACTTTAAGATATTTTGTTTACTTACAGCTTTAAGCTTTTATAACTAAAGCCGTTATGAACAATCATGTACAATTCTTTGTGTGGACATAAGTTTTCATTCCTCTGAGATAAATGCCCAGGAATGAGATTTATTGGCCATATATGTTTAGTCCTTTAAGAAAGTGCCACGGCTGGGCGCAGTGGCTTATGCCTGTAATCTCAGTACTTTGGGAAGCCGAGGCAGGTGGATCACCTGAGAGCAGGAGTTCGAGACCAGCCTGGCCAACATGGTGAACTCCATCTGTACTAAAAATACAAAAATTAGTCAGGCATGGTGGCAGGCCCCTGTAATCCCCGCTACTAGGGAGGCTGAGGTAGCAGAATTGCTTGAACCAGGGGGGCGGAGGTTGCAGTGAGCCGAGATCGTGCCACTGCACTTTAGCCTGGGCGAAAAAGCAAGACTCTGCCTCAAAAATAAATTAAGAAGAAAAAAGAAAAAGAAAAATAAACTGCTGAACTACTTTTCAGAGTGTCTGTACACTTCCACAAACAATGTATAAGAGAGATAATTTCTGTGTATGCTTACCAACATTTGGTATTGTCAGTAGTTTTAAGCTATTCTCATATGTATGTAGTGATATTCATTGTGGCCTTCATTTGCAGTTTTTAATCGCTAGTGATGAACATCTTTGCACGTGCTTATTTGCCATCTATATATCCTCTTTGGCCTGTTCATGTCTCTTGCTCATTTTCTAGCTAGAATTTTTGTTTTGATGTTATTGTTGAGTTTTGAGAGTTCTTTAAATATTCTAAATGAATCATCTGTAAGATATACGGTTACCAAATATTTTCTCCCAGTGTGTAGATTGTCTTTTCATCCTCTTAACAAAGTCCTTCAGAGTAAAAGTTTAAGTTTTGATGAAGTGTAATTTATGAATTTTATTTTTATGGCTTTTTTGATGTCAAGCACTCTTTATCAAGCCCTAGATCTTATTTTATTTTTCTTCTGAAAAATTTATAGGATTTTTTATCCTACCACTTTTTAAATTATAATTTTAAAAACCATAAAATTTCCCATGGTTAAGATGAACTATTTTTAAGTGTACAGTTTAGTAATGTTAAGTATATTTGCATTGGTGAGGTGATGCCCCACCCGGGAAGTGCAAGGTGTCGGGGAACCCCCTCTCCTAGCCAAGGGAAGCCATTAGGGACTGTACCGAGCACTCTGGCCCAGATACTGCGCTATTCCCACAGTCTTCGCAACCCGCAGACCAGGAGATTCCCTCCAGTGCCTACACCACCAGGGCCCCTGTGTTTCCAGCACAAAACTGGGTGGCCATTTAGGCAGACTCCGAGCTAGCTGCAGGAGTTTATTTCTCACACCCCAGTGGCACCTGGAAATCCAGCGAGACAGAACCGTTCACTCTCCTGGCAAGAGGGCTGAAGCCAGGGAGCCAAGTGCTCTGGCTCCGCGAGTCCCACCCCCACGGAGCCCAGCAAGCTAAGATCCGCTGGCTTGAAAGTCTCGCGGCCAGCACAACACAACAGTCTGAGCTCGACCTGGGACACTCCAGCTTGGTGGCAGGAGGGGCATCCACCATTGCTGAGGCTTGAGTAGGCAGTTTTCCCCCACAGTGTAAACAAAGCCACCAGCAAGTTCAAACTGGGTGGAGCCCACCGCAGCTCAGCAAGGCCTCTGAGGCCAGACTGCATCCTCTAGATTCCCTCTCTGAAAAAAAGGCAGCAGCCCCCAGTCAGCGACTTATAGATAAAACCCCCACCTCCCTGGGACAGAGCAACTCTGGGAATGGGCGGTTGTAGGCACAGATTCAGCTGACTTAAACGTCCCTGCCTGGTAGCGCTGAAGAGAGCAGCAGATCTACCAACACAGTGTTCAACCTCTGATAAGGGACAGACTGCCTCCTCAAGTGGGTCCCTGATCCCTGTGTATCCTGATTGGGAGACATTTCCCAGTAGGGGCCGACAGACACCTCATACAGGAGAGCTCTGGCTGGCATCTGGTGGGTGCCCCTCTGGGACGAAGCTTCCAGAGGAAGGAACAGTTAGCAATCTTTGCTTTTCTGCAGCCTCCACCGGTGATACCCAGGCAAACAGGGTCTGGAGTGGACCTTGAGCAAACTCCAGCAGACCTGCCGCAGAGGGGCCTGACTGTTAGAAGGAAAACTAACAAACAGAAAGGAATAGTATTAACATCAACAAAAAGGACGTCCACTCAGAGACACCATCCGACTTCAAAGACCAAAGGTAGATAAATCCGGGAAGGACAAAAAGGCTGAATATTCCAAAAACCTGAATGCCTCTTCTCCTTCAAAGGATAACAACTCCTCACCAGCAAAGAGCAAAACTGGATGAAGAATGAGTTTGACGAATTAATAGAAGTAGGCTTCAGAAGGTGAGTAATAACAAACTCCGAGCTAAAGGAGCATGTTCTAACCCAATGCAAGGAAGCTAAGAACCTTGAAAAAAGGTTAGATGAATTGTTAACTAAAATTAGCAGTTTAGAGAAGAACATAAATGACCTGAAGGAGATGAAAAACACAGTATGAGAACTTCATGGAGCATACACAAGTATCAATAGCCGAATTGATCAAGTGGAAGAAAGGATAACAGAAATTGAAGATCAATTCAATGAAATACAGTGAGATGACAAGATTAAACACACTGAAAAGAAAAGAACAAAGTCTCCAAGAAAGATGGGACTACGTGAAAAAACCAAATCTACCTTTGATTGTTGTACCTGAAAGTGATGGGGAGAATGGAACCAAGTTAGAAAATACTCTTCAGGATATCATCCAGGAGAACTTCCCCAACCTAGCAAGACAGGTCAACATTAAAATTCAGGAAATACAGAGAACACAACAAAGATAATCCTCGAGAAGAGCAACCCCAAGACCCATAATTGTCAGATTTACCAAGGTTGAAATGAAGGAAAAAATATTGAGGCCAGCAGAGAGAAAGGTTGGGTTACCCACAAAGGGAAGCCCATCACACTAACAGCGGATCTCTCAGCAGAAACCCTACAAGCCAGAAGAGAGTGGGGGCCAATATTCAACATTCTTAAATAAAAGAATTTCAACCCAGAATTTCATATCCAGCTAACCTAAGCTTCATAAGTGAAGGAGAAATAAAATCCTTTATAGACAAGCAAATGCAGAGACATTTTGTCACCACCAGGCCTGCCTTACATGAGCTCCTGAAGGAAGCACTAAACATGGAGAGGAACAACTGATCCAGCCACTGGAAAAACATACCGAATTGTAAAGACCACCGATGCTATGAAAAAACTGCATCAACTAACAGGCAAAATAACCAGCTAGCATCATAATGGCAGGATCAAATTCACACATAACAATACTAACAGTGTAAATGGGCTAAATGACCCAATTAAAAGACACAGACTGACAAACTGGATAGAGTCAAGACCCATTGGTGTGCTGTATCCAGGAGAGCCATCTCACATGCAGAGACACACATAGGCTCAAAATCAAGGGATGGAGGAATATTTACCAAGCAAATGGAAAGCAGAGGTTGCAATCCTAGTCTCAATAAAACAGACTTTAAACCAATCAACAAAGATCAAAAGAGACAAAGAAGGGCATTACATAATGGTAAAGGGATCAATGCAACAAGAAAAGCTAACTATCCTAAATACATATGCACCCAATACAGGGGTACTCAGATTCATAAAGCAAGTTCTCAGAGACCTACAAAGAGACTTAGACTCCCACACATTAATAGTGGGAGACTTTAACACCCCACTGTCAATATTAGACAGATCAATGAGACAGAAAATTAACAAGGATATCCAGGACTTCAACCAAGCTCTGGACCAAGCTGACCTAATAGATATCTACAGAACTCTCCACCCAAATCAACAGAATATACATTCTTCTCAACACTACATCGCAATTATTCTAAAATTGACCACAAAATTGGAAGTCAAACACTCCTCAGCAAATGCAAAATAACAGAAATCATAACAAACAGTCTCTCAGACCACAGTGCAATCAAACTAGAACTCAGGATTAAGAAACTCACTAAAAACCCCACAATTACATGGAAACTGTACAACCTACTCCTGAATGACTACTGGATAAATAACAAAATGAAGGCAGAAATAAGTATGTTCTTTGAAACCAATGACAACAAAGACACAACGTACCAGAATCTCTGGGACACATTTAAAGCGGTGTGGAGAGGGAAATTTATAGCACTAAATGCCCATGACAGAAAGCAGGAAAGATCTAAAATTGACACCCTGACATCACAATCAAAAGAACTAGAGAACCAAGAGCAAACAAATTCAAAAGCTAGCAGAAGACGAGAAATAACTAAGATCAGAGCAGAACTGAAGGAGAGACAAGAAAAACCCTTCAAAAAAAAAGCAATGAATCCAGGAGCTGGTTTTTTGAAAAGATCAACAAAATTGATAGACTGCTAGCAAGACCAATAAAGAAGAAAAGAGAGAAGAATCAAATAGATGCAATAGAAAATGATAAAGGGGATACCACCACCAATCCCAAAGAAATACAAGCTACCATCAGAGAATACTATACACACCTCTATGCAAATAAACTAGAAAATCTAGAAGAAATTGATAAATTCCTCGACACATACACCCTCCCAAGACTAAACCAGGAAGAAGTTGAATCTCTGAATAGACCAATAACAGGTTCTGAAATTGACACAATAATTAATAGCTTACCAACCAAAAAAAGCCCAGGACCAGACAGATTCACAGCCAAATTCTACCAGAGGTACAAAGAGGAACTGGTAGCATTCCTTCTGAAACTATTCCAAACAATAGAAAAAGAAAGAATCCTCCCTAACTCATTTTATGAGGCCAGCATCATCCTGATACCAAAACCTGGCAGAGACACAACAAAAAAGAAAATTTCAGGCCAATATCCCCGATGAACATCTATGCGAAAATCCTCAATAAAATACTGACAAACCGAATCCAGCAGCACATCAAAAAGCACCACGATCAAGTCGGCTTCATCCCTGGGATGCAAGGCTGGTTCAACATATGCAAATTAATAAACACAATCCATCACATAAACAGAATCAATGATAAAAACCACATGATTATCTCAATAGATGCAGAAAAGGTCTTCAACAAAATTCAACACCCCTTCATGCTAAAAACTCTCAATAAACTAGGTACTGATGGAACATATCTACAAATAATAAGAGCTATTTATGCAAACCCACAGCCAAGATCATACTGAATGGGCAAAAACTGGAAGCATTCCCTTTGAAAACTGGCACAAGAAAAGAATGCCCTCTCTCACCACTCCTATTCAACATAGTATTGGAAGATCTGGCCACGGCAATCAGGCAAGAGAAAGAAAAAAGGGTATTCAATTAGGAAAAGAGGAAGTCAAATTGTCTCTGTTTGCAGATTACATGATTGTATATTTAGAAAGCCCTATTGTCTCAGCCCAAAATCTCCTTAAGCTGATAAGCAACTTCAGCAAAGGCTGAGGATACAAAATCAATGTGCAAAAATCACAAGCATTCCTATACACTAATTACAGACCAACAGAGAGCCAAATCATGAGTGAACTCCCATTCACAATTGCTACAAAGGGAATGAAATACCTAGGAATCCAACTTATAAGGGATGTGAAGGACCTCTTCAAGGAGAACTACAAACCACTGCTCAAGGAAATAAGAGTGGACACAAACAAATGGAAAAACATTCCATTTTCATGGATAGGAAGAATCAATATCATGAGAATGGCCATACTGCCCAAGGTAATTGAGACATCAATGCTGTCCCCATCAAGCTACCATTGACTTTCTCACAGAATTGGAAAAAACTACTTTAAATTTCTTGTGGAATCAAAAAGGAGCCCACAGAGCCAAGCCAATCCTAAGCAAAAAGAACAAAGCTGGAGGCATCATGCTACTTGACTTCAAACTATACTACAAGGCTACAGTAACCAAAACAGCATGGGACTGGTACCAAAACAGAGAGATAGACCAATGGAACAGAACAGAGGCCTCAGAAATAATGCCGCGTTATCTACAATCATCTGATCTTTGACAAACCTGACAAAAACAAGTACTGGGGAAAGGATTCCCTATTTAATAAATGGTGCTGGGAAAACTGTCTAGCCATATGTAGAAAGCTGAAACTGGATTCCTTCCTTACGTCTTACATAAAAATTAATTCAAAATGGATTAAGGACTCATATGTTAGACCTAAAACCATAAAAGCCCTAGAAGAAAACCTAGGCAATACCATTCAGGATATAGGCATGGGCAAAGATTTCATGACTAAAACACCAAAAGCAATGGCAACAAAAGCCAAAATTGACAAATGGGATCTAATTAAACTAAAGAGCTTCTTCACAGCAAAAGAAACTATTATCAGAGTGAACAGGCAACCTACAGAATGGGAGAAAATTTTTGCAATCTATCTATCTGGCAAAGGGCTAATATCCAGGATCCACAAAGAATTTCAACAAATTTACAAGAAAAAAAACAACCCCATCAAAAAGTGGGCCAAGGATATTAACAGACACTTCTCAAAAGAAGACATTTATGCAGCCAACAGACACATTAAAAAAATGCTCATCATCACTGGTCATCAGAGAAATGCAAATCAAAACCACAATGAGATACCACCTCACGTCAGTTAGAATGGTGATCATTAAAAAGTCAGGAAACAACAGATTCTGGAGAGGATGTGGAGAAACAGGAATGCTTTTACACTGTTGGGGGAGTGTAAATTACTTGTGGAAGACAGTGTGGCGATTCCTCAGGGATCTAGAACTAGAAATACCATTTGACCCAGCAATCCCATTACTGGGTATATACCCAAAGGATTATAAATCATTCTACTGTAAAGACACATGCACACGTATGTTTATTGTGGCACTGTTCAGAATAACAAAGACTTGGAAGCAACCTAAATGCCCATCAATGATAGACTGGATAAAGAAAATGTGGCACATATACACCATAGAATACTATACAGCCATAAAAATGGATGAGTTTATATCCTTTGCAGGGACATGGATGACACTGGAAACCATCATTCTCAGCAAACTATCACAAGAACAGAAAACCAAACACCGGCACGTTCTCACTCATAAGTGGGAATTGAACAATGAGAACATATGGACACAGGGAGGGGAATATCACACACCGGGGCCTGTTGCGGAGTGGGAGCTAGGGGACAGATAGCATTAGCAGAAATACCCAACGTATATGATAGGTTGATGGGTGCAGCAAACCACCATGGCACGTGTATACCTATGTAACAAACCTGCACATTCTGCACATGTACCTCAGAACTTAAAATATAATGAAAAAAATTTACCCAGAACAACAAGAAAATTTGTTCTCTGCATCATTTTAACTTAAAATATCTATTTTTATGAAGTTCGCTACTGCCTTTTAAATTGTTCAAATATATTTTGGGACACTTTGAAAATTCCTTTCTGAAAGACTTTTGGTTCGATGTGTTAAACTAGAGTCCCAGCTCTAGGTGCACTTTTTCACTGGGCTTGAGAAGGACATATTGTTCAACATGATTTAAATTATTTGTGAGTATACACAAAGAAAAAAAAAACTAGTGTTTTCTGTTTAGTGCCTTTATATTCTCTTTTAAACCACTATTAAAAATAAAAAGCATGACAATGTTTTTCAATACTTAACTTTTTAATTCACTAAGTACTATTTTATTCAATTTAATTGCATATTAGATGTATCTTTTCAGTTACATGCAACAGAAAATATTTTTTAAACATTCCTATATAGACATTTTCTGTGCTATTTACACAGTACAGAAAGCCCTCAATGAGAATTTAGGCACATATGCTTACAAAGGAAAAAATTATAATTATTAGAAAGTATGTCAAAATAAATCCATGATCCTTGATTTAAATAAAACTAAAGATTATGATCATATTTCTTTCTTTAAAAGTACAAAGACAGTTAATAAAATGTGATAGTTACAAACATGTGCTATGATTTTGCAGCATTAAATAGTATTGTTACATATGTAATAAATCTAACATTGTGCTACATTATTTTCTAAAGTAAATTAAAAATTAAATAGCAAAATCAGTTTTTATAAACAAAGTTTTTGAACATAATAAGCCAACACATAAAAATAATATACATAGTTGTTGCAGGTTAATCTTGTGATTAAAAGTAATTTTGACAACATTATTCATGAATTATTTTCACTGACTTCATAAGAAAATTTTATCATAAAAGCACAATCACACATTCATGATTCACTGAGAATCACACAGACATTATTATTATGACACATGAATCAGAAGATATGCAAGCCCAAAGAATTCTCGAGTGCATTCCATAGGCCAGCAAAAACATGACTTTCTTTGCCAGCTTCTCTTACAATCTGTGAATCATACTTTTGAATGCCAATAAATCTCAACCTATTAGATGCTTTTGGAAATTAATAAAACTTTAAGCTTACTAAACTGTCTCATTATAGGCAGTTTATAGTGAGACTCTCCTGACATTTACTTAAAATGGCTATTTCCCTATGTTTACTACTAAAAATGGCTATTTCCCTGAAAGTTGATTTTTGTTTATCATTTACTTGTTGCAGATGCTACTGCTGTGTCTATGGCAGACTATCCATAATGTACTTAAATTCTCTCTGCAGGCTAAATGTACGACCAGAGACTATTTTCTGCCTGTTGTCCTGGGGAAATCATAAATAGCACCTTCTTTCACTTTCAGTGGTTGGATGATAAATTTTATGGCCACCCTCCCAATTTATAAGTAAAATTACAAAAAAAAAAAAAAAAAAAGAAAGAAAGAAAGAGTGCTAAGGCAAATAAATGTGTCTTGATTCCCCAGCACCACTATAGGGATACAAGAGTGGCAAAGCATGGATTCCATAAAAATTCCATGGAATTTATGATATAACTGACCAGTTGAAAGGAATAAAATTGATATTAAAAAATACAGATTATAGATAATAGCCTCATTTTCTAAGAAGCATGTAACTTGCAGGCCAAAGCTGTTCAACGTGGTGGTTAATCCTAGGTTCTTCAGGAGGACTCCGTGAATGTGAATCTCAGCTCTAAACACTTACAGGCAGGGTGACTTAAGGCAGCTTACCTAATCTCTCTAAGCTGCAGTTTCCTCATCTATTAAAAAAGTAGATATTAACTGTTTTTATAGCATAGGACCATTGTGTGGATTAAATGAACAAAACATGTCAAAGCAATTTGCACAGTGCCCATCATATGCCATGCACTCAATGTCAGTTATTATTATCCTTAGTGAAGCAGAATTCAATTGGTAAACAGGGCATGTAACTGACTTTCTGGATACAGTGCAGATACATTCCTAAGTATCATATGAAAGAAGGGTCTATAGTTCCATTTTCTTTTTCTCAATACTAGAGTAGGATAAATTCATGGTTAATTAATAAAAATCAAAATAGACATTACATAAATCTGTATAACTTAAGATTCTAAAATAATTGAGTCACTCTTCTATTTTTCATTCATTCAATAAGTATTTATTCAGAATATAGTACAAGTAGGTCACTTTGCCTTTAATTAATACTGCAACACATACTTGAACTTATTTCCACCTATAGATGAACAATACTAATGAGGAATAAGTCCCCAATTCTTTGCATAAATTTGTTCGATTAGACAAAATGAAAGAAATGCTTTCAGTGATCAAAACTAAACTATGAAACTGTGAAAATAATTATACCTTTTAAGATTAAATTTTGAATTGGATCTGAGATATTCTGAAGTATACTGGCAGGGGAAAGTGGAATGAGGTTAGTGGAGTGAACACAAACATCAACTCTCTACAGTATGATGTAAAGAAATACAATCACTAAATTTTGGGGGGAACAGATACAGAGTCTTCCTCTGTCTCCCGGGCTGAAGTGCAGTGGCAATCATAGCTCAGTGCAGCATCAAACTCCTGGGCTCAAGTAATCCTCCCGCCTCAGCCACCCAAGTAGCTGGAACTACAGGCAAGTACCATGCCTGGCTAATTTCTTTTTTATTTTTAGTAGAGACAGGGTCTTACTATGTTGCCCAGGCTGTTCTCAAGTTCCTATCCTCATGTGATCCATCCTCCTTGGCCTCCCAAAGTTCTGAGATTATAGATGTGAGCCACCATGCAGCCTAAAATTCTTTACATTTAAAATCAATGCATTATGTTATTAGAATAAAGGATAAAAATAAGGTTTGCATTTGTACTGTCCATGAAACATGAAGAACAAGGGAAATTTAAATAAGTTGAAAGCAACGTAATCTGTGTAATAGTTTAGGAATTAGAACTCATTTTGCTCACAAGACACTAATTCACTATTACAGAAAATATGACTGGACCTTTATACTATTCTATGTGTTTTTCAAAGTAAAAGAAGCAAATACTGAAGTTATAAAAGCTTGTTTTTCTTTATTAGAATACTTTTTTCAATTCTGATTTGTCACAATTTAGATTCTTTTTCTAAGAATAAGCAGAAATTTACAAAATTTAATTTTTATTTATACATTCATCCGTTCAATACACATTTCAAGAAAGCTGTATTGCACCCTTTCAGTGGTAGTTACAGGACAAAGAAACAAAATAATCCAAGAGAGAGACCAACAAATGTATATTTATAACACAGAGTAATAAACACAAATAAATGTGGAGTTATTTAAGCATGTAAGATGGTACATGCTCTACCAGGTATGGGGGCTTCTCTAAGACACAAGATCAGATTAAAGTCTTGAAAGATAATCTGGGGTTAGTCAAGCAGGTAGAAGTGTGAAGAGCACTTTCTGAGCGGAATCTCCATGTGCCAAGTCTAGTTCAAGAGACTGGATAGAGATTAGCAATTTGGAGAATGCAATATTAAGAAATGGCAAAGGTGAGCCTACAGAGATTCCAAAGTTGCATAGTGAGGTTTGTGTTTGAGAAAGTGGACTCAGGCAGCCACGCAAAAGAGGGATTAATAGAAAAGGAGACTGAGGTAGGAAAATCAAGGCATTAGTGTTGCAGCAGGTGTGGGCAGAGTTGGGGAGGCAATGGGATGGATTCATGAGCTATTAAAAAGGTCAAAGGAGCAGGGATTCATGACCCATAAGTATTAATTAATACAGAAGAAGAAAATATCAGAATGAGTTCTAAATTAGGGCCTGAGCAGCTAGATGTTGGGATAATAACAAAAAGACTGCAAAAGGAGAAGATTTACACTTTGGCAAAAAATGTATATGAAAGTATCTGGGAATTTTATGCCATCATTAAATCTACTTATTATGCTGAAAATCCTTGTTAGCTGGAAAGACTAAGAGAATTCCCCAAGGTGCCTAATATATAAACTTGGAGTAGTTTTCCTACTTCAACTTTTATGCGGCTTATTATTTGCAGTCAATTTATATTTGGTCAATATTAGTTAATTCATTTATCATCTCTGTAAGATTGGTTAATGGAAGCAGATTAAAATCCAACAGTGGTAATTTTCTGGAAGTCCTCCAGAGAGACTACAAAAAGCCAAAAGTCAACTTTAATTTTTGAGTACTTTTCCTATTTAAGGTTACTGAGATAAATTGTCTTTGCTAGAAAAAAATAAACAGTATTGCCAATTAAAAACTCCATTTACTATAGAAATATTCCTGATTATTTTACCTTTGGGAAGCAATGCTTGTTGCTTGAAAATTGTATGAGCCTCAATGGTTAGTGGTGGTAAAATGGAAGAATGCATACTGCAGATGGGTTACACATTTGTTTGTGTTCTATATTCCAAGTCACAAATACACTGCTTTGAATTGTATTTAGTCAAACAGCAGATTTGACTAATATTTCCCTGAATTCAAATAGCTTAGATTAATTAAGCTAACTGATTGGTTATCTACCATTATATAGATATTACCCAAGTAATGTTGTCAAAATAATAATTAATTAAACTAAAATAAATGTATGGCCCTGAGACCAGAATAAAATGAAAACCAAGAATAAAATGAAGTTTGCCATTACCGGGATGTATTCAAGTTCAGCAAACTTATATGTGTAGTTAAGATGCTTTACAACAAAATATTGCATTTTGTTATAGCAACAAAGTATTGAGCAGCTTCCAAGTCACTACCTTATGTGTATTATTCATACTAGTAATATTGGTAAACATTAGTGATACAATTTTCACTACCAAAATTTTATTATATTTTTCTTAGCCAATACATGGAGCAAATTTTTATAAAGTATTTCTTGTCAAATCATTGAATTCCTCCTCCCCAACCTTTAAATTCCCTAGTCGCCAAGAATCTTGGGTTCCACACCACCACTCTTTGCTTCTGTTCTTAAAGTTGTTGCCCTTTGAGCAGTGGGACACTTCATGGTCATTTATGTTATCTAGTATCTTGTGGTATGATTTTAGTATTCATTCAAGCATTGACAACTTTTCATGTTGATTCAGATTTTATAAGATTTGATTACAGTGAGTTTATAAAATATTTCAGTTATATATGCAATAGAAACGAAGTATCCTATTTTGGAAGATAAGTCTAAGGCATTCACAGCAATAAAAAAGAAGTGCTTTAGTATTTCTGGACTTCAGTCAAGGGAATTATTATTGTAAAGCACTAATAATGCAGGTTTAGATATTTAACCAGCCATAGATACCAGGAAGCCAGGTGTTAAATCAAAGAACCAGGAAACCATGAGCCACAAAAGCATCAGTGTAGCAGTGTTTTAAGTATTACGACTATATGGACCTGCACCCTAAAACATAAACAATGGTGTACCTTATGAAGTTAAAAACCCTATTTAAGACTAAGAAGCACTTTAGCCTGGTGGGGAAAGCAGTGGTTATGAGTGGAATAAAGACTGGAAAATTTGCTTTTGTAGTGCAGAGCTTTAGAGCAAGCACAGTTTTATTTATTTGCCTTAAACCAATATTTCCGGATAAAAGGTATATTTTTCTTGTGGAGATTGTAGAATAACTATCATTAGCAAAGGCAGAAAGTATTCATTTCAACTTAGTAAAGACATATTTTTTCACTATCACAGAAAGATGACCTTTACATAAAAATTGTTACATATACTTCCATAGATACTAATAGTAAGTATGATTTTTTTTTAAAAAATAACTTTCTAAGACAAATGGCAAAGGCTTTCTTTTTCATGAATTCTTTGGTTATAAACAGGTTTTGAGTGATTTTTGTTCTATGAAGTATTAAGTGATTCTGCTGATATCTGTTCTGTGTGTCCTTTGAAGACCAGAATATAATTAATTTTATTCTGGTCTAACATATTTATTCTGATTTACATTGCTTTTATGTAACATAATTACAGAATGAAAATATACCTTTAGATCTGACATATATCGTTGATGAAGCTCCTGCTGAGCATGTTGCATAAGCTTTTCATCCTTTTAAAACTAAAAACTCAGAGGCTCTTAACAGGAAGGATAAACAAAGCTGAAATACGAACTCTGTATATCTTCCAATGATTCTCGACATGATGTTTTGTATTCACTGGCCCAGAGACTCCTGAGTTAAATAAAGCATAATCAAATATAATTAGTATGTTCTGGTTATTTTATAGTAACTTACTATCACTTTAGCAAAGCAAAAAATACTGGGAAGTGAGGGATCCAATCTACTGCCAAAACAGAGCTCCTACTCTAATGTTGATGAACTAAAAATTTTGAATCTAATCAGCAAAGAAAGTTAGCTTATATGCATAAGTTTATACCCCCAAATATATGGGAATAAATGAAACTAAAATAACAGAAAATCCAGAAAATTTTAGAGGAAAACAAATAAAGCTACATGAAAAATTGTAAAAGAAACTAGTCCGTGGTGATAAAATAAAATATGTAGCCAGTGCAAAAGATTTACTTCTAGATTAGTTGCTATGTGCCCTCTGGTGGAAAATGATTTATTTTTGTATAACTATACTGTATATTTTCCCCTATAATAGTGTTAACAAGCATATTTGAGCACATCATAAATGACCAGATCTTTTATGGAACTAAAAAAAAGTAACTGATTGATAGATAGCCTATGTATATTGAATTTGACCTTTTATTTGGAATATCATTCAGAAGTAACTTACATTTTTTCTATGCCTGGGGACATTATTTTCTATACCATTGCTATCATCTGATTTCCTGCACAGAAAACAAAAAAGAAAATTACTAAATGCTTATATTATATAAAATTAAGTCAGTACATCACTGATATGGCTATCAGGTTAAAATGTAAAATGTCAATACGGACAGAATTCTTTCTTCCTAAAAATGTTTTACTTACAATGTTGAATTTATTTTATGGCATTGCTTGAAGAGGAGCTGTTACCACAAATGATAGTGACAAAGGCTTGTTGATTTTATGCACAGGGAGAATTGCTTCTCCCCAAGCATGAGTGAGGACTTGGGCGTAAAGACCATAACTTATGTGTGGTTTTGGAAACATGCAAGGTAATAGCCAATTAGGAGGTCAGCCAACATGTGTGATATTGGTGCTATACATTTGTATGCTTATTACACTGAAATAGAGGTTAAAAATGGTTCTTTTTCCACCCAAAGTTTATCAGAGCAGGACTACAAATGTGGGCCTCAGATTCTAAAGATTGACGGAAACTAAATAACCAGTATGCATAATGAATACCTTGCCCTTCAAGGTCTTGGGGGCAGGCGTCAATTATCAAATCATAATGCATATTATAAGACAGTGTTACTTACAATTAACTGATAATTAATATTTTCTAAAAAAAAAGAAATCCCACGAGTGCTTGTTTTTCTTTTGTGTGTACTCTTCAAAAGCAGAATAATGGCCACTAAGAAAACACCTCAGCAACTATTGCAAGAAATGGTTTGAGGGACATCAAGAAGCTCATTGTTCTGAATGATTTCAAGTGCCCTTGATATTTGTATACAATCTAAAGATAGTGAAATAACCTGAAGAAAAACTAAACACCTTCAGTGATCCTTATGGTGCTATACAAGATGAGCAAAATGATGTACATTGATCCAATTTTCAGAAAAATAATTCATCTTTTACACTATATATTGAATCCATTTTACATTGTTCAGAAGTGATGGTCCATTCCACACTGTTCTGGTACCATCCTTTCAGAGTGTGTTTTAAATCAGAATGCAACTTCCAAATGTGAGCTCAGAAGAATGGTTAGAGACAGTGGGAGGCAGAGCTCGGAGAATAGAGGAATCCGAGCAAGGTTCTGTTTTCAAATATGTCAATGACTGTCACGTTTGTTATATGATGCTAAGAACAAGAAAAACGCCAATACGTGGAAATAGGAAAGATTAAAAGTTCAAATCAACATAAATAAGATATCTATGTTCTCCAGAAAGAGAAGGGATTCTCTTGGGAGAGATACAATTCCCTTCCAACTATGGGAGTCTATGATTCTAAGACAACATTGCTTTTCTCTATCTGGTGTTATAGGATTTCTGATGTAGTTATTTTGTGCCCTTAACTTGGAAGCTCATATCATATTGGTTTATTTTAGCAGCCTATGTGAATGGAGTCAACATGATTATCTGAATAATGTCTACAAACATCTAAATGACAACTGTCTGCTCCACTCCTGCTATCCATGCCTGTAACACTCACTCCATAGAGCTCCTGTTGGCTGATAAACTCTAAGTGCCATTTTGTGTTAGTTATAGTTGCTCAGGCCTTCCACTTCTCAGGTTTCTTGCAGCAACTTTAATCTAGCCTCGTTTTCCTGGACTCCAGCCCTTGGCTCTATTGTTCAGGCTTTAATCCCAGTCTTGGACACCTCTGTCACTGGCCTCCATACTCAGTTCTCTGGCTTCGAGGAATTCGGAACTCCCATCTTTGCCAAACTAAATTACATCCCTGGTGATTTTATTTCCAGACCTCCTCATGCTTAACTCTAAACAAAGGCTGTGTAAGAGAACCTGTGGCACAATTTGTGTTCTCTGAATAATAATAACTAATAGAATTCTAGGCCAGTGATTTTCAACAGACAGAGGATCAAAACCATTTGTAGATGTTTTCAAGAAATAACAGATGCCATAGCCCCAACCCAAGAGGTTCTGATCCAGGAGATTCAGCAAGGTCTGAGCAACTGTATTTTTTTAAAGAGGCTCTTAAGTGATCAAAAATTGCCAGGCTTGAGAACTATTGCTTTAAAAATAATAATATTAAATACTTCCTGATGGTTACTGCACACCTTCTGTGCACCATAACCTATGCTATGCATTTACACATATATAATATTCATTCCATCCAACAACCTCATATGGTGAGTACTATTATTAAATCCATTTTGTAGAGAAGAAAGCTGAAGTACAGAGAAGTGCAGGTAGTAAGTGATGAAGAAGAATTCTCACGCAGGTAGGCAGACTTGGAAAGCCACTTTCCACCACCACGTGGACATATACAGAAAATACTCCTCTGCCTTTTCTCCCCCTAACTGCAAACATTTCATTCAATTTTATGTTTCCCTGTATTTTACCCAAGTGAAAATTAATCTGTAAAAAATAATACTTACAGCTGTTCAATCTGCTCAAATTCTTTCCCCTCATCTGTGTAACAAAAGAAGAATTTGACTGTGAAGTTGGTTTGTCACTTTTATGGAACATATATGCTCAATTAAACCTCCTTCCTAAGTAAGTAAGTACTATGCTGTTTCTCCTGTTTGGAATGAAGGAGAGACATGCTACCTTAAACACCTACACCTCCTTTATCTGCACTACAGACCTTATCTGCATTTCTGATCAAACATAGTTTAGTGGCCTGGTATTTTCAAAAACATGACTGCTTAGTTTGTCATTATTTAAATCATTAAAAATTTAGTATAAAATCAGGAAAGAATACAGGACGTAAGGTCAATTTTCTAGAGGATTACTGCTTTATCAACCTGTAACCCATCAGGCACAGGCCGCAAAAATAGGACATGACAGGATGGTCTCTCTTTAATGAGAACTCTGGAATGGTTAATAAAATATTTTTTTAAATGATAATCTAAGTGAAAGAAAAATTGTTTCTTTTAGACTTTTTATATTAAGCTATCATAGATTTTTCTAATATTCCAGTGCCAGAATACATATCACCTAATTGGTACTTAGGTACCAGTAGCACCAAAAAAAAAAAAAAAAAAAAAAAGAGGGGGGTGGTGGGGGAAGAGAAAGAAAAAAGGCATTTTTAATACTAAGTTTTTTCAGGAATTGAAACAGGAAGACCATGGGTATATGTTTCCAGCTCACTGTCACCATTGTTGTAAACCTAAATACTGCTCCAAATAAGAAAATGAAGATTTTCCCCAAAAATCCTAAAGTCATTGCAATGTATCAAATCATAATCCATATCATAAGTAAATGATACTTATAATTAACTGATAATACTTTCTAAAAAAAACAAAAAACAAAAAAAAGAAATCCCACCTGAGTGCTTCTTTTTCTTTTGTGTGTACTTTTCACAAAGCAGAATGGTGGCCACTAAAAGAATCACCTCAGCCACTATTACAAGAAATGGTTTGAGGGGCACCAAATAGCTCAGCACCACAAGCTCAATGTGTTCTTCACTCTCGCCTAATTGGAATAGTGCACGGCACCAGTAAGATTCCCCATCTTCCTCCAAAAGTTGTGTTATCTTCAGCTTTGTTTCGTTAGCATATGTTCCATTGATCACATATTTATTCATTTGAACACCAACAGGAACCTAATATGAGGAGACATTAAAATCCATTCCTATCATAGCACATAAAAGATACATGACATAGTTTTTCAGTGAAAGCTATAAGATAATGCCAACAATATTGCTTACTAGAGAAAGGCATATTAAAGTTTGTGAGAGGTTATCTATAACAGACTTAAGTCTTATCAGAGTTTGATCTCCCAGGGAGCAAACAAAGAAAAAATATATACATTGCTATAAGGATTTAGCAGTGAATGTTTAAAACTACAAAGAAGCAAATAGGTCATCATGAATAAATATTATAGAAGAATTAAAAACAGAAAAATCCCAATCATCTGAGTCTCACATTCCTATCCTTGCCTAGTGCTTTAAAGTACTTTTTCCTTCACAAGCACAGGCACATATTCAAACAACTACCACCCCGGAAGCTACTATTTCTGATCATTTCTATAAAGGAAAATCGCTCACTCAGACAATGTGATTTCCCCAGGCTAGAAATGAAGATGAAACTCTCAGGCTTTTGGAGCTGATGTAGATAGAATGGAGGGGACCCTCTGTGAGCCTGGGATCCGAAGTGAACTGCACACCTTCTGTCTTTTCATATCTGAATTTCTTTCTCACTCAGATAAGCTGGCTTCTAAGATTTGCTGGGTTTTCCACAGCCTCACAAGGTGCCATATTAAGCTATTTGGGGCTGTTTTATTTAATCTATTTAAATTAAATTTTATTCCCAAGCCATTTGATGCTTTTCCTGCTCCATCACTCAACCGTGCTATTCAATAAATGCTAATCTGCATACAAATATTCTCAGAGCTTATCCAAGGAATAATTATCTGTGAGTATATTATTCGTGCAAAAAAAATTACAGCAACCTGGCACCATGTGCACAACACTGCCTGGAATGTTTGGTACAGATTGGTCAGAGCTAATCAATCAAAGTACCATATTTTTAATAAGTACCCAGCTGATTCTGATGCACATGGTTGGTCTACATTTTGAAAAGGCACTTGTGCTCAAGTTTTGACCTGCATCCTATTCCCCAAACTTTTCTCACATCCTAATAAGACTCATGCTTAGAGTCAAATTAAGAGGATAATGACTAGTATAGCAATGGACAAAAGCACTGGTACGTCTAAAACGACATTTTCAACATCTGATATAATTAGATGAAGGCTAATGTTTTTCACATATTGTTGTACCACATACACATCAATAAATAAAGCTGTGTATTTCAAATACCATAGTTGACATTTGTTTTTACAAAATTACACTTTTTAAAAAAAAATTACATATACACAATGACTGCCTTTCCTCATCATCCATCAGAAGACATAAAGGAGTAGGAATGGCTTCAGTCTGCATCTATGGGATTTGGTTGGAACTATTTCATTGAAAAACTAAACCTGTTAGCACAGAATAAGTCACACTCCCTTCTGAATCATCTGTCATCCTTCAATAGTCTATAATAACACCAATTTTGCCTAAGAAGGAATTTAATATTTCATTGTAACATCTACACTGTCTCACATGTTCCTTCTACAATTATAGCTTGCCTTTAACGGGACTTTAATTGTAATGCTTCTTAGTGCCAGGGCAAAGGAAGGGTGTCTCTTAAAGGACAATGTCCTAAATTTTCCTGCCATTAGAGGCTATTTGGGGAGAAGAAAGGAAACCAGAAATTATTTATAAAATACTCATGTTTTTCTTAATATCAGCTCTTTGAATAGCGATTTCTCTCAGTAAAAAAGGAATTAAAAGTATTTGGCTTCTCTCAGGTAGCTTGAAAAGGCCAATGACACTTTCTGATAGAACCTAAGATGTAAGATTAAGTTACAAAGTTTTCATTATTTTCTCAAATAGTGCCACTATTTTGCATTCTATCACAGATGTTTCAGGAGACAGAAGCCCAAAAAGATGTCTAGCATTTTTTCTAGTTACTTTCATGGAATGATTTTTAAAAAGAATATTTTCTAATGGGGTTATTTCTAAACTAGGCAACTACACACAAAATGTAATTTCTTTTCAAAGAATGTAATTAAATTGTTAAACCTAAAAAACAAACTACCAGCTAATGAAACGTTAAGAGTATCTTCATATGTATAACGTAAACATGCCAAAAACCATCAAATGACAACTCTGTTTGTCACTGCTCTTTCTTTATGAACATAAGCTAAACAACAAGATAACAAAAGTATAAATCATCTTAGGAATGCTGAGTCTGTTACAATCTTGTTATTTTTTAAATAAATGTTTTCTGTTGTTGTTGTTTTCTTCAAATCAAGGAACTATCTTACCTTTACACTCCCATTACTACTGTACCAGGTCCAATTTAAAGGAAAACAATTTTGACATTTACATGTCAAGACAGTAGAATCCCCTACGTAAGAGATCAATGGCTTGTTTTTCCCATGAAGTTCAGGGACTGAGAATAAAATAGAGAAATGTATGTTACTGAAAGAGTTTAGGTAAAGGAAATGTATTAAATGTGCAAATATTGTCTCCTTTCATTTTTTCATTACATTATTTTAAGTACTTTCAGTTATATATCAATGAAACTAATTTATAGTAGTTAGGGTGTAGTTAGTAGTAATAATAATAGTAGATAGATTCGATATAATTGTCTCCAATGTATAGAAATGGAAGGTCTTCTATTATTGAGCCTAACAACAAAAGTATTGTTCCTTTTTGGATAAGTTAAATGTTTTGGGTAAGAAAGAGGCTTCATGTTTTCAAACCCCTGTTCTTTCTTCCCACCTACTAAGTTACCTTAGAGTAATTATTTTCTTCAAAGTTTTAACCTCAGGTAGCATTTGAGTGAGCAGATAAAATTTCCAGGATAGGAAATCTTTAGTTGATACTAATTTATGAAAAGCCAGCAAAGAGTTAGAGAAGGTGGGAACAAGGAACAAAGGAAAATTAACAGAAAGAGAACAGCGTAAGAAAGAAAATAAGATTTAAAAATTCTTTCATGTGGTTTTGTAAAATATATATATATATACACTAATATCCATTATGATAAATTTCCTAGTCAAGGAAGTTTGAAGTAGATTCCATTAGAAACAGAATACAAATGAGCACTGAATTTAGAAAAAAAATAAGTTTTAAGGATGTAATAACTTGGTAAAGAATATTAAAAGATAAGAGCATAAACAGTACAATAAAAAGCCTACATGGTGCAATCAGTTCCTTCTGATTGACCTTTAAAGATGTATTATAGAAGGTACACTTACACTGAAGATGTAGACTCATCAACTAAGATTATTTTGTTAATTTTTTTCTTTTACTTTTTTCAATTTTAGCAGGTTTTTTGCTTCTTTTGGTTTTGTGTGTGTGTGCGCACATGCGTGTGTTTGTCTGTTTACTTTTTTCATTTATATGTTTAGTTTGCCAGTAGGGAAAGAATGGATGAAATCATGTCAACTAAAGACCTGCAGATAAGCAGAGATTGGAGCTTGGCTAAAATAGGGATTCTTTGCTGAAGCCACAAGTTTCCCTACAACCTGAGAGGAAGAGCAGCCACACTTCCTGAGTTCCATCTGAAGAGGCACAAGATGCACTAGTGCATTACTAGGGCAATGACCTCAACAGCCCTGTTAGGCTCACCTTAAAACAAACACTGTTTTGGAGTGCAGGCTTTGCATTAGACACTCAGTAATTAAGGACACAGTTTCCGCTTTCCCAGGTTGTTTATCTCTCAGATATCCTATTTCTCAATCTCTACATGTTTCTTTCTGGCAATTGAGTCATGCTTTAGCATGAAAATATGTGTTGAAATAGGTTCAAAATACCAAAATTTACCCACAGGCTAAGAATAAAATGTGGAAGAAAGGTAATTCTTGGGGAAAAACCTGGCAGAATATACACTGCTTTTCAGTATTCCTTGAAGAGCTACCTGCTTGGGAAGCATAATGGAAGCTGCGAGGCGCTTTTCAAGAAAGTTGAGTATTCTGAGATTTGATGAGGAACACATGACTATGTTATTAAACCATCCCAACTAAATATTAAGATCAGGCTGTAAATTGCAGGTAGCTGACAATGACTGAGTGACAACATGGAAAAGCTGAAACCAAAATTCTGTTTTCTTGCCATCTCTTCAGTTTTCTTGATTATCCCCTAGACTAATGACTAAAATACCATAAACCATGCTTTTGTTCTGCTATATATGGCTAATAACAGCAGTGTGGATTTAAATTATAAAATGCACTATGTTCAGGGAACATGACATTTGTTTGAACTATTCTGGGGTTCAGGGCCACAGCTTATATTTGGAAATATTTACTAATATAAGGACAGTGAGACAGTATTCTAATGTGCCCTGTCGACCTTTTAAGACTTTGCATAAAGTAGGATGCATACGAGTGCTACGGTTGGAATAAACCAGGTTTGAAGGTGGTGAAATTGCTGATTCAGGCTAGTTTCTAGGAAGATGGGGTTTGGATATACCCAGTGAAAGTAACAGCTCTCTGGAGTTGTAAAATTGGAGACTATATTTGTATATTCATGAACTAGAACAAATTGGCCTAAATGTCATATTGGTTCAAAGACTTTTAGGTACCACTAAATTAGGAAAAAAGATTACTCCATGTAGTAAAAGAATGCTAACTATACTTCAACACTGGGATCCAGGGCTGAAGTCCTAGCTGATTCTATTATGCTACCTTTCCATACTTTATATTTTTAGATACTTCCAGGGGAAGACAGATAGTTGAGCTTTGACAGGCTTCACTACATTTGGTACTATCAAAATCTCATCATGACTTCCAAAAAGTTCTTGTTCTTTACCAATTAAATTTCTGCATACTTTCTACTAAGAGATTTTAACACTGATAAATATTATGGAAGCTTTCAGCAACCACTCAGAATATTTGATCCACTACTGAGAAACACTATAGACCATCACTCATCTTTCTCTTTCTCGGGTGGCAAGTAATCAGCAACTTATTAGCAGTCACAAACTTCCAGTGTACACTTTTGCTGTCTCCTCTGTCCTGGCATCAAGAGCGAAACACATAAAGTCAGCAGGTTTTTGTGCATTGAACTAATCAGTAATCTTGAGGGCCTTTTACAACTTTGTAGTAGTAAATCAACCAGCACCCATAAAGACAGCAGCAGGGACTTTGCTGATGAATTGTTCTGAAGACTCAGGCTCATGCACTATAGGTGGCTCATGTAGTCAATGGCAGAAAAATTTATCTTTGGTTCAATTTAAAATAGAGAATAAAACAGTCTTTTCATCTACATGCAGTTGTAAGTCTTCTAAGAAAAGATAATTATTCTTCTTAGGAAAAACCATTAAGTAAACCATATGGAGAAATAATATAATAGGACATTTATAAAAATACACACCATTTTATAAGCCTTTCAGACCTATTAAATAACTATAATATCCATAATGTACAGATGTCTTTAAATACTACTCAAGTAAAAATTATTTCTGTAAGCAATATTCAATTTAGATGAATTATAGGGAATTTTTATTTTACCAAGGAAGATTTAAAAGGACCCAACTTATTAATTTTATAAATATCTTCAAGATATAATACATACTTAAAAGTTACATTAATGTTAAAGGGGCATTAAAAACAAATTAGCTAACCTAAACTGCTTCAAGACAACTAGAAAAGAAAAAAAAGTAAATGTTCAGTGATTCTTTGCTTTCCTTAAAGCCTTGATTTAAATCCTAGGCCTTGGGTCAGCGCTGCTGACACCAGCCAAAATCAGCTTAGTTATCTCAAAACAGTTGGAGAATCAAGAGGCCTTCCGTGTGAATACTTGCAATTCAATGTATTGGTATGTTGAAAAGTAAAATGCTTGTTAATCTTCACATTAGACACAAGAATGGTCACTTCCACATAATAATTTAAGTAATTATCAAAACTAATGAGAAAAATGTGTTATCTTCAATATTGAAAGCAGGTATGACTAGTATATATTTCCAGAGCACAATGTCTTAGAAAAAAAAAGAAAAAAGTGTTTAAAGTTGAATATCTTGGGAGCACTTTAAGTCACAAGATTCTGTGAGCATTTCCTCAGAATCTGTAGGCCTTCTTTACATATTTTTTAAAAACTCAATAAAACATGTTCACTGAAATTTTGTGTGTTTAGTATTATTTTTTGCTCATTGGGAAGAAAAAGAGAAAGGGAGGAAAAAAGGAAGGAAGGAGGCAGGAAGGGAAGGAAGGAAATGAACTCAAAAGGTGGGAGGGAAGAAAGGACAGAAAAAGGGAAAGGAAAAGAGAGATTAAGGAAAGAGGAGGGGAAGGGCAGATGGGGCAGGGGAGGGAAAAATGAAATGCATAAGGAAAAGGAAACTGAAAGGAAATGTATATGGTGTTATCTAGTCCTTCACCAAGTTAAAGGCAAATGGAGGGAAAAAAGTTAAGAAAGAATATACATGACTAAAATAATCAAAGAATGATACTAGTTTCTGCTTTTGGAGAGACCAAGATATATAAATACAAGAATTTATTATATTCACCACATTGGAACAATTACAAAGACATAAAAATAAAATGACTCTGTGAGTGCAGAAGGGATGCAATGAGGGACACAGGAGTGAACCATTAGATCATGGCAATGGTGAAGCAAGCCATTCTGCTATTGATGGAGCCTTGAGAATAGCATCCACATTCTGTCACAGCAGACAGTCGGGCTTTAGGAGTTTTAGGAAAAGTTACAACAATTTTCATGTTTCCTGGGGAATTAATGCAAAGCAGAGTCCGACGTAGTTAATATGGCGACAGATTGCATTTCCCAAATACCAGCACGATAATATGGTTCACTAATCACCACAAAATACTGGGTTTTTCATAATGATAATTATCTAACTCAAATAACTAGTCTTTATTATGAGATTGAGACCTTCTTGAGTTTTGGTTTAATGATGGTAACAGTAAAATATTTTAATTCGTTTGTTTCCAAGCAAAAGAAATGTGGATGATATTCTGTGGCTTGTATATATCTTTAAACCTCCTTACTTGGTGAGATAAAAAGTAGGCAACCGTTTGTGCATCTCCATATTATTTTTAAGTTTTATGGATCCTAAAATCCCATGTCCTGGAGCTATGGATATAGAACATCAACCCACACTCTCAGAGGCTGGGACCACAATAACTTAGAAACGTGGAGGACTATTATAAGAGCTATGAATTTAGAGAGATAAATAAAGAAATTCAGGCAACTGATATAATTCACTAATAATGTGGTAGGCTGGCCTTTTGAACTAAAACATGTGCTTTAAATTGAGGAATAGAAGCAGGAAGGAAGTGGACTTGGGGGATACAAGACCATTTTCAAGGCTGCCTCTTGTGGCTCTGGAAAGCATATGACTTTCTTTCAGCTACATTATGTTTATTATTGTAAAAATAATTTTAAAATTACAGGATTGAGAAATCTAAGAACATAATGCTGAAGTTATTAACTATTCCTCAAGTTATTAATACTGACCTTTGAAATTAAATGTTCCCCTTTGTTCCTTTTCCTCTCGAAAGAAACAAGAATAACTTCCCATTTGTTTGCTATTAATGATGGTGAACCTAAAGATAATTCAAGTTATTAATATAGGCTTAGTTCTCAAAACCTTAATGAAAATGAAAAGACTTAGCCATTAATAAAAATTTAAAAAGAGAAATAATTCTGTAAATATGCAAATTAGAATATTAGCATAACATTCAAGTGGCTGCAGAGGAAAGAATGCTCAGTCAGCAAAAATATTTAGAATTAAGCTACTTTTGGTGAGCAAGGTAGGTTAAAATTTGTATACTCACCTGTATTGGGTATACAAGGTGCTTCCTGTTGCACTGACAAGATAATTATTCTCAAGTTGTTCACCATCTTTTTTCCAAGTCACATTTACTGCATTCAAATCCCCAGATGTTGTGAACTGGCATGTGAGATTTACATTAGAAGGCCTTTCTAAAGTGATATTTTTTTCTACTGGCATACTAGAATGTTCTATTAGCACAAAAGAGGACAAAATGTGAAAGTTATATTCAGAGGAATCTAACACATAAAACCTTTTATATTATTAACAGCAGTGTTTCATTGACAATTTCTTAATGTAACATTCATTTGAAGAATTATTCCTCTATCAACATAGTTGGTTCCCTTTCTTATTCCCTTTTATATGCACACCTAAAGAAAAGTTTTGATTCAACATTAACACAATTAAAAAAAACCTAAAGCTGTGATAGTTATCTCCTTAAGCTCTATACTGAGCAGAATATAGGGTAGAGAGTACCCTATAACATGTGCCGTATGCTCTGACAGTGTAAAAACAGCACAACTGTAAATACAAACACACACTCATGGGTGAGAATGGAATGCCTGTTTCAATAATTTTGAGTAATCATGTTGTTAGTAGTTATTAAGTTTTATGGATCTAATAACTACTAGAGAATGTTTTGTGTGTAACATGGATTTGAGTGATATATTATATTCTAACCATTCCTAGTCTTCTTCAGAACCTGTAAGGACTGGATATAGACATAGGTACAAGACAGAGAATTTAAATAAGCATCCAGTAGTTCTGAATTTTGACTGAATTTCAATATCAGTATGAATTCATGAGGTGTTTATCCTTCTTTTTGACTTTCAAAATAGATATTTATTTTGGATTGATTGATTATCATAAGAACACTTAACATTAGACCTTCCCTCTTAGCAAATTTTTTAAACTTGTACCTAAAAAGTAGTCTGAAAGGTTCTCAATTACTCTTCCCATCTACAGGTGGGAAGAGAAGGAGCTAACCCTTAGAGAAGCTTTAGGGAAGTTGAGGTGTTTATCTTGAAAACAATACACACACACACACCACACACACACACACAGACACACACACACACACACACACACACTGAAGGGGTCCAGAATATGCCTGGATAGCATACAAATTATTTTGAGCAGAAGGCATTTGAGTTCCTAAAATAGCTACTCTGACTAAAAGCAGAGCCTTTCAAAGGAACTCCAAAAAACCTCCATTGTCATAAATCCCCTCCCTAGGAGCAATAGGGAGAATGGAGTCATCACTGAACATGAGAAATCTTCACACCACACCTAAACAGACACTGTCACAAAACTATATCTTCCACCTGTTACCTAAAGGGCTCATTTATCTTTCCTAAAACTCATTTCGTTTTTCCATAAGCTGCCTTTCTCTCCTCCTCTCCTTACCCTACTAAGATGGTGTATAAGCCCCCACTTTTAACTGGCCCTTTGAGCTACATGTTTTGGTAACTTTTGTCCATATGTTATTAAATACGCTTTTTGTTTTGCTAATCTATCTTTTGTCAGTTTAATTCGCGGAGCCTGAAATTGTAGAGAATTGCAGAGAAAAAGTTCCTCCCTGACAGTTTGGCAAGGAATATGGAATGGTTAGGACTCCCCACCCTTCCACTCCAACCCCATTTCTAAAGCCTGAGATTTCAGGACCTCTGACCCAGCAGGTAAGTACAAGCTTTTTTTTTTTTTACACCAGTATCCCAGAAATCTGGGATTTCTGGGATACTGGTGTAAAAAAAAAAAGGGTGCACTAGAGCAAGAGCAGTAAGAGCCTCTACTTGTCTTTTCTTTCTTCAGTTTAACCCTCAAGTTCCCAACCACTAACTATCCAACAATACACACATACATACACACGCGCCCACGCGCACACACACACACTTAGGGAAAACACAAAAAAACTAACTTTAATTTTGAACAGTGGCAAATAAAGAAAAAATATTAAGCATGTACCTTGTTTGTCCTACACTAACTGTATCACTGGCTAACCAAACAGTAGAGAAAATAAACGTTCTCTTTATAGAAAAATTCCAGCAAATGAATAAAAAAGAAATCATACAAATATACCATAATGATGCTGCAACCCCTAGTGAATCATGGATCTAGGCATTTTGCATCAACTGCTGCAATAATTTCAAAAACAGAATTATGTCTCTCTTGAGGAAGAATACCCCACTACCTAGGATATAGTCTTGTTAAAAAAAGGTGCTGGAGGAGGTTCTTGAAACTGGTTAAGTCTCTGGATCCAATTCCCAGTTTACAGGAAACATGGATTATAGAAGAACACATTAACCTACATTTCATGAAAGTAATCAACAAAATCCAGATTCTGGGAAAATTCTACAAATAAATGATCTGGTTTTTTCTTTTTCTTTCTTTCTTTTTTTTTTTTTTGAGATGGAGCCTCGTTGCCCAGGCTGGAGTACAATGGTGTCGTCTCAGCTCACTGCAACCTCCGCCTCCCGGATTCAAGCGATTCTCCTGCCTCAGCCTCCCAAGTAGCTGGGATTACAGGCGCCTGCCACCATGCCTGGCTAATTTTTTTGTATTTTTAGCAGAGATGGGGTTTCACCATGTTGGCCAGGCTAGTCTCAAACTCCTGACCTCAGGCGATCTGCCTGCCTTGGACTCCCAAAGTGATGAGCCACCGCACCTGGCCTGGTTTTTTCAATAGACAAATTTTAAAAGGGAGAGAGATGTCTTTGTATCGGACGTCAGGTGCTATGTTTGGGGCACCTGAAGATTATAAGATACTCAAAAAATACTATTAAAAGAAAAGCAAAACTGAACTGTAATATTTAGGGATGCATACCTGGGTAATAAAGCAATACAGAAAAGCAAGAAAGTGACTGCATAAAAATCAGAATAGTGGTAATTACTCTTAAGGGGAAGAGAAGGAGTTGTGTTTGGAAGACGGTAGTATATCATATAAACAAATTTCTCAAGCTCTTCTCATTCTCAATAATGGTATAGTATGATGAAATGTAGAATGCAGAGCCAAAATGTAGAAAGAAAAATAATACAACTCAAATAAAATGGTCAGGTGCAATGGTTCATGCCTGTGATCCCAGTAATTTGGGAGACTGAGGTGTGTGGGATTGCTTGAGCACAGGCATTCCAGACCAGCCTGGCCAACATGGTGAGACCTCATCTCCACAAAAAAAAAGAAAAAATTAGCCAGGCTTGGTAGTGCATGCCTGTGGTCCCATCTAGTCTCAGGTAGAGGTGGGAAGATCTCTTGAGCCCGAGAGTTGAGGCTGCAGTGAGCTAAGGTGGCACTACTGCACGCCAGGCAAGGTGATAAAGCAGGGCCCTGTCTCAGGCAAAAAAAAAAAAAAAAAAAAAAAAAAAATTCTATCACTTTTAATTACATTTGAAACTTTACGAAATGCTTCCATAAGCAAGGACCAGATGCAAGGTTTGCAGATAGTGAAGTACAGCTCGTGCAAAGTGCTTTGTGAGCACATGCTTGAAATAACTGCTTGTAAAATTGCAAAATTGCTGAATTGAATTTAATGCTCAAAAAGAAAAATAATATTTGATGTCTCTAGAATACATATATTGCCAGAGACTACCTTATTCCTTGCAGTTCCCTTTACTGTGCTCTATTTCACTATCCTAGTATATTTTAAACATTTTGCTAGCCACACCAAATTATTCCAACTACCTTTTAAATGTTGGTGCCCATCAGGATTTTGCTCTCTGGTCTCTTTACTTCTCAATTTGGCACTTCTTTGTTGGATTCAACTATTAACTCTAATGCTCTTTACTTGCAAAATTAGAACCTCCACTGAAGTCGTTTTTTTATTTTACAGCTCCAGGTGTCTACGGAGCATCTAAATCTGGATATCCCATGAGAACTTCAAACTCAAAATATCCAAGAGATCCATTAATATTCCCTTGTGCTGACCTATAACACTGAATCACATGCAGTAGTATTTAGTTGATTCTACCGCTAAAATGTCAAACAAATTTGCCCAGTTTTATCCAACCCTCCTATTATTGGCCTTCATTATCTTTCACCAAGACCAGGTAAATTATCTAATTTCTCTTGGCCAGCTTCTCTTGCTCCAACCAAAGGACAACTTTGGTTGGAGCAATTTAAGCAAAACTCAAATTGTTTAACTGCCTTGATTCTATACCTTGCATGTGCAAATCAAAGTATCTTTGTATTAGACATCAGTTTCCTTATTTGTAAGGTGGGACAATAATATTCCATGAGATTGTAAAAAGTTCTATCATAAGAAACGTCAACAGTAATATAATATAGCAATTAATAAATGCCCACTTACTTCTTCTCACCATTATCTCACTGGGGAATATTATAAAAACTATCATATATGGTGCTAAGGGTTATATGTTGATTAAATAATTTA
Source organism: Homo sapiens (assembly GCF_000001405.40). Lineage (NCBI taxonomy): Eukaryota > Metazoa > Chordata > Mammalia > Primates > Hominidae > Homo > Homo sapiens. The sequence continues at coordinate 50,415,581 of NC_000005.10, forward strand.
ATCTTCACAACAGCTTTATGAGGTAAGTATCACTGCTACAATTCCAACTTTAGAGATGAGGCAAAGAGAGGCTATTTTGTCTAAGATTACACATCAAGACAAAGGCAACACTGAATCTCAGATTTAGGTATGCCTGAGTCCAGACTGTGATAACCAACAGAATATACCAACTCTCAAACATATTAAATTCTCATTACAATGGAATTAACTTCATCACCTTCAAACTGTTGAAACAAGATTTTAAATAAAAGAAAATATTAATAGAAGATTAAAGAAATGTACAGTGTAGCTATATACCAATATGAATGCGATGATAAAATGAACAGTGCAATCAAAATATTTTAAAAATACACATTTTCAACTAAACATAGTTTTACATAACTTAAAGTGCAACACAGTTTTTCTTAATGGTAGGCCATCCTCCAAGCCCTAATCGTTGTCTCACTGTTTCCTATAATACTTTGCAGGTGCTTCTGCAGTTTGCTGTGCTTCTGCAGTTTGCTTTCCTTCCTGTCAAGAAATCACAGCATCAAAAACATGCAAAAAGCTCTACCTTTTTACATATTTTGTGGTTAGCCAACAAACTAATGTGAGCTCAGTCAACGATGTTTCAACTTCCTTAATACTGCACAACTGCAATGCATTTTTGCTGCTTTAGAGTGCTGCAAAAACATCTATGACATCTGCATTTCTAAAACGATAACAATTTGTTGTTTTTGAAACGTATTTTCAAGACTGTTCTTAAAACCATATAGTAATTTATACCTGTCTAAATAATTTCTTATTTTCATAGGTAACATTTTTAAAGTATATGGGCCTTTCAACAATTTGCAGTCTTCAGAGAAATGACATTTAGATTTTCTTGGGTCTATTCAGGACCCAATCTTGTAAACCATTTCACTAGAAATAAAAGTCTGCTTTGTTCTTTATTAAGAAAAAGAAAATATGGAAGAAGCCAATTAAAATTTATTGCATAGGATAGTGTTTCCAAACATGCTTTAAAGATAGAAACCCTTACTAAACACAGTTAAGTGAACTGTGACATATACGACGGATTCGATGGGACAACTCTGACAGAAGCCAAGATAGAAAATACAGAGCCCTATCAGCCTGACTTTTCATTATTCATAATGAGGTAGGAGGTGGAATGTGACTCTGGACCAGATTGAAGACTGACAGAAACAAGGAAGAGGCAACGAAAGATCCTCTCCGTAAGACACACCCACCAGCACCATGACAGTTTACCATTGCCATGGCTACACCCAGAAGTTACCATCCCTTTCCATGGCAATGACCCAGAAGTTACCTTCTGTTTTCTAGAAATTTCTGAATACCTTGTCCCTTAATTTGCACATAATTAAAAGTAGTATAAACATGGCTGCAGAACTGGCCCTGAGCTGCTACTCTTGACACACTGCCCAGGGGTACCCCTGCTCTGAAGGAGAAGTCACAGAGCTGTAACAACCCTGCCTCAATAAAGCTGATTTTTCTACCACCAGCTCACTCTTGAATTCTTTCCTGAGCCAACCTTCTCGGGCTAAACCCCAATGTTCGGATTCACCTGCCCTGTAATAATTTCACCATAAAAGTCAATAAAGCTTCATGATGCAACCCAAAATGTCTATTAAACATCCAGAATCCTTACAGAAACAGAAGGCCACACTAACATGAGGCCAACACCCCTATATAAAAATGATACAATGGATCTTATTTTTATCATTAATGTTGTGCGTCTTAAACATATGGAGTTAACTTATGAATAAGAATAAAATTCTCAAAGTTTATATCCAAAATTTATAAAACATAATACTAATCCCTTGATTCTTGTAATTTCACTTCTCTCCCAAATAAGTCTCATATGGATTGAAGAATCATGATGGTTTATTAAGTGATCCTATCAACAAGTTATTTACATGCCATCTGATTAGTGCCACACCAATGTGATACAGCCTAAAACACACGTGCTTCCTGAATCCCATAAACTTAAAATGTGAAATCACCAATGTGCACAGAGAAACCTGAAATTATATAAACCCAACTTGAGTAAAATGTAGTACATATACCTTGATATACTTTTTTATATGTATATAAAATCTCCAAGTAATCCCTGGAGACTCCCTCAAGACCTATGAACTATGTGGCTGGTGTTATATGAGCTGAGCCTATTTTCAAACTTTTAGAATTTTTTTTACACAGACATCCTCAAAAGAAAGAGAAATACCAGAAAACATGAATGGCTTCTACACAAATGAAGCCAGGTTTTCCAAAATAATTCATCAAAGATTTGGCAATATTTTGGAAAATATGTTAAAATTATTTAAGAGGAGATGCTAGTTGAATTTCACTAAACAAAGCTCCTATCAGTCACTGTTTTCCTCCACTTCATTTAGTAACAGAAATTAAGGCATGTAATGGTTATTTCTCTACTTTCTAAACTGATTTAACATCATTTCAAAGAAAAACAAAAACAATTCTGTTTGAATTCCAGAATTGCATGTCTCTTGTTTCAACAATGCAGTATTTAATTTGAGACAATAACATTGGGTAATAATCCAATAATTAAATATATTTTTCTACAACATAGAGAACACTGCAACTATTGTTTACATCAATTACAGGAAAACTATAGTAAATGGTTACACTGTTTTAGTAACCAAATACATTTGTTGCCACTGTTTCCAAATAATTAACATGAAGTTAATCCAACACTATAGTGGGGACCACTGATCATATTTTTGGACAACCAGAATCCGAACACCCTTCCCATCCGTGTAAGGTTTGGTGATAGGCAAAGTACTCACTCACTGCGGAAACCTAAGAACAGATATTTCTTCTCTCTGCCCAGCTGAGCACTAGGGTTTGGCCACTTTAATTATAACCTTCTACTCATGGCTGTAAAGTTAGAGGGAGGGAGTTAGGGACCTAGGCAGAACTGAAAATTAATCACAATAGCAATGGCAAGTGTCTAGCAGTGATTGTGCCTCATTATTCTTTCACTCACTCATTTAACACTTATTTACCGAACACCTACCATGTGCTTTTCATTTATCCACTCGTTCAACAATTTTACTAAAAATATATCACGTGCCTTTATTCTAGGCCCTAGTATCAAGAGTCCAGTGCCTGCAGAAATATCTTAAGCAGACTCTTCCAGTAATCCTTGCTGTCTGTCAGCCTGAGGTCCTTGGCATTGCCAGAACTTGATTTCCAGTTTTCTCATCAATTCTGCTAGCCAAAATCCTTTATTCAACAAATTATTTCCTGCTTAACTGGCTATAGACTGTTTCTGGGCTTGAGATCATTAACCTAATCCATATACACCTATCAAGATTTACACTAGATACTTCATCTATGCACTCCTTCCATTTTATTAAAATTACATAGCACTGATGTCACTTGGCAGCTCACAAATATCTAGAACATATGATAATACTTGGTCCCCAGAATGAATTCTGCAAAGTGGTAATCATAGTACCAGTTCAGCACATTTGAAAGACAATACCTGAGGTTACACAGGGGACAAGATCCAGGCTGAGGTAGCAGTCCAGGACTCAGATCAGCCAGTCCCTGGCCCTGTATGCTCCCCTCCATGGCCAGTCCTGCCCTTTTGTTCTTGTAGCTATAAATCACACTTTAGTATTTTTTCCATCTCTTCTACATTTACAAATCAAAATCATCTCAAGCCATAACAACTTGCCTCCAATCTTTATATCTAATTTCTGCCTTCTCTACCTTGATAAAAAGCTTTCATTTATTTTGAACCATTTTGCACATATCCACTTCAATATAATGGAAGAAAGGAACAGCAAATGACAATGTCATATCATTTGATTCCCCAGTACAAGAACCATTTAAATTTTGAAATGGATTATTCTAATGGATTTCAAAATTATTTTAGTAGCAGAATTGTTTCAGAAATAAATCACAGGAAAACTTAAACAGAACCCCCACTACATACACACACACATACACACACACACACACACACACAGATAACTGTATAAAACTGATAAAAAGTGTTGCTACAATTAGTGAAGACTGGAGAGGGTGTGGAAAGCATTCAAGATTGGCCTCTTCATCCCTTCATCTCCTTTCCCCATCATGGTTGCATCACATGGAACAAAGGACTTAAAAGTGACACATGCACACGTATGTTCATTGCAGCACTATTCACGACAGCAAAGACATAGAATTAACCCAAATGCCCATCAATGATAGACTGGATAAAGAAAATGTGGTGCATATACACGATGGAATACTATGCAGCCACAAAAAGGAACAAGATCATGTCCTTTGCAGGGACATGGACGAAGCTGGAAGTCATTATCCTCAGCAAACTAACACAGGAACAGAAAACCAAATACCGCATGTTCTCACTTATAAGTGGGAGCTGAACAATAAGAACACATGGACACAGGGAGGGGAACAACACACATAGGGGCTTGTCGATGGAGGGCAGGGGTGCAGAGCATTAGGGAAAAGAGCTAATGCATGCTGGGCTTACTGTCTAGGTGATGGATTGATAGGTGCAGCAAACCACCATGGCACACGTTTACCTATGTAACAAACCTGTACATCCGGCACATGTACCCCAGAATTTAAAAAATAAAATACAATAAAAGTAACTGGATTCCATCAAAGGAGAGGTAAACACAAGTCTCAGCACACACCAGATCAAGATAAGGGCTCATAAATACCTAATGTAAACTGAAAGCATGGCCTGCTACCTTGGTAATGAATTTCTCCAAACTGCAGGTGTTTACACCCTGATGCCAATCCTTGATATTTAGTCTTACAATGGTTTATGTCTCATGGTATCAACTTCTAAGGTGCTAACCATGCAGACACTCAGGGAGTCAGTACATACATTTTGTACACACCCCAAGTGACTGATTGTCTCAGGTCACATGCCTCCTTTGCAGAAAGGGCTCCTCTAACCTTACAACACTGCTAACAACAGACTCTCTCTATCACACTTCCTTTATATACTTCCTAGCATTTGGCACTGTCCGGTTTCACCTTTCATATTAATTTGTTTACTTACTTATCCATTGCCTTTCCCACTGAAACATACACTGTATGACATCGGGGGAGGAGGGCAGAAAGGGAAGTCTGCCATGTTCACCACTGTAAACGAGGCTTTCAATAAATTTTTGTTGAAGTGGTTGTAGCTCCCGGAATACAGTACTTAAAACATGAATCACTTCTTTAGACAGATAAGGCACTTTCCCTTAGACTGAAGGTTCAAGCATATTAAAATTCTGCCTCATGATTTATATGAGGAATTCTAGGTGGAAAGTACTTTACGGGATATGCAAGAAATGCATAAGAAGTTCTTGTCTCACACAGTTGACTCATCCATTGGCCAAAACAAATTTGTTTAGTACTTTTATATGCTATATGTGATATAGAGGGGATTTAAAATTACTAATCTAGCAGGGGACATATAACTCAAACACAAATATCTACAATTAAGTTTAACTACAACAGATACTGCAAATAAAATGAGATCTAAATCACAGACGGCAATAGTATAAAAACATTAATTTTCCCCAAAATAAATCTACAGAGTGGGTGAAGAATCAGTCAAATTCCAAGAGTATTTTTTACAGAACCCAATTTTAAGAAATGCAACCATCAAAAAGTGGGCGAAGGATATGAACAGACACTTCTCAAAAGAAGACATTTATGCAGCCAAAAGACACATGAAAAAATGCTCATCATCACTGGCCATCAGAGAAATGCAAATCAAAACCACAATGAGATACCATCTCATACCAGTTAGAATGGCCATCATTAAAAAGTCAAGAAACAACAGGTGCTGGAGAGGATGTGGAGAAATAGGAACACTTTTACACTGTTGGTGGGACTGTAAACTAGTTCAACCATTGTGGAAGTCAGTGTGGCGATTCCTCAGGGATCTAGAACTAGAAATACCATTTGACCCAGCCATCCCATTACTGGGTATATACCCAAAGGATTATCAATCATGCTTCTATAAAGATACATGCACACGTATGTTTATTGTGGCACTATTCACAATAGCAAAGACTTAGAACCAACCCAAATGTCCAACAATGATAGACTGGATTAAGAAAATGTGGCACATATACACCATGGAATACTATGCAGCCATAAAAAAGGATGAGTTCATGTCCTTTGTAGGGACGTGGATGAAGCTGGAAACCATCATTCTCAGCAAACCATCTCAAGGACAAAAAACCAAACACCACACGTTCTCACTCATAGATGGGAACTGAACAATGAGAACACATGGACACAGGAAGGGGAACATCACACACCGGGGCCCGTTGTGGGGTGGGGGGAGGGGGGAGGGATAGCATTAGGAGATATACCTGATGTTAAATGACGAGTTAATGGGTGCAGCACACCAACATGGCACATGTATACATATGTAACAAATCTGCACGTTGTGCACATGTACCCTAAAACTTAAAGTATAATTAAAAAAAAGAAGTGCATGTGAAAGAAAGTCCAAGAAAGAAAATCTGTTTTTTTAAAAAGAACAGATAAAAAGATATGTTTTTAAAAATAATACTAACATGTTAATTATGCCATAAAATACCAAGAAATTAATGAAATAAAATAGGCAAAACTTTTTAGACTGCAAGCAAAAATCTATTAGTGAATCAGGAAATCAATTTAATAGTTATCAACAGATTTGTTTTTTAATGGATTGGAGTAAAAGAGAAATTATCAGAGTATAACAAGCTTATTAGGTGTAGGTGTTATTCGATGAATATTCTGTTTCATATGTGTGTGAACATGCAGTTGGTGCATCAGGTTGCAAAGTAAAATGTACTTCTTACTTTGGGAAGTACTTTAATAACTTTGTAAAACAATGTAACAGTAGAGAAACAGAACAGAGTTTGGGAACTGAAATATGATTAGAGTGCTATTTCAAAGCTATCAGGAAAAGGAGAACTATTCAGTTAAGAAAGTTGAGACGCTGGCTAACAGTACAAAATAATAACCATAAAATTAGTTCCTTCTCACACACAAAACATAAAACTATATCATAAATGGGTTAAAAAGTGAAAGGTGGAAAAGTATGCAAATAATAGGAGGAAATATAATGAAACTTCTTCACAACTAAAAAACACCACATAAAAGTTTAAAGTTTAAAGTGGGAAAAAATATTCGCAACTTCTATAAAAAGTAAAAATTCAGTATCCAAAATTTATGCCTACCTCATTTAAATTAATTCAAAAAATAAAATATAAGCCTAGTACGTGGGTCAGGGAAAGGGGCCAACTGTCAAGATGTTTTGAAGGCCAATCTGGAAGTATATGTTAAAATAAAGATGTGCATAATTTCTAACTGAGCAACTCTACTTTGTGGTATTTATCCTAGAGAAACATTCACAATTATGCCCAGAGAGATATATGTAGGGTATCCCTTGCTACATGGTTTATAACAAAAAAATATATTAGCCAACTAGGGTCCATTAGGAAAAAAATGTCTAAGTAAGCTGGTGTATTTATACTGTGCATACAAATTAAAAAAAAAAAAAGCTAGATTCATATGCAATATGACTAGATCTCCAAAAACTAATGTTGAATGACAAAAATCAATTTTCAGAATACATATGGACTAATAGCACTAAAACTAAAGAAAACAAACAATACTAGTTTTTATGGATGCACACATGCACACACACACATACACAGCATGGGAAAGAAACACATTGAACAGCGTATACCATTGTAAAAGAGGAGAAGAGAAGAGAGACAGAAATGGTGGGTAATTCAATGAGACTTGAAACTCATCAGTCACATTTTTTATTTCACCTCCTGAAGTTCTATTTGGATATTTTTTGAACCTGCTTTGTCTTTTTAAAAAACAGTATAATATTCATTCTCATGTTTTTGATATTTATTTCTCTACCTAGTATTTTCTATAATCTGAAGCTCTGGAATGTCTAATCCTACTGCTCCTTAGCTCTGTTAGGGACTGTGTGCTTGTTTTTTATATTTTTGTTTTGTGACATGTTGAGACATGTAACAGCAGGGATTATGTCACCAGGATGGACAATGCATTCTTCCACAGAGGGTTTTTCATTGCTTTCCTGTGGAAGTACTACCTGCCAGGGTCATTTTTGTGTTATTTCTCAGCTCGGAGGCTCCTGTACAGTATAATGCAGGTAATGTAAATTTGCAATTTAAACTGTGTTGAGGACAGGCCCACGTCTTTAAATAATAACGGAAATCTTTGGGGATTTGCAGGTTTAAAAAAATTATTTTTATTCACATTATTTTTAACTGGCAGGAAACACTGGGAATCTTTTGGTTTAAATGCCTAACAAAACTTTAAAAGAAATAAGCCAACTTGTCATCTTGTGCTGTCGGCTGATTTTCTTCCCTAAATCAAACCTTTCCCTATATTTACAGCCTAGGAAGGATAGTTTTCTTCAGGTTTTCAGTTCCAACTCTCCTCCTTGCATGAACTCAAGGCCTTGTTTTTTATATTTTTGTAGCTCTTAAAACTCAAATATCTTGGCAACAAACACAGGAAACCTAACACAATATCAGTTAACGGGTTTCATGCCCTGATCACCAATTTTGATCGGTAGAAACTTCTTTACTTTTGTGTACATTGCTATATATTTAAAAGAATGTTTACTGTATTTTAGATACTCGTAGGTGTGGCAGGAGGGTTTTCAGATTTTCTAATTTACTCTAATGCTGAAAATAATGTTTAATATTTTCAAAACAACTCATTTTTACTTGCAGAATTAAAATTTAACAAAAATACAGTAAATACATATCAGAGAAGCAGGAACATATGCGCTTCTCTGATATGTGCTTTATTGAAGATGGGATCTTGACTCCATTCTTAGAGAGAGGAAGGATTTGAACACCAGTAGGAGGGAGGGAAGAGACAGGTCCCACTTACAGAGTGTGAGGTCCTGTGCCTGTGATTCAGCACCATCATCTAACTTTATGGTGAGATTCTTTACTAAATGTTAATCACAAGATTATTAAATCATGTGTATTCCCAAGATAAGGGGATGGGAAACATGCAGGACTCTCATTTTTAATGTATAGAACAGTGGGGATAATTTTCAAATGGGGAAAATTTTGTACCCCAGGGAATGTTTGACAATATCTGGAGACATATCCAGCTGTCATAACTTAGCAGGTGTCACTCACATCTAGTGGGTAATGGCTAGGAATGGTGTTAAACAACCTACAATTCTGCAAACAACCTCCTATAACCAAGAATCATCCAGCCCCAAACATCAATACTTCTGTTAATATAAACAAAAACAAAAAAAACTGATATTAAAAAAACAAAAGTTGATCGCAGCCACTGCCACTTGTGTTGCTATGGGTAGATCCCTCTTCCATCTTTACTTTCTCTGACTCTCTATGAATGTTAGGCCTCAGTTTTTTTCTCTGTGCATCAACAGTCTACATATCAAGTTTGATGAGTACCTCTGAAAAAATATCCTAACACTTGCAGCATTGGAGTCATGCTAGAATCTTTTCTGCAATAAAGTATTTTCACTTCTTTTCTTCTTCTCAATCTTCTCAATCACCTGCCCCTAGAATCTGAGTGGTCCTAACCTAGACCTCTTGCTGGCCGAGATTTAGACAATGTGGTTGTTTTTCCTTATCTTGACTAATCTTCCCGAATCTTACATTGTGCCTTAATTTGCACATCTGCACCTCTAATGTCTGCCTATATTATCTCCTTGGCTCACAAGGACCTTGTGGGAGAGCTGCTCACATCTCAACATGTAAATAAAATGTGCCTTTGGGTCAACACAGGAGAGGTGATTCCAACGTTAACAAGTTGGTCAAGGAAACTGTCAGCTGTTTATTTTTATTTCAATCTCTTCTGTTAAACTATAACACACTGATTGAGCAACTAAACACTAATATGCAGAGAGGAAAAAAACAAAAAAAATATATTGTGGTAATACAAACAATACAATGAATTCCAAATACTATGGACATTGGAAAATTAAGTACAGTGATATAAAAATAGTCCATTACCAAAAGATCTGTTTTAAAACCTCTGAGAGCAGAAAAAATACTTTTAGTTTCAGTCAAGTCAATTACTTTCACAAATTTATGATTAAGCAAGTGCAATTTCTTTATTTCTGGGGGGGCAGGGGAGATGGACTCTTGCAGTGGCACAATCTCGGCTCGCTGCAACCTCCGCCTCCCAGGTTCAAGTGATTCTCCTGCCTCAGCCTCCCAGGTAGAAGGGAATACAGGTGCCCACCACCACACTTGGCTAATTTTTGTATTTTTGGCAGAGACGGGGTTTTGCTATGTTGGCCAGGCTGGTCTCGAACTCCTGGCCTCAGGTGATCTGCCTGCCTCGGCCTCCCAAAGTGCTGGGATTGCAGGCAGCAAATGCAACTTCTAAAGCAATAGCTTTATTACTAAATAAGCCTAGAAATAGCAATAAACCTAGAAAATAGCTTTATTTTCATTGTTTACTACATCATTTCAAAACTAATGTCATTCTTCTAAAAATAAATATACTTGATTTAATAATGCTGTTAAAAGAAACAAGTAACTGGGCATTATGCCCAGAAAGAAAGGCTGCAAAGCATAATGGCTAATAGCACAGACTGGGCACCAAGCTGCCTGCATTGAAAACCATAAGCTCCAACTCAGGAACTGTGATCCTGGTCAGTTCACTTCGCCTCTTTGTGCCTCTCTTTCCTCACCTGCAAATTACAAATAGTAATAGTACCCACCTCATTGAGCTGTTATAAGAATTAAGTTACTTAGAAATACAAACATGGTACATAGTCAACATCATGAGTTTGTTAATAATTAGCAATATTTTAAAAATATTAAATAAGTAAGCTTTTATGAATCAAAAGCCATGTTTTCATTCTCCCAGGCACAAGAATCCATATGTTTTCCAGTCTCGAGAATCTTTGGATAAGTATGTATGTCAAGAGCCAGACCAAAATCTTTCTGGTCCAAAATTTACAATTAACGTATTGTATTTGAATCTCTCTACAAGATACATTTTATCCTAACAGAGAGATTAACTTCGACAATGGCCAGAGGGAAAGAGAAAATAATAAGTAACAACATAGAAATGTTATAAGTATTGTTTCTAGACAACAATGAATAATGATAAAATCAATATTGATACATATCAATGTTATGAAAATATGAAAACACTCCATTTACAAATAGTAGGTTAAAAATCTTAACAGCAGTAAGAAGAAAGTCTATGGTTCATAAGGTAAAAATTGATAATCAGGAATTGGAGTTATCTTGTCATTTTCAACTAAATTAGAGTCCAGAGACCCAGTAAAAAAGAAAAAAAAAAAAAAAAACACTTAGGACACAAAGCACCTGCCCGGGGCTAATACTGCAAGCTAGCTGCTGAAATGACCTGGTATAACTTTAAGACCAGTTTTACCTAGCAGCTTCTGAAACAAACCACCATGACTCTAAGACTAATTTACCCACCACCATCACTCACCAGTCAGAACTTGTTAGCTCCCAAAAACTTTGCTAGTGCTAATGAGTTTTCTTCCAAAACAATATATAACATTTCTCTCTAATAAAACCTCTAAACTTCTCTTTGGTTTTCAGTCATACTGAAGACCATTCCACTCTCTGTGTAAGCCCTGAACTCCAATTCTGTTCTACCAAATAAAACATTTTGTTTAGAGATTCATCTCGATATTTTTATTTTACATTGACACTAAAAATTATAAATATATCTTCAAATTTAAATTCTGTAGTTCAGCAAAGGTAGTTTCTAAGACCAAACTTTTTGATGGGAAGGCACTAGAGCAACAACCTACATGGAAATGTAACCATTCAGTGCCCAACTCTGAGATCTAATGTTTCTAAATTAATGACAAATCTTTGTCAAAAACAAATCCAAAGTTAAATGAAGACATTATTATTATTATTATTATATTATTATTATTATTATTTGACAGAGTCTCACTCTGTCCCCCAGGCTGGAGTGCAGTGGCTCAACTTCGGCTCACTGAAACCTCCAACTCCTGGGTTCAAGTGATTCTCCTGCCTCAGCCTCCCAAGTAGCTGGGACTACAGGTGTCCACAACCATCCCCAGCTAATTTTTGTATTTGTAGTAGAGACAGGGTTTTGCCATGTTGGAGTTCCTTGCTTGCTTCTCCTTAGCACAGTGACTCATTTGATATCATCTTTAATTTCTCTGGCTAAAGGTTTTCCAACAGATACACAAATTCTCTTCTTGACCTAGAGTGATGTAATGGATGTACCAGCAAGAATTAATGAAAACATAAGAGTATCTGCAAATCAAAATTGATTCTCCCTTTTCTCAGGTATCCATTTTCTGGGGAGCCATTCTTAGCCTTGGCATGTCTGGTATATTTTCCTCCTTTGTGCGCCCCCAGTAAAACGTCCTCACCACATTAGATTCCCAGCTCACTACTGGTATGTTTTCCCACCAGGCCAGGAACAGGGATTACCACTTCGCAAAGCAAAAAGCAGTAGCTTTGTTTAAGAAAAATTGCTTAAACCCTTTTTTTCGAATTGCATTATTTGAAACATGATACATTTACCAGTCAGTGATATGTTATGACTCTCCAAGGAAAAGTTATTTGCCATTATTTCTTCTCTGAGAGGTGGACTTGTAAAAGGCGAATCTATAAGAGAAAGAACACATGATTACACACTCTTATCAAGAGTAAATGACTATCTAAAAACTACTTTGAAACAGCTAAAACACTGTTGTGAACTATTAATGAAAAACTGTGTTTTCAGGAAGCTCAAAGTCTTATATACTTCAAAGACATTTAGAGATATATTAGGCTATTAAATGTGAAAAAAATTCTGATTTTTTTTCTTTTTTAACCTAAAAATCCCTACTGACTTACATCAGATGGCTTTTTTTAAATAACGCCTTCCATTTTTATTCTACTATTATAGTTTCTTTACAAAACATAAATAAACTGAAGATACCAAGGAATCAGATGAGAGAGCCAGAAAATGGAAAGATATGAAGAGGCAGAGAGAGAAGATGAAAGAAGAGCGACAGGCAGACCTTAATAAAGAGAATTAAAAAAAAAAATAGATAGCACTGGGCACCAGGGAACAGAGAAGATAAAATGGCTGACGGGCCAGTTTGGGTTGCTATTTGTTTTCTAGCTACGGTTACCAAGAGGCATGCCCTCTAACACCTGACTTTCAGTTTCCTCTGCCTCTGTCACTTCTCTCTCCTTTTGAAAACTTTAATTAAAGAAACAAGGTTTCTATTTCCACCTCTCTCACTCTCTTCGAAGTTACTTTATTTATTTTATTTATTTTTATTTTTATTTTTATTTTTATTTTGAGATGGGAGTCTCACTCAGTTGCCCAGGCTGGAGTGCAGGGGCATGGTCTCAGATCTCTGCAACCTCAGCCTCCCCGGTTCAAGCAATTCTCCTGCCTCAGCCTCCCGAGTAGCTGGGACTACAGGCTCCCGCCACCACGCCCAGCTAATTTTTGTGTTTTTAGTAGAGATGGGGTTTCACCATGTTGGCCAGGATGGTCTCAATCTCTTAACCTCGTGATCCGCCCGCCTCGGCCTCCCGAAGTACTGGGATTACAGGCATGAGCCACCACACCTGGCCAACAACATGGCCTACTGTTCCTTTTATTTTAGAGTACCAGACCTTACCTTCCAGGAAACTACTCAAATATATCAAAGAAGTCAGAGAAGGGGGAAAAAAAGCTTATTATTGTAAACTTGGCTGCATTATTTAAATTAAATCCCATTCAATTTAAATGAAACCTGAGCCATTTTTATTACACTTTTTAAAAATAATCTGCTCAGAAAGTTATTTCTAGTACAAGATTAGATTTCCAGTTCTTTCATTTTCTTATATGTAAAAGTTAGTGATCACTTTTGTTACTTTAGCTTTAGAACATTGCTTTTACAATATCGCCTAGTAAAATAACGTACCTAGCAGAACCTAACTCTCCAATAGGCTGTGTTCCAAAGGTTTAATCACTTCTAAAACAGCTTTAGAAGTTTAATGCACTTTCTAAACCACCATGGCACATGTATACCTACGTAACAAACCTGCACATTCTGCACATGTATCTCAGAACTTATAATAATTTTTAAAAAAAGAAAAAAAGTCCTTAAATAACATATTAAATCAGACTACCCTCTCACAATGATTATATAGGAAAATATGTCCTGAGTTTCTCACTAGGCTATCAAGTATACAAAACCTTTCCTCCAGTCACATCTAGTATTCATTCATTCATTAATTCATTCACTCATTCATTCATATTTGTACCCATATTCTCCCATTCTCCCTCTCCTCCCATCACCCTCCTTCTCTGTCTTTTCACCCCTTTTCTCTCTTCCTCTTCCCTCTCACCCTCCCCAACTCTCTTTCTCTCTCTCTCTCTCTCTCTCTCTCTCTCTCTCTCTCACACACACACACACACACAAACACACATATACACACTGCTTAAAAGAAAGGCTCCCATAAATGTTATTTTCCTAATGAAAATTCCTTGTTTCCATTCTTGGGGCTAGCATACTTAGAGGTTATATTAAAGACAAAATATTTCAGGAAGATCAAGGCAGATGCTATTCACTTATGGACAGGAAGCCAGGCGGGGGTGGATGAGAAGGAAACCGCTATTCTACTATATCATCTGTTCTGTGAAGCCTGCAAAACGTAAGCTTTGATATCTTTGCTTTCCTCCCCAGGGATACCCCACTGTACAGCAGAATACAATCTTAAGGGTTCTTATTATACTCTTTATCCCTGAAACAAGCCCATAACCTTTTTGAGATTTCCAGCATCATTTATTATTATGGTTCACAGTATCAGTAACAATAAGAGTGACATAAACTAAAGAAAAAATGCTTTCTGTCATTCTTATTCCTATTCCACTTAAGTAAGTGAATATACACAGTATCTCATGCACACTTGGTACTGATGGAGAATATGAAGCTGGGCAAACTTGGTCCTTAAAGGGCTATGTGGATCATAATAGTAGGGGTTTGGGTCCATAATTTGAGATTGAGAGTCATTAAAATTTCGAGCAGCACCCATTAATGCATAGTATATAACTATGCATTAATATATAACTGTATATATAGTTACAGTTATAGTCAGTATATAACTGACTATAGCCAGTATATTTTATACAAATTGGCACATGAGCTAGAGTATGAAGCCTGAGCCTGGAGGTGGAAGAAGGGTGAAGATAATTCCAGGAAGATGAGCTCCAATGCTGGGGCTATTCTCCCTTACTGATCACTAGGACTTGTCATGGATGGGCTCAACAGGGACCTGTGTTAGAACAAGGAGAGAAAATGAGT
The DNA here is from genome assembly GCF_000001405.40 of Homo sapiens. NCBI lineage: Eukaryota > Metazoa > Chordata > Mammalia > Primates > Hominidae > Homo > Homo sapiens. The sequence goes on from NC_000005.10 coordinate 50,430,909, forward strand.
CTAAGTTTGGCTTTGGCAGAATCTAAGCTGATGACAGTTGAAGGATAGGAAAGGAAGGAAACACCAAGTTTCCAGAGGTAGGGAAGTCTGGGTATTTCCAGAATATACTAGCTGTTGAGGCCATTTACAATTGCTGGCTCACATATTAAAAATACAATCAGACATCCATAAACCAAACACCACCAGTACCTTAACTTCATATTCCCTTTAAGGCACTAATCTTGGTCAAGCTTCAGGTTCCACGGAAAAAGTGCCAAGTGCAAAAGAACACGTGTAACTGCTGTGTGACTTTTGCCTTGGGAAAAGTCCCTTAAAGAGGCAATATACAGAAATGCCTTAAGTGGAAAAGCAGGGCAACCTACAGAAGGTATTAGGACAGTAAAAGAAGTTCTTTGTTTAGGCAAGATTTTTTTAACCAAAAAAGTGAGAATGTAAACCTTATTGCTTTCAGTTGGAGGACAGCTGGCAGGAGGCTGATTCAGCTAACATTGGGGTTTAAAGGAAATTGGCAGGAGACTCAGGCAGATGTGGTTTGAATACTTCCCTAAAAGGATTAGGCTGAGTCACAAAAAGAAGTATAAAATGGAGAGGAAGGAATTTGGGGTCTTAATCCAAATTCTGTCACTGACTGTTACTTAGGGTTTCCAAACGCCATATGCCCAGCTCAGTGCTTTGAAAATATGTCTCCACTGTAAACCTCATCTGATAGGGAAAAAAAATGAGGATCAGAAAAGTTGTATAAATATGAGTGATGATGCCAAGATCATAACATGCATTTCTCAAGTTATCAAACTCACCCTTTCTTAATCATTGCTGGAAAATTTCCATATAGCATTCTTTTACAGGTAGAGACAAAAATATCAACATGAAAGAGTAACATCAAATAGTTGCTCAAGAGATTAAAAGACTTTTTTCTCTCTTTGCAGGGCAGTTGAGGCATAAGACTACTGCATCAAAGAAGTGAGTAACATCTTAATTTTCACCTGTTATAATTTTCTGTGAAATAGCAAAATGGTCTCTACTTAAATGTTTTTCACATATTATATTTTAAAATGTGTTGCTAGAAGGGCATATAATTTATTCTATTAACACTTTCAAGTGAAATAAACATGCTATAATTCTACTTAAAGGTATTAAGGTAACATTTTCACATATTTCATTTTGAGGACTTCATTTAATTGAAGTAAGTTGGGAAGAAAAATAAGTAACACTAGAAAACTGCATTGGGTCTTAAGATTTGCTTTTTTAAATCAGGAAATAAATGCAACTACATCTCTGATTAAGAATAAACATTCTCTCTAAAGCCCCCAAAATCCCTTTATTATATGTTAAAATCTTGGAAGGGTCTGAACTTCATTAAGAAAAAAATGTAAGAAGCAACTATTAGAATAAATATTATTCTTTATCTTTCTCATCTCTATACTGATTGCTATCAACATGCAGTACTTAATTTTAACATTCTGATATACAGCATTATAAATGTGCAACCCAATTACAGAAACACTGATAGGAATGAATATTACATATTATTCATAAAATAGAGATTTGGAAATAAGAATATATTTCTTCATGGAAGCAATGTTATATATAACCATGTGATCCCATGCCAAATTGTAAAGGCCACTTAAGCCATGATATGGTTAAAACTTAGCTTTAAAATACCTAATTACTAAGTAAAATACTGATTATACACAACACATGGAGAATTATGGGTTTTAGGAGCAGAGTAGCCCTATCCCCTGTCCATAAATGCAGCAGAAAGAGGAAAAAGGAAATAAGGCATCTCTGAGTCCTGGAAATTATACTCCAGAGAGATTCATCCAAAAAAGAAGAAAAACAAGTAAAAAAAAAAAAAAAAAAAAGCTTGTCAAAAAATTCTAGTTATCAGGGCCAGGCGCGGTGGCTCACGCTTCTAATCTCAGCACTTTGGGAGGCTGAGGCAGGCAGATCATGAGGTCAGGAGTTTGAGACCAGCCTGGCCAGCATGGTGAAACCCCGTCTCTACTAAAAATACAAAAAATTAGCCAGGCATGGTGGCATGCACCTGTGGTCCCAGCAACTTGGGAGGCTGAGACAGGAGAATTGCTTGAACCCGGCAGTCGGAGGTTGCAGTGAGCTGAGATCGCATCACTGCACTCCAGCCTGGATGACAGAGTGAGACTCTGTCTCCAAAAAAAAAACAAAAAACTTATAGTAATCCTGATGGGAACATTTATAAGTCAGACTTTCTAAGTCAGAGACAGATAACACTCCACACAGAGAACTCTTGAACTCTTGATATTTTCTGCACAGTATGGAAGCTATTGGACAAGAAGCCTTTACAGACAAGGTTTTTTTTTTAAGGCCTACTGACAAGTACAATGCACACTTTTACCAGTCTTGTAAAACTATTTTAAAAACCAGATGGTATAGGAATGGAAATAAATAGATCTCTTTAAAAAAATATAATTTTGGCAATAATATACGTTTCAAAGGGCAATGTAAAAATTCTGTTTCAAATCACCTCTACATGGGTCACTAAGATACTTTAACAGTAACTTATGCCAAATAAAAACTTATTAAAAAATAAAACCCCGAAAGTTAATAACTAAGATTTCTATTCTTTCTAAAGACTGTAGATTTGTTAAATGTTTCAATTGTTAGTCTATTCGATAAGAGTTGGGATTTTGTTCAGTGGCTCTCAACTGAGGGTAGTTTTGCCCCGCAGGAGACATTTGGCAATGTCTGAAAGCATTTTGCTTGTCACAATTGGGGGAAGATTACTACATTTATTTAGTAGGTTATATAAGTTTTCATAACAAATTACCACAAATTAGGTGTCATAACAAATGACTACAAATTTGGTGGCAAAAACAACAAAAGTGTATTCTTTCACAGTTCTGGAGGCCAGGAGTCTGAAATCAAGGTGTTGGCAGGACCTTCCTCCTCTGAACTCTTGAGTGAAGAATCCTTCCTTGCCTCTGCCTAGCATCTGGGAGTTGCTGGCAACCTTGGCATTCCTTGGCTGTTGGTAGCTGCATTAGTCCAATATCTGCCTCTGTCTTTACATGATCATCCTCCCTCTGTATATGTCTCTGTCTCTGTTCAAATCTCCTTCTCCTTTTTTTATAAAGACCAGTCATTAGGTTTAGGGCTTACTCTAATTTAGTATGACCTTATTTTAGTTCATTACATCTGCAAAGACCCTACTCCCAAATAAGGTCACTTTCACAGGTACCCAAGATCAGGGATTAAACATATCTTTTTGGGGTGTACAATTCACCCACCGCATATGTAGAGGCCAGGGATACTGCTAAACATTTTAGGATAACAGCTTGCCACGACAAAGAATTATCCAGCGGAAAATGCCAACAGTACCAAAGTTGAAAACCTTGATTTTGAACAGATACATCAGCAATACTGATTCTTCAATGTGATCATTCTTAATAATCTTCCAATGGCCCTGTGGCCCTAAATTCCTGTTCTGCATAGTTTAGGTGCAGACATTTTTAAAGTGTGAACATTTTTTGCCACCCTTCTCTCCCAAGAACACCCTCCTGCCAGGGGCCTATTTTGAGGACTTTTTATGAAGAAAAACCACATGCTGGAGGGACGCTGAAATGCAAACCAGGAAAACAGTTATAGCTATTAGCTATCTCATTGCTTTTGGCTAAGTTACAAAAGCACTTTGGGCTTCAAGATCAATGAAACAAGGTATCTAAATTCCCTTTCAGGTTCTCAGAAGTATATAATTGCAAGGCTATTAAAAGCTTCTGGTTTGGGATTAGGGACACATTAGTACAATAACCTCAATAACTTCAAAAATGCCAGGAAAATGCTATTTTCAAAGAAAAGAATAACAACTCTTTAAAGGTAACATTCATAATTTCTATTCTAACATTATTTGAGATGTTCTATGTTTAAATAGTGGCAATTTTTATTAGGAGTAGAGTTTATTTTTAGCAAAGTGTTGTGAGGTTTGTTCTCCTACATCAGCATATATGTCATAAGTTATTAATTTCTAACGTTCACCTTATATTGTGCCATATGTGAGACCAGCTGTACAAAGTTAATGTGAAAAGATTACACTTTAGAACAAATAGCCTCAACACATGTGATTTGTTTCTGTTGGAGGGCATATACACCTTTGGAAAATGATACCTAAGAACATTAACAGATTTCTCAACTACTGTTTTAGTTTAATACCTCGGTAAACTGAAGCTTTCTCAGGTAAACTAATTATTTTTGTTTCTTTTCAAACAATCTCAAAGTAGCAGAAACATTTCAAGAACAGAACATTTTCCCCTCTGAACCATATGAGTAAGTTTCTGACCTGATGCTTCATGCCCCACTAAAACATTACCGTCTATTTCCTACAAAGGACATTCCCCATACCATCACAATACAACCATTAAAATCAAGAAATGAATATATATGAAGCACCATCTCATCCCCACACCCCATCTAAGTTTCAAAAAAAAGTCCCTATAACGCACTTGGTAGCAAAAGGTTCCAGCTCAGAATCACACATTGCCGTTGGCTATCACTTCTCTCTAATGTGGCTTCACTCTGGACCTGTGACAGTCTCTTCTGACTTTTCCATAACCTTGACACTTTTTAAAATTCCAAGACAGTTCTGCTCTAATATGATTATATTTGAGGTAGGCATCTTTGGCAGGAAGATCATAGAAGTGATGCTGTGCTCTTCTCACCAGATCGTCTCAGATGGCATACCATTTTTTTGGTCTTTGATCATTTGATCAAAGTGCTGTCTGCCAAGCTTCTCCACTATAAAGTTACTCTTTTTCCCTTGATATTAGTAAGCATATTCTGAAGAGTTACTTTGAATCTTTAGTACTTTGTACCCCATCAAAGTTTTCATTGATTTATTTTTTAATTTGCTTCAGTTGGTACTCATGAATCCCCATATTATTAAATGGGTTACAATCCACTAATATTATTATTTATTTTGATGCTCAATTTTGTCCCAGATTTGTCCAGTGGGAACCCCTTCATATTGGCTCCTGTATCTTTTTGACATGACTCATTATCCTTTGAGCACTCCATTGCTTTCTGGCACAAGATGTTCTAGGCTTATCTGCTACTTTCCCACACTAGCCCTGAAATCAGCCATTTCTCCAAGAAGCCTTGGTTACTATTAGTAAAGAATGGTATTTAGAACCCAAGATCTGGGTGCTAAGTATACTCATCACTACTGGAAATCACTGCTAAGAATACATGTGCACATATTCATATACACATACAACTTATAATGTATATCATATACACTTATGTATATGATATGCATGATACGTATTCATCATACATATATTTACACATATACTTGTTTAAAGCTATATACCTATATAGACTTAAGTAAAGAGATAGGGATTTAATGTCATGGATTCCCATGGATACTGCCAACTGCAATCCAACACCACAGGGTTCATTCTACTTTTTCTCTATCTTTATTTCATTCTTCTCTAGTGAAAAACCTAGATCCTATTATCTTTCCTAGATTTAATTATTTGATCCATCACCCTGTATACTGCTAAACTGTCATTGCTACTGCCACACCTGTCCCCACAGAGATGTCTCCTTACCCACTCAGGCTCCAACCTCCATCGCTGGTCTGACCCTCCTACATGCTTTCCTCCACATCTTGTTTGGGATCAAACATCACCCATCTGCTGCTCCTGCACAAAAGCCTTGTTAAACTTGCTCAACTCTGGGATCCTGTGTCAAGCTGCCCGCTGCAGGAGCAACCATTCACTGTGCTCAGGCCCTAATACTCCACACCAGGCTGCCCTCCTGCCTGATGCCATCCTTACCAGGGTCAGCCTCAGATATCCTGATCTGGTCCCCTTGGGCTCCACCCACTTAGTGAGGATGTCTCCTTGCTCTTCCCCACCAAATAACTATAGGACCTATGGAGGGAAAGATGAGAGGTAGGAGGGAAGGGAACGAGGGTGACAGAAGATGAGGAAGAGTCAGTTGCCCTAATTCTTAACAAATGTTTTCAACATATAATTTTTTTGTGATGATAAATTTAGGGTAAAAATGGTCATGCATCAGAAACATCACTATTAAAAGTAGGCTTAGGCTGGGCACCGTAGCTCTCGCCTATAATCCCAACACTTTGGGAGGCTGAGGCAGGAAGATCGCTTGAGCCTAGGAGTTCAAGGCCAGCCTAGGCAACCTAGTGAAACCCCATCTCTACAAAAAATACAAAAATTAGCCGGGTGTGGTGGCATATGCCTGTAGTCCCAGCCATGTGGGAGGCTGAAGTGGGAGGATCTCTTGAGCCCAGAAGGTCAAGGCTGCCCTGAGCCATGAGTGTGCCTCGGTACTCCAGCCTGAGTGACAGAGTGAGACCCTGTCTCAAAAATTAAATGAATGAATGAATGAATAAATAAATAAAAGTAGGCTTATGGTTCATCTGTTCCATTTAAACAGATTTTGGTCTTTGATCATTTGATCAAAGTGCTGTCTGCCAAGCTTCTCCACCATAAAGTTACTCTTTTTCCCTTGATATTAATGAGCACATTCTGAAGAGTTACTCTGAATCTTTAATACTTTGTACCCCATCAAACTTTTCATTGACTCCTTTTTAAATTTACATCAGTGGGTACTCATGAATTCCCATATTATTAAATGAGTTGCAATCCACTAATATCATTATTTATTTGATGCTCAATTTGTCCCAGATTTGTCCAGTGGGAACCCCTTTAAATGTCCTTAAAGGTAAAAACTGCCAGCATGTTCTACTGAGATATGGACTAACAATGTCAGACATATGTGGGTGCTTGAATAGTATTTGCTTCAAAAATATTTATTACTAGAAAGCTGCTGTGTTTGGGGTGAGAGGTTAGTAGGGAAGGGGGTTCATAAAGGGAATGCAAAAGCCACGTCCTCTGGAAGTTAAAAGGATCATTTTAAATGATTCTACTGCAAACATTTTTCAAAAGATAAACATGACCCATTTCTCCAATTTGTGTCATGTAATAGTAATAATAATGATATTTAAATACTCCCACTGATATATCCTTTACAAAGATATATTATATGTCTTATTTAATCAAAAAACCTTAAAACAGTCCCTGTACCTAATTTTATTCCAGGACTCAAACTGTGTCAGCATGTCATTCAGTGCAAATCAGACATTTAGATGCATAGGCTATGCTGTCAGTAGTTCTGAACTTTCATAGACATTTCCAATTAGCTCGGAGAGACAACTGGATATTGTGTTTAAGCACTGTGTTTAGGAAAACAGGCACTGGATGGACCAATGCCAAATTTCCTGCTCTGCTGCTTAACTAAGTATGTGTAATTACTTGGGCAATTAAGCAATTACTTGGGCAATTACATAAGCCAAGCCCCAATTTCTTCATCTTGAGCCCAGAAGGTCAAGGCTGCAGTGAGCCGTGAATGTGCCTCTGCCCTCCAGCCTGAGCGACAGAGTGAGAATTCCCCAGGAGTGCAGAGGTTCTCAGAACTGCAATACTCTGAGATGAATTTTGAAAGGTGAATCAGGGATAGAAGAATTAGGGATACCCAGAAAGGAGAAAAATGTTCTAGACAATTCTTTTTTCTTTTTTCAGCTGGAACTAAAAAAATGCTAACTCATAGGGCTATACATTTATAACTATTCTTATTATTAAAATTTGACTCAAAGTCTTAGGTTAACAGACAACCTGTGTCTAAGTATGTAGGCCTATACATCTAGGTCAAAAATATCCAGTAAACCTCACAATATCCTTTGGCAAAGAGAAAAATGAATTTCCCAGAGATCAATACCGAATCTAGAAAACAAGCTGAGAGTGCCTGACAATTTTTAATTCTGGCTTAAATTCGATGCTAACTTCATAACTTTTGTCTTGTACATTATTCCACAATTTTAGCTTACGTGGAGCTAAAAGAGCAGAACTTATACCATATACATAGAGTGACATCCCCTCCCCCATTCATCTTATTGATTTACACCTTCATTTATTCCACTTTCATTTGTTTCCTACCTTTTTTTTTTTTTTTCCTTTAGAGATCTTCTCTGCATATCAACTTAACCCTGACGCCTATGGAATAAGTATTTACCTAACAGTGCACTGTCTAGGCCATATCATTTTAAAGCTGTGGTTTTTAACCAGCTTAAAATCACATTTAAAGCTACATGGAGAGCTGATGAAACTCCTTAATGCCCACACTGAATCCCAAGCCAAATGAACCAGAGTTTTGCGGGAAAAGATCCAGGTATCAGGATTTTTCAAGCTCTCTGGTGATTCTGACATACAGTCAAGTAGAGAATCAAAGTTCTACAATGAATCCAGAATGCACTGGTTCTCAGAACTGCAATACTCTGAGGTGAACCAGGGATAGAAGAATTGGAGATACCCAGAAGGGGGAAAAATGTCCTGGACAATTCTGTTTCTTTTTCTTTCTTTTTTTTTGAGACAGTTTTGCACTGTCACCCAGGCTGGAGCTTAGTGGCACCATCACCATCATAGCTCACTGCAGCCTCAAACTTTGGACTGAAGCAATCTTTCTGCCTTGGCATCCCAAGCACCTGGGACTACTGGTGTACATCACCACAACCGCACTTTTAATTTTTTTTTTTTTTTTTTTAATAAAGAAGGGACCTTGCTATGTTGCCCGGGGTGGTCTTGAACTCCTGGATTCCAGCCATCCTCCCACCTCAGCGCCCAAAAGTGCTGGGATTACAGGCCTGGACAATTCTTTATAAGTGGTATTATGGAAAAGAGATGTGGCACAAGGAAATCTGCGAAGGAACCCACGATGTTCTGTCCAAGTTGTTAACAACTAGACGTTTTAAAAGGCATTTATAAAAATTAATAGTCTTACCTTTTGATTATCCTTCCTTCTCTATGGTGTGTTACAAAAATTCCACATCTTACAAGCCCATGAAAATAAATTCCCATGAGAGTTTGAAAACTTTTTGCAGAATAATGTCCCAATTTTAGTTACTGGTGGCCAATATTTACCAGCTTGAGAGGTGGTCTTTTATTACCCTTACTGGCTGGTAACATTTATGACACAGAAACTTGCAATAGGTTGGATGGAATCCTTTCAATATGAAAAGTAATTATAAACAGGTGAAGGTAGAATGGCAACTTTCGTGTTGGCTTTGTTAATGTTTTGCACGTAATCCCTCTGTCAAAGTGTCTTAAACAATAAAACAACAAGCAAAAATCTCACACATACACACACACACATGCACACACACATTTTGTTTTCAAAGACCACGGTGTAAAATGAAGATACACACACGTTATCCTGTAAGTTGTGGATCTTTGGTTGGCTAGTTGGTTATGATGTTTTTTCCCCTACTCAGCTCTAAAAAAACATCCTCGGCAAGGTGAGGTGGCTCACGCCTGTAATCCCAGCACTTTGGGAGGCCGAAGCGGGCGGATCACCTCAGGTTGGGAGTTCGAGACCAGACTGACCAATGTGGAGAAGCCCAGTCTCTACTAAAAATATAAAATTAGCCCGGCGTGGTGGCGCATGCCTGTAATCCCAGCTACTCTGGAGGCTGACAGAGGAGAATCGCTTGAACCCGGGAGGAGGAGGTTGCGGTGAGCCGAGATCACGCCATTGCACTCCAGCCTGGGCAACAAGAGTAAAACTCCGTCTCAAAAAAAAAAAAAAAAAAAAAAAAAAAATCCTCAAAGCCAACCCACCTGCCAAGAGGAGGGAAGGAGGTGATACTCGAGCCTTACTCTCGAATCAAGAAAAGGGAGTAGGCCTTGGGGAAATGTGGCTTTCAAAATTCATGCCATATTTGCCCAAGCCAAGTCGCTAGCTGGTCCCTGCAACCACCCACACACCCCACTGCCTTCTTCCTAGGAAAAACCAGACTCTGCCCTGTTACCTACGCGCCCGACTCGCGGGGCGCTGTTCGTTCAAGACTCGCCCCAAAGAGCGCAGGAACGCGAGCCGCAGCAGTTTCAGGGTTCAGCTTAGGTGACACAAACGTAGCTAATGGGAGGCCGCCGCCGACTCTCCCACCCGCCCTTACCAGCATCCCCGCGCCTCTCCCCGCCACCCTTGCCCGGCGCGCCGGCGATGCCCTCTGCCCGCGGGGACCCGAGCCTCGCGCGCCCTCCGCCCTCCCTACCCTGGACCCTGTACCCATCACACCTGGGGCACTGCCGTCCGCCGAGCTTGGGCGCGCGGCAGCGAGAAGGCACTGGAGGAGGAGCAGCCGGGGCGTACGCGCCCTGGCCTCCAGCAGGCCGGGGAGGGCGCGCATGGCGCCAGAGGGTCCGCCTGGGTCCTCGTGGAGACTGCTCCCTCAGCTCGCCGCCGCGGGTGTCCAGAGTCCCTGCGCACACTCGCAGGTGGCCCGGCGCTCGCAGCCAGTGCCGCGGGTAGGACGCTGAAGAAAAGGCGGAATGGGAGGGGCCCGGCCGCCTTGCCCCACTCCCCCGAGACGCTCTTACCGCGCCCGGCCCTCCATCAGTTATGCAGCCCTCAGCCGGCTGCTGGCGTTCCCGGATGTGCGGTGGCGGTGCTACTTCCCGGCTGCAGCCTCTCCGGCCTCCGCCCTCTCGGCTCTAGCAGGTCGGGAGAGAGCTTGGGCAGGTGATGTCTAGCCAATCTCGTGGGGAGAGGTCGAAACTCTGCCTACAGACTGGCCTTTGCACTTCACCTGAGGCAGGTTTCACTAATTTGCTTTGATGGGACAGATGAGAAACACTTTTCTCCTCCCGGACCCCGGACATCTTTGGGCTTTCTTACGAGGGAGGCTTATTTTTGCGCAGGTGTAAGGTTTTATCCAGCTGCCAGACAACTTGTGTTAATCTTTCTTTGCTTTGCCTACCAATCACACACATTCTCTCTTCTAGTCTCTGAAGGCTTAACTGATTTTCTCCGGATGAAGGTTTTAGAGTCCCAAGGCCCCATACCGTGTCTGATTTTACTTTATTTTTGTTTGTTAAGCCTAACAGCTTCTGAGGAGCCACCTAGAGCTCAAGAAGCAAAAGCTACTGAGAGTAGATACTATGTAAACTGCACAAGACATTGACCTTTGTTAAATCCGAACACTCTTTAAGATAATGCTCTTACCCACAAGGCTGTAGCTTGGAATATTCAGTGCTCTGAACCAAATTAAATAAATTAGTGCTTTATCCGGGAGGGGAGGAGAAATCTATATTGTAACATTGAAACACATTGATTTGATTTCTCTCCAGGATGTTATAACGCATTAAAAGATATTTTTAAAATTTTTCACGAGCTTTGTTTCCTCTCCCTTTATTTTTTTGAAGTTCAGCTTTCACATTCGTAAATTCAAAATATATCGGCGTTAAAAAAAAAAGGATTGGAAATAACATGAGACAAATTTTGAAAATTGAGCTATTTAACAAAACCTGTGTTTATTCCAGGCAGGAATGGTTAATTTGTAATTGGTACGTATTACTAAAACACGTCTGTTTCTGGTTTAGTATTATATGCACAAAACTTTGGAAACAGAATGTAGATTCTTCAAATTGGCAGTGAGATAATATGAATAATACAATTCATTCAACAATATTATCTACCAGGTGCCAATCTACCATTGTGTTCAAAAGAGGCTAGATAGGCACACATGCACAAATGCACGCATGCACACATGTACACACACACACACACAAATTAGACAACTGTTTATCTGTGAATGACAAATCTCAGAAAAGCCTCTTCTCAGAAAATTATGGTCAAAATTATTAAAATCTTCTGAATGAAACTTTAAAAGATGCCTTCAAGGACTAAATCTTATACACTGTTGACCCTCTGAGGGCATTGACTGGGCTTGCTAAACCCAAATTGCCTAATCAATGGCTGCTACATCACACCTCTTTCTTTCAACCCTGCATCTGGTCTCAGGACTAACTGCACACATTTCCCTATAATTAGGTAGAGTGTCAACAGTAAGCACTTCTCACCTCAAACTAAACTCTGACTGACTTTTCCCAGTTAGTCTCATAAAATCCTTAGACACAAATTCACCCTTCTTAAAGAAACATTTTTTTCAGTTGAATCAGCCTATTTATGACCAGAAAAACTTACTTACCCAAGTTGATGCTGATCCCCACTGTTGCTTTTGCTGTTGGAACAAAAGAGTTGAGAAAGAAATATAATTCTCATTTTGCTAAGCATTTTGAAAGTCTTTTCATCACTGTTCCTGTTCTATATTTAGATATTTGATATTTCCAGCCTTATGTACATTCCACTTTTTCAAATGCTCCATATCCTTTAAAACAAGCTTATTGACTGCCTTCCCTATATAACTTTTTCTATCCCTGATTCACCTTTCAAAATTCATCTCAGAGTATTGCAGTTCTGAGAACCTCTGCACTCCTGGGGAATTCTCACTCTGTCGCTCAGGCTGGAGGGCAGAGGCACATTCACGGCTCACTGCAGCCTTGACCTTCTGGGCTCAAGACGAAGAAATTGGGGATTGGCTTAAGTAATTGCCCAAGTAATTGCTTAAGTAATTGCCCAAGTAATTACACATACTTAGTTAAGCAGCAGAGCAGGAAATTTGGCATTGGTCCATCCAGTGCCTGTTTTCCTAAACACAGTGCTTAAACACAATATCCAGTTGTCTCTCCGAGCTAATTGGAAATGTCTATGAAAGTTCAGAACTACTGACAGCATAGCCTATGCATCTAAATGTCTGATTTGCACTGAATGACATGCTGACACAGTTTGAGTCCTGGAATAAAATTAGGTACAGGGACTCTTTTAAGGTTTTTTGATTAAATAAGACATATAATATATCTTTGTAAAGGACATATCAGTGGGAGTATTTAAATATCATTATTATTACTATTACATGACACAAATTGGAGAAATGGGTCATGTTTATCTTTTGAAAAATGTTTGCAGTAGAATCATTTAAAATGATCCTTTAACTTCCAGAGGACGTGGCTTTTGCATTCCCTTTATGAACCCCCTTCCCTACTAACCTCTCACCCCAAACACAGCAGCTTTCTAGTAATAAATATTTTTGAAGCAAATACTATTCAAGCACCCACATATGTCTGACATTGTTAGTCCATATCTCAGTAGAACATGCTGGCAGTTTTTACCTTTAAGGACATTTAAAGGGGTTCCCACTGGACAAATCTGGGACAAATTGAGCATCAAATAAATAATAATATTAGTGGATTGCAACTCAGGGATAGAAGTACTGGGGATACCCAGAAGAGAGAAAAATGTTCTAGACAATTCTTTTTTCTTTTTTCAGCTGGAACTAAAAAAATGCTAACTCATAGGGCTATACATTTATAACTATTCTTATTATTAAAATTTGACTCAAAGTCTTAGGTTAACAGACAACCTGTGTCCAAGTATGTAGGCCTATACATCTAGGTCAAAAATATCCAGTAAACCTCACAATATCCTTTGGCAAAGAGAAAACTGAATTTCGCAGAGATCAATACCGAATCTAGAAAACAAGCTGAGAGTGCCTGACAATTTTTAATTCTGGCTTAAATTCGATGCTAACTTCATAACTTTTGTCTTGTACATTATTCCACAATTTTAGCTTACGTGGAGCTAAAAGAGCAGAACTTATACCATATACGTAGAGTGACATCCCCTCCCCCATTCATCTTATTGATTTACACCTTCATTTATTCCACTTTCATTTGTTTCCTACCTTTTTTTTTTTTTTTCTCTTTAGAGATCTTCTCTGCATATCAACTTAACCCTGATGCCTATGGAATAAGTATTTACCTAACAGTGCACTGTCTAGGCCATATCATTTTAAAGCTGTGGTTTTTAACCAGCTTAAAATCACATTTAAAGCTACATGGAGAGCTGATGAAACTCCTTAATGCCCACACTGAATCCCAAGCCAAATGAACCAGAGTTTTGCGGGAAAAGATCCAGGTATCAGGATTTTTCAAGCTCTCTGGTGATTCTGACATACAGTCAAGTAGAGAATCAAAGTTCTACAATGAATCCAGAATGCACTGGTTCTCAGAACTGCAATACTCTGAGGTGAACCAGGGATAGAAGAATTGGAGATACCCAGACGGGGGAAACTTTTTCTGACCTTTCTGGTCCAAATTGACCTTTTCCTCCTTGGTGAAATAAATATTGCAACAAGCACTTTGATACTCTCATCATGAAGCGTATAAAGGGGGAATAAGGGTCCTTTGTTTTCTCCCCTTGAGTTGGGTGGGCTCTTTGACTCCCCTAACCTACTGAATATTGCTGAAGAGATACTGTGTGGGCTGGCCAGGCGTGGTGGCTCGCGCCTGTAATTCCAGCACTTTGGGAGGCTGAGGCAGGCAGATCACAAGGTCAGGAGCTCGAGACCAGCCTGGCCAATATGGTGAAACCCCGTCTCTACTAAAAATGCAAAAAAAAAAAAAAAAAAAAAAAAAATTAGCTGTGCATGGTGGCGCATGCCTGTAATCCCAGATACTTGGGAAGCTAAGTCAGGAGAATTGCTTGAACCCAGGAGGCAGAGCTTGCGGCAAGCCAACATCGCACCACTGCACTCCAGCCAGGGCAACAGAGCAAGACTGTCTCAAAACAAAAAAAGAGAGAGAGAGATTGTGTGAGCTTTCTGTTCCAGACCACAAGAGCTTCCACTTCCTTTCTGTTGGAGATCTTGCTCATAGAAGACACCTGCCTAGTGAAAAGTACTACAGTATTATCCTGAGACTGCCACACTGTGAGAAACCCAAACGCCATGGAGGACCCCGTAAAAATAAAGTCAGGTCAAGTAAAAAAGGAATATGAAGGTTTATTATACATACAGAAGAATAGTTCACAAACCAGAAGACTTCAAATCAAAAATAGTAAGAAACTTGACGTGAGAGTTACAGTGCAGCTTATAAAGCATCAATGAGGAAGTGCATTGACCTCTGCTGTGACTGGCTATTAAAAACATATTCCTTTTTGGGCAAGTAGAGTTGTATAAACTTATTTATCTGTAACAAATTGGTTCAATTTCATCATACTAACAAGAAAGGAAAGCTTAACTTTTGTTAATCATTAGAAATTGCATTTCAGAGAAATCAGGATAGCTTAAATTTTGGTTATGTGGCTATGAGTGGTTGACCTAAGAATATACTGTTGCCTCCATTTTGATTATACTTTAACAAATCCCTCATACAGGACCTTAAATCATTGTTGATTGTTTCCTTTGCTGTGCAGAAGCTTTTTAGCCTGGTTCAATGCCATTTGTCTATTCTTTCTTGGTTGCCTGTGCTTTAGAGGTCTTACACAAAATGTCATTGCTCAGCCTAATGTCCTGGAACACTTCCGCAAAGTTTTCATCTAATTGTTTCATAGTCATAGTTCCAGGTATTAGATTTAAACCTTTCATCCATTTTAATTTTATTTTTGTGTATGGTGAGATATAGGGGTTTATTTCATCCTTCTACATGTAATTACCCAGTTTTCCCAGCACCATTTATTAAACAGACTCTCCTTTTCCTGTTGTATGCTCTTGGTGCTGTTGTTGAAGATGAGTTGGCTGTCAATGCATTGATTTATACCTGGGTTCTCTATTCTGTTTCATTGGTCTGTGTGTCTGTTTTCTTGCCAGTTCTATGCTAATTTGGTTACTATAGCTTTTTTTTTTAATGTTTAATTTTTGTTTTAAGTTCCAGGGTACATGTGCAGAATATGCAGGTTTTTTATGTAGGTAAATGTGTGCCACCGTGGTTTGCTTCACAGATCATCCCATCACCTAGGTATTAAGCCCAGCATGCATTAGCTATTCTTCCTGATGCTTTCCTTCCTGCAACACCCCACCCCCAAAAGGCCAAGTATGTGTCCATGTGGTCTCATCATTCAGCTCATTCAGGTGAGAATATGTGGTGTTTGGTTTTCTGTCCCTGCGTTCATTTGCTGAGGATAACAGCTTCCAGCTCTGTCTATGTCCCTACAAAGGACATGATCTTGTTCCTTTTTATGGCTGCATAGTATTCCATGGTGTATATGTACAACATTTTCTTTATCCATTCTACCATTGATGGGCATTTTGATAGATTCCATGTCTTTAATATTGTGAATCGTTGGTTATTATATCTTTGCAGTAAATTTTGAAGTCAGGTAATGTGATGCCTCCAGCTTTTTTTGTTTTTTTCTTATTTTGCTTGGAATTGCTTTGGGTCTTCAGGGTCTTTCTGGTTTCATATAAATTTTAGCATTTGTCCTATTTCTGTGAAGAATGGCATTGGTCTTTTAATAAGGGTTGCATTAAATCTGTAAATTGCTTTGGATAGTATTGTCATTTTAGCAATATTAATTCTTCCAATCCATGACATAGAATATCCTTATTAATGTTTTGTTCAATTACTTTAATCAGTTTTTTATAGTTATATTTGTATAAATCTATCAGTGTTGGTGCACAGATGTATATAATGGTTACATTTTCTTGCTGAATTGACCTTTTTATCATTATGTAGTAACCTTCTTTATCTCTTTTTACAATCTTTCATTTGTAGTCTATTTCCTCTAATGTAAGTATAGTTACTCCCACTCTCTTTTAGTTTCCAGTTGCATGCAATATCTTTTTTCACCCCTTCACTTTCAGTCTATCTATATCTTTAGAGGTGAAGTGGGTTTCTTATAGGCAGCATGTAGTTAGGTATTGTTTGTTTATCCATTCAGCCACCCTATGCCTTTTAATTGGAAAATTGAGTCCATTTAAATCCAGTATTATTATTGATAAGTAGGGAATTGCTACTGCCATTATGTTGCTTATTTTCTGGTATTTTGAAACTCCTCTCTTCTTTTCTTCTTTTCTCACTCTCTTCTTTTGGGGTTAAGTGATTTTCTGTGGTAGTATGTTTTAATTTGCTGTTTTTTAATTTTTGTGAATCTATTATAGGTTTTTGCCTTATGGTTACTATGAGGTTTACAAAAAAATCTTGTAGATATAACAAGTTATTTTAAAGAGATGACAATTTATCTTAGATCACAAAGAATAGAGACAAACAAAAAATGAAACTTCCACATTTTAACTTCATTTCTCTCTCATTTTGAATTTTAATTGACTTTACATATTTTTATATTACCTATCTCTTAACAGGTTTCTGTAGCTATTATTGTTTTTGATAGATTTGCTTTTTGAGGCTTCATATTAGAGTTATAAGTGGATTGCACACTACAATTATAGTATCAGAGTATTCTGAGTTTGTGTCTGGGATTTATTCCTTCTGGTGGATTCGTGGTCTCGCTGACTTCAAGAATGAAGCCGCAGACCTCGCAGTGAGTGTTACAGCCCTTAAAGGTGGCATATCCAGAGTTTGTTCCTTCTGGTGGGTTCGTGGTCTCGCTGACTTCTGGAATGAAACCACAGACCCTTGTGGTGTTACAGCTCATAAAGGTAGTGTGGACCCAAAGAGTGACCAGCAGCAAGATTTATTATGAAGAACGAAAGAATAAAGCTTCCACAGCATGGAAGGGGACCCAAGCAGGTTGCTGCTGCTGGCTCTGGTGGCCAGCTTTTATTCCCTTATTTGGCCCCACCCATGCCCTGCTGATTGGTCCATTTTACAGAGTGCTGATTGGTCCATTTTTACAGAATGCTGACTGGTGCATTTACAATCCTCTAGCTAGACAGAAGAGTTCTCCAAGTCCCCACCTGACCCAGAAACCCAGCTGGCTTCATCTGTCTATCCCCCCTCTAAATAGGACACCCTAACTGCTGTGGGAATTGTGCTATGACCACTTTAGCTACTTCCTGCTGGATAGAGGGAAAGAAGGGGCCCTGCAGTGGTAGTGTCCTCCAGAGGGGAACTCTCTAGGCCAGCCAAAGGGCCAGTGAGTTGATCCAGGGGTCCTCAGTAGAAGTTGTTAGTTGAGCTCATTTAGGGTTCCATTTGTAAGACCTCTATGTCTTGATGGCATGGATCCTGGAGGAAACAAATTTGACAAGGAGGTTAAAAACACACAGCCCGAAGGTGAGTAATAGCAAGATGGCTGAAACAGGACCTAGAAATGGGAGAAGCCACGTTGCCCAACTTCAGAGGTTGGTATAAGAGTTTGAAAGGCATTGTCTGATTTAAAAAGCCTTTTCCTGTAAATGCCGGGCAGCATTTTGTACTATCCCTGACTGGTTAGTGTAAAAACAACAGTCTTCCCCTAAGAAAGTGCTGAGTCCTCCTTTCTCAGCAGTGAGGAGGTCTAGGCCTCGGCGGTTTTGGAGAGTCACTGCTACCAGAGTCTATTTGGGATTGTAGAGTAAGGATAGATTTTGTTATTTTTTGCAAACTGTCTGAGAAATCCTTTGAGATTAATAGCAAAGAATAATTGAAATCCCAAACTTACAAAGTTTTCAACAAAACTACAGTTTGCTAAAAGTTAACAGTGTAACATGTATTATCCTACTACCACACACTAAGACCTTATTAACTTAGAATTGGTATAGATGGCTCCTTCCTGATTCTGTAAGTACTTTAAGGTTTGGCTGAGTGCAAACAACTGGCACATTTGAGCAGACCAATTGTTAGGCAATTTTCCTAATTCTGCTTCTACAAGAGTTTCCTTATCACTTACTGAATACCCATTGTGTCTTTTTCCCTTAATCTCCCGGGAGGAAACATCTATCATCCCGTCCTGAAGGGAGTACTTCCTAGGTCTGGTCGGACCTTTGTATGGTAATTAATTAAGATTTAGATCCCCTGTTAGGAAACCTGCTGGGTTAAGGATATTTTTATAGGAAAGCTACAGTTTTGATAGGAAGGCTATGGGTTGTCAGTGGCCTCAGTGTTTTTGGGCTACACCCTTGTTTACACTGACAACAAGGTGGTTTGGAGTGTTATAGGGTTATGGAGAAGACCTTCAATTATAAATTATAGGTTTAAAATTTACCCTGGATTTTAAAGGAATAAGATACACTGTTTTTTCTTTACTGCTTCCATCTCTCTTTCTCTTTGACTTCTTCTTTGTCTCTCTCTTTCTCTCTTTCTGACTCCCTCTTTGTCTCTTCCTCTTTCTCTGACTTTCTATCTCTCTCTTTCTCTCTCTCTCTGACTCCCTCTTTGTCTCTGTTTCCTCTTCTCTCTCCCTCTCTCTCTGACTTTCTGTCTCTCTCTTTCCTTTCTGCTGGTCTTTGCCTGCCTCTGCCAGCTGCTTATGCTGCTGCTCTCCCCTCTCCTTCCCCGTTTTGATGGCTTCAGCAGTGTAAGACTACCACCTCCTTGGGTTTTTGCACTGTGTGCAATAACTCCATGATTTCCTTGTGGTATTTAATGGGGCTCCCCCAGAGGTTAGGAACTCCCTTTCTTTCCATATTGCAGCATGGGCATGTAGGATTAGATAAGCATACTTAACATCTGTAGCAAAGTCTCCCAATTAGAACTGAGGAGGTGGGAGAAATACCTGGTTACAGGCTGTCCCAAGATTCCTCGGATGGTAATGGACCTTGAGGACAGCTGTCTGGGACAGGAGATTAACACTGAGAAAGATGCACCAGTGTCCAGGAGGAAGTCAATTTCCTGGCCCTCAATAGATAAATGTACCTGAGGCTCAGTAAGGTTGATGACATGAGCTGGCGCTTGCCCTGGGCACCCTCAGTCCTGTTGTTGGATCATCTGGTTGGGGATTTCTGACCCAGAGAACCTTTGTCCTCTGGGACAATGAGCCTTCCAGTGATAGCCTTGGCATAATGGACATGGGTGAGGGGGCGGCTTGTTTCTCATTGGACAATCTTTTTTAAAGTGTCCTTGCAAACCACACTGATAACAAGCCCTAACAGGTGATTGGCCTGCTCCATTTTCTGTCCTGTCTGAACCACCAAGGTTTGTCTGAGGGCCATGACTAAGGCTGTGGCCTTTCTCTGATCTCACTTTTCCTTTTCAGCCTGTTCCTCTTGGTCCCTATTATAGAACACTAAGGTTGCCAGGTTTAATAATGCCTCCAGATTTTGTTCAGGGCTCAGAGCTCGCTTTTGGAGCTTTCTCCTGATATCTGCGGCTGATTGGGTAATAAACTTATCTTTTAGGGTCAATTGACCCTCGAGGGAGTCAGGTGACAGGGGAGTATATTTTCTTAGGGTCTCCTGTAGCCACTCAAGGAAAGCAGGATTTTCTTCCTTTCCCTGAGTTATGGTGGACTTCATTGAATAATTCATGGGCTTTTTTCTAATTCTCCTTAGTCCTTCTAGAACACAGATCAACAGATGTTTGTGACTCCAGTCCCAATGATGTGAGTCTAGGTCCCAGTGGGGATCCATACTGGGGATGGCTTGCTGACTGGTAGGGAATTTGTCCCTTTCTTCGTCTGTCACTCTATCATTTACTTGACTAAGATACCAGGTATCTTCAAACTCTCAGGCTGCAGCTAAAGCCGCATTCTTTTCATTAAAGGCCAGGGTTTGATCTAATAGCATGACATCTCTCCAGGTGGGATTGAATGTTTGCCCTAGACCCTGTAGGACATCTATATACCTATCAGGATCATCTGAAAACTTCCCCAGGTCTGCCTTGATCTGCTTTAAATCAGAGAGGGAGAAGAGGACATGTACCCAGGTTGGGCCAAATTCCCCACTCCCTACAGCTTAAAGAGGACATAACTGATAGCCTGGGGGTTTTTGTGGTCACTTGGAGATTTCTTTCCTTGTTTCCTTCTGGGCAGGGATATTAGAGGAGGCTTATCATTAATAGGAAGGGGAGCTATAGGGAAGCTAGGATATGGGGGTAAGCTGACAGGTCCTCTTGTGGGATATAAATTAGAAGATTTGCATAGTTGTGGATTCTCCTTCAATGAAAAGAAAGCTTGGATATAAGATATTTCACTCCATTTGCCTTCCCTTTTACAGAAAAGGTCAAGCTGCAGGATAGTATTGTAATTTGTACTTCCCTCAGGTGGCCATTTTTCCCCATCAGAGAGATGATATTGGGGCCAGGCCATATTGCCAAAAAAAATGAGCCACCTCTTTTTCAGGGTTTGCTGGTCAAATTGGTCCCAATGGCTTAGGATGCATTGCAAGGGTGGGCCTGTTGGTGTCTGAGTGTTTCCCATCACTTGGTGAAAGTCCCATCTGGGTCGGCAAGGTGTGTCCTGAGTTTATTCCTTCTAGTGGGTTCTTGGTCTCGCTGACTTCAAGAATGAAGCCGCGGACCTCACAGTGAGTGTCACAGCTCTTAAAGGTGGTGTATCCAGAGTTATTCCTTCTGGTGGGTTCGTGTTCATGCTGACTTCAGGAATGAAGCCACAGACCCTTACAGTGAGTGTTACAGCTCATACAGGTAGTGCGGACACAGTGAGCAGCAGCAAGATTTATTATGAAGAGCAAAAGAACAAAGCTTGCACAGCATGGAAGGGAACTTGAGTGGGTTGCCACTGCTGGCTCGGGTGGCCAGCTTTTATTCCCTTATTTGGCCCTACCCATATCCTGCTGATTGGTCCATTTTACAGAGTGCTGATTGATCCATTTTTAGAGAATACTGATTGGTGCATTTACAATCCTCTAGCTAGACAGAAAAGTTCTCCAAATCCCCACCCATCCCAGAAGCCCAGCTGGCTTCACCTCTCAAGTTTATTCATGAACGTAATTTTACCAACATGTTTTATACCATAATTTTGTTTTTGAACATTAACCATTTTTACTTTCAGAAGGAAGAATTCCCCTTAGCATTTCTTGTAAGATGAATCAGGTAGTGGTGAATTCTCTCAGGTTTTCTTTGCCTGGAAAACATTTTATATCATCTTCATAATAAGTTTGCTAGATACACTATTCTTGAATGACAGCTTTGTTTGTTTTTAACTTTTATTTCACGTTTGAGAATACATGTGAAACTCTTGTCATCAGAGTTTGTTGTACAGATTATTTCATCACTCAGGTATGAAGCCTAGTACCCAATAGTTATTTTTTCTGCCCCTTTCCCTCCTCCCACCCTCCACACTCCAATAGGCCCCAGAGTCTGTTGTTATCTTCTTTGTGTTCATGAGTTCTCATAATTTAGCTCCCACATATAAGTGAGAACAAGCAATATTTTGTTTTCTGTTCCTGTGTTAGTTTACTAAGGATAGTAGCTTCCAGCTCCATCCATCTTCCCACAAAAGACATGATCTCATTGTTTTTATGGCTGCATAGTATCCCATGGTATACATGTAGCACAATTTCTTTTTTTTTATTTATTATTATTATACTTTAAGTTTTAGGGTACATGTGCGCAATGTGCAGGTTAGTTACATATGTATACATGTGCCATGCTGGTGCACTGCACCCACTAACTGGTCATCTAGCATTAGGTATATCTCCCAGTGCTATCCCTCCCCATCCCCCCACCACACAACCATCCCCAGAGTGTGATGTTCCCCTTCCTGTGTCCATGTGTTCTCATTGTTCAATTCCCACCTATGAGTGAGAATATGCAGTGTTTGGTTTTTTGTTCTTGCAATAGGTTACTGAGAATGACGATTTCCAATTTCATCCATGTGCCTACAAAGGACATGAACTCATCATTTTTTATGGCTGCCTAGTATTCCATGGTGTATATGGGCCACATTTTCTTAATCCAGTCTATCATTGTTGGACATTTGGGTTGGTTCTAAGTCTTTGCTATTGTGAATAATGCCACAATAAACATATGTGTGCATGTGTCTTTATAGCAGCATGATTTATAGTCCTTTGGGTATATACCCAGTAATGGGATGGCTGGGTTAAATGGTATTTCTAGTTCTAGATCCCGGAGGAATCGCCACACTGACTTCCACAATGGTTGAACTAGTTTACAGTCCCACCAACAGTGTATAAGTGTTCCTATTTCTCCACATCTTCTCCAGCACCTGTTGTTTCCTGACTTTGTAATAATTGCCATTCTAACTGGTGTTGAGATGGTATCTCATTGTTGTTTTGATTTGCATATCTCTGATGGCCAGTGACGGTGAGCATTTTTTCATGTGTTGTTTGGCTGCATAAATGTCTTCTTTTGAGAAGTGTCTGTTCATGCCCTTCGCCCACTTTTTGATGGGGTTGTTTGTTTTTTTCTTGTAAATTTCTTTGAGTTCATTGTAGATTCTGGATATTAGCCCTTTGTCGGATGAGTAGGTTGTGAAAATTTTCTCCCATTTTTAGGTTGCCTGTTCACTCTGATGGTAGTTTCTTTTGCTGTGCAGAAGCTCTTTAGTTTATTTAGATCCCATTTGTCAATTTTGGCTTTTGTTGCCATTGCTTTTGGTGTTTCAGACATGAAGTCCTTGCCCATGCCAATGTCCTGAATGGTAATGCCTAGGTTTTCTTCTAGGGTTTTTATGGTTTTAGGTCTAACGTTTAAGTCTTTAATCCATCTGGAATTGATTTTTGTATAAGGCATAAGGAAGGGATCCAGTTTCAGCTTTCTACATATGGCTAGCCAGTTTTCCCAGCACCACTTATTAAATAGGGAATCCTTTCTCCATTTCTTGTTTTTCTCAGGTTTGTCAAAGATCACATAGTTGTAGATATGCGGCGTTATTTCTGAGGACTCTGTTCTGTTCCATTGATCTATATCTCTGTTTTGGTACCAGTACCATGCTGTTTTGGTTACTGTAGCCTTGTAGTGTAGTTTGAAGTCAGGTAGTGTGATGCCTCCAGCTTTGTTCTTTTGGCTTAGGATTGACTTGGTTATGCGGGCTCTTTTTTGGTTCCATATGAAGTTTAAATTAGTTTTTTTCAATTCTGTGAGGAAAGGCATTGGTAGCTTGATGGGGATGGCATTGAATCTGTAAATTACCTTGGGCAGTATGGCCATTTTCACGATATTCATTCTTCCTACCTATGAGCATGGAATGTTCTTCCATTTGTTTGTATCCTTTTTTATTTCCTTGAGCAGTGGTTTGTAGTTCTCCTTGAAGAGGTCCTTCACATCCCTTGAAAGTTGGATTCCTAGTTATTTTATTCTCTTTGAAGCAATTGTGAATGGGAGTTCACCCATGATTTGGCTGTCTGTCTGTTGTTGGTGTATAAGAATGCTTGTGATTTTTGTACATTGTTTTTGTATCCTGAGACTTTGCTGAAGTTGCTTATCAGCTTAAGGAGAGTTTGGGCTGAGACAATGGGGTTTTCTAGATATACAATCATGTCGTCTGCAAACAGGAACAATTTGACTTCCTCTTTTCCTAATTGAATACCATTTATTTCCTTCTCCTGCCTAATTGCCGTGGCCAGAACTTCCAACACTATGTTGAATAGGAGTGGTGAGAGAGGGCATCCCTGTCTTGTGCCACTTTTCAAAGGGAATGCTTCCAGTTTTTGCCCATTCAGTATGATATTGGCTGTGGGTTTCTCATAGATAGATCTTATTATTTTGAGATACGTCCCATCAATACCTAATTTATTGAGAGTTTTTAGCATGAAGGGTTGTTGAATTTTGTCAAAGGCCTTTCTGCATCTATTGAGATAATCATGTGGTTTTTGTCTTTGGTTCTGTTTATATGCTGGATTACATTTATTGATTTGTGTATATTGAACCAGTCTTGCATCCCAGGGATGAAGCCCACTTGATCATGGTGGATAAGCTTTTTGATGTGCTGCTGGATTCGGTTTGCCAGTATTTTATTGAGGATTTTTGCATCAATGTTCATCAAGGATATTGGTCTAAAATTCCCTTTTTTGGTTGTGTCTCTGTCCGGCTTTGGTATCAGGATGATGCTGGCCTCATAAAATGAGTTAGGGAGGATTCCCTCTTTTTCTATTGATTGGGATAGTTTCAGAAGGAATGGTACCAGTTCCTCCTTGTACCTCTGGTAGAATTCAGCTGTGAATCCATCTGGTCCTGGACTCTTTTTTGTTGGTAAGCTATTGATTATTGCCACAGTTTCAGCTCCTGTTATTGGTCTATTCAGAGAGTCAACTTCTTCCTCGTTTACTCTTGGGAGAGTGTATGTGTCAAGGAATTTATCCATTTCTTCTAGATTTTCTAGTTAATTTGCGTAGAGGTGTTTGTAGTATTCTCTGATGGTAGTTTGTATTTCTGTGGAATTGGTGGTGATATCCCCTTTATCATTTTTTATTGCGTCTATTTGATTCTTTTCTCTTTTTTTCTTTGTTAGTCTTGATAGCAGCCTATCAATTTTGTTGATCCTTTCAAAAAACCAGCTCCTGGATTCATTAATTTTTTGAAGGGTTTTTTGTGTCTCTATTTCCTTCAGTTCTGCTCTGATTTTAGTTATTTCTTGCCTTCTGCAAGCTTTTGAAGTGTTTGCTCTTGCTTTTCTAGTTCTTTTAATTGTGATGTTAGGGTGTCAATTTTGGATCTTTCCTGCTTTCTCTTGTGGGCATTTAGTGCTATCAATTTCCCTCTACACACTGCTTTGAATGTGTCCCAGAGATTCTGGTATGTTGTGTCTTTGTTCTTGTTGGTTTCAAAGATCATCTGTATTTCTGCCTTCATTTCGTTATGTACCCAGTAGTCATTCAGGAGCAGGTTGTTCAGTTTCCATGTAGTTGAGCGGTTTTGAATGAGATTCTTATTCCTGAGTTCTAGTTTGAATGCACTGTGGTCTGAGAGATAGTTTGTTATAATTTCTGTTCTTTTACATTTGCTGAGGAGAGCTTTACTTCCAACTATGTAGTCAACTTTGGAATTGGTGTGGTGTGGTGCTGAAAAAAATGTATATTCTGTTGATTTGAGGTGTAGAGGTCTTTAGATGTCTATTAGGTCTGCTTGGTGCAGAGCTGAGTTCAATTCCTGGGTATCCTTGTTGACTTTCTGTCTTGTTGATCTGTCTAATGTTGATAGTGGGGTGTTAAAATTTCCCATTATTAATGTGTGGGAGTCTAAATCTCTTTGTAGGTCACTCAGGACTTGCTTTATGAATCTGGGTGCTCCTCTATTGGGTGCATATATATTTAGGATAGTTAGCTCTTCTTCTTGTTGAATTGATCCCTTTACCATTATGTAATGGTCTTCTTTGTCTCTTTTGATCATTGTTGGTTTATCATCTGTTTTATCAGAGACTAGGATTGCAACCCCTGCCTTTTTTTGTTTTCCATTTGCTTGGTAGATCTTCCTCCATCCTTTTATTTTGAGCCTATGTGTGTCTCTGCACATGAGATGGGTTTTCTGAATACAGCACACTGATGGGTCTTGACTCTTTATCCAATTTGCCAGTCTGTGTCTTTTAATTGGAGCATTTAGTTTGTTTACATTTAAAGTTAATATTTTTATGTATGAATTTTATCCTGTCATTATGAGTTTAACTGGTTAATTTGTTCGTTAGTTCATGCAGTTTCTTCCTAGTCTTGATGGTCTTTACATTTTGGCATGATTTTGCAGTGGCTGGTACCAGTTGTTCCTTTCCATGTTTAGCGCTTCCTTCAGGAGCTATTTTAGGGCAGGCCTGGTGGTGACAAAATCTCTCAGCATCTGCTTGTCTGTAAAGTATGTTATTTCTCCTTCACTTATGAAGCTTAGTTTGGCTGGATATGAAATTCAGGTTTGAAAGTTCTTTTCTTTAATAATGTTGAATATTGGTCCCCACTCTCTTCTGGCTTGTAGAGTTTCTGCCAAGAGATCTGCTGATAGTCTGATGGGCATCCCTTTGTGGGTAACCCGACCTTTCTCTCTAGCTGCCCTTAACATTTTTTTCCTTCATTTCAACTTTGGTGAATCTGACAATTATGTATCTTGGAGTTGCTCTTCTTGAGGAGTATCGTTGTCGCGTTCTCTGTATTTCCTGAATCTGAATGTTGGCCTGCCTTGCTAGATTGGGGAAGTTCTCCTGGATAATACCCTGCAGAGTGTTTTCCAACTTGGTTCCATCCTCCTCGTCACTTTCAGATACACCAATCCGACGTAGATTTGGTCTTTTCACATAGTCCCATATTTCTTGGAGGCTTTGTTCATTTCTTTTTATTCTTTTTTCTCTAAACTTCCCTTCTCATTTCATTTCATTCACTTCATCTTCCATCGCTGTTACCCTTTCTTCCAGTTGATTGCATCAGCTCCTGAGGCTTCTGCATTCTTCACGTAGTTCTCGAGCCTTGGTTTTCAGCTCCATCAGCTCCTTTAAGTACTTCTCTGTATTGGTTATTCTAGTTATACATTGTTCTAAATTTTTTTCAAAGTTTTCAACTTCTTTGCCTTTGGTTTGAGTTTCCTCCCATAGCTCAGAGTAATTTGGTTGTCTGAAGCCTTCTTCTCTCAGGTCGTCGAAATCATTCTCTGTCCAGCTTTGTTCCATTGCTGGTGAGGAACTGTGTTCCTTTGGAGGAGGAGAGGCACTCTGCTCTTTAGAGTTTCCAGTTTTTCTACTCTGTTTTTTCCCCATCTTTGTGGCTTTATCTACTTTTGGTCTTTGATGATGGTGATGTACAGATGGGTTTTTGGTGTGGATGTCCTTTCTGTTTGTTAGTTTTCCTTCTAACAGACAGGACCCTCAGCTGCAGGTCTGTTGGAGTACCCGGCCGTGTGAGATGTCAGTCTGCCCCTGCTGGGGGGTGCCTCCCAGTTAGGCTGCTCAGGGGTCAGGGGTCAGGGACCCACTTGAGGAGTCAGTCTGCCCATTGTCAGATCTCCAGCTGCATGCTGGGAGAACCACTGCTCTCTTCAAAGCTGTCAGACAGGGACATTTCAGTCTGCAGAGGTTACTGCTGTCTTTTTGTTTGTCTGTGCCCTGCCCCCAGAGGTGGAGCCTACAGAGGCTGGCAGGCCTCCTTGAGTTGTGGTGGGCTCCACCCCGTTCGAGCTTCCTGGCTGCTTTGTTTACCTAAGCAAGCCTGGGCAATGGCGGGTGCCCCTCCCCCAGCTCACTGCTGCCTTGCAGTTTGATCTCAGACTGCTGTGCTAGCAATCAGTGAGACTCCGTGGGCATAGGACCCTCCCAGCCATGTGTGGGATATAATCTCCTGGTGCGGCACTTTTTAAGCCCGTCTGAAAAGCGCAGTATTCGGGTGGGAGTGACCCGATTTTCCAGGTGCCATCTGTCACCCCTTTCTTTGACTAGGAAAGGGAACTCCCTGACCCCTTGTGCTTCCCAAGTGAGGCAATGCCTCACCCTGCTTCAGCTCGTGCACGGTGCACACACCCACTGACCTGTGCCCACTGTCTGGCACTCCCTAATGAGATGAACCCAGTACCTCAGATGGAAATGCAGAAATCACCCATCTTCTGCATTGCTCACACTGGGAGCTGTAGACTGGAGCTCTTCCTATTCAGCCATCTTGGCTCAGGAATCCTGCCCAGAGATCTCCTTTTTATCATAGTTCATGTTGGATTGTAACAGCATGCCCAGCTTAGTATTTTCCTTCAAAATTTTTGGCATAGGAACCATCAGCATAGAGCAACAGTTCTGGATTGGTGTATAGAATTTCTTGTAAATCCAATCTCGGAGTCAAATTTTGGGAAATCAGTTTAACACAATTATAAGTCTCTCTTTTGTTGGGTAAAGGTAAGATGGTAGCAGAGTTTAAAGAAAGAATTGCAGCAAAGTATATGCAGATTTGAAGGTGATAGGAGCAGAATCACATAAAATGTTATCCTGCTGTCTGAGAAATGCTGGGTACATTCAGGATTTAGCAAGATTTCTACAGCATGTGAAAGGTGTAGGCATAAGTTATTGCTTTGAACAAGTTCTGAGAAAGATTGTATTATTTGGCACCTGCAACTACTGCCTTTAAACAATTTGGATATGCTGTAGCAACCAGACATAACTGTACACTATACTAGTCTATGGGCCTATTTTGTCCTACAAGTTTTTGAGTGAGGACCCCTAGAGTCTGATTGTTTCATTCATGAATAAACAATGTGAATGGTTTAGAATAATTGGAGAGTCATAACACAGGAGGATTTTGCAAAACCTGTTTTAGTTCAGTAAGGGCCTCCTACTATTTTGCTTTCCAAAGAAAAGGGTTCTGATTGCTATTTTTAGTTAGTTCATGGAGTGGAGAGGCCAGTGTTGTGACCTGGTCTATCATGAAAGTCTGAGGAATCCTCTGAGTTGCTTTTTAGTCACAGGTCTAGAATAATTTTGAATAGCATTTATTTTTTCTGGAGACAGAAAGATTATTTTTGCAGAGAAGTCATGACCTAGATAATGCGCCACTTCTTGTGAGAATTGAAGCTTATCTCAAGAGGTCTTATGGCCCTTATAAGCTGGTTGTTATAATACATATATTTGGTCAATTTGTACGTCCTCTTTAGATGAAGAACAAAGAAGCAAATTACGTACATATTGAATCAAGGTGGAATGTCTGGGAAACTGCAATGTTCAAATCTTGATATAAAATTTGTGAGAAATATGAAGGAGCCTTTAATTCTTAAGGTGTTACTGTCAAAGTACATTGTTGATTTTTTCAAGTGAAAACAAACAAATATTAACACTCTTTTTGTCTACTGGAATGCTAAAATATATATACAAAATATAAGTCTACTACAGTGAACCACTCAGATTCAGTTGATTCCTTTGACAACAAAGTGTTTGGATTTGGTATCACTGGGAATCTTTTTTCTTTTTTCTTTTTTTTTTTTTTTTTTGAGGCAGAGTCTCGCTTTGTTACCTGGGCTGGAGTGCAGTGGCGCGATCTCGGCTCACTGCAAGCTCCGCCTCCCGGGTTCATGCCATTCTCCTGCCTCAGCCTCCTGAGTGCTGGGGTCTAGGGTCTACAGGTGCCCGCCACCACACCTGGCTAATTTTGTTTTTGTATTTTTAGTAGGGACGGGGTTTCACTGTGTTAGCCAGGATGGTCTCGATCTCCTGACCTCGTGATCCACCCGCCTCGGCCTCCCAAAGTTCTGGGATTACAGGTGTGAGCCACAGCGCCTGGCCGGGAATCTTGATACATAATTTTATTTGTAGCTCTAAGGCCCTGTACAAATCTCCATCCCTGTCCATGGGTTTTCTTGACAGGTAAGATAAGAAGGTCACAAGGACTAGTATACAAAATAATTACTCCTTGATTTATTGGGTCCTCTACTCTTAAAGTGAGTCCCTGCGTTGCTTCAGTTTTCAGAGGGTATCAGGGTAACTTACAAAGCAGTTTAGGCCAGGTGCGGCGGCTCACACCTGTAATCCCAGCACTTTGGGGGGCCAAGGTGGGAAGATCACCTGAGGTCAGGAGTTTGAGACCAGCCTGGCCAACATGGTGAAACCTCATCTCTACTGAAAGTACAAAAATTAGCTGGGCATGGTGGCACATACCTGTAATCCCAGCTACCCAGGAGGCTGAGGCAGGAAAATCACTTGAACTCGGGAGGCGAGGTTGCAGTGAGCCGAGATCACACCACTGCACTCTAGCCTGGGCAACAGAGTGAGACTTCGTCTCAAAAAACAAAAAATGAAAAAGAAAATAAAGCAATTTAAAAAGGTCAATCACAATTTCAATGGATCTGATGTGTTTGATCTTTCCCACATCTGTAGAGTAGAAGCCCATAGAGTATCAGGAATTTCAGAAAGATGTATATCTATACATTTATGGAACTTAATAGTTTCCTTAGGATAGTCAATTTGGACTTGGAGAACCCACAATGTTTTATTGTCTGATAAATCTTAGATTTCTAGGGTCATTTCTCCAGAGGATAATTTTATTAAGATTCCTATTTAGGAAAACAGATCTTTATCTAGGAGCTTCAGAGGAGCAATATCACATAAAAGGAAGGCATGATTCTCAGAAAAAGGGCCAAAGGTGACAGTTGAGAATTCTGTTAAAGGAACACTTTGAACTTGATTTGAAACTCCTGCCATTGAGATAACTTTTATTATCCTGAGAAAGTTCCTGATATATCATGGTGGATTCCAAAGTAGAAAGAGTTGTTCTGGTGTCACAGTACAAATTTCTTCATTTATGTTTGGTTTCTTCTCATTGATTTAAAGTAATTATTGGAAGTAGCTTACTGGGCAATTCCTTGGAACCCTATCAACATTAAGAGTTGTTAAAAGGATGTGGGGGTTGTTCCAATTTCCCCTTATTTAGCTATGGGCAGTCTTTTTGCCAATGCCCCTTCTGCTTCCAGTAACCCTAAGCATCTTTATCAATGGAGGCAAAATTGGGAATAAGATTTTTTAAAGATAGACCAAATTCCCTGCAACTGTTGTAATTGTAGAGTCATTGGTTTGCTTACCTGATGGCTTCTTTTTTTAATCTAATATCCCTTCAACATGCTCTACTAGATGTTGCAGTTCTGTGAGAACTACCCCTCATTTTAGTTTAGATTTCTTCAGTAAGTCACTTATTTCTGTATGCAATCCAGGAACAAAATGGGCTGTTTTAGCCACTTTATCATCCTGGCCTTTAAAGACAGCATTATGTGAAAACTGTCTACAGATGGGCATGATAGTCTGCAACAGATTCATTTGTTTATAATGTTAGATTATGGTCCAGCCTATTCTCATTGGAAGTGCTTCAGGAATAGTGTCTAATAGTTGTTGGCCCATTTTCCTGTCCATCTGCATTTCTTATTTAAAAGCATGCTTAGCAGGATCCTCAGTATATCCAGATGGATTATCCCAATGGGGTTTGGTTTTTCTAGCCATTTTCAGTTACCTCCTGTGCATACTATCACATTGACAAATTGGTACAAATTAAAAGCATGGATTATAGACCCCCTAAAAAAATTTTAAATTCTTCTGTAAATTTGGTTGTATTTTTTTAATATCACAAAATCTTTTATAATGGCTCAGAGTTCTGTGTAAGGCCAAGGTTTAAATTCAGCTCTAACAGGTACTCCTGGCTCATTTGAGTGTCTAATTTTTTAAAGGAAGCTAGTGTGGAGAGGTTTAGGTGGAAAAGCCAAAACATTAAAGGGGTTAGTAGGTTCAGAAAAATCAATTACTGGAGGATAAAATGAAGCAGAGGGATTCACAGAAGGGTCTATAGAGTCAGGCTGAGTTTTAGCTTTTAAATTATTATTTGCACACCAGTAGAGATTATTTTGGAGAGGTTATTGTGAGTCATTCTGTCTATTAAAAGCCTCTGCCTACCAGTCCAAGACTGCATTCCATTGTCTTTGAGAGGTTCTGGGTCATTTCTTTTCAAGAGTGCTTTCAGAATGAACTATTTTATCTAAGTTGAAGGTTACCCAAAGCAGCCACTGCAGCCTCACATTGTCCTTTATAAAGATCACCAATTTTTCACACACAAAAAAAAAGACACAAGATCGTGATCCATAGCTGTTATAAATATAGGAAGCAGGGGGTTCAGACATATGTAGGGAAGGGATTATGGACCAGGTGGAAAGTATCTTTGCCTTGGATTTCCTCAAATGAATGTATCTATAGGGAATCTTGTACTTGTACTGCTGTCCAGAAACCCAATGGAATGGCAGGTTGTCTCCTGTTACAGACACAGGGAATAATGGGTTTTATCCTCTTGCAAATGTAAGGATGACTTATCAAGAAGCTTTCACACAGCACAGGTATGCACAACAAAGTTGAAGAGCTTGAAATGCAGAGAGTACATCTTGGATCTGAGAGTACCCTTGAGCTCCGTGTTCAGCAAGAAAGCAGTGAGCACCATGGGCTCTGTGGTACCGGCATCAGGTTACTCACCTGTCTTGGAGCTTATCAACAATCTACTTATCAAGGATCTAGTTTACATCTCATATTTGACACCAGAAACTGTTAAAAATAAAATCAGATCAAGTAAAACAGGAATATAGGAGTTTATTGTGCCTACCAAAGAACATTTCAAAAACCAGGAGATTTCAAACTGAACGTGTTAAGAAGCTCATCTCACAAGTGTTACAGCACAGCTTATAAAGCATCAGTGAGAGAGACATTGAACTCTATTGTAAGTGGCTACTATAAATTTGTATCCCTTTTAGAGCACATAGAGCTGTAGAAGCTTATTTTTCTGTAGCTGATTGACTCAAATTTATCATACTGACATGGAAGAAAGGCTTATGGTTTGTTTATGGTTAGAACTTGCATTTCAGAGAGATCAACATAGCTTACATTTTGTTATGGCTATGGTTGGTTGTTCTGAGAGTATATCCAAACAGTGGCCTTCATTTTCAATTTTTTTAACATCCCTTAACATCCCTTAACAATGAGATGCCATGCAGAGAGAGAAAGAAAGAGGCCAAGAGGCCAAGGAGCAGTGAGGTGCCAGATTTGTGAGGGACGCTCCTTGGAGCTTTCAGGCAAGGCAAGCCTCCAGCTGAGTACCACACAGTGATCCAGTTGATGCCACTTGAAGCAGAAAAACTGCCCAGCTAAGCTCTGCCCAAACTTCTGGCCCACTTAACTGTGAGGTATAATAAAATTGCTGTTGTTGTAAGCCACTAAGTTTTGGGGTAGTTTATGTCACCACAATAAATAATCCAAACATTCTCCTCTAAACTTAGTTTGTCTATAGGATTAATGTGACAAGTAATAACTTACAGCCTTGTGACCTGACCTCCACTGTTGGCTTAAATTTCAATTTAAATATTTTATTGTTATTCAGTTTGTCGTGTGAGTATATCTTCTGTCCCAGTGAGATTACAATTCTTTTTTATTACCTACAAATAGCCTTATATATAGCATTTGTGGTTAACTCTGCTTTTATTCTTTAAAAATTAGTATAGGAAAAACTCACCTTTTTTTAGCCGAAATTTGTGTTGTGTTTGTTTAATGCTACAAACATCTTTATTTGTTTTTCCTTTCGGTATATGAGCCATCATTGAATAAAAGTGAGTGACAAGGTGCTGGGAAAATGTGGAAATGAGATTGGGAATGTGGATGTAGGTTATGTCTTATTAAAAATAATATTTGATTAAAAATCACTAGAGAAAAACATATGTCAGCCACAAGTGGTATATAAAGTAATAAAATAAAGGTGAGAATTTACAAATGATCCATTAGTAGAAAACAAACAATAAAAAAAAAAAACAAAAATACAAACACAAGTCCTGGGATGGTATAGCCAAAATTCTGTGATGACCCCCAAGATTACTGCTGTATATAATATATATCATATAATATATATCACAACTTATATAATTCATTCCCTTTGAGCATAGAAAGGCCTGTGAATATACTGGGGTAGTCACTCCTTGATTAGGTTATATTTGATAATGAGAGGTGACAGCGTGCTGACAGTCCTCACAGCCCTCGTTCCCTCTCAGTGCCTCCTCTGACTGGGCTCCCACTTTGGTGGCACTTGAGGAGCCCTTCAGCCCACCACTGCACTATGGGAGCCCCTTTCTGGGCTGACCAAGGCCAGAGCCGGCTCCCTCAGCTTGCAGGGAGGTGTGGAGGGAGAGGCGTGAGCGGGAACCGGGGCTGTGTGCAGCACTTGCGGGCCAGCTGGAGTTCCGGGTGGGCGTGGGCTTGGCAGGCCCTGCACTCGGAGCAGCCAGCCGGCCCTGCTGGCCCCGGGCAATGAGGGACTTAGCACCTGGGTCAGTGGCTGCGGAGGGTGTACTGGGTCCCCCAGCAGCGCCAGCCCACCGGTGCTGTGCTCCATTTCTCGCTGGGCCTTAGCTGCCTTCCTGCGGGGCAAGCCTTGGAACTGCAGCCTGCCATGCCTGAGCCTTCCCCGGCCTCCGTGGGTTCCTGTGCAGCCCGAGCCTCCCGGACCAGCACCGCCCCCTGCTCCACAGTGCCCAGTCTCATCGACCGCCCAAGGGCTGAGGAGTGCAAGCGCACAGCGCAGGACTGGCCGGCAGCTCCACCTGCAGCCCTGGTGCAGGATCCACTAGGTGAAGCCAGCTGGGCTCCTGAGTCTGGTGGGGACATGGAGAGTCTTTATGTCTAGCTCAGGGATTGTAAATACACCAATCAGCACCCTGTGTTTAGCTCAAGGTTTGTGAGTGCACCAATCCACTCTCTGTATCTAGCTGCTCTGGTGGGGCCTTGGAGAACCTTTATGTCTAGCTCAGGGATTGTAAATACACCAATTGGCACTCTGTATCTAGCTCAAGGTTTGTAAACACACCAATCAGCACCCTGTGTTTAACTCAATGTTTGTGAGTGCACCAATCGACACTCTATATCTAGCTGCTCTGGTGGGGCCTTGGAGAACTTGTGTGTCAAAACTCTGTATCTAACTAATCTGATGGGGACGTGGAGAACCTTTGTATCTAGCTCAGGGACTGTAAACGCACCAATCAGCACCCTGTCAAAACAGGCCACTCGGCTCTACCAATCAGCAGGATGTGGGTGGGGCCAAATAAGAGAATAAAAGCAGGCTGCCAGAGCCAGCATTGGCAACCTGCTCGGGTCCGCTTCCACACTGTGGAAGCTTTGTTCGTTCACTCTTTGCAATAAATCTTGCTACTGCTCACTCTTTGGGTCCACGCTGCTTTTATGAGCTGTAACACTCACCACGAAGATCTGCAGCTTCACTCCGGAACCCAGCAAGACCACGAGACCACCGGGAGGAATGAACAACTCCAGATGCACTGTCTTAAGAGCTGTAACACTCACCGTGAAGGTCTGCAGCTTCACTCCTGAGCCAGCAAGACCATGAACCCACCAGAAGGAAGAAACTCAGAACACATCTGAACATCAGAAGGAACAAACTCCAGACGCACCACCTTAAGAGCTGTAACACTCACCACCAGGGTCCGAGGCTTCATTCTTGAAGTCAGTGAGACCAAGAACCCACCAATTCCAGACACAATAAGACTCCATTTTAGCCAACTGGATGGAGAAATTCCTAGTGAGAGAGAGGCCCCCATGCTTGTCTGGAAGCAGTAAATAGCCACATTGTGAAATGCCTATGAAAAGGGGTAACCTTCAAAAGCTGAGCACCTTAGTCCTACAACCCCAAGGAATTGAATTCTGCCAACAACTAATGAACTTAGAAGAGGCCCCCAAAGTCTCAGATGGGATCACAGCCTGAGCTAACACCTTGATTGCAGTCTGTTGAGACTCGAGCATAACACCCAGTAACTGTGCCTGAACTCTTTACTCATAAAATCTGTCAGATCATAAATTTCTGTTGTCTTAAGCCACTAAGTTAGTGATAATTTGTTGCACAGCAATAGAAAACTAATAGAGTGTGATTCTACTTACACTTAAAAAAAAAAAAAACTAAAAAATGGTTCTATACCCGAACAATGTCAAGAATGAGTGTGGAAGGAAAAGAAGAAACCAGGTTCCTTGATGACATTATTGAACTGAGCTGCCAGCCCTGAGATGCTTACTTCCAGACCTTCTGTAAAACAATAATAATAATAATACCAGTAACTGTTAGTTACAGCACTGTTATTTGGATTTTTGAATAAAGGACAACTGAATGCATTGCTATTTGCTCTAGGACTTTCTGTGGCCTGCCTTAATTTAAATAAGTATAAAGCCTCATGCTACGCCTTAGAATTGCCATTTGAAGTCCCCACACAGAATTTTATTTCTACTTTCTAGCTTTAGGATGGCTCATCCCTGCTATAAGGATGATATCCAGTATCTAAGATCTTTCATTATGTGGGCCTTAAATAACTCTTTAACTTACCTTTCGACATCTTCCCGCACCAAAACTCGAACTATCAAGAGATACTTGAAGTTCCTCCAAAGTTGGCTGTCCTATGTACCTCATTGATTTTACCTCTGATTATTTCATTTTTCATCTTCTTTTTACATGTTTGATGTAGCTTTGCCCAAAGCTCTGATGAGTAGTTCTCGGTTCAATTCCTATGCACCCTTCCCTTTGGAAAGCTTTTCTGGTTGTCCTTCTTCAAGAGCTTCTTCTCCGGCTTCCCCAGCATCTTGCATACATCCTTATCCCAACTCTTAACCCATTATGCTGTAATCATTTTTATCTCTGCCTTTTCTGTGTCTACTGAGATAATCACGTGGTTTTTGTCTTTGGTTCTATGTATGTGATGGATTACGTTTATTGATTTGTGTATGTTGAACCAGCCTTGCATCTCAGGGATGAAGCTAACTTGATCTTGGTGGATAAGCTTTTTGATGTGCTGCTGGATTCGGTTTGCCAGTATTTTATTGAGGATTTTTGCATCGATGCTCATCAGGGATATTGGTCTAAAATTCTCTTTTTTTGTTGTGTCTCTGCCAGGCTTTGGTATCAGGATGATGCTGGCCTCATAAAATGAGTTAGGGAGGATTCTCTCTTTTTCTATTGATTGGAATAGTTTCAGAAGGAATGGTACCAGCTCCTCCTTGTACCTCTGGTAGAATTCGGCTGTGAATCCATCTGTTCCTGGGCTTTTTTTGGTTTGTAGGCTATTAATTATTGCCTCAATTTCAGAGCCTGTCATTGGTCTATTCAGAGATTCAACTTCTTCCTGGTTTAGTCTTGGGAGGGTGTATGTGTCAAGGAATTTATTCATTTCTTCTAGATTTTCTAGTTTATTTGCGTAGAGGTGTTTATAGTATTCTCTTTTGGTAGTTTGTATTTCTGTGGGATTGGTAGTGATATACCCTTTATCATTTTTTATTACATCTATTTGATTCTTCTCTCTTTTCTTCTTTATTAGTCTTGCTAGCGGTCTATCAATTTTTGTTGATCTTTTCAAAAAACCAGCTGCTGGATTCATTGATTTTTTTGAAGGGATTTTTGTGTCTCTATCTCCTTTCAGTTCTTATCTGATCTTAGTTATTTCTTGCCTTCTGCTAGCTTTTGAATGTGTTTACTCTTGTTTCTCTAATTCTTTTAATTGTGATGTTAGGGTGTCAATTTTAGATCTTTCCCACTTTCTCTTGTGGGCTTTTAGTGCTATAAATTTCCCTCTGCACACTGCTTTAAATGTGTCCCAGTGATTCTGGTATGTTGTGTCTTTGTTCTCATTGGTTTCAAAGAACATCTTTATTTCTGCCTTCATTTCATTATGTACCCAGTAGTCATTCAGTTGCAGGTTGTTCAGTTTCCATGTAGTTGAGCCGTTTTGAGTGAGCTTCTTAATCCTGAGTTCTAGTTTGATTGCAATGTGGTCTGAGAGACAGTTTGTTATAATTTCTGTTCTTTTACATTTGCTGAGGAGTGCTTTACTTCAAACTATGTGGTCAATTTTGGAATAAGTATTATGTGGTGCTGAGAAGAATGTATATTCTGTTGATTTGGAATGGAGAGTTCTGTAGATGTCTATTAGGTCCACTTGGTGCAGAGCTGAGTTCGATTCCTGGATATCCTTGTTAACTTTCTGTCTCATTGATCTGTGGGGTGTTAAAGTCTCCCATTATTATTGTGTGGGAGTCTAAGTCTCTTTGTAGGTCTCTAAGGACTTGCTTTATGAATCTTGGTGCTCCTATATTGGGTGCATAAATATTTAAGATAGTTAGCTCTTCTTGTTGAATTGATCCCTTTACCATGATGTAATGGCCTTCTTTGTCTCTTTTGATCTTTGTTGGTTTAACGTCTGTTTTATCAGAGACTAGGATTGCAACCCCTACCTTTTTTTGTTTTCCATTTGCTTGGTAGATCTTCCTCCATCCCTTTATTTTGAGCCTATGTGTGTCTCTGCATGTGAGATGGGTTTCCTGAATACAGCACACTGATGGGTCTTGACTCTTTATCCAATTTGCCGTCTGTGTCTTTTAATTGGAGAATTTAGCCCATTTACATTTAAGGTTAGTATTGTTATGTATGAATTTGATGCTGTCATTATGATGATAGCTGGTTATTTTGCACATTAGTTGATGCAGTTTCTTCCTAGCCTTGATGGTCTTTACAATTTGGCATGTTTTTGCAATGGCTGGTACCAGTTGTTGTTTTCCATGTTTAGTGCTTCCCTCAGGAGCTCTTGTAGGGCAGGCCTGGTGGTGACAAAAATCCCTCAGCATTTGCTTGTCTGTAAAGTATTTTATTTCTCCTTCACTTATGAAGCTTAGTTTGGCTGGATATGAAATCCTGGGTTGAAAATTCTTTTCTTTAAGAATGTTGAATGTTGGCCCCCACTCTCTTCTGGCTTGTAGAGTTTCTCCCATGAGATCCATTGTTAGTCTGATGGGCTTCCCTTTGTGGGTAACCGGACCTTTCTCTCTGGCTGCCCTTAACATTTTTTCCTTCATTTCAACTTTGGTGAATCTGTCAATTATGTGTCTTGGAGTTGCTCTTCTTGAGGAGTGTCTTTGTGGCATTCTCTGTATTTCCTGAATTTGAATGTTGGCCTGCCTTGCTAGGTTGGGGAAGTTCTCCTAGATAATATCCTGAAGAGTGTTTTCCAGCTTGGTTCCATTCTCCCCATCACGTTCAGGTACACCAATCAGACGAAGATTTGGTCTTTTCACATAGTCTTATATTTCTTGGAGGCTTTGTTCACTTCTTTTTACTCTTTTATCTCAGAACTTCTCTTCTCACTTCATTTCATTCATTTGATCTTCAATCACTGATACCCTTTCTTCCAGTTCATCGAATCAGCTACTGAAGCTTGTGCATTCATCACGTAGTTCTCTTGCCATGGTTTTCAGCTGCATCAGGTCGTTTAAGGACTTATCTACACTGGTTATTCTAATTCGCCATCCATCTAATCTTTTTTAATGTTTTTAACTTCTTTGCATTGGGTTCAAACTTCCTCCTTTAGCTCAGAGAAGTTTCATCATCTGAAGACTTCTTCTCTCATCTCATCAAAGTCATTCTCCATCCAGCTTTGTTCCATTACTGGAGAGGAGCTGCATTCCTTTGGAGGGGGAAATGTGCTCTGATTTTTAGAATTTTCAGCTTTTCTGCTCTGTTTTTTCCCCACCTTTGTGGTTTTATCTACCTTTGTTCTTTGATGATGGTGATGTACAGATGGGGTTTTGGTGTGGATGTCCTTTCTGTTTGTCAGTTTTCCTTCTAACAGTCAGAACACTCAGCTGCAGGTCTGTTGGAGTTTGCTGGATGTCCACTCCAGACCGTGTTTGCCTGGGTATCAGCAGTGGAGGCTGCAGAACAGAGAATATTGCTGAACTGCAAATGTTGCTGCCTGATCTTTCCTCTGGAAGCTTCATCTCAGAGGGGTACCTGGTTGTGTGAGGTGGCAGTCTGCCCCTACTAGGGGGTGCCTCCCAGTTAGGCTACTTGGGGGTCCGGGTGCCACTTGAGGAGGCAGTCTGTCTGTTCTCAGATCTCCAGCTGCATGCTGGGAGAACCACTACTCTCTTCAAAACTGTCAGATAGGGACCTTTACGTCTGCGGAAGTTTCTGCTGCCTTTTGTACAGCTATGCCCTGTCCTCAGAGGTGGATTCTACAGAGGCATGCAGGCCTCCTTGAGCTGTGGTGGGCTTTATTTACCTACTCAAGCCTCAGCAATGGCGGGTGCCCCTCCCCCAGCCTCACTGCCACCTTGCAGTTTGATCTCAGACTGCTGTGCTAGCAATGAGTGAGGCTCCATGGGAATGGGACCCTCCAAGCCAGGCGGGGGATATAATCTCCTGGTGTGCCACTTGCTAAGACCATTGGAAAAGTGCAGGGAGTGACCCAATTTTCCAGGTGCCGTCTGTCACCCCCTCCCTTGGCTAGGAAAGGGAATTCCCTGACCCCTTGCACTTCCCGGGTGAGGCAATGCCTCATGCTGCTTCAGCTCACACTTGATGGGCTGCACCCACTGTCCCGCCCCCACTGCCAATGAACTCCAGTGAGATGAACCCCTGTACCTCAGTTGGGAATGCAGAAATCACCTGTCTTCTGCATCACTCATGCTGGGGGCTAGATGTAGACTAGAGCTGTTCCTATTCTACCATCTTGGAACTGCCTCCCATATGTGCCCATTCCAATTTTCACAGCCCAACTCTCTCTCAGTAAATACATTTCCTTTCACATAAGAGAACTACAGAGTATTCAAATTCAACTCTGTATAATGCAAAAACTCCAAAGTTAAATCTTTTAGTTTGATTATTAGTTACTTTAAGTTTTGAAGCTGCAAATGACAAAATATTATTCAGCATTAGATGGAAACTTTTGTTTTTCTAACACTGACTTTAGCCAAGATTTCAGAACTTTACATGATCATACTCTTCTTTAGGCTCTCCAGCACAGTTGGAAATAAGCAGACAATCTCACAGTCCTTGAATTCTCAAGCTTAGCAAGTTCCACCCTTAGCAGCACTTGAAATCTAAGGCCTTCCCATCAATGACACTTCATTCTAAATGATATTTGAATTAGTTGCCTGGTCATTACATGCTTTCAAATGCCATTAGCTGTATCATCCTGGCCTTTCTCTTTGATGAAGAAGTTCCACTATGCCCCTAGAATAATCCCACATTTAATTTTGTGGATGTCCTTCTTCTTTCACTACCTACATACTACCATGTCACTTGTGACTGTTAATAGCAAAGAAGACAATCCATTCTGGCAAGTTTAGCCAGACAAGAAAACAAATCATCATATGGGCTAGAGAAGAAAATAATTCTACATAGCCAAGATCAACATTGTAAAACTACATTTAAAAAAACAAACAAACAAAAAACTGACCTAAAGAGTATATTACCACTGTAGCCATTGCGTCCACCAAGCATAAGATGCCAGGAATCCAAAAATATTAAAATTATCGACCAGGTGCATTGTCTCATGCCTGTAATCCCAGCACGTTGGGAGGCTGAGGTGGGAGGATCATGAGGTCAAGAGATCAATACCATCCTGGCCAACATGGTGAAACCCCATCTCTACTAAAAATACAAAAATTAGCTGGGCGTGGTAGCACATGACTGTAGTCCCAGCTACTCGGGAGGCTGAGGCAGGAGAATTGCTTGAACCTGGGAGGCCAAAAAAAGAAAAAAATAAAAATAAAAATAAAAATAAATTATCCTACAGAAAGCACCAAGCCTTTTTGTATCAGGAAGTGAACCTTGAAATCACTGCAACTCACAAAAATCAGAGGCCTTTATTATCACCTATATTAGCAAAACTGGAAAATCCTCAGAGCCCATTTTCTCTTCATGTTAACTGATGAATAAGGGTGTTAAATGGGTGCTTGTGTGACTGTCAGAGGCTAGCTTAAGTAGTTGTGTTATACTTGGGTGGGAAGACATCACACATAATTCAGTTAATTTCCCAAATATAAAAGTAGGACAAATGCACATAATAGCATATGTATTTCTTTTTTAATGAACTAACTGTTCAGGTCATTGATTTCCATTTTCTATTTAGAGTTCCTTAGTAACATTTCCCAATTTGTCTTTTGTCTTGTGACATTGTTTATAACCAAAAATTATTTTGGTTTTCAGATTAACCAGCCTTAAAAAACAAATCTTATGCTTTTGTTTAAAAAACATTTAAAGTAAAGATATTTTATGTTTTCTTCTAGTATTTTTTGCTTTGTCTTCTTATGTTTGAATCTTTGATGCATTTGCAAACTTAATCTAATTATTATGACTCACTTTCCTTTCAAATTAAACCATCCTTTATTTCAGAATATCACGCTGCTTCCACATTTTTGGGAATAAAGTAATCCAGTCACTTAAATAAATTACTCATGTATTATTTTTAAAAATTCTGTGCTGTTTCCCTTATTTCAAACTGCCTCAAAGAAGTGATATATCTAATTAAAGTTATGTGGAATGGTGGCTAACAAAACACACAAACAGAAAAGGAAAATTAAGTAATCTGAATAGTTAGCCTGATGGAAGTAAATATTTCATAGCTGAACTGAATCTCATGAGATCCAGTTTGTGTTTGCATTTTAGAGATGAAGCAATTTATAGAAGGTGAAATCAGAGATATAAAAGTCCTTATACATGAAATTTTATCTCAACCTTTACAAGGAGGGAGTGGGAAAGGGATGAGGAGGACATTTTTCACAATAATGATGTGAAAGTCTTAATTTTTATTCAAGTGTTTGAATTTATGCAGTTTTATCTCCAAATAGAGTCAATATATTATTTTACATGGCATTTTAACAGTTGTGTTTAAATATTTAAAGGAATAAATTTTAAAAGTTATATAAAACTTGGCCAGGTGTGGTGGCTCACACCTGTAATCCCAGCACTTTGGGAGGCTGAGGTTGGTGGGTCACCTGAGGTCAGGAGTTTGAGACCAGCCTGGCCAGCATGGTGAAACCCAGTCTCTACTAAAAATACAAAAATTAGCTGGGTGTGGCAGTGCATGCCTGTAGTCCCAGCTACTAGGGAAGTTGAGACATGAGAATCATTTGAACCTGGGAGGTGGAGGTTTCAGTGAGCCAAGATTGCACCACTGCACACCAGCCTGGGTAACAGATTAAGACTCTGACTCAAAAAAAAAAAAAGTTATATAAAAGTAACTAGTCTCTATGATATAGTTTGGCAGTGTCCCCACCAAATCTCATCTATCTCATCTTGAATTGTAGCTCCCATAACTCCCACAGGTCATGGGAGGGACCCAGTGGGAGGTAACTAAATCATGGGGGTGGGTCTTTCCCATGCTTTTCTCATGATACTGAATAAGTCTCATGAAATCTGATGGTTTTATAAAAGGAAATTCCCCAGCACACACTCTGTTGCCTGCTGCCATGTAAGACCTCCCTTTGCTCTTTCTTCATTTTCTGCCATGATTGTGAGGCCTCTCCAGCTATGTGGAACTGTGAGTCCATTAAAATTCTTTCCTTTATAAATCACCCAGTGTTAGGTATCTTTATTATAAGCATGAGAACAGACTAATACAATAAATAATTGGTACTAGTAGAGTGGGATGCTGCTGTAAAGATACCAAAAAAATGTGGAAGTGACTTTGGAACTGGGTAACAGAAAAAGGTTGGAACAGTTTGGAGGGCTCAGAAGAAGACAGGAAAACATGGCAAAGTTTGAAACTTCCTAGAGACTTGCAGGACACAGAAGACAGGAAAATGTGGGAAAGTTTGGAATTTCCTAGATATTTGTTGAATGGCTTTGATCAAAATGCTAATAGTGATATGAACAATAATGTCCAGGCTGAGGTGGTCTCAGATGGAGATGAGGAATTTGTTAGGAACTGGAGTACAGGTGACTCTTGCTGTACTTTAGCAAAGAGACTGGCAACATTTTGCCCCTTCCCTAGATATTTGTGGACCTTTGAACTTGAAAAAGATGATTTAGGGGATCTGGTGGAAG
This sequence comes from Homo sapiens, assembly GCF_000001405.40. Taxonomy (NCBI): domain Eukaryota; kingdom Metazoa; phylum Chordata; class Mammalia; order Primates; family Hominidae; genus Homo; species Homo sapiens. Next base: position 50,474,704 of record NC_000005.10, read on the forward strand.
AAATTTCTAAGCAGCAAAGCATTCAAGAGGTGACATGGATGTTATTAAAAGCATTCAGCTTTATGTATTCACAAAGATATGGTTTGGAATTGAAACATGTTTAAAAGGGAAGCAGAACATAAAAATTTGGAAAATTTGCAGCCTGATGATGCAGTAGAAAAACAAATAAACAAACAAAAACATTTTCTGAGGAGAATTTCAAGCCAGCTGCAAAAACTTGCATAAGTAACGGGAAGCCAAATGTTAGTCACCAAAACAATGGAGAAAACGTCTCCAGAGCACGTCAGAGACCATCCCAGCAGCCCCTCCCATCACAGGACTGGAGGCCAAGGAAGAAAAAATGGTTTTGTGGATTGGGCCAAGGGCCCCCTGCTCTGTGCAGCCTAGGATCTTGGTGTCCTGCATCCCAGCTGCTCCAGCCATGTCTAAAACAGGCCAAGGTGCAGCTTGGGCTATGGCTTCAGAGGGTGCAAGCCCTAAGCCTTGGCAGCTTCTACATGGTGTTGAGCCTGCAGGTGCACAGAGTCAAGAACTGAGGTTTGGGAACCTCTGCCTAGATTCCAGAGGATGTATGGGAATGCCTGCCTTTACAGGCAGAAGTTTGTGGCAGGTAGGAGCCCTCATGGAGAACCTCTGCTAGGGCAGTGTGGAAGGAAAATGTGGGGTTGAAGCCCCCACAGAGTCCCTGCTGGGGCACTGCCTGGTGAAGCTGTGAGAAGAAGGCCGGCATCCTCCAGACCGCAGAATGGTAGATCCACCGACAGCTTGCACCATGTTTCTGGAAAAGCCACAGACACTCAACACCAGCCCATGAAAGCAGCCAGGAGTGGGGCTATACCTTGCAAAGCCACAGGGGCAGAGCTGCCTGAGACCATGGGAACCCACCTCTGGCATCAGTGTGACCTGGATGTAAGACATGGAGTCAAAGGAGATCATTTCAGAGCCTTAAGATTTGAATGCCCTGCTGGAATTTTGTCTTGCATGGGGCCTGTAGCCTCTTCATTTTGGCCAATTTCTCCCATTTGGAACAGGTGTATTTACCAAATGCCTACACCCCCATTGTATCTAGGAAGTAACTAACTCCCTTTTGATTTTACAGGCTCATAGGTGGAAGGGACTTGCCTTATCTCAGATGAGACTTTGAACTGTGGATTTTTGAGTTAATGCTGAAATGAGTTAAAACTGTGGTGGACTGTTGGGAAGACATGATTTGTTTTGAAATGTGAGGGCATGAGATTCGGGAGGGGCTAAGGGTGGAATGATATGGTTTGGCTGTGCCCCCCACCCAAATCTCATTTTGAATTGTAACTCTCATAATTTTCACGTGTCATGGAAGCGACCCCCTGGGAGGTAACTGAATCATGGGGGCAAGTCTTTCCCATGCTGTTCTTGTGATAGCAAATAAGTCTCACAAAACCTGATGGTTTTTATAAAGGGGAGTTCCCTGCACACTCTCTGTTGCCTCACTCCATGTAAGCCTTCCCTTTGCTCTTCCTTCATATTACAGCATGATTTTGATGCCTCTAGCCATGTGGAACTGGAGCCCATTAAACTTCTTTCCTTTATAAATTAATCAGTCTCGGGTATGTCTCTATTAGCAGCCTGAGAACAGAGTAGCACACTCTAAAATTAGATATTTATCCATTTATAGTGTTACTAATATCCTCATTTCTGTTTCATTAAAGGTTGCAGAGAAAACATACTTTAGTTTTACCAGCATGGTAGGTGCTCTATATGTCTTCTTGAAGATGTGGCAAAATAAAGAAATAAATAGCAACATTATTCTAGTTTCTGATACAAAGCAGCTTGGTTTTTATTCTGGACAATTAATGGTTGGTAAACAAAGTGGTTAAGTAATAAACCTAGGCATTGTTGTTTATGGAAACTGATAACCAAAAGGGAAAGGCAGATAGATTAGCTTCCCTCAGTGAAGAAAATTAGCAAAAGTAAAGAGGTCATGAAAAACAAAAACAGAAAATCTTCTGCCTGGAGATGAGACAGGTTTGCATATTCACACTGGTAAGAGGATGTTTGGAAGCAGCAGTTTTGAGCCTCAGCACTATCACTTACTCTTTTTGTGAAACCGAGAATAATCACTTAACCATTTACTTACTTTACAGGAGTTTCCTTTCCTGTAAAGTAGGTAAACAATACAGTCTGCCAGTGTTGTACAGTTCAAAAGAAAAGTTTTGGCAGTGCTACAAACTATAAAATAAAATATGTAAATACTTGTTGTAATGATTGTTGTTGGTGTTGTTACTATTGTTATATATTATATGAAAGTAATATTTTTTCCTTGACCAAAATGTGCAAAATGAATCCATTTGGAGCTGTGTCTTGTTGTAAAGTGGAGCTCAGGAAGAACATTACCAAGTCACTCTAATGGGTTAATGAACAGATTTTAATGGCAAAACTTACAAGGTATGTGTTCACAAAAAAGAAAAGCATGTGTTTCCTAATACCTCCCTTGATTACACAAAGAGGCATGGAAGATCAAGGTGCTCTATTAGACACACAGTGTGGGATCACCATTCAAGGACCTCATCCCACTGTTGATAGAGAGGAACATTTTTCACAGGAGAATCAAAGATGGCTTACCAACAGGCAGTCTGGATTTCAGTCACCAGCCACATTTTGGAGTGGTAGAGGAAACTACCCAGGTTGCAACTTTGGTATCCATGGAAAGCTAGATTTAGGCACAGCTGCCTTATTGGAAAGGGGAGGAAAGAAGAGTGAAATTCAGTGCTAGAATAAGGAAAATTGTGTGAAGTTCAAATTACAAACAGTGGAGTCCCTACTTTCATTTTATGCTGTTGGACAAATGTCCCTCTCCCACCCTCGGAGAAAACTGGAGAGGGTAAAAACCAAAGGTCTTTAGTCTTAGAACTTCAGACTTGATGATACGGGTACCCAGGACTGGATACATAGTTTGTGCAACTCAGTGCAAAATTAAAATGTGAGTCCATCATTCAAAAATTACTAACAATTTCAAGATGGCAGCAGCAGATAATTAAATTAAGCATGAGGCCCTTCCAAGCACAGGGCCCAGTGTGACATCATGGGGAGGTTGACCATACAGGAAATGTACTGAAAATAAAAAGACTAGTGTTTAAACACACAACGAATGCTGAGTACTGAAGCCTTTATTAAATGACCATTACCTTTACTCTTGAGAGAGGACATTGAAGGAATATTTTCAAGTGCATATGAGCAGCCCAAGGGTCCTCAAAAGCATGTTACTTAAGATAACCTTCAAGTGAAGTTCAAAGTCAAAAAGTCCCACACACTTGCTCAGAATGATTAAAATAAAATTTTAATCTCCTTGATCTTAAACAAAATAAACAACTAAAGATTGCCAAACACCCCAAACAATTATTTAATATGGAAAGAGAAACCAAAACAGAAGAGACATGATTTGTTAGTAATAAATATACAGAGAGAAGAAATTTTACAAGAAATTATTATAAAAATCCTGAGAGTAAAAGATTACATTGCAACTACGAGAAGAACTATGACGAGGACATCCAGGGGAAAAAAAGGAGATCAGATTTTAAAACATCATAGGATAAATGAAATAGACATTTCAGAAAATACAGTTGAGGAAATCTCACCGAAATTAGAACAGAAAGGCAAAGAGATGGTTATGAGAACAGAAAAAAGGTAGTATCAGTGGGTTAGTCCAGGAGGCCCAACATCCAAATAACAGAAATTCCAGAAAGATAAAGAAAATAGAGGGACAAAAATCAACAATGAATAACTCAAAAATTCACTAAACTGAAGGCAATTCAAAGTGAGGGCTTCTGCAAGGTTCTCAGCAAAATGGATAAAAACTGACCCATGGCAAAGCACATCACTGTGAAATTTCAGAACTCTGTGGAGAAGGAGAAAGTCACACAGGTTTTATAGAAGGGGGAAGGAATATGGAATGGTCAGAAATTAAAATGGCTTCAACTTCCTTAATGGAAAAGAAATACCTCCAACATTCTGAAAGAAAATGTTTCCAACCTAGGCCCTATTGAAATGTCAGTTAAATATGAGGATAGAATAAAAACATATTAAAATATAAACTGTCTCAAAAAAAATTCCCATGCATCTTTTTTCTCAGCAAGCTCCTGGGGAATGTATTCCCTAAACCGGAGAGAGTAAATCAAATTAAAGAGAAGGATATAGGAATAGGAATCATCTTATGTTGAAGAGAGATGCCAGGATGATAAATAGGCTCCAGAAAATAGAGCACATTCAGCTCACATTGGAGCCATGTGACTTGCTGAGGGCTCCCCTGTGCATGCCTCTGCCTTTGTCCCTTGAACCTGACCTCATGATTCACTAGGACAAAACAAGGCAAAACATCAGATAAGAGGATGGGGCCAGAAGTAACAGATCCAAGCCAGAAGAGAGGCAGAGGGAATTCAAAGCATAACAGAAAACGAAAGTCCTAGAATGATAGCTCCATTTCTGGCCTAGAATGCAATCAATCCAGACCCTCAGAAAGGGGCTTTCCAAGAGACTGTTTCCAAGAAAATAATTGAAATGTCTGTTTAGCTGATGTGATTTACCTTATTGAAAAGTGTACTTAAAAGCTATTGAATGATTGGAGGTGTGTGGAGGAAATAGCAATGGAAGCACACAAAAAGAAAAAGCATGAAGATAAATAAAAGGCGGGAACAAAAATATTCATAATACACTAAAATTATCAGCTGTGAAAAATAGTTCCATAGGCCAAATACTGTAAACATTGAATATTGACTTAACAATAGAGCATAAGGTCAAGTGGGATATATTTTAAAATACAAGGAAATAATTCAACATTAGGAAATATATTCATGCAATTTGCTATTTTATATTAATAGAGAAAATGTATAATTATCTCCATACATGCTGGAAATATATTTGATAAAAATTTAGCATCCATTTTTTATTAAGGTTACAACAAAAACTCTTCAGTAAGATAAAAATAAAAGGAAAGTTCTGTCATATTATTATAGTATGGATAAACAACAAAAACATATTTAAGGGTAAAATACAATAGAAATTTCAATGAAAGTAAGAAACAAAATGAATCATACCATTACTATTCAATATATTTTAAAGGGTATGAAATGTTTTTGTTAATTTTTTTTTTTTCTGCTCAACATGTAAACCTTGATCCTATGATTTGGAAAATTTCCCACAAATAGAAGAACTCTGATTTGTGGAAAAACACACTTTTCCCAATTTCCCTTGCCACTTTGGCATGTTCATATGACCTGGGCTTAGCCAGTCAGATATTCAAACACAACCTTGAATTGGAAATAGTGCAATGAAGCAAGGACAGAAGAGAAGGCACTGTGGCTTCCCAAGGAACAAAAAGGCAGTATTGTGGTGCTGGGAATGCCAGCTGTTCAATAGCAATAGCAGTAATATGTTCACCAGATGGATTCATTTTGCATTTGGTTCTGACTGCTTAGTGTACTTGTTTTCCAAATGTGGTTCGATAGTTTTCCTTTGAACTATTTTTTATGTTTTGTCAAAATTAACCAGAGTCTGACTTATCCTATTGTTTAAAATCAAGTACTATGATCATTACATGGAAGTCCTGACAAATAAGAACTTAAATTAGATATTAGAGAGAAACAAAAATCTTCATTAATTGCAACTTATGTGATTTCCTACATAGAAAAGCCTGGAATATCAGTAGAAAAACTATTGGAATAAATGAAATAATTTAAGAAAGTGGCCAGTTATAAGACAAATTTACATCTTTTTTAATTTACAGAAATAAATGACAAATACTTATTTTAAAATTTCTCTAACAAAGATAAAATAAGGGTATACTTATAAATTTATTTAACTAAAGTTGTGAAGGAAAAGTTAAAATTTTCTAAGATCCAATAAAATGGCAAGGTATTACAAGATGGAAAGTATTCAACATTACAAAGATGCCAAATCTCCCCAAGTAAATCTTTAAATTTAATACAATTTCTATTTAAATTCCAAAAGAATTTTATTATAAAAATTGATCTTAAAATATCTGTAAAATGTAAATCAAGACAATAACCAGGGAATTTTTGAAGAATATTGAAGGAGAATTTGTCCTACTAGATATCATAATATACTACATAGTTGTAATAACTTCAACAGTGTGATATAAGTACAAGAAAAAGCAAATAGTCTAATGAAAGAATAGAGAGAAAAAGAAGGCATATATACACACAAGAATTTGGCATATAGCAAATATCATATTTCAAAACAGTTAAAAAGAGTTAGATTATCCAATAAGTAGCTGTTTGTTTAAGAATCTATCTAGTTTGATAAGTAAATTTAGATGTTTCTCTTATACATTTATCAGACAATAAATTCTAATTCATTAGAGTTCTAAGGATAAAACTATAACATTGTTCAAATGCTATAGAAGAATTTTAAAGTTATTTTTGGTATAGAAAAGCCTTCATAGGCATAAAATTTAAGAATACAGAGGCCTGGCACAGTGGCTCATGCCTGTAATCCCAGCACTTTGGGAGGCTGAGGCAGGCAGATCACTTGAGATCAGGAGTTCAAGAACAGTCTGGCCAACATGGTAAAACCCCATCTCTACTAAAAATACAAAAATATCTGGGCATGTTGGTGGGCACCTGTAATCCCAGCTGCTCAGGAGGCTGAGGCAGGAGAATTGTTTGAACCTAGGAGGCAGAGGCTGCAGCCAGTGGAAATCGCACCATTGCATTCTAGCCTGGGTGACAGAGTGAGACTCCATCTCTAATAAATAAATACAGAAAAAGACTAAACTTTTTCATTACACAAAATTTAAAAGAAAGTTTATACATGTTGAAAGATGCCACAAAGTAACAACAAAATGCAGATTAGGAGAAAATATGTGCAATGTATCACTTACAAGGGGTTAATCAGCACAAAATATAAAATACCCACTTGAAAAAAAAATGTGAGATGCGGTGCCGTTGAAACAATACATAAATGAATTAAGGTTAGTCTTAAAAATTTGGATAATTAAGTAGTCTATTGCAATTTCATGGATCTCTTTGCTAGGTTCCAAACACCACAAATCTAATTTTATAACTACCATAATGAGCTCCCGTGTGAACCAGAAATAAAAGGACAAATAGACCCATCAGCAAAATCACTGGCACAAATACACCCAAAAAGTGACCCGTAAGTTCATTTGGATGATCGGGTCCATAGAAGAGCCAGGTGCAGAGCAAATGCTGTGGCACTTAGTATCTTCCAGATCTTTGAGGGGATGAATTATATTTTCCATCTGTTTGTGGCTCGGCAGGACTCCATAGCCAAGAAAAAAGAGTTCTATTGTCCTGGTGATGCTTTGAAAAGCATTTTGGAAATGCTGAGGCCTTTCTTGGAGAAACAAGGCAACAGCATAAGTTTGGGATAGGCCAGGGAAATGGTAATGAGGGTGAATGAGTTGGCCTCAAAAGCCCTGAGAGAATCTGGAGAAGTTTGTCACAATGAGGGAGTCAAGAAACACAGTCAAACAAAAACGCCTGAAGCAACATCTAGAACATGTCACCAAGCTCTCTGCCATTGAGGGATCCTCTCCAGGACGTCAATCAACTGGGCTGAGACAGCTCCGTTATCTGCAGGACCCAGTTTAAAATGTAAACGTGGGGCCCCTTATTCAAAAAGCACAAAAAAAGTTCCACTAAACGTATTAAACTATCAAGCTGTTACCTTTCTCCCACAGTCTCCGCATTGTTTTGTCATGTCTCTTTTATTTGCTATTTAATGTCATTCTAAGTGAAGAAGAAAATTTTGATTACTTCAAAGAATTTTACCATTCATCTTTGTATTGTGTAATACCACATTTAGATGCTGATATAAGAGCATTTAATTTATATGTATAATTACTGAAATTATACAATTTATATTTCATAGTTCATACATGCATGTGTATTTTCCTCTTACCAAATAAGAAGAAATTTTGCACCAAAGCAGTGCAACAGTTTTTATTTTACTTCTCGATACATGCACATTCTACCAACACTCTCTACCTTTTGCTACAGGCAAGTAAGGAAAGACTGAAAGGAAAAGGAACTATGGGCTGTCCTATTTTTCCCTTTCCTTCTGTGTCATCATTTTTTATGTAAGTGCTTGGCCAATATAAGAACACAACTTAATTAAGAAAGGGTGTGATAGGCTTCTTTGGTTATTCAGATATCATGAAAGGCCACTGCTTTCTTTCTGCATTTGAAGCAAGGTTGTGTTCAAAGGAATACACTGGCTCTAAAAGCTGTCAGTGTCCTGTTCCATCGCCCTCCTCTTACTCAGTCCCATATATAAAATGCTTACCTTTTATTTACTTTAAGTCTCACTGAATTCCCAAGCCTAGTGGTCCACTGAAATTCTGTGCATATGGCGCATTGCAAAGGCAATCTGCAAGTGGAGTGTCAATGAAGCACAGTGTACATGTGCCCTGAATGTATCTCCTCTGCTCATGTGCATGTTCCATTATCCCATTAAACTCCGCTTAGAAAGCACAAGTCAAAGAAAAAGTTGTTAAGAATGTTCAGATAATAACAGCAGAGTTAAACCAGACTCAGCATCTTTCTGAGCGTAGGGCTCTGTGTAACTGCACTGGTCAAATGCTCATCAGGCCCATCTGATTTGCAGGATGAAGTCTGAAGACTGCAGTTTCTCCACACCCTACATGTCAAAGTGCCTTGTACCACTTGACATATCAAGTCTGCAGCCCGGGTCCGACAGAGCATGGCTTCTTTGTCACAGCAGCTTTTCCATATCTTAGAAGGCCTGGAGGAGCAGAGTGGTGACCACCTTCTTGATGTCTGAAATCTCTCACCTCCACTCACCACCAGGCTGGTTCTCAAGCCACACATGAGGATAACATTCATTCTTGCCTTAGTTCTGTCTTTAGAGGGGATTCTTGTGCCCACCTTGTTCTGTTCTCAGTAATTAGTCCTTCCTTCTATGCCTAAGACTTCCATAAGCAATACAAAGTTTTTAATAAGAAAAAAACAAGAAAGGGAAAAGGAAAGGATAAAAACAGTAATCTCCTGGAAGAAAAATTAATATGGTTAATAAATAAAAAATAAATAAATGGATGGATAAATAGACGATAAGTGATGTGTATCACCACTGATAAGGTATATATAAATTAAACATCATTTGTCACTGATTTGTTAAATGTTAAAAAGATTGACAATAAACCAGCCTTTAAATTAATGCATAATTTATGATATTTGGATTCCTACATTGAAGACATGAATGTTTTTTCCTTTACTATAAAGACATTCATTTTATTTATTCTTTTATTTTTTTATTTTATTATTATTATTACTATACTTTAAGTTTTAGGGTACATGGGCACAATGCGCACGTTACTTACATATGTATACATGTGCCATGCTGGTGTGCTGCACCCATTAACTCATCATTTAGCATTAGGTATATCTCCTAATGCTATCCCTCCCTACTCCCCCCACCCCACAACAGTCCCCAGAGTGTGATGTTCCCCTTCCTGTGTCCATGTGTTCTCATTGTTCAATTCCCATCTATGAGTGAGAACATGTAGTGTTTGGTTTTTTGTCCTTGCGATAGTTTACTGAGAATGATGATTTCCAATTTCATCCATGTCCCTACAAAGGACATGAACTCATCATTTTTTATGGCTGCATAGTATTCCATGGTGTATATGGGCCACATTTTCTTAATCCAGTCTATCATTGTTGGACATTTGGGTTGGTTCCAAGTCTTTGCTGTTGTGAATAGTGCCGCAATAAACATATGTGTGCATGTGTCTTTACAGCAGCATGATTTATAATCCTTTGGGTATATACCAAGTACTGGGATAGCTGGGTCAAATGGTATTTCAAGTTCTAGATCCCTGAGGAATCGCCACACTGACTTCCACAATGGTTGAACTAGTTTACAGTCCCACCAACAGTGTAAAAGTGTTCCTATTTCTCCACATCCTCTCCAGCACCTGTTGTTTCCTGACTTTTTAATGATTGCCATTCTAACTGGTGTGAGATGCTATCTCATTATGGTTTTGATTTGCATTTCTCTGATGGCCAGTGATGATGAGCATTTTTTCATGTGTCTTTTGGCTGCATAAATGTCTTCTTTTGAGAAGTGTCTGTTCATGCCCTTTGCCCATTTTTTGATGGGGTTGTTTGTTTTTTTCTTCTAAATTTGTTAGAGTTCATTGTAGATTCTGGATATTAGCCCTTTGTCAGATGAGTAGGTTGCGAAAATTTTCTCCCATTTTGTAGGTTGCTTGTTCACTCTGATGGTAGTTTCTTTTGCTGTGAAGAAGCTCTTTAGTTTAATTAGATCCCATTTGTCAATTTTGGCTTTGTTGCCATTGCTTTTGGTGTTTTAGACATGAAGTCCTTGCCCATGCCAATGTCCTGAATGGTAATGCCTAGGTTTTCTTCTAGGGTTTTTATGCTTTTAAGTCTAATGTTTAAGTCTTTAATCCATCTTGAATGAATTTTTGTGTAAGGTGTAAGGAAGGGATCCAGTTTTAGCTTTCTACATATGGCTAGCCAGTTTTCCCAGCACCATTTATTAAATAGGGAATCCTTTCCCCATTGCTTGTTTTTGCCAGGTTTGTCAAAGATCAGATAGTTGTAGATATGCGGCATTATTTCTGAGGTCTCTGTTCTGTTCCATTGGTCTATATTTCTGCTTTGGTACCAGCACCATGCTGTTTTGGTTACTGTAGCCTTGTAGTATAGTTTGAAGTCAGGTAGTGTGATGCCTCCAGCTTTGTTCTTTTGGCTTAGGATTGACTTGGTGATGCGGGCTCTTTTTTGGTTCCATATGAACTTTAAAGTAGTTTTTTCCAATTCTGTGAGGAAAGTCATTGGTAGCTTGATGGGGATGGCATTGAATCTATAAATTTCCTTGGGCAGTATGGCCATTTTCATGACATTGATTCTTCCTATCCATGAGCATGGAATGTTCTTCCATTTGTTTGTGTCCTCTTTTATTTCATTGAGCAGTGGTTTGTAGTTCTCCTTGAAGAGGTCCTTCACATCCCTTGTAAGTTGGATTCCTAGGTATTTTATTCTCTTTGAAGCAATTGTGAATGGGAGTTCACTTATGATTTGGCTCTCTGTTTGTCAGTTATTGGTGTATAAGAATGCTTGTGATTTTTGTACATTGATTTTGTATCCTGAGACTTTACTGAAGTTGCTTATCAGCTTAAGGAGATTTTGGGCTGAGACAATGGGGTTTTCTAGATATACAAACATGTCGTCTGCAAACAGGGACAATTTGACTTCCTCTTTTCCTAATTGAATTCCATTTATTTCCTTCTCCTGCCTAATTGCCCTGGCCAGAACTTCCAACACTATGTTGAATAGGAGTGGTGAGAGAGGGCATCCCTGTCTTTTGCCAGTTTTCAAAGGGAATGCTTCCAGTTTTTGCCCATTCAGTATGATATTGGCTGTGGGTTTCTCATAGATAGCTCTTATTATTTTGAGATACGTCCCATCAATACCTAATTTATTGAGAGTTTTTAGCATGAAGGGTTGTTGAATTTTGTCAAAGGCCTTTTCTGCATCTGTTGAGATAATCATGTGGTTTTTGTCTTTGGTTCTGTTTATATGCTGGATTACATTTATTGATTTTCATATGTTGAACCAGCCTTGCATCCCAGGGATGAAGCCCACTTGATCATGATGGATAAGCTTTTTGATATGCTGCTGGATTCAGTTTGCCAGTATTTTATTGAGGATTTTTGCATCAATGTTCATCAAGGATATTGGTCTAAAATTCTCTTTTTTGGTTGTGTCTCTGTCCGGCTTTGGTATCAGGATGATGCTGGCCTCATAAAATGAGTTAGGGAGGATTCCTTCTTTTTCTATTGATTGGAAAATTTCAGAAGGACTGGTACCAGCTCCTCCTTATACCTCTGGTGGAATTCGGCTGTGAATCCATCTGTTCCTGGACTCTTCTGTGTTGGTAAGCCATTGATTATTGCCACAATTTCAGAGCCTGTTATTCAGAGATTCAACTTCTTCCTGGTTTAGTCTTGGGAGAGTGTATGTGTCGAGGAATTTATCCATTTCATCTAGATTTTCTAGTTTATTTGCATAGAGGTGTTTGTAGTATTCTCTGATGGTAGTTTGTATTTCTGTGGGATCAGTGGCGATATCCCCATTATCATTTTTTATTGCATCTATTTGATTCTTCTCTCTTTTTTTCTTTATTAGCCTTGCTAGTGGTCTATCAATTTCGTTGATCCTTTCAAAAAACCAGCTCCTGGATTCATTAATTTTTGAAGGGTTTTTTGTGTCTCTATTTCCTTCAGTTCTGCTCTGATTTTAGTTATTTCTTGCCTTCTGCTAGCTTTTGAATGTGATTGCTCTTGCTTTTCTAGTTCTTTTAATTGTAATGTTAGGCTGTCAATTTTGGATCTTTCCTGCTTTCACTTGTGGGCATTTAGTGCTATCAATTTCTCTCTACACACTGCTTTGAATGTGTCCCAGAGATTCTGGTATGTTGTGTCTTTGTTCTTATTGGTTTCAAAGAATATCTTTATTTCTGCCTTCATTTCATTATGTACCCAGTAGTCATTCAGGAGCAGGTTGTTCAGTTTCCATGTAGTTGAGTGGTTTTGAGTGAGTTTCTTAATCCTGAGTTCTAGTTTGATTGCACTGTGGTCTGAGACACACTTTTTTATAATTTCTGTTCTTTTACATTTGCTGAGGAGAGCTTTACTTCCAACTATGTGGTCAATTTTGGAATACGTGTGGTGTGGTGCTGAAAAAAATGTATATCCTGTTGATTTGGGGTGAAGAGTTCTGTAGATGTCTATTAGGTCTGCTTGGTGCAGAGCTGACTTCAATTCCTGGGTATCCTTGTTAACTTTCTGTCTCGTTGATCTGTCTAATGTTAACAGTGGGGTGTTAAAGTTTCCCATTATTATTGTGTGGGAGTCTAAGTCTCTTTGTAGGTCACTCAGGACTTGCTTTATGAATCTAGGTGCTCCTGTATTGGTTGCATATGTATTTATGATAGTTAGCTCTTCTTGCTGAATTGATCCCTTTACCATGATGTAATGGCCTTCTTTGTCTCTTTTCATCTTTGTTGGTTTAAAATCCGTTTTATCAGAGACTAGGATTGCAGCCCCTATCTTTTTTTGTTCTCCATTTGCTTGGTAGATCTTCCTCCATCCTTTTAGTTTGAGCCTATATGTGTCTCTGCACGTGAGATGGGTTTCCTGAATACAGCACACTGATGGGTCTTGACTCTTTATCCAATTTGGCAGTCTGTGTCTTTTAATTGGAGCATTTAGTCCATTGACATTTAAAGTTAATATTGTTATGTGTGAATTTGATCCTGTCATTATGATGTTAGCTGGTTATTTTGCTCGTTAGTTGATGCAGTTTCTTCCTAGACTCGATGGTCTTTACATTTTGGCATGTTGTTGCAATGGCTGGTACTGGTTGTCCTTTCCAGGTTTAGTGCTTCCTTCAGGACTCTTTTAGGGCAGGCCTGGTGGTGACAAAATCTCTCAGCATCTGCTTCTCTGTAAAGTATTTTATTTCTCCTTCACTTATGAAGCTTAGTTTGGCTGGATATGAAATTCTGTGTTGAAAATTCTTTTCTTTAAGAATGTTGAATATTGGCCCCCACTCTCTTCTGGCTTGTAGAGTTTCTGCCGAGAGATCCACTGTCAGTCTGATTGGCTTCCCTTTGTGGGTAACCCGACCTTTCTCTCTGGCTGCCCTTAACATTTTTTCTTTCATTTCCACTATGGTGTATCTGACAATTATGTGTTTTGGAGTTGCTCTTCTAGAGGAGTGTCTTTGTGGCATTCTCTGTATTTCCTGAATCTGAATGTTGGCCTGCCTTGCTAGACTGGGGAAGTTCTCCTGGATAATATCCTGCAGAGTGTTTTCCAACTTGGTTCCATTCTGCCCGTCACTTTCAGGTACACCAATCAGATGTAGGTTTGGTCTTTCCACATAGTCCCATATTTCTTGGAGGCTTTGTTTGGTTCTTTTTATTCTTTTTTCTCTAAACTTCCCTTCTTGCTTCATTTCATTCATTTCATCTTCCATCAGTGATACCCTTTCTTCCAGTTGATTGCATCGGCTCCTGAGGCTTCTGCATTCCTCACGTAGTTCTCAAGCCTTGGCTTTCAGCTCCATCAGCTCCTTTAAGCACTTCTCTGTATTGGTTATTCTACTTAGACATTCGTCTAAATTTTTTTCAAAGTTTTCAACTTCTTTGCCTTTGGTTTGAATTTCCTCCTGTAGCTCAGATAGTTTGATCATCTGAAGCCCTCTTCTCTCTACTCGTCAAAGTCATTCTCCTTCCAGCTTTGTTCTGTTGCTGGTGAGGAACTGCGTTCCTTTGGAGGAGGAGAGGCGCTCTGCTTTTTAGAGTTTCCAGTTTTTCTGCTCTGTTTTTTCCCCATCTTTGTGGTTTATCTACTTTTGGTCTTTGATGATGGTGATGTACAGATGGGTTTTTGGTGTGGATGTCCTTTCTGTTTGTTAGTTTTCCTTCTAACAGACAGGACCCTCAGCTGCAGGTCTGTTGGAGTTTGCTAGAGGTCCACTCCAGACTCTCTTTGCCTGGGTATCAGCAGTGGTGTCTGCAGAACCGTGGATTTTCATGAACCACGAATGCTGCTGTCTGATCGTTCCTTTGGAAGTTTTGTCTCAGAGGAGTACCCGGCCACGTGAGGTGTCAGTCTGCCCCTACTGGGGGGTGCCTCCCTGTTAGGCTGCTCAGGGGTCAGGGGTCAGGGACCCACTTGAGGAGGCAGTCTACCCGTTCTCAGATCTCCAGCTGCGTGCTGGGAGAACCACTGCTCTCTTCAAAGCTGTCAGACAGGGACATTTCAGTCTGCAGAGGTTACTGCTTTCTTTTTGTTTTTCTGTGCCCTGCCCCCAGAGGTGGAGCCTACAGAGGCAGGAAGGCCTCCTTGAGCTGTGGTGGGTTCCACCCAGTTTGAGCTTCCTGGCTGCTTTGTTTACCTGAGTGAGCCTGGGCAATGACGTATGCCCCTCCCCCCGCCTCGCTGCTACCTTGCAGTTTGATCTCAGACTGCTGTGCTAGCAATCAGCAAGACTCCGTGGGTGTAGGACCCTTCGAGCCAGGTGTGGGATATAATTTCCTGGTGCGCCATTTCCTAAGCCCATCAGAAAAGCGCAGTATTTGGGCGGGAGTGACCCGATTTTCCAGGTGCCGTCTGTCACCCCTTTCCTTGACCAGGAAAGGGAACTCCCTGACCCCTTGCACTTCCTGAGTGAGGCAATGCCTTGCCCTGCTTCGGCTCATGCATGGTGCGCTGCACCCACTGTCCTGCGCCCACTGTCTGGCACTCCCTAGTGAGATGAACCTGGTACCTCAGATGGAAATGCAGAAATCACCCATCTTCTGCGTCACTCACACTGGGAGCTGTAGACTGGAACTGTTCCTATTTGGCCATCTTGGCTCCTCCAAGACATTCATTTTAGAATAACAAACTTTAAACCAAAAGTCCAAGCTTTTTAGTTAGAGCCTGGAAATTTAATTCAGGGAACATTCCCGTAGTCAAATTAAAATACATCTTATCACCCCCCCCCCCACAAAAAAAAAGAATGCAAATTCAATCCCCTGGCATGTTTCCACACTCTCACACAATGCCATGCTGTTGAAGCATTCACAGCTGATGCTTTGCAAAATTAAAATTGTGTATTTCATGAGTGAAATTCTTTTGCTTTGTTGCTTTCAATTTTGTTTTGTTTTTGTTCTTAAGCATAAGCATGACTGGAAAACACCAGTTACCATCTCAAGGAGTTTTCCAGGTACAGAAGTAGCAAAAGGGGATCAACCGTTGAAGTCAAGTTGATATTTATTGGCTATAATTTTTTAAAAGACATATCTTACCACATTGAAGGCATGTTTTACTATAGCAAAAGCACTATCTAAAAAATATATGACAAACTAACAAAAAATAACAAAAGTCCAAAAGTTTGCTGAGTAGAACCAAGACATCATATGAAAGAATTTTAAAAATTGGGATCTTGGAGAAAATGGCAGACAATACTAATAAACCAAACTCATCTGCTCCATTAAGCATTAGCCATAATGATTTTTTTAATGAATAAAATCCTATACATTTGTTTTTGACAAACCCTTTACAATTTAGATTGATGTAACATGATGAGAACACTTTTTTCCAACTTATTAGGATGTATTTTTTCTGTATTTTTTAAAGGAAACCATTCTGATATAACCTTTAATTTTACTATCCACCAATTTTCAGAGACCTGATTTTAGGAATAAATGTATCTGACATTGGCAATAGTTTAGAGAAAGGAATGCCTTCACATTTCATATTCTTTTTTTTTTCAAGTTTCACCATGTTGGCCAGGAGGCTGGTTTCGAATTCCTGACCTCAAGTGATCCACCCACTTAGGCCTTCCAAAATGCTGGGATTACAGGTGTAAACCACCACCACACCTGGCCAGGAATGCATTCATATTCTGTTAGAGTAAGTTCACATTGTTTCCACTTTTGTTAGAGGGCAAAATGGAAAAAACTATCAAAATATAAAATATGCAAAATCTCTGACCCAGCAATCCACATCTATTGTTTAAAAATTGTTACAGTATATATTCATCCATTTTCATGCTGCTGATGAACACATAGCCGAGACTGGGAAGAACAAGAGGTTTAATGGACTTAACAGTTCTACATGAGTGGGAAGGTCTCACAATCATGGCAGAAGGCAAGAAAGGGCAAGTCAACATCTTACATGGATGGAGGCAGGCAAAGAGAGAGCTTGTGCAGAGAAACTCCTATTTTTAAAACCATCAGATCTTGTGAGACTCATTCACTATCACGAGAACAGTTCAGGAAAGACCCACCCCCATAATTCAATCACCTACCACCAGGTTCCTCCCATGACACATGGGAATTGTAGAAGTTATGATTCAAGATGGGATTTGGGTGGGGACACAGCCAAACCGTGTCACACTAGTTTACAAAGGTTTACACAATGTTCATTGCAGTATCACATAACAGTTGACATCACAAACTCTGATGCCTGATTATCTTTGCATAATTCCAGTACCAGTTTAATAATTCTGTAATTTAGGACACATTATTTAAACTCTGTTCTTCAGTTTCCTCATTGGGAACATATGGAAATAGCAACCATTCCTAACTCATGAACATATTGAGATTAGATGAGGTTAGACTATTAGAGCTGTGCCTGATCCATAGTAAGTTCTTAGTAAATATCATCTGGCTTGTTTTTAGAGAATTAGTTACATGAATGACTGTATTATAACTACAGAATTCTAGGCAGTCTTTAAAAAGATGAGTCCATTGCTATGTATGCTATAAAAGAATATCCATTATAACTTGTCAAATAAAGAAAAAATATGACATGCATATGAGTATTTTGCATATAAATTGTGTGTGTGTGTGTCTAGAAAAATTTCTAAGTATCTAAAACCATACCTATCAGTGCCACTTCCACAGTTGCACTGGGAATAGAGATACAGTAGGAAAGGCTGCCAATTTTATTATAAAGTACTGTATGGTTTGAATTTTTATAAAATTTAAATAAAGCCAATAAAATAAGATAAAAAATATTTTCCAGCATACCCTGACCAATCCTGTCTGTCTTATCCTATGTAATACTAAAGCCTATCTGATAGTCATTTGAAATCTCTTTCATTACCTCTCTTTCTTGACTCATGCTATAGATGCAGGCATCAGCACTTTCAAATAATGTAAAATGGTACATCGTATTATTACACAACTATTGTTCTTGTCCCCACTTCTTGGTCTGAAATATTCCACTTAAATGATACTATGATGTATATGTTACTCTTAGTTTCAGCTGAGTATAAATAAATAAAATGTTATACCTATTCCAGCCCAACCACCATAAACATTTCATGAAAAAACAAACAAACAAAAACTAACCAAATGGTCAGCCAAGAAACATGGATTTAATTCTGGTCCTGTAAATAGAAAAAAGCAATGCTTTCCATCCTGACATAGCCAAGACACATGACACACAATGGAGGCTATGGTGAAGAAAAATTGCAATTACAGATTTAAGTTCATTCTCTCTCTCATGACACTTTGTTTATGATTATTGCTACATATTGTAAAAGTGCAAGTACTGGTGTAAGAAAATAACAATGACTACCTTTCAAATGTGCATACTACCTTTTAGATGATTGAAAAACTAAGGTAAAAAACAGATATCGTATCTTCAGATGAAAATATTGACAGATTACATTTATTTATTCAGTCATTTACTCAGCAAGTACTTATTGGGCACCAACGATATTCCAGGTACCATTCTAAGTTCAGGGGACAAAGTAATGCACTGAAGAAAGGTCCTACCCTGATGGAAGGGAGAGAGTGACAACAAATGGAAATATAATGTCTCTCAAACTAATAAAAACCCATACCCACATTTAATCTTCACAAGCTCATAAGTTTGGTGCTCTCATCATTGTCATTTTTCTGATTTTACAAGTGGAGAAAAGAAGGAATAGAAAGACTGTCACTTACTGGAGGGCATATAAGCAGTAATATAAATAGTTTGTGATAGAAGTAATATTCAAACCCCAGAATTTGATGCCAGATCCTGAGGTCTTGATATTCCTGTTCAAAATCACATCACAAGATTGTTCAGAGGATTAAATGAGATAACTTATATTGAACCATTTTTTAAATTGCATTTTAAAAAAATATTGACATCATCATCACCATCAGCTATGGTATTTTTGTCTGGGCAAATTGCAAACTCCAAGGTTAGCATTGGAAAACAGCATCGGATGTGCTAAATTTTTCTCAGGAATTTAGTGAAAGTCCTTTGGTATAAAACAGCCAAGAAAGCCTGTGTATGATTCCAAGGTCCAAAAAATTCACTACATCATACAGAGGAGGTACAAAGAGGCATAAGTGTTCAGGGGCTGCAATGAGGCCCAAAAACTTAGCATGAAGATTATTTGAGAACACAGCAAGAATAATTTCACCTGATGCCATACCTCATAGAAAGCTGCTTTTTAAACTATTAATATAATAACAGCAAAACTAAATCTCTTAATACTTCTATAAAGATATGACCAAGAGAAATCTCTCTAAAAGAAATAACTAGAAACTGAACTATAATCTAGCTATAAAATCACACCTCCCACATACAAATTATTTATTTCTCAGATACTGCAGCTTCTCTCACCATTGAGTCAAAGTGTAAATATCAATGAAGTATGGCCTTAACATTCAACATACATGTATTGTGAATCCTGAAGGAGAATTATTATGAAAGATGGTAATTATCAAATTGATAATGGAAGATGGAAAAGATGCTAAACTGGGCCAACTGAGTTAATAGTTAAAAGGTTATTTTTATACAGTAATGATATATTTACCACAGGAAAAACAAACAGTCAATGATAATTGTCTTAGTGAGGGTTTTATCAGAGAAGCAGATCCACTATAAGTGATATAGAGTAAGGGATTTATTTCAAATTTAGAACTTATGCAACTCTGGCAGTGGTCAGACTGCCTATATAAGGCCTTACTTGGCCTGAAATGAGCAGAGTTAGTGGTTGAAAACAACATTTCCTCCAGGAATCTCTTTCTGAGGTCCAGAATACATTAGGTCTCTATAAAATTAGGACTGTGTTTGTCTGCTGGTAAGAGAAAATGGAAATTATAATGGCTTTAAAAATTCAGGTTACTTCTCTTACATAAAGAGGTTCAGAGGTAGGAAGACCAACTTCTCATTGTCAATAGGATCCAAAATCCTCTTTCTACACCATCCTGGCACATAATTTTCATACTCAGATTTACCTCAGGTCACAATGTGGCTGCTAGAGATCTTGGCATCATGGTCATGCTAGAGGTCACAAAAAATAGGATAGTTAGAGGAGAAAAATGGTGGTGGTGGTAGTAGGCTGTGATCTCTAATTTGTGTCAGGTCTCATTAATCAGTTTTCATGGATGTCCCACACATCACATCTTCTTGCATCTCATATATCAGAATATCATCATCTAGCTGCAAGGGAAGAAGGTAAATTTAGTCCTTATTCCATGTAGCAATGTGCCCAATAATAATAATAATAATAATAATAATAATAATAATAATAATGATTTAAGAATCATTATTACAGATTCAAGTAATAAGGATGAAAATGTGAACATTTTAAATATTAAATTAAGGGGGTGGAGCCAAGATGGCCAAATAGGAACAGCTGCAGTCTACAGCCCCCAGCGTGAGCGACACAGAAGACAGGTGATTTCTGCATTTCCAACTGAGGTACAGGGTTCATCTCACTGGGGAGTGTCAGAAAGTGGGTGCAGGACAGTGGGTGCAGCACACCGAGTGTGAGCCAAAGCAGGGCAAGGCATCGCCTCACCTGGGAAGAGCAAGGGGTCAGGGAATTCCCTTTCCTGGTCAAAGAAAGGGGTGACAGATGGCACCTGGAAAATCGTGTCACTCCCACCCTAATACTGAGCTTTTCCAATGGTCTTAGCAGAATCCTCTGCAGACTTAAATGTCCCTGTCTGACAGCTTTGAAGAGAGTAGTGGTTCTCCCAGGATGCAGCTGGAGATCTGAGAATGGACAGACTGCCTCCTCAAGTGGGTCCCTGACCCCTGAGTAGTATAACTGGGAGGAACCCCCCAGTAGGGGCAGACTGACACCTCACACGGCTGGGTACTCCTCTGAGACAAAACTTCCAGAGGAATGATCAGGCAGCAACATTGTTGGCGGATATCACCAATATCTGCTGCTCTGCAGCCTCCGCTGCTGATACCAAGGCAAACAGGGTCTAGAGTGGACCTCCAGCAAATTCCAACAGACCTGCAGCTGAAGGTCATGACTTAGAAGGAAAACTAACAGAAAGGTCATCCACACCAAAACCCCATCTGTACGTCACCATCATCAAAGACTAAAGGTAGATAAAACCACAAAGATGGGGAAAAAACAGAGTAGAAAAACTGGAAACTCTAAAAATCAGAGTGCATCTCCTCTTCCAAACAAGGACAGCTCCTCACCAGCAAAGGAACAAAGCTGGACAGAGAATGACTTTGACGAATTGAGAGAACAAGGCTTCTGATGATCAAAGTACTCGAAGCTAAAGAAGGAAGTTCGAACCCATGGCAAAGAAGTTAAAAACCTTAAAAAAAAATTAGATGAATTGCTAACTAGAATAATCAATGCAGAGAAGTCTTTAAAGGACCTGATGGAGCTGAAAACCAAGTCACGAGAACAATGTGACGAATGCACAAGCCTCAGTAGCCGATTCAATCAATGGGAAGAAGGGTATCAGTGATGGAATATCAAATGAATGAAAGAAAGTGAGAAGAGAAGTTTAGAGAAAAAAGAATAAAAAGAAACAAACAAAGCCTCCAAGAAATATGGGACTATGTGAAAAGACCAAATCTACATCTGATTGGTGTACATGAAGTGATGGGGAGAATGGAACCAAGTTGGAAAACACTCCGCAGGATATTATCCAGGAGAACTTCCCCAATCTAGCAAGGCAGGCCAACATTCAAATTCAAGAAATACGGAGAACGCCACAAAGATACTCCTCGAGAAAAGCAATTCCAAGACACATAATAGTCAGATTCACCAAAGTTGAAATGAAGGGAAAAATATTAAGGGCAGCCAGAGAGAAATGTCGGGTTACCCACAAAGGAAGCCCATCAGACTAACAGCTGATCACTCAGCAGACACTCTACAAGCCAGAAGAGAGTGGGGGCCATTATTCAACATTCTTAAAGAAAGAATTTTCAACCCAGAATTTCATATCCAGTCAAACTAAGCTTCATAAGTGAAGAAGAAATAAAATACTTTACAGAGAAGCAAAGGCTGAGAGATTTTGTCACCACTAGGCCAGCCTTACAA
Source organism: Homo sapiens (assembly GCF_000001405.40). Taxonomy (NCBI): domain Eukaryota; kingdom Metazoa; phylum Chordata; class Mammalia; order Primates; family Hominidae; genus Homo; species Homo sapiens. The sequence goes on from NC_000005.10 coordinate 50,496,567, forward strand.
GAGGCCCTGAAGGAAGCACTAAACATGGAAAGGAACAACCGGTACCAGCTACTGCAAAAACATGCGAAATTGTAAAGACCATCAAGGCTAGGAAGAAACAGCATCAACTAACAGGCAAAATAACCAGCTATCATCATAATGACAAGATCAAATGCACATGTAACAATATTAACCTTAAATGTAAAGGGGCTAAATGCTCCAATTAAAAGACACAGACTGGCAAACTGGATAAAGAGACAAGACTCACCAGTGTGCTATATTCAGGAAACCCATCTCACGTACAGAGACACATATAGGCTCAAAATAAAGGGATGGAGGAAGATCTACCAAGCAAATGGAAAACATAAAAAGGCAAGGGTTGCAATCCTAGTCTCTGATAAAACAGACTTTAAACCAACAAAGATCAAAAGAGACAAAGAAGGCCATTACATAATGGTAAAGGGATCAATTCAACAAGAAGAGCTAACTATCCTAAATATATGTGCACCCAATACAGGAGCACCCAGATTCACAAAACAAGTCCTTAGAGACCTACAAAGAGACTTAGACTCCCACACATTAATAATGGGAGACTTTAACACCGCATAGTCAATATTAGACAGATCAATGAGACAGAAAGTTAACGAGGATATCCAGGAATTGAACTCAGTTCTGCACCAAGCAGACCTAATAGACATCTACAGAACTCTCCACCCCAAATCAACAGAATATACATTCTTTTCAGCACCACATCACACCTATTCCAAAATTGACCACATAGTTGGAAGTAAAGCTCTCCTCAGCAAATGTAAAAGAACAGGAATTATAACAAACTGTCTCTCAGACCACAGTGCAATCAAACTAGAACTCAGGATTAAGAAACTCACTCAAAACCACTCAACTACATGGAAACTGAACAACCTGCTCCTCAATGACTACTGGGTACATAACGAAATGAAGGCAGAAATACAGATGTTCTTTGAAACCAACAAGAACAAAGAAACAACATACCAGAATCTCTGGGACACATTCAAAGCAGTGTGTAGAGGGAAATTTATAGCACTAAATGCCCACAAGAGAAAGCAGGGAAGATCCAAAATTGACACCCTAATATCATAATTAAAAGAACTAGAGAAGCAAGAGCAAACACATTCAAAAGCTAGCAGAAGGCAAGAAATGGCTAAGATCAGAGCAGAAATGAAGCAAATAGAGACACAAGAAAACCTTCAAAAAATCAATGAATCCAGCAGCTGGTTTTTTGAAAAGATCAACAAAATTGATAGACCTCTAGCAAGACTAATAAAGCAGAAAAGAGAGAAGAATCAAATACATGCAATAAAAGATGATAAAGGGGATATCACCACCGATCCCACAGAAATACAAACTACCATCAGAGAATAATATAAATACCTCTACACAAATAAACTAGAAACTCTAGAAGAAATGGATAAATTCCTCGACACATACACCTCCCAAGACTAAACCAGGAAGAAGTCGAATCTCTGAAGAGACCAATAACAGGCTCTGAAATTGAGGCAATGATTAATAGCTTACCAACCAAAAAGAGTCTAGGACCAGATGGATTCACAGCCAAATTTTACCAGAGGTACAAGGAGGAGTTGGTACCATTCCATCTGAAACTATTCCAATCAATAGAAAAAGAGGGAATCCTCCCTAAATCATTTTATGAGGCCAGCATCATCCTGATACCAAAGCCTGGCAGAGACACGACAAAAAAGAGAATTTTAGACCAATATCCCTGATGAACATTGATGCGAAAATCCTCAATAAAATACTGGCAAACTGAATCCAGCAGCACATCAAAAAGCTTATCCACCATAATGAAGTGGGCTTCATCCCTGTGATGCAAGGCTAGTTCAACATATGCAAATCAATAAACGTAATCCATCATATAAACAGAACTAACGAAAAAACCATATGATTATCTCAATAGAGGCAGAAAAAGCCTTTGACAAAATTCAACACTTCATGGTAAAAACTCTCTATAAATTAGGTATTGATGGGACGTTTCTCCAAATAATAAGAGCTATCTATGACAACCCACAGCCAATATTATACTGAACGGGCAAAAACTGGAAGCATTCCCTTTGAAAATTGGCACAAGACAGGGATGCCCTCTCTCACCACTCCTTTTCGACATAGTGTTGGACGTTCTGGCCAGGGCAATCAGGCAGGAGAAGGAAATAAAGGACATTCAATTAGCAAAAGAGGAAGCCAAATTGTCCCTGTTTGCAGATGACATGATTGTATATCTAGAAAACCCCATTGTCTCAGCCCAAAATCTCCTTAAGCTGATAGGCAACTTCAGCAAAGTCTCAGGATACAAAATCAATGTGCAAAAATCACAAGCATTCTCATACACCAATAACAGACAGACAGCCAAATCATGAGTGAAGTCCCATTCACAATTGCTACAAAGACAATAAAATACCTAGGAATCCAACTTACAAGGGATGTGAAGGACCTCTTCAAGGAGAACTACAAACCACTACTCAACGAAATAAAGAAGAATACAAACAAATGGAAGAACATTCCATGCTCATGGGTAGGAAGAATCAATATCGTGAAAATGGCCATACTGCCCAAGGTAATTTATAGATTCAATGCCATCCCCATCAAGCTACCAATGACTTTCTTCACAGAATTGGAAAAAACTACTTTAAAGTTCATATGGAACCAAAAAAGAGCCCACATTTCCAAGTCAATCCTAAGCCAGAAGAACAAAGCTGGAGGCATCACGCTACCTGACTTCAAACTATACTACAAAGCTACAGTAACCAAAACAGCATGGTACTGATACCAAAACAGAGATATAGACCAATGGAACAGAACAGAGCCCCCAGAAATAATGCCACATATCTACAACAATCTGATCTTTGACAAACCTGAGAAAAACAAGCAATGGGGAAAGGATTCCCTATTTAATAAATGGTGCTGGGAAAACTGGCTGGCTATATGTAGAAAGCTAAAACTGGATCCCTTCCTTACACCTTATACAAAGATTGATTCAAGATGGATTAAAGACTTAAACATTAGACCTAAAACCATAAAAACCCTAGAAGAAAACCTAGGCATTACCATTCAGGACATTGGCATGGGCAAGGACTTCATGTCTAAAACACCAAAAGCAATGGCAACAAAAGCCAAAATTGACAAATGGGATCTAATTAAACTAAAGAGCTTCTTCACAAAAAAGAAACTACCATCAGAGTGAACAGGCAGCCTACAGAATGGGAGAAAATTTTTGCTATCTACTCATCTGACAAAGGGCTAATATCCAGAATCTTCAATGAACTCAAACAAATTTACAAGAAAAAAACAAACCCATAAAAAAGTGGGCGAAGGATATGAACAGACACTACTCAAAAGAAGACATTTATTGCCACCAAAAGACACATGAAAAAATGTTCATCATCACTGGCCATCAGAGAAATGCAAATCAAGACCACAATGAGATACCATCTCACATCAGTTAGAATGGTGATCGTTAAAAATCAGGAAACAACAGGTGCTGGAGAGGATGTGGAGAAATAGGAACACGTTTACACTGTTGGTGGGACTGTAAACTAGTTCAACCTTTGTGGAAGTCAGTGTGGCGATTCCTCAGGGATCTAGAACTAGAAATACCATTTGACCCAGCCATCCCATTACTGGGTATATACCCAAAGGATTATAAATCATGCTGCCATAAAGACACATGCACACGTATGTTTATTGCGGCACTATTCACAATAGCAAAGACTTGGAACCAACCCAAATGTCCATCAATGATAGACTGGATTAAGAAAATGTGGCCCATATACACCATGGAATACTATGCAGCCATAAAAAATGATGAGTTCATGTCCTTTGTAGGGACATGGATGAAGCTGGAAACCATCATTCTCAGCAAACTATCGCAAGGACAAAAAACCACACACCACATGTTCTCACTCATAGGTGGGAATTGAACAATGAGAACACATGGACACAGGAAGGGGAACATCACACACCGGGGCTGTTGTGGGGTGGGGGGAAGGGGGAGGGATAGCAGTAGGAGATATACCTAATTTTAAATGACGAGTTAATGGGTGCAGCTCACCAACATGGCACATGTATACATATGTAACTAACCTGCACGTTGTGCACATGTACCCTAAAACTTAAAATATAATTTAAAAAAGAAAAAAAATTTAAATTAACTACTAAAGACTTACTTTGTATTTTTTATATAAAAATACATCCAAATGCAAATTCTATTTTTTTTCTTGCCCTGTAGACAACATTCTGGAACATCCCCTGAAATACATACAAATCACTTTGGAAGCCACTGATTTAGAGAATGGAATAACGTTATTTGAAAGTGACAAATGATGACTAATAGTTCACATGTGTTGATTCCCAAGAGATGCATTCTTTCATCCAGCATTTATTAATATAGATTATTTGGAACATTAATATTTAAAAGATTATAATGCATAAGTAATAAACATGCATTGAATTTCTATATTTATTAGATATTATTCAAAAGATTTCAAAGAAAGATATTAAAGTTACTCATGTATAGAGTTAAATATGTCGCTGGACGATTCATATCATATATTTGAGAGTGAGCACTAAAACACAGAGACATTTTGGGTATACACACTGGCACACATACACAAACATATGCATACATACATCCATTTACTTATTCAACTTTTTCTCTAAAACTGAAAATGAATACTTTTGGAAGGCTAATTTAAATTTTTCTCAGGTTGGCAGAACTAAAATTTGTCTTTTGCTTATGATTACTATATATGCTATCTATAAGTTTTTTGCAGAATCTTTATTTTTAGTAAATAAAACATTTCTTTAAAGAATGTTTTAATTTCAGTAAGAATGAAACAATAAAACTTTAGAAAACGTAAAAAATGTGATATTAAAAGTTAAACATTTTTACTTTAAAGTATTACCAGAAGTAGCTCCATAAATATATAGCAAAAAAATTCTTAATTAGCCCTTATCTCATCTTAGAAGCTAAAGTATTTTGCAACTTCTAGAGTAATTTCAAATAACTGATTTTACCCATTGAAGGCCTTACACTACTTATGTTTCCTATTTCAACAGTCATTTATCTTTGAAGTGGCATAGTTTGAAATGAGATATTACTCCTTGAGGAAATTCTAGACTTCTGCCTTTCAGTTTCACTTCTCTAAATAACTCAAGTTTGTAGATGGGAAGATAGGCAACATCTTTTATATACAAAGGAAGAGAAAGAGAAAAGCAGAAGAGAAGATGGACTCTTGATAATCTGTTACTAAATAAGCTCTTTAGTTGAATTTGCTTTATTCCATAATTTACACTATTCTTTTCACTTTCTACACAATTTCATGAGCATTAGTACCTGACTGGATTAGCCTCTCTGCACTCACAATTATTGTTTACTTGAAAGAAACAGCCACGTTTTTCTCTGTAGTTTAAATTTCCCAAGGTTGCAAATACAGCCTGGCTCTTACACTGTGGAAGTGTGTGTGTGTGTGTGTGTGCTCAAGCGTGTGTGTGTGCTCAAGCATGTGTGTGTCATATATGCAATTACTGATTATTCCCTATTAGGTAGGCTCTGCACTTTATATATCTAATACTAAATTTAAGGGAAGTAAATGCAAAACTATTTTATCAAAATTACAATATTTAACTTTCAATATTACATATATCCATCAAATAGCTATACTGCTACATTCTGCATTGTATATAAATGTATTTGGAATACAAAATGGTATTTTCCCTATATTCCCATCTAATGGGGAATTTCATCAGCATTATATTAAAATAATCACATACTACTGCACATCAGGTTTTAGGATTATTTGTAGTTATCTATTTTCTACCTTTTACTGGACTAAATTATAATTGGTCTCTAAAATGCTTTATTGTACTTTGTCTAGAGTATTTTCCTCAATCCCATTTTGTCTGCAGAAAAGAGTATTCAGAAAATTTCAAAGAACAGAACAGTAATGCCCTCATGGCCTGGAAAGCACATGAGATTGCCCTAAAATACATAAATTCATTTCAAGTCCTACACAAATGCACATACATATGTATATATATGTTCATATACATATAATTTCAAATTCATGTATATGACAAAATTTTCAGTTTAATTAATATGTATACACAAAAAATGAAATTAGAAATATTAGAAATATTTGACTAAAAGTCCAGATTCCTCACAAAATAACACAATTCAGTGTGTATCACACTTTAAAATATGAAACTATGTATACAACTTCAAAATTATTAGAACCTTTCTGCATATGAATCCAGTAGTGGTACTAAAATAGCAACATAATCCTTTCAAATAACAGTGGCTGTTCCATCTGAACTCTAACCTTCTCAGGCTAAGATCAAAACCTGAGCTTAATTCAACCCCTTTCTTAAATCAAACTATGTGCCTAAATAAGGCAAAGCAAAAATACACAGTAGTTCGAAAACTACATATTAGTGAAGCACTCATATTGGTTGATTTTTAAAGATATTTTACTAGAAAATAATGTTAAACCACTGAAAATAAAGGCATCTCAAAATGTAACCACTGGAGCTAGGTATAATTTTAACATTATAACCAACCGTAGTAATTTGGTTTAAAAATCAGGACTCAAGAGTATGTCATGTTCTTCTTAAACACTTCTACGTTGTATTCAAGTCAGTATTGACTTTGAAAACTTTTGTGACTTCAGATTTTGTATAGTTGTTTTTCTTAGGCTTTTCCTATCTTCTACATTTTGTTATGGAATAATTCAGAGCAATAGTCCAGGTTATTCTTGATGTGAGAAATAGTGACAAATAGCACATAGTCTGAAAGATGACAGTATCTGTGAAGATAAGCAGCCAGCAGCATTTTATCTTGGTGGTGGAACAGAGTCGAGGGTGTGAGAACATGGAAATTAGCTTCCAATTTTGAGCCATCTCTATTCCATTTGAAGAGATCCTTCTCCTCATTACTACCCCATACCTACCCAGTTTTCACAATATTCTTTTTTTTTAAGAGCAACCCTTGTTGATACATTTCTCTCATGTATACTATTGTATTTATAAGCTTATGATCTGATTAACACAGAAAATAAATAGATCAACAGCAATATAATTGATAAATTGATAAACTCTTGGTGCCTCCACATTGTTTTAATTGCAGACAAAGATATTAAGAAACTATAAAATTATAACATCAACATCTTTTCAAAAACAGCAGCCTGCTGAACACCCATCAAGTCAGAATATTTACTGGTATTTGATTTACAGGTGAAACAGAGGACAGTAGTAAAATGTGATCCAGACCAGGACAAGTGTTTGCTGGCGCAATCCCAACTATAGGTGTCACTAATATTCAAATAGTAGATTAGTAGCTTATACCAGACTCACAGTTAGTATTTTTTATAGTTTTGGGCATGTTCATTTGACCATCAATTCATTACCATGTCCTCTAGTTGACAGTTCTCCAACCTGTTGCCTATCAAAATCAATTTTTGAAATGTCTTAAAAGCACAGGTGTAAGTACAGTCTAATTCGGATCTACTTAATCAGAATCTTTGGGAAGAAAATGTAAAATTTTTCCCTCCTTCCTTCCCTTCATCCCTTTTTCCCACCATCTCCTTTCCCCCCTTTTTCTCTCTCCCTCCAGGCATATTATAGGACAAAAAAAATTAATACAAGATGAAAGAGAGAAATAAAGAAATAATGAAAATAAATCAGTATGAAAAATCTTCACTTAATAGAACACAAGTAAATATTCACATACTTTTTTGATTGAAAAATATGACTTATCCAGTTCAAATAAAAGTTGTACCAAACTGTTCAAAACCAGATATAATACCAGAGAAGATAACTCCATGTTTTTGTGTTTGCTTTTTTGAGACAAGGTCTTACTCTGTTGCCCATGCTGGAGTACAGTGGTGTGATCACAACTCATTGCAGCCTCGACCTCCGGGGCTCGAGTGATCCTCCTGCCTCAGCCTCCTAAGTAGCTGGCACTACAGGCACACACCATCATGCCTGCCTATTTTTTCTATTTTTTGTAGAGACAGAGGTTTGCCATGTTGCCCAGGTTGGTCTCGAACTCCTGGACTCAAGCGATCCTGCCTCGCCCGCTCAAATTGCTGGGATTACAGGTGTGAGCCCCCACAACTGGCCAACAACAGCATTTTAGGCCTTTTAAAATAAGTATTTATTTCAAGGGTGAGAGTTTCCCACTATTCCCACTATCATGTTTCTACGGCATTTTATTGAAACTTCTGAAGGTCCAATATGATTGGTTTAGTTGTCTACCTATATACATCTATAATATGAATTTCTTAAAGGAAATTAAATAGTACTGAGTTTGTCTCTAATTTGGCCCAATTTATCCTGCTCCTTCCTTGCTTCCACTGCCTAATACACCTTTTCCCATCTGTATTTGTCAGGGTTCTCCAGAGGAACAGAACAAATAGGAAATATGTGTATATGAAAGGGAGTTTATTAGGAAGAATTGGCTCACATGATTACAAAGTGAAATCCCACAATAGGCATTCTGCAAGCTGAAGAAGAGAGAAGTTGGTAGTGGCTCAGTACAAGTCCAAAAGCCTCAAAACCAGGAATCCAACACTGCAGCCTTCAGTCTGTGGCAGAAGGCCTGAGAGCCCTGGGGAAGCTGCTGGTACAAGTTTCAGAGTCCAAAGACCAAAGAAACTGGAGTATGATGTCCAAGGACAGGAAGAGCAGAAGCAAGCAACCAGCATGGAAAGAAGAAAGAGAGCTGCCTGCCTTGTCCTAGCTGGCCGGCAGCCAATTAGATGGTGCCCACCCACATTTAGTGTGAGTCTTCCTCTCCCAGTCCACTGACTGAAATGTCAGTCTCTTCTGGAAACACACTCAGACACACAGAGAAACAATGCTTTACCAGCCATCTAGGCATCCCTCAATCCAATCAAGCTGGCACCTAATATTAACCATCATGCTATCTTATTCATCTCTTAAATTCCTTTTTTCCTTCTAAATTAAACTTGTACATTCAGTAAATAATTACTGAATGCCTATTTAGTGCCAAGAGTTGTGATTCCATAGAAAGTACAAAATGGAATTAAGCTTTGTCTCTTCAACAAGGATATTACTGTCCTGCTGTTGGGAGTGATAGGTAAATAAAAAATTACAGAAAGTTATAACGAAGATGTGCCTGGAACCGATCCCCAATGAATATCAAGGGACTACTGTATATCATTACTATTTAGGCTTTAATGTGTCTACTTGGCTGTGCTGAACTACATTTTCCAGCATTCCCTTACTTGTATGTTAGGGTGGACCATAAGGGAGACATTTGGCAGATCTGAGGAGCAGATAGGAAGCAACAACTTCTGTTGCTAACACCTGTTGTTGCTGATCTTTGAAATGCAGCTAAAGCAGTATTGGGAGGAAAGTTTACAGCGCTAAATTCCTACATCAAGAAATTAGAAAGATTTCAAATTAACAATTTAACAGTGTACGTAGAGGAGCTAGAAAGAAAAGAATAAGCCAACCCCAAAGCTAGCAAAAGAAAAAAAATTAACTAAAGTTAGAGCACTGAATGAAATTGAGATGCAAAAACTTATACAAAAGGTTAATGAAACCAAAAGTCTGTTCTTTGATAGATGAAACAAGATTGATAGACCACTAGCTAGATTAACAAGAAAGAAGATCCAAATAAGCACAATCAGAAACGACAAAGATGTCATTACAGCTGATCCCACAGAAATACAAAAGCTCCTCAGAGACTATTATGAACACCTCTGAGCACACAAATTAGAAAACCTAGAGGAAATGGATAAATTCCTGGACATGCATAACCACCCAAGATTGAACCAGGAAGAAAGTGAAAACTTGAACAGACAAATAACAAGTTCCAAAATTGAATCAGTAATTTAAAGAAACCTACCAAACAAAAAAAAAGCCTGGACCAGATAGACTCACAGATGAATTCTACCACACATACAAAGAACTGGTACCAATTCTACTGAAACTATTCCAAAAAATCAAGGAGGAGGTACTCCTCCCTAACTTATTCTATGAAGCCAGCATCATTCTGATACCAGAATCTGGCAGACACACAACAACAACAAAAAAGAAAACTTCAAGCCAATATCACTGATGAACATAGATGCAAAGATCCTCAACAAAGTACTAGCAAACCATGTTCAGCAGCACATCAAAAAGTTAATTTATCACAATCAAGTAGCCTTTATCCCTGAGATGCAGGATCGGTTTAACATATGCAAATCAATAAATGTGATTCACTCCATAAACGGAATTAAAATAAAAAACCATATGATCATCTCAACAGATGCAAAAAAAGCTTTTGATAAACTCCAACATCTTTTTATGATTAAAAACCCTCAACAAATTAGGCATCAAAGGAACATACCTCAAAATAATAAGAGCCATCTATGACGAACCCACAGCCAACATCAGACTGAATGCGCAAAAGCTGAACCATTCTCTTTGAGAAATGGAACAAGACAAAGATGTCCACTCTCACCACTCCAATTCAACATAGTACTGGAAGTCCTAGCCAGAGCAATCAGAAAACAGAAATAAAAGAAATACACTTCTTGATATCAGCGATGGCAAATAATTTATGGCTAAGTCCTTAAAGGCAATTGCAACTAAAACAAAAATTGATTAGTGGGACCTAATTAAAGTAAAACACTTCTGCACAGCAAGAGAAACTGTAAGGAAGTAAACAGACAACCTGCAGAATGAAAGAATATACTTGCAATCTATGCATCCAACAAAAGCCTAATATCCAGGATATATAATAAACTTAAAGAAATCAACAAATAAAAGATGAATAACCCCATTAAAAATTGGACAAAGGACATAAACAGATATTTCTCAAAAGACAACATTTAAGCAGCCAACAAACATATGAAAAAATGCTAATCAAAATTCATTATCAGAGAAATACAAGTCAAAACCATAATGAGACACCATCTCACACCTGTCCAAAAGGCTTTTGTTGAAAAGTCAAAAAATAACTGATGTTGGTGAGGTTGCAGAGAAAAGGGGACACTCAGACACTGTTGGTGAGGATGTAAATTAGTCCAGCCACTATGCATTACAGAGAGTAGTTTGAATACTTCTCAAAGACCTAAGAGTTTAACTATCATTTGACACAGCAATTTCATTACTGGGTATACACCCAAAGGAAAATAAATTATTCTATCAAAGGACACTTTCACCTGCATGTTCTTTGCAGCACTATTTACAATAGCAAAAACATGGAATCAACCCAGGTGCCTATCAACAGTGGTTTGGTAAAGAAAATATGTACATATACACCATGGAATACGATGCAGCCATAAAAAATGAGATCATGTCATTTGCTGCAACATGGTTGCAGCTGGAGGCCATTATTTTAAGCAATCTAATGCAGAAACAGAAAACTAAATACTGCATGTTCTAACTTATAAGCAGGGCTAGACATTGAGTAAATGCTGACATAAAGATGGGAAAAACGGACACTGAGGACTACTAGAGTGGGGAGAGGGGGAGGGAGTAAGAGCTAAAAAACTACCCATTGGATACTATGTCCATTACCTAGGTGAAGGGTTCAGTCATACCCCAAAATTCAGTGTCATGTAATATACGTTTTTATTAACCTTCACATGTATTCCCTGCTTCTAATATAAAAGTTGAAAAAGAAAAAAACCATAAAAAAATAGAATAGCATAATATTTGCATATAACCTACACACATTCTCCTATATACTTTAAATCATCTCTAGATTATTTATAATATCTAATGCATTGCAAATGCTACATAAATAGTTCGCTATACTGTTGTATTATTTAGGAAATCATGACAAAGGAAAGAAGTCTGTATATGTTCAATACTGATGCAACCACTCATTTTTTAAAAAATACTTTTGATCAATGGTTGATGAAATCCATGGATGCAGAACCCATGGGTACAAGGACTGACTGTATTGTTCACCTACCAGGCTACTTTAGAAGAAAGTATACTACCTGTTTTCTCACATTTAATAATTTCACTGTATTTGACAGACAATATCTACATTCAATGCTGGGTATTGCGTTTTAAGAAGGTCTTGGAGGAAATGAAATGTGATCTTAGGGTGCATTCATAATAGTCATATGAGGAAGATTCTGGTGACCCTTGAGATTTTTGAAAAGTTCACATGCGGAAGATGTAATAGGCTTATTTGGCTTACTGCAGAGGATCAACAGTTAAAATGTCATGGAAAGGTAACTTTTTTTCTTTCATTTAAAGTCTAAAAAGTTGTCTTAAATGCAAGCTCTACACAAACAGGGAATAGTGTATTTGTGTGTATGTGTGTGTGGTGTGTATTTTTTAAATTTCCAATGTTCAGTACATATCCACATATGTTAAAGTGATCAAAAATGTTTGTTGGATTAATCAATTAATTGATGGACAACTGATACAGTTTTCTTGAAAAAAATAAAATTAAAGTAGTTAACCGTGAAATGGGCTATCCATATATTCCATAACTCCATTGTGTTACAGCATAAGTGTGCCATCTCTTCATAAGCATATATTCTTGTAAAAAACAGATGACAAGAAAATTTTAAAACATAAACAATCTCCATAAAAGATTCAGAATATCTCAGATCTTTGAGAATTTACATTTTAATAAAATCATGAAAATAGCACAATGGCTAAAAATATTTTATTATTCCTCGGGCAACCTGAATTTGTCGAATTGTAAAACTAGATGGAGAGTAAAAAATTATTTTAATTTTATTTTGTAGTAATGTTTATTATTCCCGAATGATGTAATTGACCAAAATATGATTTCATTTCTCATTTACTTTTATTGGCTTAGTAGTAACTAATTCTACATCAAAGACAAAAACACTGAGGATACAAAATAGTGGCTACTTAGGAATATTTTTGGTTTCACATGTTTTTGGTTTCACATTTAGGTACCTAGCATCTTTTGAGATGCACTTGTATGCATATATACAACCAATGTTTGCATCACAGGTCACCTGCACCCCCAGCAGCAACCTATGAATGCAGTTAGAATACCAATCAATTCTCCTAAAACAAAAAATCCTGCCTTTTACTCATAATCCAAGGTCCCTTCTGCCCAATACCCCAAACTTGAAGTATTTTTATTACAGTACATGAGATAATTTTCTTTTTTTTTTTATTATACTTTTAAGTTTTAGGGTACATGTGCACATTGTGCAGGTTAGTTACATATGTATACATGTGCCATGCTGGTGCGCTGCACCCACTAACTTGTCGAGATAATTTTCTATTCAAAATACTTCCTCAACAGTAACAGATTTTCAAAATAAATTAGTAGCATTCCATGTATTTGTAAGCATAACAATGTGAATTTAATGTTGTATATAAAAACAAAATTATCAAATTATCCTCGTAGAACTTTCCATATCCCTCATTTCAAACTGTTGTATTTTTCTTAGTTTTTTGAAATTTGGTTGCAGAAAATTGAGTTAGTTATACTCTGAAGAGTATCATCAGCACATTCAAGACCCTTTGCTGGTTGATATTGACTTTTCCTTTTCATCCCTGATCCCTGTACCCATCACTATTCTCACCTCTTAGATTCATTTACAGCAAGTCCTTGAATAACATCATTTAATTCAATGTCACTTGGTAACAACCGTAGTGAGAAAACAAATGGATTCCCACACGAGACCACTCTCCGTGTAGAATTTGCATGTTCTCTCCATGTTTGCATGGATTTTCTCCAGATATTCCAGTTTCCTCCCACGTCCCAAAGATGTGCATGTTCAGTTAATTGGTATGTCGAATTGTTCCAGGATGAGCTGGTGTGGGTGTGTATGTGAGTGTGCCCTGTGATAGAATAGCATCCTGTCCAGGGTTGGATCCTGCCGGGATAGACTCTGGCCACCCATGCCCCTGAATTGGAATATGCAAGTTAAAAAATAAATGAATAAATGAATGAATGAATGAATGAATACAAATTATTTTAAAATAAAAATTAGTTAACTATACAATAATCCTACAAATGCTCGACAATAAACAATGAGGTACAAAAGCCCTCATGGAGCCATATTTGTGATTGTTTTAGAGCTGCATAGTGCTAGGATGTCCTGATTAAGACTTTCACTTTGCAACATTTATTCTTTGATTTAACCCATGACCGCTATGACTGCTGTAACTCACTGATTCACCAAAAATTAAGTAAATAATTACTTTACCTGTTTCTATTCATCTTTCTTATACGTATGTATAGGTCAAGTTTATTTCAATGTTTAATTATAAGAAGTGTTCGGGGCCTTTATTTAGAAATTTGTTGATGTTTTTGTGTCCAGAAATATGCCAGAAATAGCAACTTAACTCCTGTTTATATCAATTAGCTTATGGTAAAATTGGTTCCAATATTTGTCATTTTGCCTAAAGTCACAGTTTCCAAGAACTCACCGACAACAGTAAGTGAGGACTTACTGGATATCCCTGCAAATTATATTGAATTTTGGGAATGTCAGTGTTTTAAACTTTTTCCTTTGCCCTTTTCTTCCCACCTGGATTTTCTGTCTTTTCCATGTTGATTTTCATGAATTCCTTCCCTAATCTAGATGTCAATCTAGAATATTTATTTATTTTATACATTGTAAATATCTCTTCTGAATTAGTCAACAACTGTTTAACTTTGTCTCTATTTCTTCATTAAAATAAACCTTTAATTGTAATGTAATCAAATCCATAATTTCTTTTTTCTCTCCCTCCTTCCTTCCTCCCTCCTTCCCTCCCTCCCTCCCTTCCTTCCTTCCTTCCTTCTTTCCTTCTTTCCTTTTTAGTTCATCCTCTTAGGGTCATAATCAACATGATTTTCCATTACCTCCAGGTAACACTTATATTCTCAAGATTTTTTTTCCTTCTTAATAATTCTACTTTTCACTAATTTAATGTGTGGCATATGGCCTTTACTTAATTTTTTTCAATATTCCAATGCTATCTACCAATCTATGTTTCCCCAAATCATTTATAGTTCAACTTTATTATAAATCAAATTAACACACACGTTTATAACTGCATGTTTGTGTCTATTTCTGAGCTCTCTGTTATGTCATCTTTCTTTCTGTCTTTGATGAATACCACACTGGTTTCATTATTATTATTATTATTATCATGACTTTGTACTTTATATTATGTCTAGCAAGATGTGTCCCCATTCCTTGCTTTTCTTTCTTTCTTTTTTTTTTTTTTTTTTGACAGAGTCTCACTCTGTCACCCAGGGTGGAGTGCAATGGTGCGATCTCGACTCACTGCAACCTCCCCCTCCTAGGTTCAAGCAATTCTCCTGCCTCAGCCTCCCAAGTAGCTAGGATTACAAGTGCGCGCCACTATGCCCAGCTAATTTTTGTATTTTTAGTAGAGATGGGATTTCACCATATTAGTCAGGCTGGTCTCGAACTCCTGACCTCAGGTGATCCACCCGCCTCAGCCTCCCAAAGTGCTGGGATTACAGGTGTGAGCCACCACGCCTGGCTGCTTTTCTTTAAATAAATGTAAATAAACTATTCATAGACCTTTATTCTTCCATATATATTTTTGAATACAGTGGCTAATTTCTTAAAAAGAAAGTCTGAATTTTATTTGAAAATAAGATGGCATCTTCTTGAAAATTGTGGCCATGCATATTTTAGACCCTTATCTGTGTGGTCCATTAATTCTGCTGACTAGGTTTTAGTTTATTGCCTTTCTTTTACAACATTGGAACAATCTGTGGGCTCCTCAGGGGCAGGGGTTAAAATCCAGGCCCTAGCTTGTATGCAGCTGATGAGGTTACAAATGGAGCAGGATACAGAGGGCCTCTGGTTTAACAATCAAGACTTAACCATTCTGGTTTAATTTTCTCCCTCCTCCCAACACTGCCATGTGGCTGGCTGACAGGCTGGGGTCTCTGCTCTCCCTACACCGAGTGTCTTCCAGTGCCTACCGGAAGTGCTCCTTTCTGATATTAACTCTTCAGTGTTTGGCTAATGCAGCTACTCTCTCATTCTGAGTTCAGCTTCTTCCTAACATTGTTAATAGTGATACCATCACAGGTCCTGTTTATTAGTTCAGATTGTCCATAAAACTTTACAGTAGTTTGCAGCATCAATAAAATACATTTTCAGACTTCTGTTTCCCAAGGTGTGTATATGAGACTGTTCGCAAAATTCCTGGCTTGCCAGGCAATGCAGTAAAAGCAAACTAGGAAATTCATCATACTAGAAGAAACTTCTTGCTTCCTCTCACGGGTTAGAGAATGATTGTACACACTTTGTAATAAAATATGACACAAAAAAGAGATTGTCATCCATAGGAAGAAGTAAGAATTAAGTGTGCAGACTGGGGATTTACTTACCTCATACCCTTGCACTAATTATTTAACCTCAGTTTCCTCATCTACAAAATGGAGATACTGATAGTACCTACCTATAGGATTGTTGTGAAATTAAATATGTGAGTGTGTGTGTGTGTGTGTGTATTCATCAATTTAATTAATATTATATATTATACAATTTCTACAACTGTGCTTGGCACATAGTAGGCACCTCATAAATGTTAACTATTGTTATTATTAAAGTTGTCTTCAGAGGTTCCAGGGACTTAAAAATTCAGATTCCTGAAATCCACTATTATGTGTATTCTTTTCCCCCTATTTTCTGCCCTCTAGTGGTAATTTCAAATATGATTTCTGTGCTTGATTTTATTTGGAATTCTTGTTAAATAAAGACCCACTTTTTTCCTTTTTTCCTATTAAGTGCAAGTTATTTTAATATGCAGGACTGAAAACAATTTGTAACTGTTTCTCATGGAGTTGGTAAGGGATAGTTTGAATCTTGTAGAAGAAACTTTCTCTTTAATGCCTATTTGTATTCATTTCTCTAAGACACCTCCATCCTAAAACAATCCCTTTCTCTAGAAACAAGAGCTCTTCTTTCACCTGACGTTACCTATGAGATTCCACCGCATTTTAAGTCCTGTAAAAGTAATCAGGTATTTTTACATTAAAAATATTACTTTCTGAAAAGTAAACATTTATCTCCAAAAATAACAATGTTCCAAAGATGGAATGTTAGCATCCATAGCTATTGAAAACTTTAATCAAATAATAATAATAATCCTTACTTAAGCTATTCATTGTCTCAGAAAATATGCTACGTCCTTCCATTTCTTTTAACACAGTCTCTTTCCCAATGTACTTATACTTACTCTGAATTTAGAGATAAAGGGGAATGTTCTTAACTGCTTTATAGTGAAGACAGATATTGTCAATTAGTGTAAACAACAACTGCCAACCCCCCTCCCCATTCCCCTTTTCTCCCAGTCTCAGAATATAAATAATAGCAAAGATTTAACTGCCATTCTTAAGAGCAGATTTGTGGTGCTTTTACAACATATATTTTTATACAGAATTTTAAAATATCATCTTGGGCCATATAGCTTTATCAAATAGATATATAATGAAGACAGCTTCACTAAACTGTAAGAAATTAACTGAATTATCAGGACTTGAAGTTTACATTTACAAATCAGGAAATTGAGTCAGAAAGAACTGAGGAAGGACTACATTGAGTAATAAACTATAAGATTTAGTGAGTGGATCAAGTATTCAAATATGATCTTGAACGACTTAATGTATCTATACATTATTTTGTCCTTGATCAGGATAGGATCATAAATATGAGAGGAGGAAAGAGCCCCCAGGCTGTGTAAGTCTGTTCGGTTTGACTGATAACATTCATTTCATGCTCCCTAAACCTTTCTCTAAGTAGTCTTTCCTTGAGCTTGGTATAGAAAGATGCTTACTATAAATAAAATTTTATTACCTTCCCCTTCTGAGTTAGTGAAATAATGAAGACATGTTCTCCTGATGTCAGAAATGTAAGATGTAAGATTGCAATCACTACCTTAGAATCAGAAAGCTAATAGTGGAATAAAGGGAAAGCCTACCTACTCTCTTCAGAAAGGAGATGCTGGAGGCACCCTAGGCATAGACG
Organism: Homo sapiens; assembly: GCF_000001405.40. Lineage (NCBI taxonomy): Eukaryota > Metazoa > Chordata > Mammalia > Primates > Hominidae > Homo > Homo sapiens. The sequence goes on from NC_000005.10 coordinate 50,514,560, forward strand.
ACAATGACTTTTCAAGAATATACCTAAACCTGATACATAAGCAGCTATTATTGAGCAACGGCACTGGTATTAGAAATTAATATCTTGGTACCGATTCATATTAACTGTTTTAAATCTCAAATGCTTTATGCATAATATAACTGTGATAAATTTCTATTACTTATTAAGATTTATTTGATACACTTAATTTCCTTTAATTCCATTGAATGGAAGAGCTAGCAAAGGCAAAAAAAAAAAAGGAAGAGATTTTGAGATTTTACAAGAATTCAAAGAAGGAAGTGGAAGAAAGAGAAGAAAAAAGGAAAAAGCAAGTGGCCTAATCTTCTCAAAATAATAAAGCTAAAAGAAAATGTAAAAATTAATGCATTCCAACACATTTTATTAGTACCTTTTATAAGTAAGATAATGTGCTAAGTCCCAGAGATAAAATAAGCAAAAAGATACTATTGGTAAGAAAAGGCAGCATGGTAGAGCACCCAATTATAAATTAAATGGTATGTAAGTACTGCATTGGGGTCTTAAATAGGATTCTTCAAATAACTTGCCTTGAGGAGTCAGTTAAGATTTACCAGTGGAAATAACATCTGAGGTGAGTGCTGCAGAATAAGTGAGAGACAGATAAAGAGTAGTGAAAAGAGTGTTTTAGTTAGAGGGAAATATGTGCAAATGCTGGGAAGTAAGAAAAAGAATGCACAAACACAAGTGAATGAGCAGGTTCAAGCAGCTAAAAGTAATTCAGTGTAGTTGGAGATTAGAGTTGTGGGGGCAGGGAAGAAAGTGATGGAGAAATCCAAGAATAAGGATGAAATCTGAGGCCAGATATTAAAAGATCCTCTAAGATCTATTGAAGAGTTTCTACCTTTGTATTTTTAGTAGAGATGGGGTTTCTCTATGTTGGTCAGGCTGGTCTCAAACTCCCAACATCAGGTGATCCGCCCACCTAGGCCTCCCAAAGTGCTGGGATTACAGGCGTGAGCCACCACGCCCAGCCATCTGTTGCTTATTTTTTAAGCAGATTATTAAGTCTTTTCTTATAGAGTTGTTAGAGATCCTTACATATTCTGGTTATTAATCTCTTATCAGATGGACAGTTTGCAAATATTTTTTCCCATTCTGTGGGTTGCTCTTCACTTCGCTGATTGTATCCTTTGCTGTGCAGAAGCTTTTTAACTTGATGTGATCTCATTTGTCCATTTTGACTTTGATTGCCTGTGCTTTGGGGTATTACTCAAGAAATTTTGCCCAAACCAACGTCCTAGAGAGTTTCCCCAAAGTTTTCTCATGGGAGTTTCATAGCTTTTAGGTCTTAGATTTAAGTATTTAATCCATTTTTATTTGATTTTTGTATGTGGCAAGAGATAGAGATCTAGCTTCATTCTTCAGCATATTGATATCTAGTGTTCCCAGTATCATTTATTGAAGAGACTGTCTTTTCCTCAATTTATATTCTTGGCACCTTTGTGAAAAATGAGTTCACTATAGGTGTGTGGATTTGTTTCTGGGTTCTCTATTCTGTTCCATTGGTGTATGTATCTGTTTTTATGCCAATACCTTGCTGTTTTGGTTACTATAGCTCTGTAGTATAATTTGAAGTCAGGTAATGTAATTCCTCCAGTTTTATTCTTTTTGCTTAGGATAGCTTTAGCTATTCTGGGTCATTTTTGATTCCATATAAATTTTAGAGTAGTTTTTTTCTATTTCTGTGAAGAATGTCATTGGTATTGTGACATGGATTGCATTGAATCTGTAGATTGCTTTGGGTAGTATGGCCATTTTAGCAATATTAATTTTTCCAACTCATGAACATAAAAAACCTTTCCATTTTTTGATGCCCCCTCTAATTTCTTTCATTAGTGTATTATAGTTTTCATTGCAGAGTTCTTTTATTTCTTTGGTTAATTCCTTGGTATTTAATTTTATGTGTGGCTATTATAAATGGGACAACTTTTTAATTTCTTTTTCAGATTGTTCATGGATGGCATGTAGAAATGCCACTGAATATTGTATGTTGACTTTGCACCCTGTAACTTTACTAAATTTATTCATAAGATTTAAGAGTTTATTAGTGGAGTCTTTTAGGTTTTTCCAGCTATAAGATCACATCATCTGCAAACAAGAATAATTTGACTTCTTCCATTCCAATTTAGATGCCCTTTATTTCTTTCTCTTGTCTGATTGCTCTAGCTAGGACTTCCAGTACCATGTTGAATAAGAGTGGTGAGAGTGGGCATCCTTAATGTGTTCCAGATCTTATAGGAAAGCCTTTCAGTTTTTCTATATTAAATATGATACTAGCTGTGGGTCTGTCACATACAGTTTTTATTATGTTGTGTACGTTCCTCTTATGTCCAGTTTTTTGATGGTTTCTTTTTTATCATGAAGGAATGTTGAACTTTATCTGATACTTTTTCAGCATCAATTGAAATGATCATATAGATTTTATTCTGTATTCTGTTGATACGATGTATCACATTGATTGACTTGCATATTTTGAATCTTCCTTGCATCTCAAGGATAAATCCCACTTGATCATGATGAATGATCTTTTTAATGTATTGTTAAATTTGGTTTGTTAGCATTTTGTTGAGGATTTTTACATGAATATTCATCAGAGATATTAGCCTGTACTTTTCTTTTTTTGATGTGTCTTTGTCTCATTTTGGTATTAGGGTAAAAATGACCTCATAGAATAAGTTTGGAAGTATTCCTTCCTCCTCTTTCTTTTCAGAAAAGTTTGACGAGGATTGGTGTTAGTTTTTCTTTAAATGTTTGGTAGAATTCAGCAGTGAAGTCATTGGGTCCTGGGATTTTCTTTACTGGGAGATATTTTATTACAGCTTTGATCTTGCTATTTGTTATTGGTCTGTTCAGGTTTTAGATTTCTTCTTGGTTCAATTTTGGTAGGTTGTATGTATCTAGGAATTTGTCTATCTCTTCTAGATTTTCCAATTTATTGGCATATAATTGTTCATAATAGCCACTAATGATCCTTTGAATTTTTGCAGATTCAGTTGTAATGTCTCTTTTTTCAATTTCTGGTTTTATTTGTTTGAATGCTCTCCCTTTTTTTCTTAGTCTAGCTAAAGGTTTGCAATTTTGTTTAACTTTATAAAAAACCAACTTTTTGTTACGTTGATCTTTTGTATTGTTTTCACCTTTATTTATTTCTGCTCAGACCTTTATTATTTCTTTTCTTCACTGGTTTTGGACTTGGTTTTCACTTGCTTTTCTAGTTCTTTAAGATACAGCATTAGATTGTTTATTTGAAGTTTTTCATCTTTTTTGATGTAGGCATTTATAGCTATAAACGTCCCTCTTAGCACTGCTTTTGCTATATCCCATAGATATTGGTATGTTGTGTTTCCATTATCATTTGTTTCAAGAAATTTTTCAATTTCCTTCTTAATTTCTTCATTGCCCCACTGGTCACTCAGGAGCATATGTTAAATTTCTGTGTTTGTATAGTTTCAGAAATTCCTCTTGTTATTAATTTCTAGTTTTATTCCATTGTGATCAGAGAAGATGCTTGATATTATTTCAATTTTTAGCATGTTTTAAGGCTTGTTTTGTGACTTAACATATGGTCTGTCCTTGAAAATAATTCATGTGCTGAGGAGAATAATGTGTATTCTGCAGCTCATGGATGAAAAGTTCTGTAACTATCTACTAGATCTATTTGGTCTATAATACAGATTAACTCTGATATTTCTTTGTTGATTATCTGTCTGGGAGATCTGTCCAATGCTGAAAGTGGGGTGTTGAAGTCTCCAGCTTTTATTATACTGGGACCTATCTCTCTCTCTCTCTCTTTAGGTTTAACAATATTTCCTTTATATATCTGGGTGCTCCAGTGTTGGGTGCATATATATTTACAATTGTTATATCATCTTGTTGAATTGACCCCTTTTTCATGATATAGTGACCTTCTTTTTCTCTTCTTATAGTTTTTGTCTATAGTTGTTGATATAAGTACAGCTACTCCTGTTCTTTTATGGTTTTCGTTGGCATGGAATATCTTTTACCATTTTTTAATTTTGAGTCTATGTGTATCTTTAAAGGTAAAGTGTGTTTCTTGTAGACAACAGATCATTGGCTATTGTCTATTGATTGTATAATTTAGTCCATTTACATTCAATTTTATTAATGATAAGTGAGGACTTACTCCTTCCATTTTGTTATTTATTTTCTGTGTCTTTTTGTGTGTGTGTGGTCTTCTCTTCCTTCTTTCTTTCCTTTCTCTCTTCCTTTAGTAAAGGTGATTTTCTCTGGTGATATGATTTAGTTTATTGCTTTTCCTTTTCTGGTATCCATTGTATATTGTTTTGTTTGAGGTTACCATGAGGCTAGCAAATACTATCTTATAAACGCTTATTTTAACCTGATAACAATTTAACACTGCTTGGATAAACAAACAAGCAAAAAGAAAACTAACAAAAACTCTCCACTTTATTTTGTTGTTTTATTTATCATATAGTACTTCCTATGTCTTTTTTTTTTTTTTTTTTTTTTTTGAGATGGAGTTTTACTTTTGTTGCCCAGGCTGGAGTGCAATGGTGCCATCACGGCTCACTGCAACCTCCACCTCCTGGGTTCAAGTGATTCTCCTGCCTCAGCCTCCTGAGTAGCTGGGATTACAGGCATGCACCACCACTAGTTTTGTATTTTTACTAGAGACAGGGTTTCCCCATGTTGGTCAGGCTGGTCTTGAACTCCTGACCTCAGGTGATCCACCCGCCTCAGCCTCCCAAAGTGCTCCTGGCTTGAGCCACCGCGCCCAGCCTGTACTGCTTATGTCTTGAAAAGATGTTGTAGTTACTATTTTTATTGGTTCATCATTTAGTCTTTCTACTTAGGATAAGAGTAGTTTACACACCACAGTTACAGTGTTATGATATTCTATGTACTTTCTATTACCAGTGAGTTTTATACATTCAAGTGATTACTTATTGGTCATTAATGTCCTTTTATTTCTGATTGAAGTAGTCCCCTTTAGCATTTCTTGCAGCACAGGTCTGGTGTTGATGAAATCCCCCAGAAATCCCTCAGCTTTTGTTTGTCTGGGAAAGTCTTTATTTCTCCTTCATGTTTGTAGGAAATTTTCTCCAGATAAGCTATTCTAGGGCAAAAGTTTTTTCCTTCAGCACTTTCAATATGTCATGCCACTCTCTCCTAGACTGAAAGGTTTCCTTGGAAAAGTCTGCTGCCAGACATACTGGAGCTCCATTGTATGTTATTTGTTTATTTTCTGTTACTGCTTTTCGGATCCTTTCTTCATCCTTGATCTTTGGGAGTATGATTATTAAATGCCTTGAAGCAATCTTCTTTGGCTTAAATCTGCTTGGTGTTCCATAACCTTCTTGTACTTGGATATTGTTATCTTTCTCTAGGTTTGGAAAGTTATCTGATATTATCCCTCTGAATAAGCTTTCTACCCCTATCTCTTTCTCTACCTCCTCTTTAAGGCCAGTAACTCTTAGATATGCCCTTTTGAGGATATTTTCTAGATCCCGTAGGTGTGCTTCATAGTTTCTTATGCTTTTATCTTTGTCTCTTCTGTCTATTTTCAAATAACTTTTCTTCAAGCCCACTGATTCTTTCTTCTGCTTGATCAGTTCTGCTATTAAAGAACTCTGATGCATTCTTCAATATACCACTTGTACTTTTCACCTCCAGAATTTCTGCTTGCTTATTTTCAATTGTTTCAATCTCTTAGTTAAATTTATCTGATAGAATTGTGAATTCTGTCTCTGTGTTAACTTGAATTTCTTTGAGTTTCCTCAACACAGCTATTTTGAATTCTCTGCTTGAAAGGTCGCATATCTCTATTTTTCCAGCATCGATCCCTCATGCCTTATTTAGTTCATTTGGTGAGGTCATGTTTTCCTGAATGGTGTTGATGCTAGTAGTTGCTCTTCGGTGTCTGAGCATTGAAGAGTTAGGTATTTATCGTAGTCTTCATTGCCTGGCCTTATTTGTAGCTGTCCTTCTTGGGAAGCCATTCCAGATATTTGAAAGAACATGGGTGTTGTGATCTAAGCTGTGACCTAAGCTTTAAGGGGGCACCCCAAGCCCATTAATGCTGTGGCTCTTGCAGAATGGTAGAAGTACCGCCTTGACAGTCTTGGACAAGATTTGGAAGAATTATCTGAATTACTAGGAAAAGTCTCTTGTTTTCCGTCCTTACTTTCTCTCAAACAGAGTCTTTCTCTCTGTTCTGAGCCACCTAAAGCTGGGCTGGCAAGACGCCCCTGTGGCTACAACCACTACGACTCCACTGGGTCAGACCTGAAGCCAGCACAGCACTGTCTACCCAAAGCCTCCTGTAGCCATTCTCTGGCAACGGCCTATGTTTGTTCAAGGCCCTGGAGCTCTACAAACTGCCAGTGTCAGAGCCAGCCAGGCTCGTGTCCTTCCCTTCAGGGTGGCAAGGTCCCCCAGATCCCAGATGGGTCCAGAGGTGCCATCTGGGAGTCAGGGACTAGATTCAAAAACCTTAGAAGTCTACCTGGTATTCTTTTATACTGTGGCTGAGCTGGCATTTAAACCCACAAGATGCAGTCCTTCCCACTCTTCTCTCCCCTTTCCAAAGGCAGAGGAGCATCACCCCCTAGTGACCACCACCCCCAGGCCAAGAGGAGTTCTGCCAGACTACCACTAATGTTACCAATGTTCCCTGAAGGCTCAAGGGCTCTTAAGTCAGCTTGTGATAAATGCTGCCTGGCCTGGGACTCACCCATCAGGGCAGTGTCCAGGAATGTCATCCAAGAGCCAAGTACTGGAATTGGGGATCTCAAGACCCCACTTGGTGCTCTACCCCTCTGTGGCTGTGCTGGTACCTAAGGTGCAAGACAAAGTCCCCTTTACTTTTCCCTCTGCTTTTCTCAAGCAGCAGTTTTGCCTCATATGCACCACAGCTGGTAATGTACTGAGTCTTACCTGAAGCCAGCAAATTTCAGAGGCTCACCCAAGGCCCTTGACGTAGTGCCTGGGTATTGCTGCTGATTATTCAGGGCCCAAGGACTCCTCTGTTAGCAAGTGATAAATATTTCCAGGGCTGGGTCCTTTCAAAGCAATGAGTTCCCTTCTGGCCTAGGGTGTGTCTAAAAATGTCAGATGGGAGCTAGGGCCTGGAACGGAGGCCTCACTACTCTGACTGGTGCCTTATCCTGCTGTGGCTGAGCTGGTATCCAAGATGCAAAACAAAGTCCTCCCCATTTATCCCTCTCCTCTCCTCAAGCAGAAGGAAGGGTCTCTTTTGAAGCCGTGAGCTGTGCAGCCTGGGGTTAGGGGAGGGGTGATGCCAGCACTCCCTTGGCTGCCCCAGCTGATGTCTCAGTATGTCACGTGCCCCCCAAGTGCACTGTCTCTGGACCTAGTTCAGCACTAGGTCTTGCCTAAGAGTTGCAGTCCTTATGGTCTAGACTGCCTTTCAAGTTTACTTAGAGACATGGAGTGTTGTAACCCTCAGTGGCAAGGTTTGAGGGAACTCAAATTTGGACCACTAAGCTCAGGAATTCCCCTCTGGCTAGGGCTGGTTTAAATGCTCCCTCCATGGGTGGGTGTCAGGTGAGTTTGGTCTGGTTTTTCTTTTTACTCTAATAGGACAGAACTGAGTTCAATGCCTCACAATTACTGTGTTCTCCCTCCCACAGCACCCAGAGATGCTCTCGACAACACACGGCTGCTGGGGTGAAGGGGCAGTGAAGGATAGGGGTGGAGGAGGGGTGGCATTGGTGATTCAAGGCTGTTTTTGCTATCTTTTCAGTGCCTTTTTCAGCAATATGAAGTTAAAACCAGGTACTGTGAGTGCTCACTTTATTTTTGGTTATTATGAAGGTGTTTTTTTCTGTGTAGATAGTTGCTAAGTTGCTGTCCTTGTAGGGGTAGGGGGATGAAGGGTGGAGCCTTCTATATCACCATCTTGACTATGTCTCTCTTTTCTCACAATAATAACCTTCCTTATTGTACTGCTAAATGTATCTCACAAACACCTTTGGACAATGTTTAGATATAGACTTTTTTTGTTTGTTTTTTGGTTTTTGCTGGATACAGAGAAAGTTAGAAAATAGACTCTTAGCTAGAAAGGACTAAGAGAGAAGACTGTTCTGAGAATTTAAAGATCAAAACGAAATAAATCATTAAATGTCTGCCTATTTTTAAGTTACACGATGAAAACAAACTCATTTGACTCTTTCTGTCTCCTTTCTGGTTTGATACACAAGCACATGCTGTCTTAGAAAAAGGAATTGCCTAAATGAATAAAATAAACTTTATTCTTACAGACTCTTAGAGCAAATCCAGTCAACTAAGAGACTCTATCATCATCATTAGAGCAAGAGTCAAAGGGACATTGACTTTTATAGGTAGAGTTTATACTGACCAATTCTCTGCTTTATTTTGTTTAACAGTTAATGTAGTGCTGTAAGAATTTAGAGATGAAATAAAATACTCATTCTTTATTTCTTATGTAAAGATTCAGGGAATGAAAAAGAAAGCACAAAATAAATATGGCATAGTTTCTACTCTTCAAGAGTTTAAAATATTTTTACTTATAAAGTGAATATAAGAAGAGTTTTGTTATTTTTTTAAGCCAAACCTACTGCATATGAACAACAAGTAAGTACAAATTAACAGTTTATCTAAACTTATGGTATAAGTGCTGGGATGACTTAGAGTAGTCATAACCAGTATCAAGTGGGGTTGAGGAGAAAATGTACTTAATGCAGTTTAATATAGAGCTCTCTCATAGAAGGGAACAGATCTGAAATTGCAATGGGGAAGGACAAAACAAGCTAGTTGAGTGTAAGAAATAGCTAGAATATTAGGTGTGGGTGGGATTAAGGACTGCTTCATGATTAATAAAGATTCTCAAACTCAGTGGAAGCAAAAAAAAAAAAAAGAGAAAGAAAGAAAAAGAAATGCCTTTGGGGAATATATCAGAAGACTTCTACAGAATCAACATACTTCAAAATGAAACTGAACAAAAATGCCAAAACTTACATATTTTTCACCAACATAGAGAAATGGAGATTCTTTCTGAAAATATGACATTTTGGTTTTTTAAAGAAAGAAAGAAAGAGAGAAAGGGAAAGAAAGAGGAAGGAAGGAGGGAAGGAAGGAAGGAGGGAAGGAAAAAAGAAAGGAAGGAAGGAGGGAAGGTAAAAAGAAAGGAAGGAAGGAAGGAAAGAAGGAAAGAACATTTAACCCAATTAGGTCAAATATTTTGTTACAGAAATTTAGTTCAACTTCAGAGGATCTTTCTTCTTTCCTATTCACAGGAAAAATAAGTAATACAACCACAAGCAAATCTTAACATAGAATGTATTTTCTTCCTCATTGCCTTATGCCTAATTTAATCATGTGCAGATCATCTATTTCACCTACAGAGCTGTGTACAAATTTGTTTTGACCTTTTTTTAATATATTTCAGAAATAATACACTATTTGGGATTTGTATTTGATTGGCTATATTTACATTTTTTTTGAAAAACTACTTATTAAATGTGAAAAATATTCCCTCCTCCCATTGTAAGCTAAATTTAAAATTGTTCAGGTGGTGCTATCATCAGCACTTTACCTATCTTTATGCATATATGAAAATCATCACTTTGTGATTTTTACAAGCCTTATAATTTTTCCTAAAATACTGACTTCCTGCTGAGATGCTTCAAATGTAGATATACCACATTTCTGTTTTCCTTTACCCATCTGCTAATTATAACGATCAAACTATAAGTTATATCTAAATAATTAGAAGCAAAGTCTGTACATTAAGAATGTAGAACCTGAAGAAGGAAGAAATGAGTAAGTGAATAAATGATGAATTGTTTTGTGTCTATGTGGATTTTTTTGTGTCTATGTGGACTTTTTTCTAAGTGAACTCTGAACAGCTATTTTTTATAACAGGGATGAGGGAGAAAACCAGGGCAGACTATCCATGTAGCAATAATTGAAATAGCTAATATTTACTACATTCCACCCTCTTTTCTAAATATTTTATACACATTCACATGCTTAATCCTCACAAGGACCAGAGGCAGATGCTATCGTTATTCCCATTGTGCAGATGAGTAAACTGAGGCATTTAGAGGTTAGGTAATTTATCCTAAGGTCATGGAACTTATAAGTGGTGAAGCTGGGATTCAAGTCTAAGGCATGAGACTCCAGAGGCCAAAATTGAAACCACCACTCCAAAAATGAAATATACAAAGAAGGAAGCCTATTATTGAGTACTGATCATACAACCATCCAACGACATGCTACGTTCATCTGCATTGGTGCAAAGCAGGTGTCTACACCAGCTAACTCACATTTCTTCTTAACTTTCTGTCAGCAACTAACAAACCCTAGCATTTAAATTTTACATTTTCTAATTCATTGTTCTTCTCTTATATGGGAGACCCGCTTCAGTTTTTGAATTTGTTTCTTCTTGATGAATAGGTAAATCAAACTAACCAGCAAGGACTCATCTTTCAAGATTCTCTGGCAGTGACTCTGAATCCATATTAACATAACTCTTCGATATAGATCATCTCAACTAAGTATCATTTCCAGGAAGGTGTGCATCATGTTGGATGCTTTCACTGAGTCTGAAACTTACGAGTTGACATGTCAAAACCTTAATTATCTTTAAAGCTCTTGCTAGGGTGCAATCTCCTCAGTGAGCTCTTACCTTCCCTATCTTGCGTCCATCCCTTCTACGTGCTATTAGTACTGCATCGTCACTATGGATTTGCATTTTTTATATGCTGTTCTCACACTGGGTTCTCCAGTAAGTAAGTAAGATCTTTAAGAACAATCATGGTATTTTGGAAGGCCCTGGTCTGAGAAAAGTGCCTGACATATATTAGAAGCATCGTAAATGTTTATGAGGCTACAATGAAATGTGACTACTATGTCAGCGTTGTTGCAGGCTGGCAGCACTTTATCCAACTACCTGTACACCTCACTTTTTAGCTAGGGTACGATTTAAGTCATACACATTGAGAAAAAAATCCTGTCATATTTTCCCCAAATTGTCCACAAAGCTGTATTCTTCTAGTATATCTTGTCTCCATATACTCTTGTGACATTTTTAGTTTTACTTTACATTAAGTCACATTTTTAATCGATTTATTAAATTTAGGAAGAAGTCTACAAATTAAAAGCCATCACAAATATACAGTCACACATTTTATGTGGTGCACATTTTAAAAATATTATATTTTAGCAGTATACAAAACAGCATCTAATTTTATCAAAATAAGCTTGCTAGTCATTGTTATTCCCATTAAAAAGATAAATTATCTTTCCAAATGATTCTTAAAGATATATAAAATGCAACTTCAATTTTTAGCAGGATGGCTGATTAAGATAACTAGAAACTCTAAAAGTGTAAATAACTAAATGTAACATGTAACATGGTTAGCATATAACAAAATGGGCTGGTAACATATAACAAAACATTTTAAATGCATAGCTACGTTTTCAACAAAGAAAAGGAAACCTGTAGGTACCAGAAATAAGATGGAAACCAAAAACCAAAGGGTAAGCATGTGAGTGGAACCTGAGGCGATGTACTTTTCCTCCCGGTATTTTCAAAACTCAGGTTGTATTTACAAGATGAGACAGAGGACATGCATGGCCTATGCAACCTATGCATGACAAAGAACGGGAACTGAGAGAATGGAGCAGAACAGGGGCCCTCAAAAGTCTACACATTTGATAGATGATTAAATTTTTAAATTGCCCAGCATCACAGGAAGATAGCAAGGAAGTTTGTCTGTCTCTGTCTAGGCTCTATGTTTTACACGTATATATCTCCAAAGAGAAATTTTAGTCCTTCGGCTATCCCAGGTTTGAGGTTAAAATGAATATACTGTTAATTTTAACAATATACATCATATTATTCCTAAGACAGGGATTACCATTAAGTCACCTGGTAAATCTACTTCAAAGCTGTTTCTTAAAGACAGGCCACAAGTATTCTCTCAGATAAAATGCAGGGAAAACCCTCAGTAAAATAAAGTAGCAATTAAAAAAGAAAACATGGAAATCGCAGAAATAAATTATCATGAATTAGGTTAAGCAAACACTATAGAAAGATTAGAGTCTTGGCCCGGAGCGGTGGCTCACGCCTGTAATCCCAGCACTTTGGAGGGCTGAGGTGGGTGGATCACAAGGTCAAGAGATTGAGACCATACTGGCCAACATGGTGAAACCCCGTCTCTACTAAAAATACAAAAATTAGCTGGGCGTGGTGAGCACCTGTAGTCCCAGCTACTCAGGAGGCTGAGGCAGGAGAATCGCTTGAACCCAAGGGACGGAGGTTGTGGTGAACCGAGATCGTGCCATTGCACTCTGGCTGGCGACACAGCAAGACTCTGTCTAAAAAAAAAAGAAAAAAAAAAGATTAGAGTCTCAAGAATGTGAGATATAGAAAGATAATTTAAAAGAGAATATAGAAAAATACATATCAGTGTACAACTTTTTTTTAATGCACAGAAGCATAAACATGGCTGCACTGACAGGTAATTTTCCTAAAGGGGTATGGGGAGGAAGAGATCAGACTAGACAGGAAAAGGAAGATCAAAGGTAAATAGGTAAATGAGGGTGAATGAGGTCGTGATCCATGTAAAGGAAACAGTTTGAAGAATAAGAATATTGTGAAAATAGCCTAATTTTGGTGCATATTATAGAATCCTGAGAAATCAGGTTGAGCGGATAGAATGGGTCCATTTCAGTAGGGTAAGCCAGGCTGAAGTAAGCATCTTGGTTGGTTTCCAACATCCATCCCATTGCTTCTCTACTAAGTAGCTGTATGATTTGGGAATGCAATTCTATTCAAGGTGGGCTTGACTGGTCCACCCATCCCCTCCCCAAATCATGTCTGACCTATAAGACTTTAAACTCACCCACAACTTATTGGCACCTTGTGCCAATGTAGGCTCTCTTGCTCTATTTCTCCCCACATTGTTTTCTGGAATTTATAGTATCCAGTTGAACAACAAAAAAAGACAAGCACAAGTGAAGGGCTCAAAAATATTCCTGCTGCCTTAAAAGCAGTACATGTGTAGTAGCATAACGGATATTTAGAATTCTGATTGGTGTAATGCAGAGGGAGGAAGTAAAGATAGGATGAGTAATGTGTTCATAAATGTTTAACAAAATGAGGGAGTCCTGATTTGTAGCCTCTGATGATCCTTTCGAAATGGGAGTAAACACTCTCACCCTGGCTGATTTCAAGATTTAAGTAGTTTAACAAGCAGCTTTCAAAATTCCTGATAATGTAGCTCTTGACTTGACAAACAATTATGAGCAGTCTGGCTCTCACGCACCACAGCTCTCAACCCACCTTTAGAAGATAGCAAAGTGCCACTTCAGATGTTCTCTCACCAATGGATTAACCATTGCATTTTTCCAACTGGTTGTATCAGCCTAGGGATGACAAATATTCTTCTCAGATTCTAGCAGTAGAGTTACTGTCATCCTAGGTGTTAATGGTAGTGTGAGCATTGTCTTTTTCTTATTTTAATAGAAAGTTGGGAAACAACAACAAAAAAAACAAACAGAAGCTATTTTAAGTTAGACTCCCAAACTATAAAATACTAATAATATTTATAAATTTATTCATTAATTCAATAAAAATGTATTAAGCACTTTCTAGGTACAGTTTAAGGTAGCAAGGGTAGAGCAGTGGGGAAAAAGTAAAATAATTAAAACCAACTAACCAAACAATTTCTTCTCTTCTGCCCCTCTCTGAGTTCTTCCCTAATTTGGTTTATAAAATATCTCATTTCTTTCCTTTATGTAAATGAAATATATGGCAGTATATATACATATAATTCTGAATTTGAATTCATAAATGATGGAAGGAAATAAATCTGCTTGAAAAAAATATGACAGACCATAGATAAACATCCACAAATAGAATTAAAAAAAAAAAAAAACTTGCCTAGGTTTTTGCAAGTCACAGGAACAGCAACCCATCTAGTAAATAAAATAATTGCAGCACTTTTTGTAATAGAAAAATATCTGAAAGATCCATCAATTGGAAAATTGATAAATAATTGTGCTGGATCCATATAATAAAATGTTGCATAACAGAGAAGATGAATAAATCCAAACTATAGACACCAATATGGGTGAACCTTACAAATCTAAAGTTGAACAAAAACAAATGCCAAAAATGTATAAAGCACAATGTTTTAAATATATAATTGTATAAGCCTTTAATCTATGTATAAGTACACATGTGTGTGGATAATCAATCTTACATTCATGGCAATAATAAAAAATTTCATAAAAGTGGTAGCCTCAGAAGTTGAAGAAAGCATGATGCTATTAAAGAGTTGTAATCGGCTTTAGCTGTTTTCAGATTGATTTCTTTTTAAGCTGGATAATTAGCATACAGATTTTTATTATCTTACTTTTTCTTTTGGAACATATGAAGTGTTTTATACATATTTTATTTGTCTTTTAAATTAATTTTTCAAATTAATTTTTTAGACAGGGTCTTACAGAGCCCTGGGTGGAGCTCAATGATGCAATCATAGCTCCTTGCAGCATCGAACTCCTGAGCTCAAGCAATTCTCCCACCTCAGCCTCCCAACTAACTGGGACTACAGGCATGCTCCACCATGCCTAATTTTTTTTTTTTTTTTGGTAGAGACTGGGTCTCACTGTTGACCAGGCTGGTGTCAAAACTCCACTCCTGGTCTAAAGTGATCTTCCCACCTCGGCCTCCCAAAGTGCTTGGATTACAAGTGTGAGCTTGTAATCACTTAGCTGGGCTGATAACATATTTTAATAATAGATTTTAAATCTATTGACTAAATTTTTGTAGCTTCACAAGTATTTGTGTGGTTTGAACATTAGTAAACAGTGTATTATCCTATGCATAAAAACCCTCATTAGTAATTCTTCCTTTCAAGTTTGGGAATTACTTGAATTAAATATGGAAGCTCCATATTTAATTACCAATGAGTCAGTATTGTTATTAAGGATTTTCTACCCAATTTCATATTGTAACTTTCAGAGTAATTCATGTGCAAAAAAATCAGAATTAATAATTGAGAATTGGAGACAGGAGTAATCTCACCTAGGATATAAAGAATGGTGACACAAATACAGTCTCTCTTTGTTATCCATTATCTGCATTTTGTCCTAGGAAGACCTACCCAGTTTTTCATGACCAAGATTTGTGATGTCATCTGAGTGTATACGCTGCTGTGTGTGTGCACAAGCACGTGTGTGCAAAGGTATGTGTATCCAGTGAAAAGTGCCTGGTATAATTTTTAATTATAGAAATGAATCCAAAGCACAGAACATGAATTGTAATCAAATAGGATAATTTCTCTGAAACTAACTTGTATATTGATTAAAGACTCAAAGTTGTGGAGTTTTGATCTAGAAATCCCTGCTTTCCCAACCTTAGAATGAAATGTAAACACTGCTGGATGGAGGTAAACACTGCTGAGATAACTCTAAATTAGCCTATAGGGAATATTTTTGTCTCCCTTCATTGAAGTTTAAGGTCAGATCTAAGCAAAAATTTCCTTGCAATAAAATGGGCTTGGGGAGAACAAAAATGTAGTCAGCCATCGATTTTCCAAATTCTAGACCTCCTTTGGTCACTGACCAGTTTTGTAACCTTATTTCTCTAGTCTTACTTTCTCATATCTCATCTTTTCCCACTTGTATAAAATATCTGGCATTTTATGCACAATTATGCAATTCATGCTGATTATATTTACTTGCGGTAAATAGACCTGGAATGTTTAATAGAATTTGTTTCCCAAGGCAACCCATGACTTTACATGTGCCCCAGAATTTTCCTCTGAAATAATGAAAGTTTTCTAGCATTACAAAAACTGAAACAAGGTGTTTTTTTCTAGTTTATTCTTGATGGAAAAAAATAAAATAAAATTAGAATACTTGGGAACTGAAAGAACCAGGAAAGTACATGCAGATGTGCTTGCCCTAAAATGAAAACAAATTTTCAGGACAAATGGAGAAGCAGCATATAAGGTTTTACTGATGCTCGAACTTTTCTTCTTTGCTAAGACTATGCAGTTTTTTTCTTAGAACCGTATAACTAAAGGGGTTCTATCAAACACTAGCACAAGTGTACTTTAAAGAAACAAAACAATTATAAAACTCTACATGGAAAAGTGTTGATATGTCAAAAATTATAAGTTAAGTAAGATTAGTTTACTTACAAATGCTGTAGCATTTAATACATTGTTTAAGGCCAAACCTGGTGGCTCATGCGTGTAATCCCAGCACTTCAGGAAGCCAAGGTGAAAGGACTGCTTGAGCTCAGGAGTTGGAGACCAGCCTGGGTCACACAGGGAAACCTTGGTCTCTACTAAAAATAATAATAATAATAATTTAAAAATCAGCTGGGTGTCCTGGTACTTGCCTGTAGCTGCAGCTACTCAGGCGTCTGAGGCAGGATGATTGCTTGAACCCAGGATTTCGAGGCTCCAGTGAGCTATGATGACACCACTGCACTCCAGCCTGGGAAACTGAGTGAGACCCTGTCTCTAAAATGTAAATAAATAAAAATAAAATGTAGTTCACTTATGAGAATTATATCTCCATTTAAACTCTATTAAATATTGGTTAAAGTGTTGAACAGCTATGATTTAAAACTTATGTTAGCGTTGAATGTGTCCCAGAGATTCTGGTATGTTGTGTCTTGTGTTGTGTTTATGTTATGTGTGTCTTATGTTATGTTGTGTTCTCGTTG
Source organism: Homo sapiens (assembly GCF_000001405.40). Lineage (NCBI taxonomy): Eukaryota > Metazoa > Chordata > Mammalia > Primates > Hominidae > Homo > Homo sapiens. Next base: position 50,531,292 of record NC_000005.10, read on the forward strand.
GTTTCAAAGAACATCTTTTTTTCTGCCTTCATTTCGTTATGTACCCAGTAGTCATTCAGGAGCAGGTTTTTCAGTTTCCATGTAGTTGAGTGCTTTTGGGTGAGTTTCTTAGTCCTGAGCTCTAGTTTGATTGCACTGTGGTTTGAGAGACAGTTTGTTATAATTTCTGTTCTTTTACATTTGCTGAGGAGTGCTTTACTTCCAAGTATGTGGTCAATTTTGGAATAGGTGTGGTATGGTGCTGAAAAAAATGTATATTCTGTTGATTTGGGGTGGAGAGTTCTGTAGATGTCTATTAGATCTGCTTGCTGCAGAGCTGAGTTTAATTCCTGGGTATCCTTGTTAACTTTCTGTCTCATTGATCTGTCTAATGTTGACAGTGGGGTGTTAAAGTCTCCCATTATTATTGTGTGGGAGTCTAAGTCTCTTTGTAGGTCATTAAGGACTTGCTTTAAGAATCTTGGTAATCCTGTAATGGGTGCATATATATTTAGGATAGTTAGCTCTTCTTGTTGAATTGATCCCATTACCATTATGCAGTGTGTAGAGGGAAATTTATAGCACTAAATGCCCACAAGAGAAAGCAGGAAAAATCCAAAATCGACACCCTAACGTCACAATTAAAAGAACTAGAAAAGCAAAAGCAAACACATTCAAAAGCTTGCAGAAGGCAAGAAATAACTAAAATCAGAGCAGAACTGAAGGAAATAGAGACACAAAAAACCCTTCAAAAAATTAACGAATCCAGAAGCTGGTTTTTTTTGAAAAAATCAACAAAATCAATAGACTGCTAGCAAGACTAATAAAGAAGAAAAGAGGGAAGAATAAAATAGATGCAATAAAAAAATGATAAAGGGGATATCACCACCGATATCACAGAAATACAAACTACCATCAGAGAATACTACAAACACCTCTACACAAATAAACTAGAAAATCTAGAAGAAATGGATAAATTCCTCGACACGTACACCCTCCCAAGACTAAACCAGGAAGAAGTTGAATCTCTGAATAGACCAATAACAGGCTCTGAAATTGTGGCAATAATCAATAGCTTACCTACCAAAAAAAGTCCAGGACCAGATGGATTCACAGCCGAATTCTACCAGAGGTAAAAGGAGGAGCTGGTACCATTCCTTCTGAAACTATTCCAATCAATAGAAAAAGAGGGAATCATCCCTAACTCATTTTATGAGGCCAGCATCGTCCTGATACCAAAGCCTGGCAGAGACACAACAAAAAAAGACAATTTTAGACCAATATCCTTGATGAACATTGATGCAAAAATCCTCAATAAAATACTGGCAAACCGAATCCAGCAGCACATCGAAAAGCTTATCCACCATGATCAAGTGGGCTTCATCCCTGGGATGCAAGGCTGGTTCAACATATGAAAATCGTTAAATGTAATCCAGCATATAAACAGAACCAAAGACAAAAACCACATGATTATCTCAATAGATGCAGAAAAGGCCTTTGACAAAAATTCAACAACCTTCATGCTAAAAACTCTCAAAAAATTAGGTATTGATGGGACATATCTCAAAACAATAAGAGCTATCTATGACAAACCCACAGCCAATATCATACTCAATGGGCAAAAGCTGGAAGCATTCCTTTTGAAAACTGGCACAAGACAGGGATGCCCTCTCTCACCACTGCTATTCAACATAGTGTTGGAAGTTCTGGCCAGGGCAATTAGACAAGAGAAGGAAATAAATGGAATTCAATTAGGAAAAGAGGAAGTCAAATTGTCCCTGTTTGCAGATGACATGACTGTATATCTAGAAAACCTCACTGTCTCAGCCCAAAATCTCCTTAAGCTGATAAGCAACTTCAGCAAAGTCTCAGGATACAAAATCAATGTACAAAAATCACAAGCATTCTTATACACCAATAACAGACAAACAGAGAGCCAAATCATGAGTGAACTCCCATTCACAATTGCTTCAAACAGAATAAAATACCTAGGAATCCAACTTACAAGGGATGTGAAGGACCTCTTCAAGGAGAACTACAAACCACTGCTCAATGAAAAAAAAGAGGATACAAACAAATGGAAGAACATTCCACGCTCAAGGGTAGGAAGAATCAATATTGTGACAATGGCCATACTGCCCAAGGTAATTTATAGATTTAACGCCATCCCCATCAAGCTACCAATGACTTTCTTCGCAGAATTGGAAAAAACTACTTTAAAGTTCATATGGAACCAAAAAAGAGCCTGCATTGCCAACTCAATCCTAAGCCAAAAGAACAAAGCTGGAGGCATCACACTACCTGACTTCAAACTATACTACAAGGCCACAGTAACAAAAACAGCATGGTACTGGTACCAAAACAGAGATATAGATCAATGGGACAGAACTCAGAAATAATGCCACATATCTACAACCATCTGATCTTTAACAAACCTGAGAAAAACAAGCAATGGGGAAAGGATTCCCTATTTAATAAATGGTGCTGGGAAAACTGGCTGGCCATATGTAGAAAGCTGAAACTGGATCCCTTCCTTACACAATTATACAAAAATTAATTCAAGATGGATTAAAGACTTAAATATTAGACCTAAAACCATAAACACCCTAGAAGAAAATCTAGACAATACCATTCAGGACATAGGCATGGGCAAGGACTTCATGTCTAAAACACCAAAAGCAATGGCAACAAAAGCCAAAATTGACAAATGGGATCTAATTAAACTAAAGAGCTTCTGCACAGCAAAAGAAACTACCATCAGAGTGAACAGGCAACCTACAAAATGGGAGAAAATTTTTGCAACCTACTCATCTGGCAAAGGGCTAATATCCAGAATCTACAAAGAACTCCAACAAATTTACAAGAAAAAAGCAAACAACCACATCAAAAAGTGGGCGAAGGATATGAACAGACACTTCTCAAAAGAAGACATTTGTGCAGCCAAAAAACACATGAGAAAATGCTCATCATCACTGGCCATCAGAGAAATGCAAATCAAAACCACAATGAGATGCCAACTCCCACCAGTTAGAATGGCGATCATTAAAAAGTCAGGAAACAACAGGTGCTGGAGAGGATGTGGAGAAATAGGAACACTTTTACACTGTTGGTGGGACCGTAAACTAGTTCAACTGTTGTGGAAGTCAGTGTGGTGATTCCTCAGGGATCTAGAACTAGAAATACCATTTGACTCAGCCATCCCATTACTGGGTATATACCCAAAGGATTATAAATCATGCGGCTATAAAGACACATGGCACACATATATTTATTGCGGCACTATTCACAATAGCAAAGACTTGGAACCAACCCAAATGCCCATCAATGATAGACTGGATTAAGAAAATGTGGCACATATACACCATGGAATACTATGCAGCCATAAAAAATGATGAGTTCATGTCCTTTGTAGGGACATGGATGAAGCTGGAAACCATCATTCTCAGCAAACTATTGCAAGGACAAAAAACCACACACCACATGTTCTCACTCATAGGCGGGAATTGAACAGTGAGAACACATGGACACAGGAAGGGGAACATCACACTCTGGGGACTGTTGTGGGGTGGGGGGAGGGGGGAGGGATAGCATTAGGAGATATACCTAATGCTAAATGACGAGTTAATGGGTGCAGCACCCCAACATGGCAATGTATACATATGTAACAAACCTGCACATTGTGCACATGTACCCTAAAACTTAAAGTATAATAATAATAATAATAATAATAATAACTTATGTTAGCACAGCATCTTGCATACATAAAAATGATGTTAGATGTTACAGTGGTTCTTTCTGTTTTTTCATTTTTAATTGAGGACTGTGCTGCAAATGTGAACAAACCAGAACCTCAATATTGGTCCTTGCAGATTAATACTCTGAAATGTACAATTCTGTCATTTGACAAAGTAGTGTAAGTGGACTCAGGGTGGATACAGAGTATAATAATGACATTAAAAGTAATTTAATTTGAACCTTCATGAGAAAGGCCTGTAGATTTTTTTCTTTAGGATAAATCCACAATTATTTTCTAAATATCCTTATTAGCTTGAAGCAGTGAACTGGGAATTTTACTTTCCCAAAACAGTCCAGAAGGAAAAATTTTCCTTTCTTTTCTTACCACCACTATGAAATTTCCAAAAAAAAAATTGAAAGGACAAGTTACGTTACAGTTTCCAATGCTCAATTGCCTTCTAGACTGTTCTAATTCAGAGCATAGAATCCACTGTGTGCACCTGTCCAGATCCCCACATTCAAGTCTGCTTCGATAGCCTGCTCATTGGAACACTTCCACATCACTGTCCCTCTGGGGCCTCATCTGCTTACACTGCTGGCTGTCTCAGCCCTCTCAGGTGTCAGCTGGGCTCCAGCACAGCCCTCACTTCCTAGTAACGAAGGGACCTGCAGCAGCCCAGGTGTCCAGACCTACATTGAAGGGACGCATGGGGGCTGTGGTTCTTCCCGTCATGTCCATAATCAGATGAAGTTCTGTAGAAAGCCTGAGACAGAACTTCCCGAGCAGCTAATGACACAACTCAGAAGTATGGGGTGTGATGCCTCATTGTTCAGCAGTGAGAGACAGAAGAAAGAGGTTGACAAATCCAGTTTCTCAAAAAAAAACATTTAATAGTGTAAACTAAAAATAAAATTCTACACCCCCCCCCAACAGAATGAATGGACCGTTTCTTGGCCAAGGTGGACCCCAGAGAAACCTTGAAAACTGAGTTCTTAGCCATGACAGGATAGGAGGTTGGACACAACTCATTAGACCCCCTCCCTTACTAATGGTTAACCACCATTAGGCTTTCTTTCCTAGGGGCTAAAAAGAAACCAGCCCTCTCAAAGGACTCCACCACAGATATCAACCAACCACCTGAAAAAAGACCACTGACCCTGGAGTAGTCCTGACTAGTCTACGAAGAATGGGCAGTAAGGATTTTCATGTCCTCTGCTTCATCTTTTGGCATCAGAGGGCTGAAAACTCTACCCTCGGATCAAGCCAATGCTGCTGTTTTTTTTGTATGTGGGACCCATGAGGGCCGAGACGCTCAATTGCACATGAGCATAGTTCTCCTTTCACAAATATACATGACTCCTCCCATACCTTATGGAATGTGTACACTTGCCACTCTGCCCAACATAGATTCCTGTTCCAGTTTTCCCTCCCTGGAAGTGTGTGTTTCTGGTTTCTGGCTATAGGCTACAATTCCCAGCCTGTCAGAATGGCACCCCGAAGGCTGCAGCCCTTTATGAGAAATAAAGCTCTCCTCTCCAAATTTACAAACCTTGTCATTCTTCAGTTGACAGTTTGCGAACCTTGTCATTCTTCAGTTGACTTAGGAATATTAGCCATATCTCTGGTGGTGGTGAGAAGATATGGTGGATCCCTGCACCATTCTGCCTCCGACCCAGGGTTTTTTTTTTTACCATAGGGAAAGGGTACACGTGCTTCAAAAGGAATTTGTAAGACAATTGAAGTAATTTGCTCAAGGACAGAATTTGTGGTAAATCAGTCAACACCTCTGAGTAGCATTCAAGATGGAGTTGCTTTACCTCCACACAAACTTAGAGTAATGAGAAAAAAAAAAAAAAGCCAGCAGATAAATTCCTGTCCTGTCTTTCTATCTCACACTTTCCTAAGTAGCAGGGGTTACCTTACGACCTGCTTGGGATATGTCCTTAGTGTTAGTGAGGAAGCAAAATGTGCTTTGTTCTAAAGATGTGGATTCCTGGATGAGGTACTACATTTTCTCCTTCCCTGAATCACTTCTTTTCCCCTCACTGTTGCTACCCTAGCATTACTTTTTCAAGAAAGTATTAGGACTTAAGCTTTGACCCAGGCTAAATGTTTTTAGGGAACTTTAAAACATTCACTTTAGGCATATGTAATCTTAAACATATAAGAAATCTAAAATATGAGAATAATTAAAAGTCCTTCAGTATAATTTTCCCTGAATATCCATAGTTTTCACTCCTTAACAACAACAATACCCCAAATTAAAAATATATATATAAGGCAAAAGTCTCCTTAATGCCAGTCAATTAATCTAGTTCAGAAGAAAGCTTTATTTTTCTCATAGCTCTGTACCATATAATATAAAATGCTAACAATTTAAAAAAAAGGAAAACCTTAATGAGGACTGGTGAAAAATAAAATAATTAGTCAATATTTTAAAAGAAATACAGGAAACATTTTATTTAGTTTACTATGGAGAAAAGATCCTATAAACAATAATGATAAACGTTAACAGAAACAAATCCATTGACTGTTTTTTAAAACAAATTTTATTGAGGTGTAGTATTCATATAAGAAAATGTACCCATTTTTAAAAATGTACCCACTTTACAGTTTAATGAGTCCTGACAAATACCTATATCCATGTAACCACCATCACAATCAAGATTTAGAATATTTGCATCACCCCAAATAGTTCCCTTGTGAGCTTTTGCAGTAACATTTTCCTACCCTTACACCCAGGCAACTGCTGGCCTCATCAGCTTTCACTTCCTGTCACTATACAGTTTTGTCCATTCTAGAATTTCATATAAATACAATCATCACACACACGTTATGTATGTATGACATGTTATGTACATGTGTACATGTTGTGTATATATCTGCTCTTTCTCTCAGCACATTTTTGAGACTCATCCATATACATGTGTGTATGAGTTTGTCCTTCCTATTGCTAATATACTATTGTATTCATGTACCACATGTTGATGCACATTTGCATTACTTCTCATTTTTGGCTCTTACCAATGAAGCTGCTATGAACATTCATGTGCAAGCTTTTCTGTAGATACATGTTTTTACTTATTTTGGGCAAATATGTAGTAGTGGAATTGCTGTATCCTAAGTTAAGTGTACATGTACTGTTATAAGATACTGCCACATTATTTTCTAAAGTAGTTGTACCCACAAGCAATGTGCAAGAGTTCCAGTTGCTCCACATCTTTCCCAACATGACATTGTTAGTTTTTATAGCTGTATCTATTTATATGGGTAGTGTTATCTCCTGGTAGTCTTATTTTGTATTTTCTTTCTGAATAATGATGTTGAGCATCTTTTCATATGCTATTGGCCATCTTGTATCTTTTTTGTGAAGTGTCTGTTCAAATCTTTTATCCTTTTTTTTTTATTGGTGTGTTTGTCTTTTTATTCACTTTTAAACAATAGAAAGCTGGCAGAATCTGCTGGGCGTCTTGTAGTCTGTAAATATGCCAGGAAATTTTAGTTAAATTTATGAAATAAACTGTTGGCAATAATTTATTACCTCATTTTCTGCTGCTATCCTCCTTTTTCAGGAAACTTCATCTATTTTAGCTTTCTATTCACTCTTGGAACAGGCCCAGACTTTCTCCCCACTTCACATTGCTCTTACAATTAGCTGTCCTTAGAATTCTTCCTCCCTATCCCCTGATTCCCTCTCATCTTTCTAGTCTCAGCTCCAATGTCATATCCTCAAAGGTACCTTCCCTGACCACCAAAACTAAAATAAAGCCTTTTATACAATTTCTTGTCACAGCACTCTATTCCATCACTTCTCACAATCTGCAGTAATATATTTTTATTTGCTTACTTGTGTATTGTTTTGTTCCCCCACCAACCTGTGCTGCATGAGGGCAGAGATTATACTCAGCTTGTTTTCCAAGGAATCTCCAGCACATTGCAAAGTGCAAGGTTCACAATGAGTGTTGAATAAATACTTGTCATTGAATGAATTAATATCTCAATTCTCTATGAGTTATTAAATTGGAGGATGAATAGGTTTAGAACAATCATTCCCTATAGTTCTTTTGTAGTTTTTCATAACTATGAGTAATTCACAAATGCAGATAACCTTGTAATTCCTTCTTACTTTCTTATTCATCAGGAGATTCTTGTAGTAGAAGAGGCTTCATAAGCCTTCCTAGATAACTATATGCAAAAATGGACATTCCAAGGAGCCACACAGATTTGTCCTTGGCTTTTTTGGAACTCCATATCAATGTTGAAACTTTTTAGAAGTTTACAACTTTGGGAACTATCCTAGAAGGATTTTTGGAATAACAAGGTTAGCCTAGGTCTACTGGGCAATTACTGGGCTCATTGGGAGACTAGGCAGATTCCATAATGAAGAAAGCATGTCCAGGAGAAGACAATGAGGAGTGGTGGGCAGCCTGGTGAGCACCAACACAAGTGTTGTCATGCCGAAATGCAGGATCAATTTTTCCTAATCTTTGAATTTGTGAATGAATAAATGAATAAAGATCTTGGTTTGCACTTAATAATCATATAAATACTGGCAAGTTATTTAATCTGTATGTATCTTAGTTTCTTTTTCTTTAATGTGTCATTAGTAATATTTAATTTATAAGCTGTTTTCTGGATAAAGAAAATGCTGGTAGAATGCCTGATATATATTAGAAGCTTTATTTTGTTGTTTGTTACATTTCAAAATACTTCAACTCATATGTGTTAGAAAACAAGCATTTTCTAAACATGTACTGTATTCCATTCTCTATTCAAAGTACATACTTAACAAATACACACTGATAGCAATAAAAGTTTAATGTGGTGGGAAAAAAATAAGGAGCAATTAGGATAACCTAGAGGTTGCAGCAACAAATAAAAGAAAAATCGAAGAGAAAGAAAGAAGGAAACAAAGAAACAAAGGAAGAGAAGGCAGGAAGGAAGGAAGGGAGGGAGGGAGGGAAGGAAGGAAAAGAAAGAAAGAAAGAAAGAAAGAAAGAAAGAAAGAAAGAAAGAAAGAAAGAAAGAAAGAAAGAAAGAGAGAAAGAGACAAAGAAAGGAAGGAAGAAAGAAAGAAGAAAGAAAGAAAGAAAGAAAGAAAGAAAGAAAGAAAGAAAGAAAGAAAGAAAGAAAAAGAAAGAAAGAAAGAGAGGAAGAGAGAAAGAGAGAAAGAAAGGAAGGAAGGAAGAAAGAAAGAAGAAAGAAAGAAAGAGAGGAAGAGAGAAAGAGAGAAAGAAAGGAAGGAAGGAAGAAAGAAAGAAGAAAGAAAGAAAGAAAGAGAAAGAGAAAAAGAAAGAGAGAAAAAAGAAAAGGAAAGAAGAAAAGGAAAGAGAGGAAGGAAGGGAGGGAGGGAAGGAAGAAAGAAAGGAAGGAAAGAGGAAGAAAATGAGACATATAATAATTCAAAGAAAAAATTACTTTTATGACACAGTCAATAGGGCAGATATTCATACACACTTAAAAAATAATTATTTTAAGATATTAAATATTCTCCAAAGAATAAGAAGGTTATATAATTTGTGCTTGATGAAAACCAAAGACAATGTATCATTTATTTGTCAATATCATGGAATTAGATATCTACATATATTTTCCAGACATTCAAATGTTACACTGTGAAATTTAAAAAAAAAATAACTTTGTCTAACTATAAAATTATAAATGTGATGCAGGTGGTATTATGTAGCAACTGGGTCTTAAAAATTAATCAAACAGTCTAAAGTTAAATAGCTACAAAATTTCTGTTCAATCTTAAGTCTTTCAGGATAGAGAAGAGAAGTTGACTAAATAAAATAATTTTTAAAAACACATCCAAAAGCAATGGACATATGACTAAAATTGGCACCTCTAAGCAGATTAATTTCAAATCTTCCTCGCCATATGTTCCATCTTAATGTGGAGCATACATACGTGTATAACCTGTTGCCAGCTCAAATTCAGTGAGGAGTCTGTCTTTCAGAGGTGATGTCTTTACTTCAGCAAAAGGAGTTTAATTTTCTCAATCAAAATCAGTTTTGTTTTCTCAGTTACTAAGGCTTAAAAATATACATTTGCCAGGGTGGAGCCAAGATGGCCGAATAGGAACAGCTCCAGTCTACAGCTCCCAGCATGAGCGATGCAGAAGATGGGTGATTTCTGCATTTCCAACTGAGGCACCAGGTTCATCTCACTTGGCAGTGTCAGAAAGTGGGTGCAGGACAGTGGGTGCAGTGCACCATGCATGGGCCAAAGAAGGGCGAGTCATCGCCTCACCCGGGAAGCACAAGGAGTCAGGGAATTCCCTTTCCTAGTCAAAGAAATGGGTGACAGATGGCACCTGGAAAATGAGGTCACTCCCACCCTAATACTGCACATTTCCAACAGCTTAACAAATGGCACACCAGGAGATTACATCCCACACCTGGCTTGGAGGGTCCTAAGCCCACAGAGCCTCGCTCATTGCTAGCACAGCAGTCTGAGATCAAACTGCAAGGCGGCAGTGAGGCTGAGAGGGGAGTGCCTGCCATTGCCCAGGCATGAGTAGCTAAACAAAGTGGCCTGGAAGCTCAAACTGGGTGGAGCCCAACACAGCTCAAGGAGGCCTGCCTGCCTCTGTAGGCTCCACCTCTTTAGGCGCCACCTCTGGGGGTAGGGCACAGACAAACAAAAGACAGCAATAACCTCTGCAGACTTAAATGTCCCTGTCTGACAGCTTTGAAGAGAGTAGTGGTGCTCCCAGCATGCAGCTTGAGATCTGAGAACGGGTAGACTGCCTCCTCAGGTGGGTCACTGACTCCCAAGTAGCCTAACTGGGAGGCATCCCCCAGTAGGGGCGGACTGACACCTCACACAACCGGGTACTCCTCTGAGACAAAACTTCCAGAGGAACGATCAGGCAGCAGCATTTGCAGTTCACCAATATCTGCTGTTCTACAGCCACTGCTGCTGATACCCAGGGTCTGGAGAGGACCTCCAGTAAACTCCAACAGACCTGCAGCTGAGGGTCCTGTCTGTTAGAAGGAAAACTAACAAACAGAAAGGACATCCACACCAAAAACCCATCTGTACATCACCATCATCAAAGACCAAAGGTAGATAAAACCACAAAGATGGGGGAACAAACAGAGCAGAAAAACTGGAAACTCTAAAAATCAGAGTGCCTCTCCTCCTCCAAAGGAACGCAGCTCCTCACCAGCAATGGAACAAAGCTGGACGGAGAATGACTTTGATGAGTTGAAAGAAGAAGGCTTCAGAAGATCAAACTACTCCGAGCTAAAGCAGGAAGTTTGAACCAATGGCAAAGAAGTTAAAAACTTTGAAAAAAAATTAGATGAATGGATAAATAGAATAACCAAGGCAGAGAAGTCCTTAAAGGACCTAATGTTGCTGAAAACCACAGCATGAAAACTATGTGACAAATGCACAAACCTCAGTAACCAATGTGATCAATGGGAAGAAAGGGTATCAGTGATGGAAGATGAAGTGAATGAAATGAAGCGTGAAGAGAAGTTTAGAGAAAAAAGAATAAAAAGAAACAAACAAAGCCTCCAAGAAATATGGGACTATGTGAAAAGACCAAATCTACGTCTAATTGGTGTACCTGAAAGTGACAGGGAGAATGGTACCAAGGTGGAAAACACTCTGCAGGATATTATCCAGGAAAACTGCCCCTCCCCACCAATCTAGCAAGGCAGGCCAACATTCAAATTCAGGAAATGGAGAGAACGCCACAAAGATATTCCTCGAGAACAGCAACTCCAAGACACATAATTGTCAGATTCACCAAATTTGAAAGGAATGAAAAAATGTTAAGGGCACCAGAGAGAAAGGTCGGGTTACCCACAAAGGTAAGCCCATCAGACTGACAGTGGATCTCTCAGCAGGAACTCTACAAGTCAGAAGAGACTGGGGACAAATATTCAACATTCTTAAAGAACAGAATTTTCAACCCAGAATTTCATATCCAGCCAAACTAAGCTTCATAAGTGAAGGAGAAATAAAATACTTTACAGAGAAGTAAATGCTGAGAGATTTTGTCACCACCAGCCCTGCCCTAAAAGAGCTCCTGAAGGAAGCACTAAACATGGAAAGGAACAACTGGTACCAGTCACTGCAAAAACATGCCAAACTGTAAAGACCATCGAGACTAGGAAGAAACTGCATTAACTAACGAGCAAAATAACCAGCTAACAAAATAATGACAGGATCAAATTCACACATAACAATACTAACCTTAAATGTAAATGGGCTAAATGCTCCAATTAAAAGGCACAGACTAGCAAATTGGATAAAGAGTCAAGACTCATCAGAGTGCTGTATTCAGGAAACCCATCTCACATGCAGACACATGCATAGGCTCAAAATAAAGGGATGGAGGAAGATCTACAAAGCAAATGGAAAACAAAAAATGTAGCGGTTGCAATCCTAGTCTCGGATAAAACAGACTTTAAACCAACAATGATCAAAAGAGACAAAGAGGGCCATTACATCATGGTAAAGGGATCAATTCAACAAGAAGAGCTAACTATCCTAAATACATATGCACCCAATACAGGAGCACCCAGATTCATAAAGCGAGTCCTGAGTGACCTACAAAGAGACCTAGACTCCCACACAATAATAATGGGAGACTTTAACACCCCACTGTCAACATTAGACAGATCAACGTGACAGAAAGTTAACAAGGATGCCCAGGAATTGAACTCAGCTCTGCACCAAGCCAACCTAATAGACATCTACAGAACTCTCCACCCCAAATCAACAGAATATACATTCTTTTCAGCACCACACCACACCTATTCCAAAACTGACCACATACTTGGAAGTAAAGCACTCCTCAGCAAATGTAAAAGAACAGAAATTATAACAAACTATCTCTCAGACCACCGTGCAATCAAACTAGAACTCAGGATTAAGAAACTCACTCAAAATTGCTCAACTACATGGAAACTGAACAACCTGCTCCTGAATGACTACTGGGTACATAACGAAATGAAGGCAGAAATAAAGATGTTCTTTGAAACCAACGAGAACAAAGACACAACATACCAGAATCTCTGGGATGCATTCAAACAGGGTGTAGAGGGAAATTGATAGCACTAAATGCCCGCAAGAGAAAGCAGGAAAAATCTAAAATTGGCACCCTAACATCACAATTAAAAGAACTAGAGAAGCAAGAGCAAACACATTCAAAAGCTTGCAGAAGGCAAGAAATAACTAAGATCAGAGCAGAACTGAAGGAAATAGAGACACAAAAAACCATTGAAAAAATCAATGAATCCAGGAGCTGGTTTCTTGAAAACATCAACAAAATAGACAGACTGCTAGAAAGACTAATAAAGAAGAAAAGAGAGAAGAATCAAATAGACGCAATAAAAGATGACAAAGGGGATATCACCACTCATCCCACAGAAATACAAACTACCATCAGAGAATGCTATAAACACCTCTATGCAAATAAACTAGAAAATCTAGAAGAAATGGATAAATTCCTCGACACATACACCCTCCCAAGACTAAACCAGGAAGAAGTTGAATCTCTGAATAGATCAATAACAGGCTCTGAAATTGACACAATAATTAATAGCATACCAACCAAAAAAAGTCCAGGACCAGATGGATTCACAGCCGAATTCTACCAGAGGTACAAGGAGGAGCTGGTACCATTCCTTCTGAAATTATTCCAATCAATAGAAAAAGAGGGAATCCTCCCTAACTCATTTTATGAGGCCAGCATCATCCTGATACCAAAGCCTGGCAGAGACAAAACAGAAAAAGAGAATTTTAGAACAATATCCTTGATGAACATTGATGCAAAAATCCTCAATAAAATACTGGCAAACTGAATCCAGCAACACATCAAAAAAGCTTATCCACCATGATCAAGTGGGCTTCATCCCTGGGATGCAAGGCTGGTTCAACATATGAAAATCAATAAACGTAATCCAGCATATAAACAGAACCAAAGACAAAAACCACATGATTATCTCAATAGATGCAGAAAAGGCCTTTGACAAAATTCAACAACCCTTCATGCTGAAAACTTTCAATAAATTAGGTATTGATGGGACATATCTCAAAATAATAAGAGCTATCTATGACAAACCCACAGCCAATATCATACTGAATGGGCAAAAGCTGGAAGCATTCCCTTTGAAAACTGGCACAAGACAGGGATGCCCTCTCTCACCACTCCTATTCAACTTAGTATTGGACATTGTGGCCAGGGCAATCAGGCAGGAGAAGGAAATAAAGGACATTCAATTAGGAAAAGAGGAAGTCAAATTGTCCCTGTTTGCAGACGACATGATTGTATATTTAGAAAACCCCATTGTCTCAGCCCAAAATCTCCTTAAGCTGATAGGCAACTTCAGCAAAGTCTCAGGATAGAAAATCAACGTACAAAAATCACAAGCATTCTTATTCAACAATAACAGACAAACAGAGAGCCAAATCATGAGTGAACTCCCATTCACAATTGCTTCAAAGAGAATAAAACACCTAGGAATCCAACTTACAAGGGACATGAAGGACCTCCTCAAGGAGAACTACAAACCACTGCTCAATTAAATAAAAGAGGATACAAACAAATGGAAGAACATTCCATGCTCATGGGTACGAAGAATCAATATCGTGAAAATGGCCATACGGCCCAAGGTAATTTATAGTTTCAATGCCATCCCCATCAAGCTACCAATGACTTTCTTCACAGAATTGGGAGAAACTACCTTAAAGTTCATATGGAACCAAAAAAGAGCCCGCATCGCCAAGCCAATCCTAAGCCAAAAGAACAAAGCTGGAGGCATCATGCTACCTGACTTCAAACTATACTAGAAGGCTACAGTAACCAAAACAGCATGATACTGGTACCAAAACAGAGATATAGACCAATGGAACAGAACAGAGCCCTCAGAAATAATGCCGCATATCTACAACTATCTGATCTTTGACAAACCTGACAAAAACAAGCAATGGGGAAAGAATGCCCTATTTAATAAATGGTGCTGGGAAAACTGTCTAGCCGTATGTAGAAAGCTGAAACTGGATCCCTTCCTTACACCTTATATAAAAATTCATTCAAGGTGGATTAAAGACTTACATGTTAGACCTAAAACCATAAAAACCCTAGAAGAAAACCCAGGCAATACCATTCAGGAGATAGGCATGGGCAAGGACTTCATGTCTAAAATACCAAAAGCAATGGCAACTAAAGCCAAAATTGACAAATGGGATCTAATTAAACTAAAGAGCTTCTGCACAGCAAAAGAAACTACCATCAGAGTGAACAGGCAGCCTACAGAATAGGAGAAAATGTTTGCAATCTACTTATCTGACAAAGGGCTAATATCCAGAATCTACAAAGAACTCCAACAAACTTACAAGAAAAAAGCAAACAACCACATCAAAAAGTGGGCGAAGGATATGAACAGTGTCTACTTGTCAAAAGAAGACATTTGTGCAGCCAAAAAACATATGAAAAAATGCTCATCATCACTGGCCATCAGAGATATGCAAATCAAAACTACAATGAGATACCATCTCACACCAGTTAGAATGGCGATCATTAAAAAGTCAGGAAACAACAGGTGCTGGAGAGGATGTGGAGAAATAGGAACACTTTTACACTGTTGGTGGGACTGTAAACTAGTTCAACCATTGTGGAAGACAGTGTGGCGATTCCTCAAGGATCTAGAACTAGAAATACCATTTGACCTAGCCATCCCATTACTGGGTATATACCCAAAGGATTATAAATCATGCTGCTATAAAGACACATACACATGTATGTTTATTTCGGCACTATTCCCAATAGCAAAGACTTGGAACCAACCCAAGTGTCCAACAACGATAGACTGGATTAAGAAAATGTGGCACATATACACCATGGAATACTATGCAGCCATAAAAAATGATGAGTTCGTGTCCTTTGTAGGGACATGGATGAAGCTGGAAACCATCATTCTCAGCAAACTATCGCAAGGACAAAAAACCAAACACCGCATGTTCTCACTCATAGGTGGGAATTGAACAATGAGAACACATGGATACAGGAAGGGGAACATCACACACCGGGGACTGTTGTGGGGTGGGGGAATGGGGGAGGGATAGCATTAGGAGATATACCTAATGCTAAATGATGAGTTAATGGGTGCAGCACACCAACATGGCACATGTATACACATGTAACTAACCTGCATGTTGTGCACATATACCCTAAAACTTAAAGTATAATAATAATAATAATAAAAAGAAACTGAGGTATGTATGTCGAGAAAAAAATATATGTATACATTTGTCTTTCAGTTTTTATTTGATTCCAAATCTCATGTCCAACCAGTTACCAAGCTTAAAAAACTTCTTCATATGAGACGAGAAGATTGACAGTTATTTCTTATTTCCTTTCTTAAGCCTCAAACCAGAAAGGAGAAGAGAAATCCTAAATGTGACAACCGCTGTTCAATCATTTGTTTATTATTGGAAGAAGGAGCCTCTGAATTTAAAAATAGCCTTGCCTAAAGTCAAGTTTTCAAAATCTATTCTTGTCACTGCTACTAACTAGCCCTTTGACTAAAGATAAGACACTTCCCCTTTCTGATCTTCATAATTGTAGGGGAAGTGGCATGCTAAAACACCTTTCACTTCTAAAATTCCATATGATTCTCTTCTATTTGTTTCTTTCTTTCCATTCCCCACTATAGCTCACCCAAATAGAGGCATTTGTCACTTTGCTTATAGATATTTACATTAGTTCATAAATATCAACTCTTTGCCCTAATATCCACCTTTGGACTTCACTGAAAGATTTATCTTTCCTTAAAGCCACTTTCTTTGTTTTTTCCTTATCTAAAGTGGCTAACAATGTTAAAGGAAAGGTAAAGTTATACTGCAGATCTTTCCCATCACCATCCCCTGAAATTTCTTGCGGTACACACCACCTACATAATCAAGCTTTCTACTCCAGTCAATCTGTATCACTCAATATAAAAGTATATGCGGAGCCTTCTCATTTTTGCCCTTTTGCCATCTTATGTACGTATTTCTTCTCTACCTGGAATGTCCTCTGCATTTATTGGTACCCACTCAAATTTTGCCTTGCTCATAGTTCACATTTCAAAAAAAAAAAAAAAATTATGCTCATTACTTTAAGCCAAAGTGATCTGTCCTACTTCTTAGCTCCAATATCAAATGACAAGACTTGAGTGCTAATAGGTTGAGGTGTAGGGAGGACTCTCAGGCCCTCAGGGACAGAGGCTTTCCATGTTGAGCACCTTGTGGTGAGGAGTCCCCATTGCCACTTTCCCTTAGGTACTCTGCTGAGACAGTTTTTAAAAACATAAACGGCTGTGCCGCACCTATAACTCACCTACACTGTGCATAACAACAACGACTTACTACAAGCCCGTGGATTTCTCTGGCTGAGAACTCTCTTTGGCTCCTGGGCAGACCAGGCCAAAAAGTTCTGGAGAACTAACACACCTAGAAGAAAACCTTAACAAATGAGAGATGAGCACTTGTGAATAAATACCTCAGTTTTCCTTGCTCCTGAGGAGTGTTCCACACAGTCTTCCACAGGTCTCCAGTGGGACAGAGCCCCAGATGCCCCCAGTGATCATCAAAAGACTGATGTACGTACCAGCCAGGCTTCTCCACTCCCCTGTCAGTACTTCCAGAGATCAACTCTTACATAAGCCACTTGCACTCAGATACTTGAGTACTTGAGTTGAAGTCTCCTTCTGAGGGAAATAGATTGGTTTTTTATACATCTTTGTTTTTCAGAGATGAGGTCTCACTATGTTACCCAGGCTGGATTCAAACTTCTGGGCAATGCTCCCACCTCAGCCTCCTGAGTAGCTGGAACTACAGACATACATTTGTTTGTTTTGGTTTTTTCCTTTTGCCTTGATTTATGTAATTTAATCTTTTTAGAAAATTATAATTTCATTTGTGCTTTCCAATTGGTTGATACACATTTATGCATTATATTCTCTCATAATTTTTTAAAAGTCTAATGTAGATTCAGTTTATGTCTTTATTTTCAACCCTAAAGCTGTTTTTTGGTCCTTTTTCTCTTGTGTAATTTAACGTGCTTAAAAGAATGTTTTTTACTTATTTTTGCAATGAATTATCTCTTAGTGTGATTGATCCTCATTTCTGATTTTTGATTGTGGTTGCTTCTGCTACTTTTGTTATTTTTTATTTTATTATCTTCTTTTTTAAAACTGGTATTTCTTCCCCTACTTTCTTTCAGTTCACATTTCTAGCTTTTTGAACACCGAATTTATTTATTCTCAATTTGTCTTATCTTTTAATGAATAAATATGAAATTATACATACTTATCCAAATTTTGACTTAGGACCACTAGTTAGAACATAAAATGCTTCTATTATTTATTATTTTTAAATATTAAAAAATTTCCATTGTGATTTGATCAGCAACATGTATTATTTAGACATATTTTATTTTGAAAATTATGTTTTGTTAGATATCTTTGGTTGCTGATTCCTAATTCTATTTATTTTGATTAAAGAGTTGTAGACTGCTAAATTTGTTTGAATTTCTTAAAACTTTGGAAAAAGTAATGATTTAATGATTAATTTTTATAAAGATGCAAAGTATGTACTTAAAAATCACTCATTCTCTATTAGTTGGGGGAATAGTTCTCTAAAATGTTCATTGGCTTAAAAGTATTACTCAAGCTTGGATATTTTAATACCTGTTGGTTGTCTGCTTAATTTATCAACTTCTTAGTTATTGAGTCAAAATATCCCACTGGAATTGCAGATTTGGGACTTTCCTCCTGCAATTCTGTCAGTGTTGGCTTTACATATTATGAAGTTCTGGTTTGGTATATGCAAGATTTTGACTGTTTGTTCACTCTATCATTATGAAGTATTTCCCTTTGTCACTTTTAATGTATTCCATCCCTGACTTCACCAATGATTCCAAGTTCTGTATACAGGGTTTGGATTCTTGGCTCCTCTTTCTATGCAGGTGCTGAGGCCTTAGCCACCATGAATTTGCTAGATAATAATCACTGCATGGGCCTAATAGCATCTGGCTCACTGCTATATGTTCCTTGTCTGTTTCTGGCAACCAGACATCTAGGACACTTTACCTTCTTGTTTTAACCTTGGAAATATCTATCAGATAGATAGATCTATAATGTATACATAGAAGGAAGAGATGTATACATGTATGTACATATACAGAAAGAGAAAGAGAATGCACACAAGAAGGGGTATTTTCACATGTGTTCTTTTTGCCATCTTGACCTTGAAGTCTAATCTCTTCTTAGACAGAAATTTTGATTAATTGGCATTTTCATTCAATTTCCTGAGTTGCAAATATGCTTTTTTCATTTGAAAGTAATTTTCCCAAGCAATTTACTGAAGATTCTCATTGTTTTCCTGTAAAGTAGTCAAGAAGACCTCCATAAAAGATGCTAATGACTGCTTAGTCCTTTCACTGGAATGCATAGTTCCCCTGGAGCAATGCTACTGATGTATTTCCATAGGATGCCTAGTTAAGTGCTTACTGCTTTTAGAAAAGGTACCTGAGCTGATGCTCAAGATTACATTAAGAGTGGAAAGGTATAATGCCCCTTAAAAACATTTTTTACAGCCAAGAAGGAAGAAAAATCACTTCACTCCCATATTATGCTTTATGTATTGCTATTATCATTGCTAATTACGGTATCGCAATAAAACATTTATTTATGAACTCCCTTCAGTTTAGTTTCATCTGTTAGTAAAGTTTATTTTCCTCTTGCAGTAAAATTTCTTTCTTCACATTAAAATTTTATATAATTTGATTAGATAAAGGATATGGATGGATAATCAAAATAAATAATGGCAGAGAGACTGGTCAAGTTAATGCCTTATTTGCTTTATTTTATTCCGTTTTGACATAAAAAATCAAGCTCTTTTTTCTTTCTAAAATTAAGGAAAGCTTAAGAGGTCTAAATCTACTTTAGCCAGACACATCCACTTATATCTTTAACAATTTTGAATGTGTTTTGACAGATTTTTCTTCTTTCTTCACCAGGTAGATTGTAATTTACAGTTTCGTTTCACAGCAGTTAAATATTATAGTCATTTTCAAGGAGTGAAAAAATTATCATAAACTAGCTACCTTTACACAGTCATACATGAATCATTTAGAAAATTTAAGGAATTTATCCAACTGCATTTCTCGTAAAACACGCCTAGAAAATTGATTTAGCTAAGTAAAACAAAAGAAAAATAAATAAAGCATGCTATGAAATACCATTGTGACTAGGCAACTTGAGGAAAACTTATTAAATCAAATTTTGTTTAAATACAATGTCTTATTTATGCATTTATTTATTTATAGACAGGGTCTCACTGTGTCCCCCACATGGGAGTATAGTGATGCAGTCATGGCTCACTGCAGCCTCATCCTCCTGGGCTCAAGCAATCCTCCCACCTTAGCCTCCAGAATAGCTGAGACTACAGGCAGGCACCATCACACCTGGTTACAAATGTATCTTCTTACATAACATTTTCCAGCATCCTACATATATAATCTGAATTAAAGACAAAGTAGATTATTCACATAGAAGCAAAAAAAAAAAAATGCTGTAGTCTGTTAACAGTTGATTATCAATGATTGCAAATCATTAAAAAGCTATATTTTATTTTCTCATTAAGATTTAGAATTATTGTCCAAAATATGACTGAAGTTAGGGTTTTTAAAAGGTAAAATCAAATAATTACTTTAATGTTACATTGTAGAGTTATTGAAATAGCATAGCTTGTGGTTTTTTTATATTATCAAATGTATTTTGTCATATGTTCAAAGACAGAGGAGGAAGGGGGGGTGTGGAGGGTGAGGTGGAAGAAGGAAGGAGGAGGGGAAGAACAGAAAATAGAGAGGTGATTGGTGATTTCACATAAATTTTTATGTTGTATTATAGAACTTTTTAAATTGCTCAGCCTTCTGTCTTACAATGAAGGTAATCATAACTGTAGCAGAATGATAGCTCTGTAATTCATACACAAGACAAGGATGCCATACTTCACCTAATCCAAATTATTCTGAAAGACCAGATCTTGCAGTGATTTGCAAATGTGGAAAATACAGTTTTGCTGTTGGCCTTTCCCTTTGCTATACTCTTCAATAGCTGAACTTCTGGTTGGCACTCAAAAAAAAAAAAAAAAAAAAAAAAAAAATACATACTGAATGCAAATAAGACTGCCTTTGAATTTGGAACAAAGAAATAATCCTAACATTGTGACTGACTACTCAATTTAGACCTTTATATCTATTCTCAAGTAAGCATTTGAGACACTGCAATCTCAACATATTAATAAATAGGTTGAAGCAACATATTTTAAAATAGTTTGACATTTCTAACTATCTGAGTTGTAGCTTTAGGCTTTAGCACAAATTACTTAAACATTGAAGTGATCTCTGCTTGTTTTCTAATACACTGTCCAGAGTGATTGTTTAAAACTATAAATCTTATTTTACCTCTCAATTTAAATTATCTAATAATTTCCCAAGGCAGGATCTCAGCTCACTGCAGCGTCTGCCTCCTGGGCTCAAGCAATCCTCCTACCTCACCCTCCAATCAGCAGGAACCACAGGCACGCACCACCACACCCAGCTAATTATTATATTTTTTGTGGAGACGGGGTTTTGTCATATTGGTCAGGCTGGTCTCGAACCCCTGAGCTCAAGCAATCTGCCCATATTGGCCTCCCAAAGTACTAGGATTATAGGTGTGAACCACAGTGCACAGCACAAATTTCTTATCATTATCTTAACAGAGCCTGCAAGAAAGCTCCAGGTACATTGTTCTCTCTTGTCCCCTTATGCCAGCCACAGTGACCATCTTCCAGTTCTTCTAAAGTTCCAGGATAACTCGGGTTTCAGAGCCTTGGAATTCTCTGCTGTTTGCAGATGTGTCTCCATCCCCTTTCTAGCTAACTCCTTATTCACCTGTTAGCCCAAACTTCACTCCCTTAGGGAAGGATACTCTGGACACCCAGATTAAATCAATTCCTTCTGTCACGTACTCGATGAGGTCCCCATATTTTCTGTCATACCATTTACCGTAGCTTAACTTGAGTGAAGACAGATTAATTACCAGTTACACATCACACTATAAGATTCATGAGTATAGGCATGATATCAGTATTATTCACCATTTTACCCTCACAACCTAGCACTGTACTTAGGATCTAGTAAGTGCTCAAGAAATATTTTTGACTGAATGAATAGATACATTGTATGGTAGAGATTTTTCTTTTTATATACTGGTGAAAATGAACTATAATCACAAACAAAAATAACCTTCATTGTTCCATAATTTATATATGTGATTTCAGATATTTCCAAGAGTTGTATCTGGTCACAATGGACATGAGATTAATTTTTCTGAAAATGCTGGCATCATGTGCCCTTTCTGTGCTCCTTCTTCTCCACCGTACTTAGAATTTTAAAGTAATATTAGAAATTACAGATGAGAAAATGTGATAAGTGGCTTACTTTGAATTCCCTGACAAGTAAATCCTGAAAAAGGGATTCAAGAGAAAATAGTTCCATGGGAGATGACTCCAGGAAATACTAATAGCAGAGTGAGAAAGTGAAACAGGAAATAGAGGCAACTTTAATAACACAATAGCAATAACTTAACCCAATGACAAGAGTGTATCATTAAGCAAGTTACCACTTGGGGTTTTGGGAGCCAAGTAGAAAATGTACCTCAGCCTTGTCCTGACTGCGGGGCAAGGGAGCTGGGTATTTAAATCCTGTCGAGTGCTGCTCCTGAAGGGTGAAAATTTCCTCATACTTCCAGCCTGCTACTGGCAACAGCAGAGTGGCCTCAGGCTGCCAGAGAAAACACTCAGACAAAGACACATAAATGCTGTCCTTAGAAGTCTACTGGTGTGGACTGCAATACTAAGAGCTTAGGTGACACGGGCAGAGTGCAGAGTCGGCTACAATAGGCTTCATAAATAGTTCTCAGTACACTG
Source organism: Homo sapiens (assembly GCF_000001405.40). NCBI lineage: Eukaryota > Metazoa > Chordata > Mammalia > Primates > Hominidae > Homo > Homo sapiens. The sequence continues at coordinate 50,553,988 of NC_000005.10, forward strand.
CACTACATTCTGATCATCCCAAAGACTGAAGTACTCTATAATCTTGTTTTAATTATGATATTTCTGAGTAAAGTGTTTAATTGTTGGTAGTGTCTTTTGAAATAATATAAATAATAAAATTATAATAGGAGTGGGCTGCTATAATTATAGCAATGAGCAGCATTGCTAAATTTATACAGAAACAGGTAGCCCCTAAAAATATTTTGGGAAAGGAATTACAAAACTATTTAAAGGGTGGCTCTAAAACATGAATTATAAAAATCTTTCCAGGTACATATGAATGCAATTTTTAAAATAATTTGGCCAAGAGTGAGCCACTTCTTTTGTTCTATTTTCTTTTTCATCTCACATGTTAGAATTGACCAAACTTGGTCTCCAAGAGAATGCAAACAAAACAAAACAAAACAAAACGAACATATTGGTCCTAAGGATATAAAATGATCTGAAGTGGAAGAATGTCAGAATAAAGACGCTGGTCATCTTGTGGTGTTTTCATGTAAATGTGATGGATATTTTATAGAACTTGGAATTATTGTACTGGAGTTACTCTAAAGCACTTTACATGACACCATTAACTTTCCACACAAAAATAAACTGCCATAAGGGATTGATTTAATGCCTATGAATGAGGATTGCTATCCCTTCATTTTTATGAATAATAAATGAAAATAATATATAAAATTTATGTTGTAATTTTCAACAAAATAGAATATTTTACATATACTTATTTTCTCACAATATCTTTAGATAATATTGCTTCCATTCTAAAGGATTTGGAAACAAGACTATAATGTCAAAAAAAAAGTCTGTTAAAAAGAATTTAAGAATCTCTAAATTTAAACATGCACTTCCACAACGGAAATGAGTGCTGTAAACAACAACCTGTCATTGCAGTGCTTTCACATTAATTGCCGCAACTAATTCTCAAAATATTCCATTTTAAAGGTAGGAAACTATGTCTAACATCAAACATCTGGTTATGGCCTCTCCCTCATTCAAAAGAAAGAAAAAGCCATTAGATAGGAGTTACCTAAATTTCCCACAAATAAATCCAGCAATCTTGTCTCCTTCTACAGTCCTCTTCTCCCTCTTCAAAGTAAAATAAAGAAACTAAGCCTCTTCCTGTGGAAGGCCAATGTCTTCACTGGTACTTCAGATCAACTTCTCTTTTGTCTTCTCAGAAGCCCGACATTATCAATTACCCTTATTCCTTGCCCCAACCACATCAGCTTTTAAATATCTCCATGGCTTCTCAGTATTTCAATTCAAGCAGAATAAAACAAACACAAACAAAAACTACAAAAAATAAAGGCCCAAAACAGAAAACCTCACCCCTTAAAATTCTTCTACCCCTACCTCTTCACAGCCAAATTTCTTGAACCAGTGGCCAATATTGAGTCTCCATTTCATCCCCACCCACTTCCTTCTCTATCCCCATTCTCTCCCCTGTTAAGTTTGTAACCCATCAAATTTTTCAACCTCATTTTAATTAATCTCTTTATAACTTTTTTTTTTTTTTTTTTTTTTTTGCAGACAGAGTTTTGCGCAAGCTGGAATGCAATGGCATGGACTTGGCTCACTGCAACCTCCACCTCCCAGGTTCAAGCTATGCTCCTGCCTCAGATTCCCAAATAGCTGGGATTACAGGCACGTAACACCACGCCCGGCTAATTTTTGTATTTTTATTAGAGACGGGGTTTCACCATGTTGGACAGGCTGGTCTCAAACTCCTGACCTCATGATCCACCCTCCTCAGCCACCCAAAGTGCTGGGATTACAGGCGTGAGCCACCGTGCCCGGCTCCTTGTAACTTTTGTACCTGTGGACCGCTCCTTTCTTCCCCTGGCTTCATTGTTTTCTGTTCATTCCTTGTCTTCTTCTTGTATTCTGGCTGTAACTACTCAATTTCTTTCTCAAATGTATCCTCTTATACCTACATATTAAATACTTCAAGAGCAGGTATTTCTTTCTCCTCTATATGCTTTCTCTCAGCAATTTATTAAGGCCAAAGGCTTCAATTACTATCTCCATGTATTGACTCCCAAATTTACACCTTCAGGATAGATATCTTTTTGCTTTAAATTAACATATCCTTTTTTTCTTCTATATATCTCCACTTAACCTGTCCCAAAGTCATCCTTTAACTCTAAATAAATAAACAACAAAAAGCAAAAGCTGAACTTACCATCTTGTCCTCTTTCGGGATTCACTAGCTTAGTAATTGGCACCACCATCCCTCCAATTTCACAAGCCAGGAACCTAAGAGTCTCTTTTCACCCACCCCTTGTACTTTCTTTCAGCTCTCATACCGAATCTTTTCCCCAACTCTATTAACTATGCCTCCTAAATGTATTCCAAATCCATTTATCTCTCCATTTCCAATGCCATCACCCTAGTCAAAGTAATATAGTGATGTAAAAGTAACTGCAGTTTTCGCCATTAATAGTACGGCAGAAACGGCAATCACTTTTGCACCAACTTAATACTATTTTCCACCCTGCCAATTGACAACCCCTCTGATGCCTCTAGTCTGATACACTGACAGCTGACAACTCCTCTATTCTGATACAAAAATCTTTTCAGCATATGACCATGCTCTTCTCCTCCTTAAAACCCTTTAATATTTACCTATGAGTTTTAGGATAAAATCCCTTGATGTGGGCTACCAGACCCTGCAAGCTCTTCTCCCTGCTTGGTTAATCATCAGGTTTCACTCAACCCTTCACACTGAGCTCCAGCCTCTCTGGACTTTCAGCTTCTTGAATACTTTATGTTCTGTTGCCCCAGGTCCTGGGCACTGGCATTTATCTCACCTTAGGACACCTCTCCTTGCCTAGGTCTTCCCACTCATTCTTCAAACCTCAGTTCATACCATTAGTTCCTCAGAAAACTCATACCTGCTCATTCACATCTACTCTCACATTCTTAAAATGCTCACCCTTCCATTATCTCAAGATTGTTAATTACATGCTTATTTTTATAATTATTTTATTAACATTTGTCTTCTCCCATTAGACTATGAGTTCAATGAAAGTAGGAAACATGACTGATTTTATTCTCCATGGCCCTTGTGGTATACTAACAATTCCAGCAGTTACTCACTATTTGCTAAATATATAAATAATCATGCCTGGGTCTTGACTTTAATGTGAAACTCTGACTGTTATGTTGTCTGCAGAGACTTCTCCATTGCAGAGAAACCCATCATGTTTAATAGATCCATTTGCATTTCTGTAAACCACATACAATGTATTAACAGTCGTATTTAACAACAAAAATAGACTTACTTTGAAAGCTTAATCCTAAAACCTCAGCTCCTCATGAAATTCTGCCATGTCAAAGAAAAGTATCTACTTTACTATATGTATGTTATTATTGATCCTTTCTTTCACTTGCCAGTTGAACATACTCATGGAAAACACTTATTTTCCCAAAGCAAAATAGAAGATTGTACCTGGGAATCTTGTAACTAAGAATAGATGTTCGAGTAATTCAGTTAATAGTGATTCTTCAGTTGTGGAGACATTTGTTATGTGGGGCACTGTCAGAACTTCTAGTCTATAGCCACACCACCCCAAACACGCCCAGTCTCATCTGACATGACTTACAGTGAGAGTGAGTTTTGTAGACAATGCATTGGGAGGAATAAAAAACTGTCAGTTGTCTGTTTTTTTAAACTCTGAACATTCTAGATGGCTTTCTAAATGGCTACATTGAGAAAGCAACCTTAGATTTGAGAAAGCTCTAGTTTGAGCAAAAAAAAAATATTACCTTTCTCTCTCTCTCTCATCATGGTAGTGGCTATCTTAGATTTGATCTGACATCTAATACAGTACTTTACCAAATGACTTTACCTTTACTTATTAAATGTTGCTGCAGTGACACAATTCAGCTGCACCCTTCACCATGCATAAAAAAATAATCCTGAGCCTCACTTTACTTGATCACTGACCACTCTGGAGACTTCCCACAATAGTCCAAATCTCAGTTATTCTTTATCTTGTGCCCTTGAATGCCAAAATGTAAATCAAGCTCACATATATTATCCTGTCTCACTTATAGCTGCTTTACAAGCACAGCATGAAGTCATTGTTCAGCACGGTTTACAGGTACAAACACAACTGAAATCAGTACTGGTTAATTTTCTGAGGGTAAGAAGAATATTGAACACGTGAATTGCTACTGAGTATTTTTGCATGCTAAAATATCACTGCTGTTTTTCATGATATTTTATTCCATACCAAATAAGAATGAAATGCAAGTCTATCTTTTACAGTTTTATACAAAGAAGCAGAGGTCTTATGATAATAAGTTGATGGTTTCTAGCAACCTGACATGTATTTTCTGTATTTTTCCCTTAAATGTTTTGGGGGTTTTGGAATTTTCTACCTAGAAATAGTCTATAAGTGAGAAATGAATTTGTTCCAAGTTGTAGGATTCTGTTTTGTTCTCACTAATGTTTAATTGTAATATTAGAACTTGGTCAGAAACGGTAATATATTATATTTCTTCACAAGTATTGGCTGTTGCTAAACTTGGAAATAAACATAAACTAATATATTAATAAAATATACAGTCTGAAGAGCTTGTTAAATTTTAATAATACTATCATTTATACAGAAAACACAAATATATAAACATTATGCTGTATGATTTACTTAGTAATATAATAAACTAGAAAAATATTTACAAATATTAATATTTACAATAAGGCTAGAAATGAGAATTTTTAACAGGCCAAATTTCCACAAAGCTTTTATTACTCTTACTGAAAAAGAATGACAATTAACTTTTACAAATGTAATCACTTAAGCCAAACATGCTTGATCTATTCTACTACCTTAGTTTTGCTGACATTGTAATTTCTAGTTATTATTGTTATTTTGGTTATACATTATCAGTAAGTAGAGAATCAACTAAAACTAATGACTGATTTTTTCCCATGGTTGTAGAGCTTAAATTTATGAGTCCCATTAATCTCAATGTCAGAAATCAATAAAATTCTAGTTTTTAGTCTAGTTAAATGTTTATGTTGATATCCTAAACATTTGCCATATTACTACATGGTGTTAGTAATTCAACTTCCCTGAATAATGTTATTGAACACTAAGGTATCATAATTTGGCTATGCCATTGCCCAGCTGCTAGTATTTATATAGCTTGTTCCAGTTTCTTTATTGGGTTGTTTTTCTGTATTAAGGAACACATAAATTAATAGTTTTCAGCAAATTACTGTTTAGAAGACTTATATGAATTTGTAACTTTTTAAAAGTTAATTTTATTGAGATTAATTTATATATAATAAAGTATACCAATTTTAATTGTATGAGTCAATAAGTTTTGACAAATGCACACTTCCATATAGCCACCAATACAGAGATAGAAAAGTTTTATCACCTTAGGAAATTCTCTTGAGCACCTTTGCAGTTAACCCCACTCTCCTCCCCACTCTCTATCCCAAGGCAACCACTTGTCAATGTTCCATCACCACATATTAGTTTGTCCTGTTCTAAAATGAAATGTGAATGAATCATACAGTATAAGTTTTCATGTCTGTCTTCTTAGGCTCAACATAATATTTTTTGAGATTTGTGCATGTTGTCATATGTATCAGTAGTTTTTCTTTATTGCTGAATAGTATTCCACTGATGAATTCGTTTACCTCTTCATGTGTTAAAGGACATTTGGGTTCTTTTCACTTTGGGGACACTGGAGAAGAATAAAGCTGCATTCTTCCACAAGTCTTTTTTGCAGACATAGATTTTCATTTCTCTTGGGCAAATAAGAGTGGAATTGCTGGGTTCTAGAGCAGGTGTATGTTTAATTTTATAACAAACTGCTAAGCCGTTTTCCAAAGTACTTGTAGCATTTTACATTCGAAAAGCAATATACGACAGTTTCAGGTGTCCCGTGTCCTGTCACTGTTTTGCAGGACTGCAGCACAGTGAGACCATGCAACTTTGTGTCTTGAAGACCAACCCCAAGATTTCTGAATTCAGAAAACAATGAAAATAAGAGACTTTTAAATATGAAATCGCAAGGTAATATAAAATCCTTCCCTTTACAGGCCTGACCCCAATATTTGATCACTCAGTAAAATACTCATGTAAGAGGATTATTTGGGGAAGTGCATTTTCTTTGCATTGAAGCTTTGTCATATGTAAAGCCTTCATACCAGCTCAGAGGTTCAAAGCAGGTTTCTCTTCCTCAAAGCAAAGATTATCTTTGGTTTGGAAGTTTGCTTTTTTACCTATGCTGACCTAGCCTCAGCAACTGCACCAGGTGAAATGTTCTCCATCTATTGCTTACCTACAAATATTTTGTCTCTCTGAAGTAATTTAGTTCTTTTACATTTATTTGTACCTGTGCAACAGAATTTTTACAAAATGGTGTTTTTAAACAAAAGAATGAAAGGTTTGGTTTATTGGGTAACATCGTTTCAGTGGGAGTGAAGGAAGATCTTTCATGTCTTTTTATGTCCTAATCATAAGCCTAACTCTTGCAAAAATCTTTTTGCAAATTTTAAGTATCTCTTAAGGATGTACTCCCAGAAGACCATTACTAAGTCAAAAATTATGAATGTTTTTGTGACAATTGCCAAAAAGAATAATAGATAATATGATAATAGTATTATCTGTCAAATAAAATACTATGTTCCCTTTCCATAGAATTTGTTACTCTGATTTGAAAAGAACTCAATGAATTTTATTGTATCTATTTTGTTGAAATATTTGTGTATTGATCTCAAACTTATTTGCATTATATACTTACCTCCTATCACCACCCATTAATTCAACATTTATTTATTCCAAGAGCAGTCTAAGTAAGAGAATGACACTTTTCTCACTTTTACAGGCAAAATGAAATAAAGGAGTGTAACTGCTAATGGGCATGGGATTTCTTTTTTCTTTTTAAAAATGTTCTAAAATTGATTGTCGTGATGGTTATACAACTTTGTGACTACAATAAAAAATCACTGAATCGAAACTTCAAATGAGTGAATCATTTAATATATGGATGTTATCTCAATGAAACTGCTACTTAAAAAAATAAAATAAAAGGAACATTAATGTAAATGAAAATTCTCTGGTATGACTCTAACAACCAAATTCTTACCCAACTGAAAACCAAAATGTATTTCTTGGGACAACTTCTAAGCACATTGAAAAAAGAGAAAATTGCCTGGCCTCCAAGAACATTATCATAATAAATATAACAAGAATATACTAAAGTTTTATTTGATGTCAGGAGCTGAGCTAAATGTTTTAAATGATAATCTCATTTAATCTTTATATCAACTCTTAAAAGTTACTATTATTTACTAAATTTTGCGAAGAAGAAAACCAAGATTTAGATCAAAGTGGTAACTGGTAGAGACAAGGTTCCAATCACAGCTTTGTCTGATACAGTTCTTTTTTTAATCTACTGCTTCCCAACATTAGAGGATACCATCCAAGAAGACACCGTTGCTCCCGACTGTGGCAAAGAAAAAAAAGTCTACACATGCAGATATATATACTTAGAGTCACACAAAGTATAACAAACTTCTGGGGAGCCAAAAAGTAGGATGTACACATCAAATCACCTGACTTTGGTGAAAGCCTAGATGTAGAAATCATGGAAGCATACATTTAGAATCCTATATTTTGGAGGTTAAGTGGAAACCAGGGAGTGTGATACATTCTCCAGCTTTGAGTTGGCTGTGTTTGTAGTCATGCGTATGTTCAACATCACTTTAAAACCTTGTAGGGCCGGGCACAGTGGCTCATGCATGTAATCCCAGTGCTTCAGAAGGCCAAAGCAAGAGGATCACTTGAGACTAGGAGTTCATGAAATCCTGGGTAACATTGTGAGACACAGTGTCTATAAAAAATTAAAAAACAAAATCCGGACACAATGGTTTGTGCCTATAGTCCTAGCTACTCAGAAGGCTGAGGCAGAAAAATAGCTTAGCCTGGGAGTTTGAGGCTTCAATCAGCTATGACTGCACCACTGCATTCCAGACTGGGTGACAGAGTGAGACCCTGTCTCTAAACAAACAAACAAACAAAAAACAAAACAAAAGCCTCATTGATCCTGTGTCCAAACAAAATAGTAATACTTTAGATTCTATGACACTTGATAGTCAATGAAGAAGTGTTGTAATTGCTAAGACAACCTATGTCCAGCCTTTTTGGAAATTATAGAATATTAGTCTTGCAAGACATCTTTGAACATTTATTTTATAGGTAAGATAGCATCTCCCAGAGAAACTAAGGCAATTTCTTAAGATAAAGCAGGTCTTCAGAAAGAAAGTCAGGGAACTCTCCGGTGTCTTGAGCCAAGGTCCAGGAATCCTTATAACACATTATATTGATTATTACTGATGAATAAATGTTAGTTCCCTTCTTCTGTCCAGCCCTTAGCAATGCCCAGCTCTGGCCCAGTGCTCTTGCAAGAAGTTGCCTCCTTGATTTTTGGTACAGCCTGCTCTCTGGTTGCAAACTCTGGGAATAAACTTGGCATTAATCCGGACTCTGCTCCTGCCAAGTCCAATTTCATCAAGGAGTAATAAAATACAACAATTCAGATTTTTACTTTAATGTTCAAAGAATACTTCTGGATCATTGACTTTTGGACAGCCTTTCATCTGTGGGATGCAAATTATTCTAATTACAACAAGTTTACATCATAAAAAAGAAAAGCTGCTTTTATTTTAGAGCAACATCCACTAAGCAATAATAAATGAAATAAAGTTAAATTTTGCTTGCATTTACTAGTAGTTAGGAATGGATCAAAAATACCAAGGAATTGTGTTTGCCCCTAAGGAAAGCAGTGGGTGGTTAGGAAACTTTATGGAAGGAGCACTAGAATTTTATACTGTGTGCATTTGTACTGTGTGTACTCAGTAAATGAAAGAAACTACAAAGAAATAATGGCATATAAACCTTAGTAAAACAACTTTTCACTGTTGATATTCCACGAATAAACTACTTCTTACAGAAATACAAGTAAACAAACAGTCAAGAACTGAGATTTGCATCATACATATAAGTAAATTTTCCAGATAACTAACGCTTGCAGTCTCAAGATGCAACACTGTTTATTTTATCTTTCATTCTATAAATATAAATTCTAGCCACTTGTGTTTGCCCAGGCACTGAGCTATCCCTGAGCTACAACAGAGAACACAGTCCCTTCCCTTATAGAGTTTTAGTAATGTTAGATGGGATCATTATCATTAAAGTTATCTCATTTTTGCATTTTTAAACCAAGAGTAATCAATACATTTATATTGTCTTGATGATTTTTTTCTGAATAGCCACTATTAAAGTTTATTTTAGTAAACTATATTTTAAATTTATATTATTATATATTTATTTTATTAATATATTTATATTTTTATGTTTATAAAATATAAATTTATGTCTATATTTAATTTTTATATTTATAATTTATAAATATAAACTTACATTTTATATAAAATATATTAGATTATGTTTTAAATTTATATTATATTTAAAATATAGTTATTAAACTATATTTTAGATTTTATGTTTCTTCCTCCTATAGAAATCCACCAACTTCTATGGCACTGAGGTGCACAGATTGAGCTCTAACGCAGGTTGAGACTTCTAATCCAGGTTGAGTATTCTCTATCCAAAATGCTTGGGACCAGAAGTGTTTCAAATTTCTTTTTTTTTTTTTAAGATTTGGAAGTATTTGCATATACATAATGAGATATCTTGGGGTTGGGACCCAAGTCCAAACACAAAATTTATTTATGTTTTATATGCACTGTATACATATAGCCTAAAGGTAATTTTATACAATGTTTTTAGTAATACATGCAACTCATTGTATGAGATCCAGTGTGGAATTTTCCACTTGCGGCAACATGTCAGTGCTCAAACAGATACAGATCTTGAAGCATTTTGGATTCCAGATTTTTGGGATTAGTGATGCTCAAACTATACTTTTCATTATTTTGGTTTTTAATCTTTTGCAAGAGGTGAAACCAGGTAAGTTTAGAAGTTGTATGCTCAATAAGTGAGACTTCAAAGTATGTCTCTTTAAAGAACTTGTATACTTGTGGGGACTCTGGGAAACTTCTTCAGTGATTTGAAGAAAACCTTGGTTCACATATTTGCAAAGAGTCAAAGTTCTGCCAAATGAAACTACCTACAGTTAACTCCATTCTCTTTATGATGTTAGCAGAAGGAAACACTGATAACTGCTGGTGTAATAATCTGCTCAGGCTGCCATGACAAAATTTCATAGACAGGATGGCTTAAACAACAGAAATTTATTTTCTCACGGTCCTAGAGGCCGGAAAGTCCCAGATCAAGATAAGGCAGTGTCAGTTTCTGGTGAAGACTGTCTTCCTGGCTTGCAGAAGGCTGCCTTTTCACTGTGTCTTCACATGCCAGAAAGAGAGAGCAAGCTTTCTGGAGTTTTTTCTTATAAAAATGCTAATTTTATCAGATCAGGACCCCACCTTTATGACTTCATTTAACCTTAATTATATCTTCATTCAACCCCACCTCCAAATATAGTCATAATGAGGTTTAGGGCCTCAAATTATAAATTCTGAGGAGATACAATCATTCATTCCATAATAGGTGGTTAAAGCAAATTATTATAATAATAATTAGTGGTAATTGCTATGGTTTGAATGTTGGTCCCCTTCTAAACTCAAGTTGAAATTTAATTGCCATTCTAACAATATTAAGAGGTGGGACCTTTAACAAGTGATTAGGTCATGAGGGTTTCACCCTCATGGGTGGGATTGGTATTGCTATAAAAGGGCAAGTTTACTCCCTTCTTTCTCTCTTGCCCTTGTACTTTTAACTTTCTGCTGTGGGAGGATACAGCAAGAAGGTCCTCACACAGTGCCAGCCCCTGGATCTTGGACTTTGCAGCATCCAGAATTTTAAGCCAGTAAACTTCTTTTTATTATAAATTACCGAGTCTCAGATATTCTGTCATAGCAGCAAAAATGGACTATGGCAGTAGTATTAGATAGTGATGTGTATAGAAATTCTTTTGCAATATTTATTTAGCATTAGTTAGTGTGTAACTATTTGTAATCAAACTCAGTAATGGCATTTATTCTTTGGCTATCTAAAAAGAAGATATCATAGTACTATAGCCTATAGTTAATTTTTAGAATCAGGTGGTAAGATTGTTAAGAAGCTTTCATCTCAAGTTTTCTTTAAAAGTTTATAATGATAGTTTTTAGGGAGTGCCCGTAATATAGGAGTCATGAAACTAACCAAGTTTAGTGATCCTTCATCTGGAAATTCCTTATATTTCATCTAATGGATCTTTGAGGTTTTATAGTCCAAAAATAAATGAATCAAGTTAGTGTTTTGTTGTTGTTGTTGCTGCTTACGGGATGATACGATAAACAGAAAATGCCTAATGTTTTTCTTCATAGAAAATAAATATACATTATGAATATTTTTATTTATATACTACAGTCACCACTAGTCACTTCTCTATAGCATAATACTAGTTGGCTTCAATCAACAGATAGCTGAGAGCCTTATGTGCAGTGTATGCTAAACCAACAAAGCACTTACATTTGCAGAACTTCTTAAACTGTCATGTGCAAACGAATCACCTAAGAATATTGTTAAATTGCCTTTTTGAGTTTCAGATCCAGTAGGTCTAGAGTGGAACCTGAAATTCTGCAATTCTAACGGTGATGCTTATGCTGTCAGTCCAGACCACACTTTGAAGAACAAGATTTCAAAAGGCCCAGTGCACAGTTATTTCTTTATAAAACTGACAAAACATTATTTGATAAAATAACATTACCATTCTGTTTTCTAGGGTTGTTGTGAGGATTTATGAGATAGTAAACATAAAGTAACAAGCACAAGATATTTCAAAGATGATAAAACCTATTAATTGAATAAACAAGAGATGTTGTGTATTATGGTTAATTTTATTTAGCTGAATTTACCTAAGGCAGATAATTTGAAGGGCTCATTAGGATAGAGTAGGCAGGTTGGCATGAATTTGTTAAAAATATTAAACTTAGAGTTGTGGGACTTTAAAAGTGGAAGTAAATTCATCAGTGGCTTTTAGTCATGGTGATGACAACAGAAAAGCAATAATTTTATCTGGCCAAGTTAAAGCCTGAGAAACTAGTGAGGATGCTTTTGCAGCAATATATATCTGACATGATGAAAGCATGAGGGTAATGGTGGAAGTAGCGAAAAGGAAGAAAGTGAAAGGCCAACATTTATTGGGTGCCCACTCTCAGTCAGATGCTATGTCTTACATTAGGATGACTGCATGACAAAACTACATGGGAGACTTTCAAAGTGTATGCATGCATGTGCCTCACTCTGTATTACACCACAATCTCAGCAGGAGGGCCCAGGTAAATATTTTAAAGCTCTTCACAGGGCATGTGCACCACTGTTTGTCTATAAGATTTCCTCTCCCCAGACCTCTTACAAAGAGACTACCATTCTTTTCCTTCCCTGCTTCTCCTACTGTAGCCTAGTGACCTTCATGGAATATCACCATGGAATAGAAAAATGGTTGTACCAGACACCCTTTGCTCTACACCCCAGACAGCTTGCTCTTCTTATGCTCAAAGGTCCAGATTGAAAGTAAGAACTATTGAAAATTAGCTGTTATTCATCTTTATCTTCCTGTCCTACTGAATTTTAAGGCAACAGATGTTTTTCCTTACTGAGCAAATGGTCTGAAGCTGTAGATAAGAAAGTTGAATATTTCAAGATCCTTTTTCACTCTAGTAAATGGCCTGAGTGAGGCTACGATTTCAGGTCTGACTGAGTCCCAAGTATATATTATTTCTACTACATCCCTCTGCCAAGTATTGAAAGCTATCTAGGAAAAAGCAATTAAGTTAATAACGACATTTGTTTTTCCTTTTCTAAGACAGAAAAGCCATTATTTACTCTTGTAAGAACCGGATTCTGAAATATTAAGAAACAGGTGGAGTAATTATAGAAACATCTTCACATAGAGTTACAAGGCCCTCCCCACAGGTCCCATTTACATCACACATCTTCACCTCCTCCTTAGTTCATATTTCTGGTCCAACTCATATTTTAAAAATCTGAATATCACTATTTCTTATAGATCTTCTCCCACTTTTATTTTATCAATGTTCTTTTATGTCTCTAACCTGTTGTGACTAGGTCAAACCTTCTCCCTTCTACCAAAGCAAAATTTGTAAAATCTAAATTATTGACCTTAAAAAGGAAGGAAAGAAAGTGATAGTGTTAGAAAGTTTTTTCAAAGAGATAATTCCAGTGAAACTTCCCAAATGTAGAGAAGTATATCAACATTCAAATACAAGAAGGTAATAGAACCAAGCAGATTGAATGCAAAGAAGATTACCTCGAGGCATTTAATAATCAAAGTCTCAAAGGTCAAGGATAAAGAAAAGATCCTAAAAGCAGCAAGAGAAAAGAAACAAATAACATACAATGGAGCTCCAGTACATCTGGCAGCTAGTTTTCAGTGGAAACCTTACAGGCCAGGAGACAGTGGCATGGCACATTTAAAATGCCAAAGAGAAAACCTTTTATCCTGAAATAATATATCTGGTGAAAATATCCTCAAACATAAAGGAGAAATAGAGACTTTCCTAGACAAACAAAAACTGAGAGACTTCATCAACATCAGAACTGTCTCACAAGAAATACTAAAGGAAATTCTACAATATGAAAGAAGATAATGTTAATGAGCAAGAAGGAATCATATGAAGGTACAAAACTCACTGATAATAGTAAGCACACAGAAAAATACAGAATAGTATAACACTGTAATGGTGGTGTGAAAACTACTTCTAAGTACAAAGACTAAATGATAAACCAATAAAAAATAATAACCACTAAAACTTTTCAAGACATAGACAGTACAATAAGACATAAAGAGAAATAACAGAAATCAGGGGGCCAAAGTGAAAGTGTAGAGTTTTTATTAATTTTCTTCTTGTGTGTTTGTTTGTACATGCAATCAGTGTTACATTGTCATCAGTTGAAAATAATGGGTTATGAGATAGTATTTGAAAGCCTCATGGTAACCCCAAATTAAAAAACATACAATGGATACACAAAAAATAAAAAGCAAGGAATTATAGCATACCACTAGTGAAGAGTGGTTTCTCTTTAGTGAAGAGAAAATCACCTTCACTAAATGGAAAACAAGAAGGAAGGAAAGAAGAATGAGAAGGCTGCAAACAACAAGAAAATAAATTTTAAAATAGCAGGAGTAAGTCCCTACTTAACAATACTAACATTCAATGTAAGTGAACTAAACTCTCCAACAAAAGACATAGATTGGCTGAATGGATGAAAAAACAAGACCCAATAATCTGTTGCCTACAAGAAACGCACTTCACTTATAAAGGTACACATAAACTAAACATAAAGGGATATAAAAGAATTTTCCATGCCAATGGAAACCAAAAAAGAAGAGGAGTAGCCATACTTATATCAGACAAATAGATTTTCAAGACAAAAACTGTAAGAAGAGACAAACAAAGTCACTATATAATGATAAAGGATTCAATTCAGCAAGATGATAGAGCAATTGTAAATATATATGCACTCAACACTGGAGCACCCTGATATATAAAGGAGATATTATTAGAGCTCGAGGATTAAATAGGCCCCAATACAGTAATAACTGGAGACCAATACACTACTTTCAACATTAGACAGATCTCCCACACAGAAAATCAACAAAGAAACATTAGACTTAATCTGCATTATAGAACAAATGGACCTAATAGATAATTACAGAACATATTATCCAACTGCTGCAGAATACACATTCTTTTCCTCAGCACATGAATATTTCTCAAGGATAGACCATATATTAGGTCACAAGACAAATCTTGAAACATTCAAAATAATAAAATAATATGAAGCATCTTCTCTAACAACAATAGAATAAAACTACAAGTCAATAAGAGGAATTTTAACTATACAAACACATGGAAATTAAACAATATACCCCTCAACGACCAGTGGGTCAATGAAGAAATTAAGAAAGAATTGAAAAAATTTTTAAACAAATAATAACACAAACACAGCATACCAAAACCTATGGGACACACTGAAAGCAGTACTAAGAGGGAAATTTATAGCTGTAAGTGCCTACATCAAAAAAGAAGAAAAACTTCATATAAACAACTTGATGATACATCTTAAAGAACTAGAAAAGCAAGAAAAAAGCAAACCTAAAATTAGGAGAAAAAAAGAGAAATAATAAGGGTCAGAGCAGAAATAAATGAAATTGAAACGAAGAAAGCAATACAAAAGGTCAACAAAACAAAAAGGCTGTATTTTGTAAAGATAAGCAAAATCGACAAATCTTTAGCCAGACTAAGAAAAAAAGAGAATATGCAAATAAACAAATGAAAAAGGAGACATTACAACTGATACTGCAGAAATTCCAAGGATCAATACTAGTTACTATGAATAATTAGATGCCAATAAATTGGAAAATCTGGAAGAAACTGATAAATTCCTAGACACATATGACCTATGAAGATTGAATCATGAAGAAATTTGAAACTTGAATAGACCAATAGCAAGTAATAAGATGAAGCCATAATAAAAAGTCCCCCAGTAAAGAAAAGCCTGGGACTTGATAGTTCACTGCTGAATTCTACCAAACATTAAAAGAAGAATACCAATCCTACTAAAACTTTTGTGAAAAATAGAGGAGGAGGGAATACTTCCCAACTCATTCTACGAAGCGATTATTACCCTGATACTAAAACTAGACAAAGACACATTAAAAAAAAAAAAAAAAAGAATACTGCAGGACAATAACCCTGATGAATATTCATGCAAAAATTCTCAACAAAATACCGGCAAAATGAATTCAACAATACATTAAAAAGGTCATTAATCATGACCAAATGGTATTTATCCCAGGGGTGCAAAAAGGGTTCAACATATGTAAGCCAATCAATGTGATACATTTTATCAACAGAATGAAGGACAAAACCCCTATGAGTATTTCAATTGATGCTGAAAAAGCATTTGATAAAGTTCAATATCCCTCCATGATTAAAAAAAAAACTCAAAACACTGGGTATAAAAGGAACATACACAACATAATAAAAGTCATATATGACAGACCCACAGCTAGTATGATACTGAATGGGGAAAATCTGAAAACCTTTCCTCTTAGATCTGGAACATGACAAGGATGCTGACTTTCATCACTGTTATTGAACATAGTGCTGAAAGTCCTAGCTAGAGCAATCAGAAAAGAGAAAGAAATAAAAGGCATCCAAATTGGAAAGAAAGAAGTCAAATTATCCTTGTTTGTACAGGATATGATCTTATATTTGGAAAAACCTACAGACTCCACCAAAAAAAGCTACTAGAACTGATAAATAATTCAGTAAAGTTGCAAGATACAAAGTCAGCATATAAAAATTACTAACATTTTTGTATGTCAACAGTGAGCAATTTGAAAAAAAATTTAAAAAGTAATCCCACTTACAGTAGACACAAACAAAATTAAATATCTAGGAATTAACCAAAGAAATAAAAGATCTTTACAATGAAATTATAAAACACTAATGAAAAAAATTGAGGAGGACACACAAAAATGGAAAGATATTCCATTTTTTTGTAGATTCATTTCATTGAATCTACAGATTCATTGAAACCCCTGTCACAATACCAATGACATTCTTTACAGAAATAGAAAAAGCAATCCTAAAATTTATATGGAATCACAGATGACACAGAGTAGTCAAAGCTATCCACAGCAAAAAGAACAAAACTGGAGGAATCACAGTACCTGACTTCAAATTATACTACAGAGGTATGTTAACCAAAACAGCATGGTACAGGCATAAAAATAGACACATAGGCCAATGGAACAGAATAGAAAACCCAGAAACAAATCCACACACTTACAGTGAATTTATTTTTGACAAAGGTGCCAAGAACACACACTGGGGAAAAGACAGTCTCTTCAGTAAATGGTGTTGGGAAAACTGGATATTCATATGCAGAAGAATGAAACTAGGCCTCTATCTCTTGCCATATACAAAAATCAAATCAAAATGGATTAAAGACTTAAATCTATGAAACTACTATAAGAAAACTTTGGGGAAACTCTTTAGGACATTGGTCTGGGCAAAATTTTCTTGAGTAATACCCCACAAGCACAGGCAACCAAAGCAAAAATGAACAAATGGGATCACATCAAGTTAAAAAGCTTCTGCACACAAAAGTATACAATCAACAAAGTGAAAAGACAACCCACAGAATGGGAGAAAATATTTGCAAACTACCCATTTGACAAGGGATTAATAACCATAACATATAAGGAGCCCAAACAACTGTATAAGAAAAAAAACTAATAATTCAATTAAAATATGGGCAAAAGATTTGAATAGACATTTCTCAAAAGAATGTCTGAAATATCTGAATACAGGCATATATTGAGATGTTCAACATCACTAACAATCAGGGATGTTCAAATCAAAACTGCAATGAGACATCATCTCACTCCAGTTAAAATGGCTTTTATTCAAATGTCAGGCAATCACAAATGCTGGCGAGGATATGGAGAAAAGGGAACCCTCATACACTTTTTGTGGGAATGTAAACTAGTGCAACCACTATGAAGAACAGTTTGGGGGTTCCTCAAATAACAAAAATAGAGCCACCATATGATCCAGCAATCTCACTTCTGGGTATGTACCCAAAAGAAAGGAAATCAGTATATTGAAGAGCTACCTGCACTCCTATGTTTGTTACAGCACTGTTTACAATAACCAAGATGTGAAAGCAACCTAAATGTCTACCAACAGATGAATGGATAATGAAAATGTGGTACATATACACAATGGAGTACTGTTCAGTCATAACAAAGAATGAGATCCTGTCATTTGCAACAACACGGTTGGAACTGTAGGTCGTTATGTTAAGTGAAATAAGCCAGGCACAGAAGGACTAAGATCACATGTTCTTATTTATTTGTGGGATCTAAAAATGAAAACAATTGAACTCATGGAGATAGAGAATAGAAGGATGGTTACCAGAGGCTGGTAAAGGTAGTTGGGGAATTGTGGGGAAGTTGAAGGTGAAGTGAGGATGTTTAATGTGTACAAAGAAAATAGAATAAGCTATATTTGACAACACAACAGGGGAAATATAGTCAATGATAAAATCAACTGTGTATTTTAAAATAACTGAAAGAGTATAATTGGATTGTTTGTAACACAAAGGATAAATGCTTGAGAAGATGAATACCTAATTTATGACTTGATTGTTTTGTATTGGATGCCTGTACCAAAATATCTCATGTAGCCCATAAATATACACACCTACTACGTACCCACATAAATTAAAAATAAAAAAACACAATTTGTAAAGTCTTCTTCTTTTTAGTTTGAGACAATGAGAACAGTGGACCCCACTCAATTAAAAACCCATTGCATTAATAATCCCATTACAACCCTGAATCCCTTTTCAAAATTGGCATTTTCTCAGTATTTATGTCTTCTTCATCTGTGTTCTTTTAAAGTTTTAAATGCATGTAGTGTTGCATTACCCTGTGATGTTTTCTTTGGAGCCTCTCTAAAATATAGCTATTATATTATGATTTACTGGGAATAGATAGGAAACTACATACTAAAATCATTTGAGGGCTTTGAAAAATATTGTTGCTTGGGCACAATTAAATCAGAATCTCTGGAATAGAACCCAGATGTGAGTATATTTTTAAAAGTCAGGATTGAGAGCTGCTACTTTAGATCATACGCTGCTTCAAGATAGGAAATTTTCCTTCTCTTTTCCCTGGGAAAACAAAGCAAACTAAAAAAAAAAAAGGGAAATTAGGGCATTGGTCTATCCACAAGGAGCCGTAGCAAGGTTTGGAGGCCTGGAAACTAGAAAGCTCCCAAGAGGCGAATCTGGAAGTCATAGAATCAGAGGACATAATTCAACTGAGGATATCTACTCAGCTATTATACTAGGTGCTGTATTTGTAGTCTTCATTTCAGCTGAGAGTCCTAAGCCCGTGAAAAGTAACTCTTGCTCAAAATTAATTATTTAGTTAAGATCAATTAGTTGTATTTCTCTAGTCTACTCAGAAGGCAGTGGGAAAAGGGCAGAGTCAGGCATGCCTTAATTGTAGCTACATCTCACTCAGTCTCCCATGTAGCACCTGGATTTTTCAGGTCTCAACATAACTTTATTTCATATTTAGTAGATGTAAAGATGTTCTTTTCAGATTCATTTAATAAAAGGCCCAGAGGCCGGGCGCGGTGGCTCACGCCTGTAATCCCAGCACTTTGGGAGGCCGAGGCGGGCGGATCACGAGGTCAGGAGATCGAGACCATCCCGGCTAAAACGGTGAAACCCCGTCTCTACTAAAACTACAAAAAATAGCCGGGCGTAGTGGCGGGCGCCTGTAGTCCTAGCTACTTGGGAGGCTGAGGCAGGAGAATGGCGTGAACCCGGGAGGCGGAGCTTGCAGTGAGCCGAGATCCCGCCACTGCACTCCAGCCTGGGCGACAGAGCGAGACTCCGTCTCAAAAAAAAAATAAATAAATAAAAGGCCCAGAATTTCTAGCTAAACACCTGCCATAGGAGGCCCCAGGCACAGAAGGAGCATCGTAGGATAGCCTGTGGCTCAGAACTGTGGTTCAGAACTTGAGGCTAGGAACCAGAGGCTTACTCGTCCTAATGAGTAAAAATCATCTTGATTTTTAACTTGTCACCAACAAATCTGTGCCTTGATCTCCTCATAGGTCAAAAGGATATTGGATCAAGTGTCGTACATACCTCAAAGGATTTTGTGAAATGAGACAAGATAGAGCTAAGTACTTCAAAAACTGTAAAGAACTATTCAAACGAAAATTATTTTTATCACTACCATTATTTATAAATGATGGATTCAGCCCAGTTCTATTTGTTGCCAACTTTTGTGATAGAATGGAGCATGGAAAGTAAAAATGAAAAAAAACTCAGTATATTTAATGATATAAACCAAAAAAAAAAAAAAAGAAAAAAGATTTTCTTAAAAAGAAAAAACATACTAAATATTTGTGATGATAATGAAAATTTGGTGGTGGGAGAGAAAAAAATGTTGTTGTTTTATTTTGCTATATTTATGATGTCTCAGTATTCTTTCTACTTGTTCTCCCTTTAGCAATCCAAGCGTTGTTAGGGAAGAAATGGCCGACTTTAAATTCAAGTTGAATTCTCTAAACTCCAGAAGGAAGTATTGTCACTTCCGAAGCCAAAATAAAAATTTTGTCTTTATTCTTATTATATTCTCCAGGGAAATTTCAGCTCCTCAATGCAGTCCCCAGAGACATGCTGCTGAAAGGCTCTTTGGATATGCTGCTGAAAGGCTCTTTAGCTACTCTGAAGAAAAAGATCTCAAACTTCCCCTGAGATCCACTATAATTGCTGGTTTTAGATATTTATACATAGAAAGTCTTTCTTCTCAAAATAACTTTTCAGAGAAGTATTTTCCAAAACTATCATTAATATTAAAATTCCATGATAAAGGAGTTAACCTCATATCAAACCAGGAAGGTTGTAAACACGTTTTATGAATACCTAAGGAATCCATTGCAAATAAGAAAATGAAAGTACACAAAAGAAAGTGTTTTAAGCCATCAGGAAGAATTGTGTTCCATTTAGCTCTTGCCATGGTTACTCTTCTATTTTGTTTTCCTTCAGTGTTTATAAAATTAGTCAATGCTATTTTATTTTATTTTTATGATTACCTTTGGATGTATCATTATAAATAACCAATAAATTTTTTCCTTCTGAAAGGTAAACTTGCACATTATTGTGTATGCAGTTAGCATTCAAAGAATACTTACAAATTATCTACTAATCTGAGTGATATGAAATTTCCATTTTCATGAATTGAATGTAATTTTATCAACAATCTCACATGCCAAAGCTCATATCTAATTCTTGGCAGTCACCTTTTCTAAATCAACTAGCTTATATTTTATTTGTGAATATCTTTTAAAAATTCAGGTTTGTCTGTTCATGTCACAAAAGTTTAGCGAAATTTTTTCTCTTCTTAGTGTAAACATTTGCTCTTTATGACAAGTAAATCATATTTCTTCATAGTATAATTATTTCAAGTATTTAAAAAATATTTTCCTTTATAAGTTGTGTGTGTGTGTGTGTGTGTGTGTGTGTGTGTGACAGAGTCTCACTCTGTCACCCAGGCTGGAGTACAGTGGCATGATCTCTGCTCACTGCAACCTCCACCTCCCAGGTTCAAGTGATTCCCCTGCTTCAGTCTCTTGAGTCGCTGGAATTATAGGTGCCTGCCACCATGCCCAGTGAATTTTTGTATTTTTAGTAGATACGAAGTTTCGCCATGTTGGCCAGTCTGGTCTCAAACTCCTGACCTCAAGTGATCCACCCACCTCAGCCTCCCAGAGTACTGGGATTATAGGTGTGCACCACAACACCCAGCCTCTTATAAGTCTTAACACACTTTTCTGTAAGTCACTGATTTTAATTATATTCATTTAATGTTAAAGAAAAAAAGTGTGAGTAGGTGAATTAAACCAGAATATTTCAGCTTTGTGTTTTCTTAGACTCGATATACTATCTATATGCATATAAATCACAAATTAGCTAACAATGTTATTTTTAAACACTATTTTAAAATTGAGTTTATCCAAACATAAAAAGGCAAATTCCTTATGTTACCATTGCACCAGGGGCTTAGTTAGGTTTTTTAACTATTTCAGTAACAGTCAATCCTAGAACATTTTTCTTTATCCTACTCTCTTTCTTTCCCTCTTACAACAGAATATTTCACAATGAGAAATACAAATCTCCCTGTATGCTACAAATAGAAATCACGAATGTTGATAATGTCTAATAAAAGCATACGTAAGATGACTGTACATGTTTCATCACTGATTAAACTGTTATATTTTTTCTCTCCCACAAACCAACAGGATGTCCACAAATAATACATAACATTATAAAGATGACACACTCAGATTGTCACTGTGTTCTCTTTACTGCCTTTTCTATTCTCTTTTCTATAATGTAGTTCACTTTGCAAGATCGTTTGTCTACTAAAATGTGGACATAGCTATGCTTTCAAAATGTTGGTATCCCAGAGCACCTGCATTTCCCAGAAGGTAATTCTAGTTCTTTCCCTTAATGTTTAATAAGATTCTTTGTCTATATAATGAATTCACTCATCCACATCTCAGTTTTCTACCCTTTAATTTTAGTGTATGTGCATTTAGAGATTGTTTTGATTATTCTCTATGCTCTTTTCTTGGGCAGATGCTTTTTTGCTTACCTAGGAATTTTATGTTGACTTTATCTAATAGTTATGTAAACACTTTCATGTGCCAATTCTGCATTGTCCCAGTTCCAGTTTCAGCAGCCCCTCAGAGATGTTCATTCACAATCTTATCATTTGTTTCTTACACAGCAGAATATGCAAGATATTACATATTCTGGTATGAATATGTAATATACATAAACATATTCATATACTTCATGTACATGTGCCCTGGCCACATAGCTGATCCACTGTTAGAACTTGTCTCCAGGGTTTTAATTTCTCTCTCTCCTTTATATTGAAACTAGAAACCAAACTCTAGACAGTCTTACACTGAGTTTTCCTAGTCATTAATCTATGTCTTCATAGCTTAATTTTGAATAACAAGTGCAAAAATCACACTATTTTTTCTGTTGGATTGTCAAAATAAGATTGGTTACCAAATGACATGGCTGTCTTCTGAAGCTCTAACAAATAGGAGAATCATAAAGTCAAGTTGGTTCTATTAAAGTGAACGAGTAAAATCCTCTCTGTGACTGAAGGACTGAAAAGAAAAAGGCAGCCCTGCTGTTAATCAGGCAGGGAGGACAGATGGATAAAGGCAGCTGCAAAGTTAACAGCAAATGTTTTTTCCAAGGTCTTGTAGCAGCTATAAAATGCCATCATGATTCTCTCCTTGAGTGACCACTGCTTTGTTACCCATGACACCCCCAGACCTGCTTTGTCACATCTGTTATTGGGGATATCCAGTTGCTAAACTGCCCTCATCTCAAGACAGTACTCAGTTCCTAGCTAATTCTCACTTCTCCTAATCTTGCAACAGAAAGATTATCCAACCCAGAGATGCTCTCCATTCCCTTAGAGCTTGCTCATAACCCTCCAGCAGGAACCCAAATCTTGTAGAGTGCACATTTGAGGTTCTCTGGAATGTGCTCCCTTTCCTGCAAATCAATAAATCTGATTTTGTCAAACTATAGGTTTGAGCTGGGTAGTCTTTGGCTGGTTAAGCTTTGACAGATATCAAATAGAAAATATAGAAGAAAAAGAAACTGGAGAGTTTGAATAATCTTGTCAGATATTTGGAGTTTTAAAATAAGATTTCCCAAATGTCAGAAGTTTTTTCCAGGGCCTATACATTATAAGAAAAAAGTCTTTTAAAAATCAAATGTTTTCAAGAAACACAAAGTATTTCAGGCTTCATGATTTCTCCCAGAGTTGACAACTTCCAAAAATAAAAATTTCTTCCTTTAAAATTGCTTTAAGTATTCTCACCACACACACACACACACACACACACACACACAAATAGGTATATGAGGAGAATTTTTTAAATTAGTGAAAAAATTAATTAAAAATAAAATATAAACTTTATTTCTCAACATAAGCTCCATCAAGTTCAAGGCACTTCTTTAAGAGTTGATACCAGGCATTTAGTTTATCCCTAAAGAACTGAGAGTCCTGGGAATTTAAAAATGTTAATGCAGTCTTTTTTACACTATTAACTGAAGAAAAATGAGGGTCCTTTAATCGTTTTTTTTAATTAAAAAGAAAAGTCAGAAGGAGACAAATCAGGACTGTAAAGTGGATGCCTAAAAATTTTATATTGAAACTCTCAAAAAATTGTACTTGCTTGGTGAGAGGAATTAGCAGGAGCATCGTTGTGGTGGAGAAAGACTCTATAACGAAGCTTTTCTGGGTATTTTTCCGCTAAAGCTTTGGCTAACTTTCTCAAAACATTCTCATCATAAACAAATGTTATTGTAACAGTGGAGGGAGACTTAGCATGACTGAATCCTTTTTGCCTCTCACCATCCCCAGTGATAATATCCTTTAAGTTAAAAGCCTCTGTTTAGCTTTGCATGTAGACCAGCTAATTATAGGAATAATTTAGTTTACAGTTCAACTTTAGAGAAAATGGTAACAGTGCTTTTCCTCAAACTAACTCCTGGAGAGATAAGGAGAGTACATGCACAAGTAAAAGTGTTTGTTAAAGACTTATGGGAACATTGTGACCTGACCAAGAATAAAAAAATTTCCCAACCTCCTTGGACCCTCACTGGTGCCTGAATTTCTGTAGTCATCATCTGTCTCTTCACCTCAACCCCTTCTTCTTCCCCTTCCATTAACATAAAAAGAGCCTGAAAGGTGTACTAACTTAAGATGGTTCTTTAGGTTGCTAGTCTGCCATCTTCTTGGTTTTCTGGCTCTTCTAATAAAGTGGCTTTCCTTGCCCCAAAACCTTGTCTCTTGATTTACTGGCTGTCATGCAGCAAGTGGTACAAGATTGGACTTGGTTACATTAGTGTTCTTTGGACCTCCAGAAAGTCAACAAGCAAAATGCTTTGAGCATCCCAAAAAGCTGCTACCATGACCTTTGCTCTTGACCGGTCCACTTTTGTCTTGACTAGACCACTTCTGCCTCTTGGTAGTCATTGCTTTGATTGTGCTTTGTCTACAGGATCATATTAATAAAGCTATGGTTCATCTCTTGTTTCAATTCTTTGAAGAAATGCTTCAGAATCTTGGTCTCACTTGTTTAAAATTTCCGTTGAAAGCTCTGCTCTTGTCCTCAGCTGATCTGGGTGCAATGGTTGTAGCACCTTTCAAGTGGAAACTAACTTTTCAGTCAGAATTGTGTAAGCTGAACAAATTGAGACCAAACAAAATGAATTTTTTCCTCGCAAATTGATGTGGATGATCTGCCGCTGCGGAATTTATCTTCATTATCATCTAATTCCTTCTTCAAACAAATTATCTATTTGTAAATTGCTGATTTGGGGAAAAAGGATATTGTCCTCATAAGTTTTTCATAAAACATCAGTGATTTCACCATTCTTCCACTCAAGCTTCACCATAAACTGGATGTTTGTTCTTGCTTCAATTTTACCAGAATTCATGTTGTTCTAATAGGGGCTCATTTCTTTCTTTCCTTCTTTTTTTTTTTTTTTTAAGTATCTTAGACACCTTCTTTCTCTTACTTTTAATTTTTAGTTTGTAGTAGGAGGAATAATTTCCTTTTTTCATGGTTGTTGTATTTTTTCTTTTCCTTACCTAGGTCCTTTGTAAATTTTGACTCAAATGTGATAAAGTTTCACTGGTAATTATGCAGCTTGTTTCAAATTTTTGATAAATTTTGTTTACCAGATTGAGGAGGTTCTCTAGTTCTAATTTAATAAGAGAAACATAAGCAAATGTGAAATTTTTTCAAATACTGTTTCTGCAACTTTTGATGTGTTTATTTTTTTCTGTTATAATTTGTCATTGCAGTGAATTACATTGATTTCTTTTTAATATTTCAATAGCTTTTGGGGAACAGGTGGTTTTTGATTGCATAGATAAGTTCTTTAGTGGTAATTTCTGACATTTTGATGCACCCATCACCCAAGCAGTGTACACTGTACCCAATGTCTAGCCTTTTATCCCTTGCCCCCCTCCCACATTTCCCCTGAGTCCTCAAAGTCCATTATATCATTCTTATTCCTTGGCATCCTCATAGCTTAACTCCCACTTATAATTGAGAACATATGATATTTAGTTTTCCATTTCTGAATTACTTTACTTAGAATAATGGTCACCAACTCCATCCAGGTTGCTGTGAATAACATTATTTCATTCTTTTTATGGCTGAGTAGTATTCCATGGTGTATACATACCACATTTTCTTTATCCACTCTTGGGTTGATGGGCATTTAGGCTGGTTCCATATTTTTGCAACTGCAAATTGTGCTGCTATAAACATGTGCAAGTGTCTTTTTCATATCATGATTTCTTTTCCTCTGGGTAGATACTCAGTAGTGGGATTGCTGGATCAAATGATAGATCTACTTTTAATTATTTAAGGAATCTCCAAACTGTTTTCCATAGTGGTTATACTAGTTTACATTCCTACCAGCAGTGTAAAAGTGTTCCCTTTTCACCACATACACGCCAACATCTATTTTGTTTTATTGTTTAATTATGACCATTCTTGAAGGAGTAAGGTGGCATCTCATTGTGGCTTTCATTTGCATTTCCCTGATCATTAGTGATGTTGAGCATTTTTTCATATGTTTGTTGGTCATTTGTATATCTTCTTTTGAGAATTGTCTATTCATGTTCTTAGCCCACTTTTTGATGGGATTGTTTGTTTTTTTCTTGATGATTTGTTTGAGTTCCTTGTAGATTCTGGATATAGTCAAATAGGGACTGTTTTTAATCTGATATTTTATTCTTCTTAGTGCCTCAAACTAGCTCCTGTTGAAACATGTTATAACAAGTTAGTACGAATTTATTTCGGTGCAAAAAATTGAAATTCATGCATAGTTTTTTCTGAAATGTATGAAAAATGAATCTGCTCTTGTCTGAGCAGATTTGTCATACATTTGACAAGGTCTGCTCTTGTCTGAGCAGATTTGTCATACATTTGACAATGTATGAGAAATGTCATACATTTCTGAAATGTATGAAAAATGAATCATCATACATTTTTGATGAACTTTGTGAAGATCCCTATAGAGTAATATGCACGTTATTTAGCTTGATTTAGCCATTCCACAACGTATACATATTTCAAAACATCATTCTGTACAGAATAAATATTTACTCCGGTCATGGTGGTTCACACGTGTAATCCCAGCACTGGCCAGATGGCCATTGGCTCATGCCTGTAATCCTAGCACTTTGGGAGGCTCAGGCAGGAGAATCACTTGAGATTAGGAGGTCAAGGCTACAGTGAGCCATGATCACATCACTGAACTCCAGCCCAGGTGACAGAATAGACCCTGTCTCTATCTATCTATCTATCTATCTATCTATCTATCTATCTATCTATCTATAATTTTTCTTTTGTCAATAAAAAATAATTAATTTTTAAAATGTATCTCAATTATGGAGACAACTTTTCTAAAAAAAAAGAAAAGAAAAAAACCTCGACACTTTGGCTAAGAAGAAATAAATCTCCATCTAGTGTTTAGTTTTTTAACAAGTTGAATTAACTCTGGAATTTCTCTTCTCTTTCAAGCCCTGTATCTCTTTAGCAAATACCCAGTAGGCACATTTTCTTGCCTTCAGGCTTCAACCAGGACTTATGTTGTGTCTCTACCAGTATTATTTGTTTCAGATGGGTGTTGTAGGGATGGCGTATTTCTGTCATCTCTATTCTGTCCCATTGCTTGTTTCTATATATTTCTACCTCAGTTGTATGCATTGAAGCTTCAAAATATGTTTTATATCTGAGAGTAAAATCCTCATCATACTCTTCATTTTTCAAAATAATCTATGCACATATACAACCATCTGATCTTTGACAATGCTGACAAAAACAAGCAAAGGGGAAAGGATTCTCTATTTAGTAAATGGTGCTGGGAGAACTGGCTAGCCATATGCACAAAATTGAAACTGGACCCTTTCCTTACAACTTATACAAAAATTAACTCAAGATGGATTAAAGACTTAAATGTAAAACCCAAATATAAAAAAGCCTAGAAGAAAATTTAGGCAATACCATTCAGGACACAGAAAAAGATTTCATGACAAAATCACCAAAAACAATTACAACAAAAGCCAAAACTGACAAATGGAATCTAATTAAACTAAAGAGCTTCTGCACAGCAAAAGAAACTATCATCAGAGTGAACAGGCAACCTACAGAGTGGGAGAAAATTTTTGCAATCTACCCATCTGACAAATGGCTAATATCCAGAATCTACAAGGAACTTAAACAAATTTACAAGAACAAAACAAACAACCACATTAAAAGGTGGGCAAAGAACATGAACCGACACTTCTCAAAAGAAGACATTCATGCAGCCAACAAACATATAAAAAATAGCTCAACATCACTGATCATTAAAGCAATACAAATCAAAACCACAATGAGATATCATCTCACACCAGTCAGAATGGCAATTATTAAAAAGTCAGGAAACAACAGATGCTGGCAAGGCTGCAGAGAAATAGGAACACTTTTACACTGTTGGTGGGAATGTAAATTATTTCAACCATTGTGGAAGATGGTGTGGTGATTCCTCAAAGATCCAGAACTGGAAACATCATTTGACCCAGCAAGCCTATTACTGGGTATATACCCAAAGGAATATAAATCATTCTGTTACAAAAATACATGCACACATATGTTCATTGCAGCACTATTTGAAATAGCAAAGGCATGGAATCAACCCATGTGCCCATCAATGACAGGCTGGATAAAGAAAATGTGGTACATATACACCATGGAATACTATGCAGCCATAAAAAGGAATGAGATCATGTCCTTTATAGGGACGTGGATGGAGCTGGAAGCCATTATCCTCAGCAAACTATCACAAGAACAGAAAACCAAACACCACATATTCTCACTTATAAGTGGGAACTAAACAATGAGAACACATGGACAGTGGGAGGGGAACAACACACACTGAAGCCTGTTGGCAGGTGGGGTGAGAGGAGGCAGAGCATTAGGAAAAAAAGCTAATGCATGCTGGGCTCAGTATCTAGGTGATGTATTGATAGGTGCAGCAAACCACCATGGCACATGTTTACCTTGTAACAAACCTGCACATCCCGCACATGTACCCCAGAACTTAAAATAAAAATAAAAATTAATAATAATAACCTAAATCATTTGGCCTATTTTTTCTATTAAATATATTTTATTAAAATTTAACGTTTTTAATTAAATTAAAAATATTCCTCACTGTAACTTTTTTGAAGTGACATTAAACTTCTAAATTAACTCTGATTCATATGTCTCAGGACTTAGTATGCTTCTTCACTTTTTTGAATATTATTTTATTTTGCAATAAATTTTATTACTTTTCTTTAATAAAAATAATATTAATGATAGAAAAGTTTAGAAAGTACAAAAATATATATAACATCATACTCTTAATAGGCCATAATATCAATTATTTCCAATTTTTAAATTTACATAAATTTTTTATATTTTTAGTCAGTTTTAAATCACTTGATTTAATTACAGTAGGTCCTCTGTATATGCAGATCAAAAATGTTCCCCAAAATCAATAAAAATAACAATACAATAATAAAAAATAATACAAATGAAAAAACAATGTAGTATAATAACTACATGGCATTTACATTATACGGCTTTAGGTATTATAAGTAATCTAGAGGTGATTTAAAGTATATGGAAGGATGTGTACATGCAAATACTATGTCATTTTATATAAGAGACTTGAGAATTCATGGATTTTGATATCCTCAGGGGACAGGGACTTCCTATCTCCGCCAGATACCAAGCAACCACTGTGTTGCTAATTTCATTAGTGTTTGCAAATTCCCTTAAGTTTTCTAGGTGTCCAATCTTATTATCTAAAAATATTGATAATTATAGTCCCAGGTTTACCTCCACTTTTGTTCCATGTTGTGGTAGATAAAATAATGGCATCCCAAAGATGTAAATTCTGAATATATTGTTACATGACAAAAGGGAATTAAGGCTGCTAATCAGTTTACCTTGAAATAAGGAGATAGCCCTGATTGCTCCAATCTAATCACATTAGTCCCTAAAAGCAGAACCCTTCTCAGCTTCAAAGAGACAGAAGATCAGAGATGAGACATTGGAAGGACTAAATGAGACATTGTTAGCTTTGGAGAAGAAAGAAACCATGAACCAAGAAATGTCGGTGGCCTCCGAAAGCTGAAAAAGACTTCCCTAGTGCCTCCAGAAGGAAATGCAGCCCTGCCGCCACCTTGATTTGAATCCACTAAGATCCCTGTTAGACTTCTGATCTACAGAACTGTGAGATAAATTTATGCTGTTTTATGCCACTAGTTTCATGATAATTTATTACAGCAGCAATAGAAAAATGCATGTTTTCTTATATTGACCTGAACAATGTTAAATAATAATGCAAATTTTGGGTGGAGAAAGAGACATTTAGGTTGAAAAGACAAATGAGGCTGCCCTGTCTCAACAACAAATGATTTAGAAATTTTCTTCTACTTCATTAGATTAAATTAATGTTCTAATTTATTATAGTGTTACTAATCTAGTTTCTAATGATACATTTCAATGCTTCATATTTCACTTTTCTGATTTTCTTTATCTGTATTTATTAATTTTTTGAAGTATCATTTTCAAAGGATTGGTATTTTCTCTAATGGTTTCTTATTTGAAATGCAGTCTCCTTAAAGTACTGGCACCCTCTGCTACTTTTGCTAGCATTTCTCCCATATATGCTGTGACAAAATTCAAGCCTTATGTGTATATTTTTATTGTCATCTTTGAACATTTCTCACATTTCAACTATATTGCTAAGGATAGAATCTATCAGCTGAATCAATAGACAATGATCTTGCCCCATTCTTCTTAATTTCTTTCCCTAAAGGCCCACTAGTCATAGATTGAGTATCAGCTGTTGTCTTTCCAGCAGCCCTTCCCCCTTTTTTTTACTAACAGCACACTGCAGTTAGATTGTAAATCGTAGTACCCTGCCCCTTCCAAACTAATAGATAGCAAATAACCAAGATTCTCCCTCTCCTGGTAATCCGAAACCTGAATAGAATGTTTAGATGGTCTTGAAATCGTCAACAGCACTCAAAAGAAACTGTCTCTAAGTTTCTGATTGAGATGCCCCAAGCTGCTATAGTTTATTAATTTCTGAGACCTTGTTATCCGGTTTTTCCTTCAATTGTGTAATCTAAGCAGTATCTTCCTTTAAATGTCTTTATTTATTTATTTTTATTTTTTATTTTTTTGAGACTGGGTCTTGCTCTGTCACCCTACCTGGAGTTACAGAGCAGCAGCCTCAATCTCCAGGGCTCAAGTAATCTTTCCACTTCCACTGAGTAGCCAGGACTACAGACATGTGCTATCATCCCTGAAAATTGTGTGCGTGTGTTGACGGGGGGTGGCGAGGTTGGGGGAGATGGGGTCTCACCATGTTTTCCAGGCTGGTCTTGAACTCCTGGTCTCAAGCAATCCCTCTGCCTCAGCCTCCCAAATTTCTGGGATTATGACCAGTGTCAGTTTCTAATGTTTTCAACCAAAGACTTTGAACTGATTGATTCACAGGGGATGGTGGTCAAGATGGCATGTATCGTCATCTATTTCTGTGGATTCAATGCAAAAGTGTTTCTTTGTGTGCTATCTTAGTTAAGAATCATTTGGTTGTACTGTAAGAATGGGGATAACAAGAGGAAAGAGAAAAAGAACAATTTTCAGAAGAATCTCCCTAGTTACTCCAATGCTGCCAATGTTCCTTCCAATTAACTCCTGTTCTCTCTCAGCTAAGAGACAGCAAAATGGAGGCTGGAAAGAGATAGTGTACCTTTTGCTCCCTACTTGGCAGTAGAGTGTCAACAAACCTCTTTCCCAAGTCAACCCTATGTAACTTTTTAATGAAATTAAAGGCTCTAGCAACCATGTGTCTGTGTCAATTCTTTCCAGTCCTCGACTTCTGGGTGGTGACATGTAAATGAGGATGAGTTTCATATAACGTGGCTGAATATTCTATACATCAAAGTAGGGCAACATGGCCAATGGCAAGAATATGAGTGGCAATGGGGACCACCCTTGGAGAGAAAGCCAGAATGTTACCTTTGTGTCAGTCATGCTAAGTGATAAACATTAGCAAATAAATGAGGTTGCATAGTGGACATATTTGTTTTGAGAGTTTTGGCTTTAAACCGTTAAAACACTCAATACCTTGCCCCCTCCTTAAAAAATGAACATTTATAAATCTGAGTTTTCCCTATCTCTTTTACTGATATTAATACATAAGAAACAAACTTCAAAGCCCAAATACCCATGCATACAACTCCATTTATCCTGAAGGGAGAATAAAAGAACTTTTTGAAAAGTTACTCAGGCATAGCTAAAGCTCTGAAAAAAAGTGGGAATACCAAGCCACGAGAATGTCTGAAACCAGGATAGCTCAGAGAAAGTGAGTAGCAGGAGTTTATGCACTTTCCCTGTATAGTTCTACCTTGAATTTAACTTATTTCACAAAACTAGAAATTTACATTTGTGAGAAATGGATGTGCAAAGGCTTTAGAATAACAAGAAACAGTAGAATTTTGGGGAGCCAGAACAAACCCTGACCACAGAACCTTCAGAGCTACATTTTCTAGTCTCAATGTAGCACTTCTTTCCTTCCTTGTATTTCTTTTTTTATGTGACCTCCATTATTATTTAAGTTTCATCCTCTGTCTTTTGTTAGTCTCTATTTCTTTGACCATTTGATTGCATTCTGTAATTTTGAAAATTGACTATTTTAAAATCTTTCATTTAACCTTTTCTCTTAAAACTTTTTTCATACCTTAAATTACTTCATTCTTCAGAATTTCAAAAGTTAAAAAGGATCAATGGTTATCCTCTCTGGCTTTAGCTTTCTTTTATTTATATAGTACATGAAGTGTAAAAGCAAATTACAAAATCTATAGTGAGCACATCTTGTTTTTGAAAAAAATAATGTATATATAATATATGTATACACCAGGGTCTAGATCTAACTAGCAATTTGCAGAAAATATAAAGGATGAGGGAAGAGAGTAAGTCAAATGACACCACAAAAAAAGCAATCAGCCCAATCCAAGAGAGGGAAATTCTTCAAGAGAATAGACCAAATTTCCTCAACAATAAACATCATAAATGTAGGCAGAGGGAGAAGCAATTATACACTTAAAAAACTGATTTGTAACCATCCTTATAGATACTTAATTTAGGGAAACACACACACACACACACACAAATAAACTGGTAAAAGACATTTTTGAGACAATCAGAGAAATTGCATTAAGGAATAATTGTTAACATTTTTGGGTGTGATAATGACATTATGATTACATTTTTAAAAAAACCTGTTGGAGATATGCACTGAAGTACTTTCTGATAAAATACTGTGATTGATATTATGGTTAATATTATGATTGATATTAGTACCACTTTGGCAAACTGTGTGTATTGGAGGTGGTAGGACAATCAATGACAAGATTGATGGAGTGTCAATAATTTTGGACATGAATGATGGGTTCAAGGGGAGTCATTAAACTCTACTTTTGTAGATATGTTTAAATTTCCATTGTTAAGTCTGATGAGTTTATAGGTGGTTTGTGTTTCCCTTTCAGTATTTTCTAACTTTTTGCTGTAAACTTCCTTGTGTAACAAGGAAAGTTTTAAAATGTTAAAGGTATGTCCTATATTTTAAATGTATTCCCATTTTGAACAAGAATTTGTTCATATGCTACTGCCATTTTTAAAGTTTTGAGAAATGAATGTTGACACGATCAGAAAAAGGTGACATATTTCATCACAAGGCAGTTTTGAATTTCAACCGAGATAACATTTCTGAAAATATAGTATAGCCCTCATAGTCTTATCCAAGTGCACTGTTATTTGCTAGTAACTTGCTTCTTGCTTTTCTTTTCATTCTTTTCTGTTTGTTTTTCTTCTGTTAACAGTCCAGACTGTTAGCACATACATATAAGTATAGGAGTTTCCACCTTACATTCTATCATACTGGTTACTATTATTTGGCTTCAGAAGTTTTGTTTACTTCTGCTTCTGTTATCCTTTCCCTGGGATATAATTATAATTTCCTTTGAATAACTGCTATAACAGAAATTAGCCTCAGATAACTCTTCATATTTCTCCTAAGAGTACATCTATTTCTATTAGAAATGTCTTGGTCAGGTGTAGTGACTAACACATGTAATACAAGCACTTTGGGAGGCTGAGGCAGGTGGATTGCTTGAGCCCAGGAATTTGAGACTAGCCTGGGTAACATAGGGAAACTCTGTCTCTACCAAAAAATAAAATAAAAAATTAGCCAGGCGTGGTGATGCATGACTGTGGTCCCGGCTACCCAGGAGGCTGAGATGGGAGGATCACTTGAACCCAAGAGAACAAGGCTGCAGTGAGCCAAGATCACAGCCTGAGACAGAGCAAGACCCTGCCTGTCTCAAAAAAAAAAAAGAAAAAAAAAGAAAGAAAGAAATTCTAATGTTATGGTCTCAAGAGAAAGCATCACCTTCTTGAAAGGTAAATGTAAGCACCTTGGCACGTGGAAAATATTGAGGTTAATAATGTAACCGCCCAATGGGTGGGTTCACCTTGCCCGCTGCCTAGATAGAACTTACTTATCAAGACAGAGGAACTGCAATGGAGAAAGAGTAATTCACACAGAGCGGGCTGTGCGGGAGACCCGAGATTTATTTTTACTCAAATCAGTCTCCCCGAGCATTCAAGGATCAGAGATTTTAAAGATAATTTGGCAGGTAGGGGCTTGGGAAGTGGGGAGTGCTGTTTGGTCAGGTTGGAGATGGAATCATAGGTGGTGGGGGGCGGGCAGGGAGGGGAGGTTTTCTTGCTGTCTTCTGTTCCTGGGTGCGATGGCAGAACTGGTTGGGCCAGATTACCGGTCTGGGTGGTGTCAGCTGATCCACTGAGTGCAGGGTCTGCAAAATATCTCAAGCACTGATCTTAGGTTTTACAATAGTGATGTTACGCCCTGGAGCAATTTGGGAAGGTTGAGACTCTTGGAGCCACAGGCTGCCTGACCCCTAAATTGTAATTTCTAATCTTGTAGCTAATTTGTTAGCTGTGAAGGCAGATTGGACCCTCGGCATGAACGGGGTCTTTTTGGGAATGGGGTGTTATCAATTTTGTTTCAGAGTCAAACCATGAACTGAATTCCTTCCCAAAGTTAGTTCGATCTATGCCCAGGAATGAACAAGGACAGCAAGATAGAGTCAATTAGGTCTGATTTCTTTCACTGTCATAATTTCCTCAGTTATAATTTTGCAAAGACAGTTTCAATAAGAGTGATAATAATAATTTCCTTTCTCCTACACTCTCTTCAATTTCTCTCTTTCTGCCGCTTCGTCTTGTCTCAGGTCCTATTATTATTGCTGTGCTCCTGTGCTGCTGTTCTTCCTGGCTGTATGGCCTATTACACTGGGTCTGTGAACCCCAGGTCTTTGATCACTTTTCTCTGCTGATTATTCATATACTCTTTTCTTCTCTCTGCCTTTCCACTGATGGACTTAGACACAATCTCTTTCCCAAAAAAGAGCTATATTTAGCTACTTTTCTTTTGCATATTGTTCCATTTGCAGCCACGCTATTTCTCTTCCCCCACACCACCCCTATCACCAGGAATCCATTTTCCTTATTTTCTTTTTAATATTGGGAGCCTCTGCTCACTGCACTGCATAGTCCTTGGGGCTTTTTTTAAACTTTATTTTTAACAATCATTTGAGCAGAAAGTAGCCAATTCAGTTCTTTAATTTCCCATTTTATTCTTGGTTTGAAACTGACCTGATTGTGTCCCTCTCACTTTTGTTATGACCAGTTACTTAAAAGCCATACAGCCCACAAGGTACCCTTGGGTATAAATCCAACTTCTTCATTTTAATGGTGAGAAACCAAAAGCCCATGTTTCCTGATTTCTGGCCCAGCACTGGAACTTGTTTTCATGGCACATCAATTCATCATACATTTTAATAGTGATATTTTATATTTGCATAATTTTGTTGCCTTTGCAATGGGCCTTCACATCTATCTTCTCATGTGTATATAGTTTAAAGGCCATTTTTACCCACTATCTCCTAATCATATCTACCACAGCCTTAGGAAATGTCTGCTCTATTATTTCACTTGCCTGTCTGGGATCTTGGGCAACAGCATAGAATCCTGCACTGTGTTTTCCCTCACGCTATCCCACTCTCTGCAGAACAAATTTTTTTACATGCCTTATCATCATGGTATTATTGGCCTTCAGTCCTGTATAGAAGCATTAAAAATTGCATAATGTATATCCTTTTAAAATATTATCCTAAGAAGCATCATTTGAAGTAAAAGAGAGTTAGATGAATAAAGAAAGAATATAGTTTCTCCTAAACAAACCCACCAAGAAAATCATGAAAAGAATTATGAGAACTATGAAAATGAAGGGGGTATACTTTGTCAACAAAAGCAAAATAACCAAGCTACTCTTAGACATAATCTCACATTATCTTTCTGTAGTTCTCTAGCATTTTCTAAGCCTTTTCACACACTGTTATCTCTTCTTTCTCCTTCTAGAAATTAATTATGACTTTTCCTTTCAAAAATGAAGCACTTTTTTTTTTTTACTCTTTTCATTTTTTCCTGAGACCATATGTCAAAGGGAAGGCAAGGAACAACTTTGGTGTGGTAATAGCCAAAGTTCTCCAGGTCTGCTCCTCAAGCTTGCAAAGTCAAGACTGGCAGAAGTGGTGATTTTTACCTGGGTATCCTGAGAACCTTGCACAGTCCTTACCACATGCAAGTGTTCAGAGTGTGAAAATAAACGAAGAAATGTGAGATTGTGATGATATTTTCATGGCATGCTTTTTTTTCCACACTTCCTCGTGCAGCCCAACATCCTCTACAGTGTGTTGTTCTACCCGTTTAAGTGATTCACCACTTCTCCATTAAGCCAACTTAAACCATGTTGCCTTCAACTCAACATTGATTGATCCTCAATACAGTCCTCTAGAGAGGCAAGAAAACTTACAAATGAAGTGGTAAAGAAAGAGATTAAGCAATTTGCCCCAAATCTTATAACCACTAGGTGATAAATCTTCAACTAGGACTTAAATATCTGGCTGAGAATTCAGTGTTCTTTTCATTTAAATCACATTGCTTCACAAAAATAGATCCGCAGGAAGAATAAAAATGTCCAAAGTGCAATGAGACAGAGAAGATAATATGGAGACAGACATATTGCACAGAAAGCATTTGACCATATGTCTGCCTGGTCCCCTTCATGTGTTTTGTTCATAACTTACTTTACTCGGGCAGCAGGAGATAGCATAACAACTGTCAGAGTGAATTTAGGCCACAGTTTTGTGTTGCTGAATGTGTTGAGTCATTTCCCTTAGTTCACATTTCTACCTAACTTTATCTTTTAAGTCATCATCATGGCTTTAATCTCTTCTTTATTTTGACTGTTAAAATTTTGTAGCCATTATCCAAATAAAATATTTATTTTCACTCATGAGTCCCTAATCTTTCCCCAATGGAATTAGCTATTTATTTGATGCAATAGCTAGACCAGTAGGGTTAAAAATGCTTTTATAAAGACATTAATAGCTGGGTATGGTGGTGTGCACCTAGGGAGGCTATGGCAGGAAGATCACCTGAGTCCAGGAGTTTGAGGCCAACGCCTTCACAACATAGTGAGATCCTGTCTTTAAAGTAAAAATTTAAAAATTAAAAGAAAAGACATTTAAAAAGGTTGTTTACCAAAATGATGGTTAACTGACAGAAAATAGAAACTGAAACTAGAAATCATTGCCATCAGCTTTCTCTAATGTGTACTTGATCCTTTTCTCCATGTGATGAAAGTTGAAAGTCTTTTTTTTTTTTAATCCACTACTGTTCAAATGAGAATAAACAGCCAAATGACTGAATTAGTTGGTAGACATAATTCCTAGCCTTCAATTATTTTTATATTCTTTTGTAATACAGTCATGATTTTTTCAGGCTTCTATAATATTGCATTTAACCAATCCCCAAACAGGGAAACGTTATGTAATTTTTCTATTATTTACAGTTCCTTGATTATAATCTTTTATTTGAAAAGATTATATATTTATATAAAAACTCAGTTTCTTTCTTATATATAAACATTATTAGTAGTCTAAAAATGTCATTCTCAATAAAAAGGATGAGTGAACTTGAGGACTAGAGAATCAGGTAGTCACCATCAGAGAACTGGTTTAACAAACAGAAGGGGCCTACCCAGATACAGAGAAGTCAGGCAGGGCTGTGGTGTGAAAATGTTAGAGAAGCTTGATGGGAGGCCTAATATAGTTTGTCTTTACACCTGTATATTTTGCTTCTTGCATCTGCTTGAATGCCCTCTGTCATTTATTATAACTAGATTTATTGTTCCAATAGGTTTGTACTACAGTCAGAACAAACAAATCACTGGATCCAGCAGAAACCTTAGATATATGACATAACAGAGATTTGCAGAAAGATTTGTCCCATTGCCTTCTCGAATTTCTCTTATCATCAGTCCATCTAGCTGGAGCTCTCTGAAGGTCATCAGAGGTCA
Source organism: Homo sapiens (assembly GCF_000001405.40). Classification (NCBI taxonomy): domain Eukaryota; kingdom Metazoa; phylum Chordata; class Mammalia; order Primates; family Hominidae; genus Homo; species Homo sapiens. Next base: position 50,592,312 of record NC_000005.10, read on the forward strand.
GTATAATTTTAATAAGATTTTAACTGAAGGATAGCCTTGATGTTCAGTGACCTTCAGACATGTTTGTTTATAATTGAGAAGCCACTCCCCCTGTTGAATGATAACCTCTTCCATGAATTACCAAACCAATGCTGCTCACATTTTGATTAACCATTGATTCCCATAAATCCAGCGTCCCCCAACACTGATTATCTAAATAACCTGAATTATTTGCATTGCCTTATCAATTCCATCTCATTTCCTGTCTTGGTGGTTTTGCTCACACTGCTTCTATGTGGAATGTCCATATGTACCCACCCGAGTTTCCACTTCATCATTCCATCATCTGTAGTCCACTATCCATCATCAGGACTAATGTGAGCTGACTTTCCTCCAAAAAGCTTTCCCTGAACTTATCCTAAAATAACATTTTTCTCTGCTAACTTACCATTTGTCATATGTTCGTATACAGCTTCTCTAACTGTCATGAAATGAAATAAATGGGAGGAAGATGAAACTTGAAAAGAAATCTGCTCCTTAAGGCAGGCCCTGGGGGAATAGGCCTGGCTGGAGGTAATGTAAGGTCTAGATGGTGTTTTTAGAATCTGAAGACTACAACACCAAACACAACAAGTATAAGCCTAGGCAAGCTGTCAGTGCAAGGCCTAAAATTAGGTATTTCAACAAGTGGATGAATCAATTTGGGGAATTGTATTAGTAAACAGAGGAAGCCTGTCCAGTAAAAGGGAGGGTAAGCAGGGATGCAGTTTAAAACTATTGAGGAATAATGGCTAAGAAATAGCAAAATTAACACATGGCCTAAAATATTAAGAAATTAAGCCTGTTATTGAATTACTGACCAGGCTAGTATATAGGAGCATTAACAACACAAAAACAGATTAGGTCACGATTAGCAGTGGGGGTGAAATAATCTTCAGGGCTGAAATACTGAGCTAGAAATATTTAAATCCTCCTTGCAGATGAAAAATATAGAGGACAATTTGTTGGTTCAGCATGAATTTCTAGTCTTTTGTTAAGAAGCTAGAACAGAAATACTCTCTTTCATTGCAAGTGAACATTGAGGCAGTAAACTCCAAATATAGCTGCAGGTACCATCTCCTGCTGATTTGTGTGTATAGAGCATGAAAGAAAGGCTCAGAAACAAAAGCATGTCGGAAAAATAAGCAGGAGGCATTTACTTGCAAAGAAATGTGAGGAAGTCAGTCTTCAAAAGAACTGGCCCAAAAAATTTAAAAAATAGAATTTTTTAAAACAAACAGTATTGTGAAGACTATAGGCTTTATATTAGTCTCTTCATGGCAGAAAACAGCAATTTTATCATGGTTATTGTATTCAAAAAGTTCATGACATATCTTCAGACAATAAATAGCATTGTAAAGTCAAGGATAAAGTAATTTTCATTAAGGAGTTAGCAACTCTCAGGAAATGCTCAAGGTTTTATTCATTTGGAGGACTGCAAGTAAACAGAGAGACTCTTTTATTGTTTCTTTATGTCAGAGTGCAGAGGTTTTTTTCTCTGTTTCTTCAGCAGTGGGACATGATGTACGGGCTGACAATGGTGTCAGGCCCAGATGTCACTTTGGTTTTTACACTTCATCTTGTGGTCATGTTTCCTCCTCTACAGGACATGTTTGTCTACCTACATTTGCTGAACAATGTTCCTAATCAGTACTATTGATTTTACATTTTACTTTGAGCCATTTTATTTGCACAGATCTAAGAAGAAGTGTTGATTATATTAATTTAATGACCTCCTAGTATTTTTTTGACGAAACAATAAACTAAGGCTTACAAGTTTATGTCTATCTATAGATTTATAAAGCCCTTGTGGTTTAAATTTACTTTTACATGTTTAACAGCTCAGTTTAGAGCAGACCAAACCAGTCAGCTCACCTCTACCTGATTTCACCTGCAGTATTTATAATGCAAATGTATCCTTTTTAATAAAAGATATCCAGATGTCTTGATGTCCCTGCTCTGCCAAGAAAGGACATTCTTTTTAACCTCCAAGCCTGAGATTGCATAGTCCATACAGCATGTACCAGACTGGTTTCCTAGAAGGATGTTATAGGCATCACTTCTGCGTGAAAAACATAGAAATTATTCTTATTACTGGATTTGTCTTGTCTAATTTAATTGAATTTGTAGCACAGCTATAAATTTTTTATTAAAAAATTAATTCTTCCTGGCCAGGCAAGGTGGCTCACGCCTGTAATCCCAGCACTTTGAAAGGCTAAGGCGGGCAGATCACCTGAGGTCAGGAGTTTAAGACCAGCCTGGCCAACATGGTGAAACCCCGTCTCTATAAAAATACAAAAATTAGCCTAGCATGATGGTGGGTGCTTGTAATCCCAGCTACCCAGGAGGCTGATGTGGGAAAAGTGCTTGAGCCCAAGACTGGAAGTTTGCAGTGAGCTGAGATCATGCCATTGCACTCCAGCCTGGGCAAAAGAGCAAGACTCCATCTAAAAAAAAAAAAAGATTTTTCTAATTAGTTATATATTCAGGTAGAAGGGAGGACAAATTCTTATTGAACCAATACAAATAACTACATAGTCACAAAAAGTAAATGTTTTTATTAAAGAAACTTTGTGTAAGAATTAACCAATATTGCTAATTAAGAGTATGTTAATAGACAAAACCAAATATTGTATGTCACAATTCTTTACAAAATAATTATTTGTATGTTTTTCTTGGCAATTTATTAGCTTTGTTTTTATATTAAGAATTTCTACAAGGTATTTTTTTCCTCAACACTAAGAATTCAGAGTGTTTTATTTAGTTTTTACAAATTCAATAATTTGTAAATTTAATTGGAGGTTAAAGATAGATTAAGAAGAAAGAAAATGGGTTTCTCTCATGTTCATTAAAGTAGAAAATTAAACTAACCTCAATTAAATCGCTTTATTGAGGTCCTTTAATCCTAAATAACAACCTCTTGTCATGCTGGTCTTGAGTTAAGCAGTCTGCTTTCATGAATTCATCTGCTTCTACATTGTGAGTGTCTTGGAAATCCTGACTCATTTACTTGGTATAGTTGGAATATTGTTTGTGGGGACAAGGTCAGCCTATTCTTGGAGGCCTATATCCATGAGTCAATTTCCTGTGGTATCAACAGTATCAACAGTGTCTGCTACGGTTTTTACTGGAGCTCTTTTGATATTTCTTCCAGATGACTTAAATTCTGATTGGCGCTTTGTAGAAAGGCTTTTAGGTATGCTTAAAGGGAAAGAAGGGCTGGGCACAGTGGCTCATGTCTGTAATCCCAACACTTTAGGAGGCTGAGGCAGGTGGATCACTTGAGGTCCGGAGTTTGAGACCAGCCTGGACAACATGGTGAAACCCTGTCTCTACTGAAAATAGAAAAATTAGCCATGCGTGGGGGTGGGCACCTGAATATAGCTACTCAGGAGGCTGAGGTAGGAGAACAGCTTGAACCCGACAGGCAGAGTTTGCGGTGAGCTGAGATCACACCACTGCACTCTAGCCTGGGCAACAGAGAGAGATTCCATCTAAAAAAAAAAAAAAAAGCAGCGGGGATAGGGGGAGGAGATGTTGTTGATAATAAAACTGTAAAGTTTGGTTAATTTTTTGTCATAGCAAACAACATCACAATGGGGGATAGTGGCATTCTCTGTTGAGGCATAATACATACTCATTTAATGAAATTTTAATCAGTGATTACCATAAAAGACAGAACACATTAAGAACAATTAGTGCATCCTGATACCTCTCCAGGGCCTTTAATTTTCCCCACAAAGCAGATATTATTATTTGTCACCAACTGATGTTTACTTCTTTTTTTTAATTATTGTACTTTAAGTTTTAGGGTACATGTGCACAACGTGCAGGCTTGTTACATGTGAATACATGTGCCATGTTGGTGTGCTGCACCTATTAACTTGTCATTTGCATTAGGTATATCTCCTAACGCTATCCCTCCCCCCTCCCCCCACCCCACAACAGCCCCCGGTGTGTGATGTTCCCTTTCCTGTGCCCATGGGTTCTCATTGTTCAATTCCCACCTATGAGTGAGAACATGCGGTGTTTGGTTTTTTGTCCTTGCAATAGTTTCCTGAGAATGATGGTTTCCAGCTTCATCCATGTCCCTACAAAGGACGTGAACTCATCATTTTTTATGGCTGTATAGTATTCCATGGTTTATATGTGCCACATTTTCTTAATCCAGTCTATCATTGATGGACATTTGGGTTGGTTCCAAGTCTTTGCTATTGGGAATAGTGCCACAATAAACGTACGGGTGCACGTCTCTTTATAGCAGCATGATTTATAATCCTTTGGGTACATACCGAGTAATGAGATGGCTGGGTCAAATGGTATTTCTAGTTCTAGATCCCTGAGGAATCACCACACCAACTTCCACAATGGTTGAACTAGTTTACAGTCCCACCAACAGTGTAAAAGTGTTCCTATTTCTCCACATCCTCTCCAGCACCTGTTGTTTCCTGACTTTTTAATGATCACCATCCTAACTGGTGTGAGATGGTATCTCATCGTGGTTTTGATTTTCATTTCTCTGATGGCCAGCGATGATGAGCATTTTTTCATGTGTTTTTTGGCTGCACTAATGTCTTCTTTTGAGAAGTGTCTGTTCATATCCTTCGCCCACATTTTGATGGGGTTGTTTGTTTATTTCTTGTAAATTTGTTTGAGTTCATTGTAGATTCTGGATATTAGCCCTTTGTCAGATGAGTAGGTTGCAAAAATTTTCTCCCATTCTGTAGGTTGCCTGTTCACTCTGCTGGTGGTTTCTTTTGCTGTGCAGAAGCTCTTTAGTTTAATTAGATCCCATTTGTCAATTTTGGCTTTAGTTGCCATTGCTTTTGGTGTTGTAGACATGAAGTCCTTGCCCATGCCTATCTCCTGAATGGTATTGCCTGGGTTTTCTTCTAGGTTTTTTATGGTTTTAGGTCTAGCATGTAAGTCTTTAATCCATCTTCAATGAATTTTTGTATAAGGTGTAAGGAAGGGATCCAGTTTTAGCTTTCTGCATATGGCTAGCCAGTTTTCCCAGCACCATTTATTAAATAGGGAATCCTTTCCCCATTGCTTGTTTTTATTAGGTTTCTCAAAGATCAGATAGTTGTAGACATGTGGCATTATTTCTGAGGTCTCTGTTCTGTTCCATTGGTCTATATCTCTGTTTTGGTACCAGTACCATGCTGTTTTGGTTACTGTAGCCTTCTAGTATAGTTTGAAGTCAGGTAGTGTGATGCCTCCAGCTTTGTTCTTTTGGCTTAGGATTGACTTGGCAATGTGGGCTCTTTTTTGGTTCCATGTGAACTTTAAAGTAGATTTTTCCAATTCTGTCAAGAAAGTCATTGGTAGTTTGATGGGGATGGCATTGAATCTATAAATTACCTTGGGCAGTATGGCCATTTTCACGATATTGATTCTTCCTATCCATGAGCATGGAATGCTCTTCCATTTGTTTGTATCCTCTTACATTTTGTTCAGCAGTGGTTTGTAGTTCTCCTTGAGGAGGTCCTTCATGTCCCTTGTAAGTTGGATTCCTAGGTATTTTATTCTGTTTGAAGCAATTGTGAATGGGAGTTCACTCCTGATTTGGCTCTCTGTTTGTCTGTTATTGGTGTATAAGAATGCTTGTGATTTTTGCACATTGATTTTGTATCCTGAGACTTTGCTGAAATTGCTTATCAGCTTAAGGAGATTTTGGGCTGAGACGATGGGGCTTTCTAGATATACAATCATGTCATCTGCAAACAGGGACAATTTGACTTCCTCTTTTCCTAATTGAATACCCTTTATTTCCTTCTCCTGCCTGACTGCCCCGGCCAGAAATTCCAACACTACATTGACTAGGAGTGGTGAGAGAGGGCATCCCTGTCTTTTGCCAGTTTTCAAAGGGAATGCTTCCAGTTTTTGTCCATGCAGTATGATATTGGCTGTGGGTTTGTCATAGATAGCTCTTATTATTTTGATATATGTCCCATCAATACCTAATTTATTGAGAGTTTTTAGCATGAAGCGTTGTTGAATTTTGTCAAAGGCCTTTTCTGCATCTAATGAGATAGTCATATGGTTTTTGTCTTTAGTTCTGTTTATATGCTGGATTACGTTTATTGATTTTCATATTTTGAACCAGCCTTGCATCCCAGGGATGAAGCCCACTTGATCATGGTGGATAAGCTTTTTGATGTGTTGCTGGATTCAGTTTGCCAGTTTTTATTGAGGATTTTTGCATCAATGTTCATCAAGGATATTGGTCTAAAATTGTCTTTTTTTGTTGTGTCTCTGCCCAGCTTTGGTATCAGGACGATGCTGGCCTCATAAAATGAGTTAGGGAGGATTCCCTCTTTTTCTATTGATTGGAATAGTTTCAGAAGGAATGGTACCAGCTCCTCCTTGTACCTCTGGTAGAATTTGGCTGTGAATCCATCTGGTCCTGGACTTTTTTTGGTTGGTAAGCTATTAATTATTGCCTCAATTTCAGAGCCTGTTATTGATCTATTCAGAGATTCAACTTCTTCCTGGTTTAGTCTTGGGAGGGTGTATGTGTCGAGGAATTTATCCATTTCTTCCAGAGTTTCTAGTTTATTTGCATAGAGGTGTTTATAGCATTCTCTGATGGTAGTTTGTACTTCTGTGGGATTGGTGTTGACATCCCCTTTGTCATTTTTTATTGCATCTATTTGATTCTTCTCTCTTTTCTTCTTTATTAGTCTTGCTAGCGGTCTATCAATTTTGTTGATCTTTTCAAAATAACAGCTCCTGTATTCATTGATTTTTTGAAAGGTTTTTTGTGTCTCTATTTCCTTCAGTTCTTATCTGATCTTAGTTATTTCTTGCCTTCTGCTAGCTTTTGAATGTGTTTGCTCTTGCTTCTCTAGTTCTTTTAATTGTGATGTTAGGGTGTCAATTTTGGATCTTTCCTGCTTTCTCTTGTTGGCATTTAGTGCTATAAATTTCCCTCTACACACTGCTTTGAATGTGTCCCAGAGATTCTGGTATTTTGTGTCTTTGTTCTCATTGGTATCAAAGAAAATCTTTATTTATGCCTTCATTTCATTATGTACCCAGTAGTCATTCAGGAGCAGGTTGTTCAGTTTCCATGTAGTTGAGCGATTTTGAGTGAGTTTCTTAATCCTGAGCTCTAGTTTGATTACACTGTGTTCTGAGAGACAGTTTGTTATAATTTCTGTTCTTTTACATTTGCTGAGGAGTGCTTTACTTCAAACTATGTGGTCAATTTTGGAATAGGTGTGGTGTGGTGCTGATAAGAATGTGTAATCTGTTGATTTGGGGTGGAGAGTTCTGTAGATGTCTATTAGGTCCACTTGGTGCAGAGCTGAGTTCAATTCCTGGATATCCTTGTTAACTTTCTCTCTCATTGATATGTCTAATGTTGACAGTGGGGTGTTAAAGTCTCCCTTTATTATTGTGTGGGAGTCTAAGTCTCTTTGTAGGTCACTAAGGACTTGCTTTATGAATCTGGGTGCTCCTGTATTGGGTGCATATATATTTAGGATAGTTAGGTCTTCTTGTTGAATTGATCCCTTTACCATGATGTAATGGCCTTCTTTGTCTCTTTTGATCTTTGTTGGTTTAAAGTCTGTTTTATCCGAGACTGGGATTGCAACCCCTGCCTTTTTTTGTTTTCCATATGCTTGGTAGATCTTCCTCCATCCCTTTATTTTGAGCCTATGCGTGTCTCTGCACGTGAGATGGGTTTCCTGTATACAGCACACTGGTGGGTCTTGACTCTTTATCCAATTTACCAGTCTGTGTCTTTTAATTGGAGCATTTAGCCCATTTACATTTAAGGTTAGTACTGTTATGTGTGAATTTGATCCCATCATTATGATGTTAGCTGGTTATTTTGCTTGTTAGTTGATGCAGTTTCTTCCTAGCCTTGATGGTCTTTACAATTTGGCATGTTTTTGCAGTGGCTGGTACCAGTTGTTCCTTTCCATATTTAGTGCTTCCTTCAGGAGCTCTTTTGCGGCAGGCCTGGTGGTGACAAAATCTCTCAGCATTTGCTTGTTTGTAAAGCATTTTATTTCTCCTTCACTTATGAAGCTTAGTTTGGCTGGATATGAAATTCTGGCTTGAAAATTCTGTTCTTTAAGAATATTGAATATTGGCCCCCACTCTCTTCTGGCTTTTAGAGTTTCTGCCGAGAGATCCGCTGTCTGTCTGATGCGCTTCCCTTTGTGGGTAACCCGACCTTGCTCTCTGGCTACCCTTAAAATTTTTTCCTTCATTTCAACTTTGGTGAATCTGACAATTATGTGTCTTGGAGTTGCTCTTCTAGGGGGGTATCTTTGTGGTGTTCTCTGTATTTCCTGAATTTGAATGTTGGCCTGCCTTACTAGATTGTCGGGGGGGAAGTTCTCCTGGATAATATCCCGCAGAGTGTTTTCCAACTTGGTTCCATTCTCCCCGTCACTTTCAGGTACAGCAATTAGACGTAGATTTGGTCTTTTCACATAGTCCCATATTTCTTGGAGGCTTTGTTCATTTCTTTTTATTCTTTTTTCTCTAAACTTCTCTTCACACTTCATTTCATTCATTTGATCTTCCATCGCTGATACCCTTTCTTCCCGTTGATCGCATTGGTTACTGAGGCTTGTGCATTTGTCACATAGTTCTCATGCCGTGGTTTTCAGCAACATCAGGTCCTTTAAGGACTTCTCTGCATTGGTTATTCCAGTTATCCATTTGTCTAATTTTTTTTCAAAGCTTTTAACTTCTTTGCCATTGGTTCAAACTTCCTCCTTTAGCTTGGAGTAGTTCGATCTTCTGAAGCCTTCCTCTCTCAACTCCTCAGAGTCATTCTCCGTCCAGCTTTGTTCCGTTGCTGGTGAGGAGCTGCGTTCCTTTGGAGAAGGAGAGGCGCTCTGATTTTTAGAGTTTCCAGTTTTTCTGCTCTGTTTTTCCCCCATCTTTGTGGTTTTATCTACCTTTGGTCTTTGATGATGGTGATGTACAGATGGGTTTTTAGTGTGGATGTCCTTTCTGTTTGTTAGTTTTCCTTTTAACAGACAGGACCCTCAGCTGCAGGTCTGTTGGAGTTTGCTGGAGGTCCACTCCAGACCCTGTTTTCCTGGGTATCAGCAGCAGTGGCTGCAGAACAGAGGATATTGGTGGACCGCAAATGCTGCTGCCTGATTGTTCCTCTGGAAGTTTTGTCTCAGAGGAGTACCCGGCCATGTGAGGTGTCAGTCCGCCCCTACTGGGAGGCACCTCCCAGTTAGGCTACTCAGGAGTCAGGGACCCACCTGTGGAGGCAGTCTGCCTGTTCTCAGATCTCAAGCTGCATGCTGGGAGCACCACTACTCTCTTCAAAGCTGTCAGACAGGGACATTTAAGTCTGCAGAGGTTATTGCTGTCTTTTGTTTGTCTGTGCCCTGCCCCCAGAGGTGGAGCCTACAGAGGTGGAGCCTAGAGAGGCAGGCAGGCCTCCTTGAGCTGTGTTGGGCTCCACCCAGTTTGAACTTCCTGGCCGCTTTGTTTACCTACTCAAGCCTGAGCAATGGCGGGTGCCCCTCCCCCAGCCTCCCTGCCACCTTGCAGTTTGATCTCGGACTGCTGTGCTAGCAATGAGCAAGTCTCCGTGGCATAGGACCCTCCGAGCCAGGTGCGGTATATAATCTCGTGGTGTGCTGTTTGTTAACCCCATTGGAAAAGCTCAGTATTAGGGTGGGAGTGACCCGATTTTCCAGGTGCTGTCTGTCACCCCTTTCTTTGGCTAGGAAAGGGAATTCCCTGACCCCTTGCGCTTCCCGGGTGAGGCGATGCCTTGCCCTGCTTCGGCTCACACACAGTGTGCTGCATCCATTGTCCTGCACCCACTATCCGGCACTCCCTAGTTAGATGAACCCGGTACCTCAGTTGGAAATGCAGAAATCACCTGTCTTCTGCATCTCTCACGCTGGGAGTTGTAGACTGGATCCATTCCTATTCAGCCATCTTGGTTCGCATCTATCAAGTTTACTTTTTTTAATCAATTGGTTGACATTTATTGCACCAGTCTTTGCACATGAACATAAATATGCCTCAATCCAACCTGAGAAGTGCACAATTATTGTAACATAGCCACAATAATCATACATAATTATTGCATTTAATTAATTTAAGATGATTTTATTGCTATTTTCTCAGAATATGGCCTTGAAAAACACAGCAGCTTCCACTGTATTGAGCATAGTTTTGAGCAAATTAAATATCTGGAGAATGCAAAACATTATATTTATGTCTAATATATCTTCTTGTTAAGAGCTAGGAGGAGGATCTTTGGAGTTTCCCAGTAGCCATCTGAGAAACCCAGAGATATTGTATTCATAAATAACATCTCAGTAGTTTTACTATTTTGAATTTGAGGGTTAAATTTGGGGAATATGGTATCAAAAAGAGTGTCACAGGTGGGGGCTGCAGATGTGAAGGGCCTGCTATCAATCAGGTGACCCTGGAGGGACTACCTGCTCCCTGTGTCAGTCCAGGATCCCAGCTGTAGTGGGTTCCTCTCTGCAACAGCACATGTTTCTAAAGGGCAAGAATCTGGGCTCCCGGTAACTGACATCTGTCTCCTCCATCCTAGATTGTCATGGTAGACCTGAACCACCCTCCCACTGAATTTGGGCCCTTGTGGCTCATAGCCACAAGGGAAATTGGAAGCTCACATGTGAAAGGCAGAATTATGTTATTGCACCTTCTTCCAAAGTCTTGAGTTTGTTTGTAGCCCAGGTGCCCCTGTTTTCAACAGGGGTATTAGCAGTACCAGGCAGCCACTCCCTAGGGTTTGTGTTTCTGAGCTTTCCCATCATCAGTTAATTGGAAATTTCAGGAACTGTCCCTGCCTTACAATGCCTGCTCTGATCTACAGGTCTCTTGGAGACAGACAGCAGGTGATGGGGCATGCCAAAGAGATAAAAATGTCTTCTGATAATCAGGGGTCAGCAGATGAGTGCGAAAGCTAATTATCCCCACTACTCAGGGAATTTAGAGGCTTTCCCTTTTGTCTTTGTAGGAATAGCAGACTTTCTGACTCTAATGTCCAAAGTTCTTTACAAGTTCAAGTACAGAGGAGATCAGAAAATGTCTTATGCACATGAGAGTTGTTATCCAAAGATTTGTCATAGGAGCAGTGACTCTAGGTGTTCTCTATTCTATTTAGAAGGATTACATTAGATTTTGATTCCTCAACGTGGCCAAGAAATAGAGCTACTTGCTGGGAGCAAGAAAGACAAGATGACTTCTGGTAACTCTCTATTATGAAAAATGAATTTTCATTATGTAACAAATTACACTGCAGAAGTGTTACAAAGAATTCTCATAGACAAGGTATATTAAATCTCAAATCAATAATCATACATAGTCAATTAAAAATATCTTTGTTGATATATTTCAGAACCTGGGAAATAATTTTCTGACTTTCAAATTTTTTAGTTTCTATTCAATGGCAGAAAATCTATATTGTGCCAAACCAGTCTAAAAATCAGTAGTTAATTATATGCTGGACACAGAAAAATGTTCTGTAACCTGTTAAATGCAACATTCCATTCATTGCTTAATTCTCCCCAAATAGCATGAGGTAATTAAGGCTTTTGTAAACTTTTTTCTTTTTTTAGAACAGCCTACAGTGACAGACGAGAATGGTTATATTGTTAATTAAAGCTGGTTCATCACTCATGTGGTAAACCTGACTCACAGGGAAACTTAACTATTTTTTCACAAAAATAAATGTTTATCATTTAAATATGTATTTATTCATTTTAAGACTTCTTGAAAGGATTTCTAGGAGTACAAAGTAAACTACTATAAATCTTTTTTCTCCGTGATGGCAATATTGTTGTGGGTGAGAAACAATTTAGTACGGGAGAGCTATATCTAATCCAGTAGGACACTGTGGAGAATACAAGTGTCAAATTTTTGCTAAAAAACTAATATATGGCTGGGAGTGGTGGCTCACACCTGTAATCCCAACACTTTGGGAGGCCGAGGCAGGTGGATCACCTGAGGTCAGGAGTTCGAGACCAGCCTGGCCAACATGGTGAAATCCCATTTCTACTAAAAATACAAAAATTAGCCAGGCATGGTGGCAGATACCTGTAATCCCAGCTACTCAGGAGGCTGAGGCAGGAGAATCACTGGAACCCAGGAGGCAGAGGTTGCAGTGAGCCAAGGTGGCACCATTGCACTCCAGCCTGAGGGACAAGAGTGAGACTTCATCTCAAAAAAAAAAAAAAAGACTAATATATGGAGATTGATTTATCATTTTATCAAAAGGTAACCCAAATACTAATATGACTTTTTTTAGACCATTCATTTAATAAATTGCGCTAAAAGACTCAAAAGTTCTTTTATGTTTTATGCCCAAACTAATTAATATTGAGTAAAGTTAGTCCAAAAAATTATAAACATTTTATTGCTCATTTAAGCTCATTATTTGCAGGTATTATAAACTATAGCAAATGAAGTTTACTTCCCTCAGATATTCTACAATTATTGTATGCCCTTAAATTTGTATTTTAAAATTCAGTTTTATATTCTAGCAAAACTGTACAATTTGCCTTTTAGACAAAATTACTTTCTTTGCCTTGATAAGCAAAAACACATTAATTATATTGCATGCACTTTTCTAAATACTCAAACTGACTTAATTTCTTAAAGTAGTATAAAAGAACATGTGCATTAATCAGAACTAAGGGTACTTTTACATACTGTTCATTGTCCTACTTGATAGCCACTCTATAATGTGTAAAAATATGCAGCAAAGATATGTTAAAAATTTTGTGAGACTATCCAAAGATTTTTCACTAATTATTTCAATGAAATATTAGCCAACTTCATAGAGCTAACTAGCATAGTAAAATTCATTTTAAACTGACACACTGCAGAGAATTTATACTAAAATATAAAAATTTACATTAAAATTGTGTTAGATATGAAATTTGAATTTTTTTCCAGGTAGGGTATGTGTTGTTTTACCTATACGGTATAATTATTTGTAACCCTATCTCAAGTTACATGAACAAATGTTTTAAAAAATACTAGTTTAATAATTCAACTCAGTTGAGCCACAAATCCAGTAGGGGACATCTAGAAAGCTCTGATAAGTTAAAATATTTTATAAACCAGAAAATATTGTGATAAAATCAGAGAAAAAACATAATTAATTTAAACCAAAATTATCAAGCCGTATACATTTATCCAAGGATTTCCCATGATTAAAAATATTACTGAACTTTATTTCAATCAAATTTTTAAAAACCTTCAATTTTGTTCTGAAGCACAGAAGTCCTTTGCGTTATGCAATTCTCCTACCCGCCTGCCTTCCCCTGCTTCTCGTCTTCTGACATAGCAACAAAGTCCATTAATTCACCTCAGAACTAAACCTCTCTATAATTTTTTTCCTCTGAGCTGCAGTTCAGCAAGTTACCTGTGCTTATATAGATAAGCCAAGGAAAACAGAAGCTCCATTAAACTTAAGAAATTGTTTAACCTAATTCATTAATTTTCTCCAGAGATAAGAAAATGTATAATAATTTGTTCAGAAGATATTTACATACATACAACAAGAAGTCATTATCAAATTCGGAGCCAGTGATGATTTTCTCCCTGCTTTATTATAGACTTTCATATTCTATTTGTTTATAGTCCTTATCCAGTCAGAATATAGATTATGGTAGAGACGTCATTTTTGAGGTTGAGTAATACTTTACTGTTGATGTATAGAATATTCCTCACAACTTATTTCAACTCATTTTTATATTTCTATGAGATTTTCCTCTTTTGGAGTTTCTGGTTTGTTTGAGAAAAGGGCTAGAGAAATTTAAACGCTTGAAAACCTTTAGAGTTTTCAGAAGTACACAGAACTTCAAACGAACACAAAGGTATTCTCATTAATGCTTTCTTAAGACAAACAAAGCAAAGCCCTATCAAAAGTTAGAGCTCTCCATTTTTCAAGCTATGCAAGACTGTCTCCAATAGTTATGGCTTCAGCAGTGTTTCAACTTGAGTGTGCATCAGAACCACCTGCAAAGCCTAATTAAACAGATTCCTTGGCTCACTTGGCAGTATATGACTCAGTAGGTAAAATTTGAGAAATTGTTTATCTAACAAGTTGCCAGGTAATACTGATACCGATGTCTAGGGACTATGAGAATCATTAACCTAGAGTGTTTAAAAAATGACCAATTTATGTGCCCAATTATCTGCCAAAGTTTCCTAAGAGAAGGAAAACAACAACAACAAACAAACAAACAAACCAAAACAGAGAGAAACTGAGAGAAACAGCCACAACTGGAAACTAGTAACACAAAAACAAACCATTGTTAAGGCTAATTAACTTATTTTCATACCAATGGGGAAAGATTTTTATTTCATTTTGCACCCACAAAAAGCTTCAGAAGTTTTTTCATGTGTCAGAAGGAAGCACATAACCTCCAAATTCACTATCTCTTCTTTGCCCATTTGCTGTAGTTACTCTTTGTACCAAAGGTTCTGAGCCTGGAGTCTCTGCCTCCACTGGTCAGATAGACTCTCTGCTTCCATTGTGGTCTCTCACTGAATGTTCTCATCCACTGCTTCCTCGCTATGTAATATCTGCCCAAGAAGCTCCCGTCTTCTCATTCTCCCATCCCATATGCTGACATTCTTTCCAGTCCCTGCATTGTTATGAGAGCTCAGTGGGGGAGGGAGCTGAATGTCTGTATTCAGTCTACAACTACGATCTAGGATACTCTGTATTAATCATAAATAACTGATGCAAGTTTCTTCCACTCAGCCATAGCTGAGCCAGATTACCCACAATGCTATCTCATCCCACCACAGTCTCTAAGACTGATTTCTATTATACAAGGTAAGATCAACATTTGAAGTGATTGAGTTTAAACATAAAAAGATGTATTGGCTCCTGCGACTGGGCAGTCTTCAGGGTTAGTTGCTTGAGTGATCAATGATATTAAGATTATGATTGGGACATGAAAAAAAGAACTGGCAAATAAGGAGAGAACTTTGGCAATAGAAAGGCATTTAATCCTTGTATTGTTTTGAGTGCCCTAAAGGAAAAGACAAATTAAAGGCAGATCCTAACAGAACTGTTAACAAAGAAGGAAGAGGGTGAATGAGACTCTTGAATCAAAAATTCTTCCCTCTCCCTCTCCCTCTCCCTCTCCCTCTCTTCTCCCCTTTCTTCGGTCTCCCTCCATTGCCAAGGCTGGACTGTACTGCCGTGGTCTCGGCTCGCTGCAGCCTCCCTGCCCCGGGTTCCCATTGTTCTCCTGCCTCGGCCTGCGGAGTGCCTGGGATTGCTGGTGCACGCCGCCACGCCTGACTGGTTTCTGTATTTTTGGAGGAGACGGGGTTTCACCCTGTTGACCGGGCTGGTCTCCAGCTCCTGACCTCGAGTGGTCTGCCCGCCTCAACCTCCCAGGGTGCTGGGATTGCAGACGGAGTCTCGCTCACTCAATGCTCAGTGTTGCCCAGGCTGGAGTGCAGTGGCCTAATCTCGGCTGGCTGCAACCTCCACCTTCCAGCTGCCTGCCTTGGCCTCCCAAAGTGCTAAGATTACAGCCTCTGCCTGGCTGCCACCCCGTCTGGGAAGTGGGGAGCATCTCTGCCTGGCCACCCTTCCTCTGGGAGGTGGGAAGCGCCACTGCCCCGCCCCGTCTGGGAAGTGGGCGCCTCTGCCCAGCCGCTGCCCCGTCTGGGAGGTGAGGGGCATCTCTGCCTGGCTGCCCGGCCTGGGAAGTGAAGGGCGCCTCTGCCCGGGTACCCTTCGTCTGGGAGGTGGGGAGCGCCTCTGCCCGGCCACCCCGTCTGGGAAGTGGGCGCCTCTGTCCGGCCACCCCATCTGGGAGGCGAGGGGCATCTATGCCCGGCCACCCCATCTGGGATGTGAAAAGCGCCTCTGCCCGGCCACCCAGTCTGGGAGGTGGGGAGCGCCTGTGCCCAGCCGCCCATCATCTGGGAGGTGAGGAGCACCTCTGCCCAGCTGCCACCTCGTCTGGGAAGTGAAGTGCGCCTCTGCCCGGCCGCCCCATCTGGGAAGTGAGGAGCGCCTCTCTCGGCCACCCCGTCTGGGAAGTGAGGAGCGCCTCTGCCCGGCCGCCCCATCTGGGAAGTGAGGAGCGCCTCTGCCAGGCCGCCCCATCTGGGAAGTGAGGAGCGCCTCTCCCGGCCACCCCGTCTGGGAAGTGAGGAGCGCCTCTGCCCGGCCGCCCCGTCTGGGAATTGAGGGGCGCCTCTGCCCGGCCGCCCCGTCTGGGAAGTGAAGAGCACCTCTGCCCGGCCGCCCCATCTGGGAAGTGTACCCAACAGCTCCGAAGAGACAGCGACCATCAAGAACGGGCCATGATGACGATGGTGGTTTTGTGGAAGAGAAAAGGGGGAAATGTGGGGCAAAGAAAGAGAGATCAGATTGTTACTGTGTCTGTGTAGAAAGAAGTAGACATAGGAGACTCCATTTTGTTCTGTACTAAGAAAAATTCTTCTGCCTTGGGATGCTGTTAATCTACAACCTTACCCCCAACCCCCTGCTCTCTGAAACATGTGCTGTGTCAACTCAGGGTTAAATGGATTAAGGGCAGTGCAAGATGTGCTTTGTTAAACAGATGCTTGAAGGCAGCATGCTCATTAAGAGTCATCACCACTCCCTAATGTCAAGTACCCATGGACACAAACATGGCCGAAGGCTGCAGGGACCTCTGCCTAGGAAAACCAGAGACCTTTGTCCATGTGTTTATCTGCTGACCTTCTCTCCACTATTATCCTATGACCCTGCCACATCCCCCTCTCTGAGAAACACCCAAGAATGATCAATAAATACTAAAAAAAAAAAAAAAAAAAAAAAAATTCTTAATTCTTAACTCCACCTGTGAAATCTTACTTGATCTGGTTATACTAAGAATAATCATCACACCATTCTGTCTCACATTCTAGAAGGCTTTGTAGTGGTAGAACTGTAAACAACATATAAACATTTCTGAAATATTTTGGTTGTTTTATCTTCCATAAGCCTCACACAAGCCATATGTATGATCACCCATCTTCTGGGCCATTACCTGATTATTGCTGCTACCACCTCTCTCGCTTTGGGGAAAGGAGATTCTCTTTCCTTATCAATAGGATTGGATCAGCTCTTCTAATTTCATGATGACATGAGTGTTCAGGAATGATGGAAGATAAATGTAACCCTGAGAAAATGTTGTAACTACTGCATTTTACAAGTCCATATCCATCCTAGAAGGTCTTCCAGCCTGCTCTCTGCCCTGCTCCCAAGATGGCCACATGTAGGTCTCTTCTTTCCCATAACCAGAGGGTTATAGGTTATATTATCCTTCAAAGTTTGGGATAAACCAATTTCTCACTCTAAAGAGAACAATGTGTTTTGATTTTCCCAACCCTAACCCTAGCCTAAAGTCTACCTTCTAATCTTATCTTATTATAAATGTCCCTGGATTGATCTTTCAAGGGATTTTTGCCTACTAAAAAAAATTACTCTCACTCAAAGAATTGTGGCCTGACAAGAAATCTACAAGAGTATTGGACACAGAGGCCAAAACATCATAAGGTCTGGATTATTCAGGCTAAAGTAATATCACCTGTGGGTTACCCACAGCCCAGTCCTCAGCTTCAGACAATGCTGGAGTCACTAGTCTTCTGTTTTCTTTCCTCTGTCATTCCTATTCAAAAATTCTAAAAATTTGGAGTTCCATTTCTCTTAGGAAGACATGAGTACATTAGTACAGTAACATATTTATTTCTACTTCCTTGAAATTTTATTGAGAAATCCATCATTTTCCAAACTTTTCTTTCTATTGTTGTAAAACAGGGATGAATGGCCATGAGCACTTCATTGCCTCATCTCAGGTGACACTTTTTTGCCCTTTGAAAAGCCTATAATATACTTTATAATGTAGTTTAACTTTTCCACTTTACCTCATGTAAACAAACTGATTTTCCAACTTATCAATACAGTATGAACATTTCTCCAAGTCAATTAACAAAAAGAGGAAATATCACTTTAAATGAATGCACAATTTCTCTATATAGAGAAAAATAATACGTGTGCATATATGCATGTGTAAATATATGTATAAGACTAAATTCTACAAGTTTTTAAACTATCTTTTTACTGATGGAGACTCATCATGGTTTTTTTCCCCCTGTACTACAAACAAAGTTGCCATAAACATTCTAACATTCTGGAGTACGGTATCCCTTATATTGAAATGCTTGGGACCAAAAATTGTGTAAATTTTGGATTTTTTCAGATTATGAAATATTTTCATATCATAATGTGATAGGAATGAGACCCAAGTCTAAATTTCTTTACGTTCCCTACATACAGTGTACATGTAGCCTGAAGGTAATTTTATGCATTTGTAAAATTTTGTGTAAGAAACAAAATTTTGACTGTCTTTTGGCTGTCACCAGTCATATAAGGTCATATGTGAAATTTTTCACCTGTGGCATCATATCAGTGCTCAAAATGTTTCCAATTTTGAAGCATTTCAGATTTCAGATTTTTTAGTTGACCTTGGAACAACATGGGTTTAAACTGTGCAGGTCTGCTTACACTCATATTTTTTTAAAAAATAAATATATCAGAAAAAGTTTTGGAGAATTGCAATTGAAAAAACTAGCAGACTAACTGCATAGCCTAGAAATATAAAAAAAAATTAAGAAAAAGCTATGTACATCATGAATGCATAAAGTATATGTATATATTAATCTATTTTATCATTTATTACTATAAAATATACACAAATCTATTACAAAAAGTTAAAACTTATCAAAATGTATGCACACAAACCGTACAAGTCACCATTTGCAGTCAAGAGAAACATAAACAAACATAAAGATGCTGTATTAAACCACAACTGCATACAATTAACTGTAGCACATACTGTACTACCAGAATAATTATTTTTATTTTATTTTTATAAATGTGCTAGGTACAAGCGTACTTTTATTATGTGGTTGTTTTGTTATTTGGATATATTGCTAGTGGTGAACTCTGAGATTTTACTGTACTCATCACCCCAATAGTGAACATCGTACCCAATAATAATTTTTCAACCCTCACTCCCCTCCAACCCTGGCATCTTTTGGAATATTCTTCAATGTCTACTTTCCAGTGTATGTACTATTATAATAATTTTGTAGCCACCCCCTGTTGCTACTGTGGTGAGCTCCTGTTGCCAGTATCTGCCATGAACACTTGGTCTCTTCAGTAAATTCTGTATCTAAGTAAATAGTGTGTTCTCTCACAGTTCTCTTTTCATTGTGCTTAGTGTAATACTATAAATCTTGAATAACACCATGAGACCAATACAAAGTGCCACAAGTGATGCTCGGAGTGCTCCCAAGAAGCAGAGAAAAGTTGTGACATTATGAGAAAAAGTTAGATTGCTTCCTATAGATTGAGGTCTGCAGCTGCCTGCCATTTCAAAATAAATGAATACAGTGTAAGGTCCCTTAAAAAAAGGGGGGGAAATTCATAAGGCCCTCATTTCATGCCAACAGACATGAAAACCTTGTCTTTTCTTATCTCATGTTCAAAATGCAGCTTTTATGTGGGTACAGAATTGCTATAAGAAAGACATACCTATAGACTCTTATTTGATTCAAGAAATAGCGAAGTCATTATTTGACAACTTAAAGTAAAAGGAAGGTGAAAGATCTAAAGCTGGAGAATTTAATGCCAGCAAAGGATGATTTGATAATTTTAGAAAGTGGTTTGGTTTTAAAAATGTCAGGATAATGGGAGTAGCAACTTCTGCCAACCAAGAGCCAGCAAGTGAATTCTCAAATGCCATTAAGAAAAACATTGAGGAGAAAGGATATCTGCCTGAACAGGTATTAATGCAGCTGAAAGTGCCCTATTCTGGGGTGGGGGGGAGGGGGAAGCCCCAAAGGACATTTATTCATAAGGAGGAGAAGCAAGCACCAAGATTTAAGGCAGGAAGGGATAGGCTAACTCTACTGCTTTGTGCAAATGTAGTCGGGTTTATGATCAGGGCTGCCCTTAACTATAAAGCTGCTATCCCCTGAGTCTTGAGAGGGAAAAGAGAAACACTAGTTTCCAGTCTTTTGGTTGTACAACAAGAAGGCCTGGACTATGAGAATGCTTTTTCTGGATTGGTTCCATCAGCGCTTTGTCCCTGAAGTCAGAAGTACCTTGACAGTAAGGGACTGCTTTTTAAAGTATTTTTTTTGTTGTTGTTTAATTGGAAAATGCCCCCTGGCCACCCAGAACCCCGTGAGTCCAACACCAAAGGCACCGAAGTGGTCTCCTTTTCCCCCAAACACATCTCTAATTCAGCCTCTAGATAAGGGAGTCACAAGGACCTTTAAGGCTCTGCACATGGCACTCTATGGAAAGGTTTGTCAACACTACAAAAGAGAACTCCAATAGAGAGAACATCATGGAAGTCTGGAAGGCTTACACCTTTGAAGATGTCATCAGGTGATATAGAAAAAGTCATGAAAACCATGAAACTCAAAACAATAAGTTCCCGCTGGACAGAAGTACAATTTGTGTCCAGATGTTGTGCATAACTACAGAATTATGACAAACCCAATTAAGAAAAAACCCTGGAAAGAAGTATGGATATGAAGGGAAAAAAAGGTGTGGAGTGAAGGGTTGCAAGATATGGATCTCAGAGGAAGTTAAGAGCTAATAGACACCACACCAGAGGAATTAACAAAAGATGACTTGATGGAGATGAGTACTTCCTAACCAGTGCCAGATAATGAGGAAGAAGACATAGGAAAAGCAGTGCCAGAAAACAAATTGGCATTCAACAATCTGGCAAAAGGGTTTTGATTATTCAAGACTACTTTTGACTTCTTTTATGACATAGACCCTTCCATGATACAGGAACTAAAACTAAGGCAAATGGTGGAAGACGGATGGGTACTACACCGAAATGTTTTTAGAGAAATGAAAAAGCAAAATAGACAGAAATAATGATGTATTTTTGTAAAGTTTCACCAAGTGTGCTTGCCTTTTCTGCTTCCCCTTCCATCCCGTCCCCCTCTTCCACTTCTGCTACCCTAAGACAGAAGGACCAGCTCCTCCTCCTCCTCTGCCTACTCAACATGAAGACAACAATAATGAAGACCTTTAGGATGATCCACTTCCACTTAATGAATGGGTCATATATTTTTCTCTTCCTTACAATTTTCTTGATTATGATTTCTTTTCTGTAGCTTAGTTTATTGTAAGAATACAGTATATAATACACATAACATGCAAAATATATCTTAAATGTAACACGTTATCAATAAGCCTTCTGGTCAACAATAGGTTATTCATAGTTTGGGCGGAGTCAAAAGTTGTATGCGGATTTTTCACTGTGTGGGAGGCCAGCTCCCCTAACCCTATGTTGTTCAAGGGGCAACAATATTCTTTCCCGCGGGTGCTTTACTTTCCACAAATTCAAGTCCCAAAAGTAGAACTGCAAGTTCAAAAGGATTTTTAAAAAAATACTGCCAGATTACATAAAGTTTCCAATTTACATTCTCACTACCAATGTACAATGTTGGCATCCCTGAATCCTTATCAGCAATGAATTTTTAAATATACTATAAGGGATGAAAAAATATTTTTTTAAGTTTGAAATTCCCTGATCACTAATGAAGTTAAGCATCAATATTATTCCTTTAATATGCAAATGCTGAAAATACATTTAACTATAATAGATGTCAAAAATCTGTAAATCAGGCCAGGTGTGGTAGGCACTCACCTGTAGTCCCAGCCACTGGGAGACTTGAGTCCAGGAGTTCAAGACTGTAGTATGCAATGATCAAGCCTGTGAATAGCCACTGCACTCCAGAGTGGACAACATAGCAAGATTCCCATCTCTTAAAAAAAAGAGTCTTATAAGACAAAGGTCCTTGTAAATTAAGAGAAGCCAAAACAGTCACTGTGCCTGCAGAATATTTTAAATTGTTTTTTATCATACTTTAAGTTCTAGGGTACATGTGCACAACGTGCAGGTTTGTTACATATTCATACATGTGCCATGCTGGTGTGCTGCACCCATTAACTCATCATTTACATTAGGTATATCTCCTAATGCTATCCCTCCCCCAGCCTCCGACCCCACAACAGGCCCCAGTGTGTGATGTTCCCTTTCCTGTGCCCATGTGTTCTCATTGTTCAATTCCCACCTATGAGTGAGAACATGCGGTGTTTGGTTTTTTGTCCTTGCAATAGTTTCCTGAGAATGATGGTTTCCAGCTTCATCCATGTCCCTACAAAGGACATGAACTCATCATTTTTTATGGCTGCATGGTATTCCATGGTGTATATGTGCCACATTTTCTTAATCCAGTCTATCATTGATGGACATTTGGGTTGGTTCCAAGTCTTTGCTATTGGGAATAGTGCTGCAATAAACATATGTGTGCATGTGTCTTTATAGCAGCATGATGAATAATCCTTTAGGTATATACCCAGTAATGGGATGGCTAGGTCAAATGGTATTTCTAGTTCTAGATCCTTGAGGAATCGCCACACTGTCTTCCACAATGGTTGAACTAGTTTACAGTCCCACCAACAGTGTAAAAGTGTTCTTATTTCTCCACATCCTCTCCAGCACCTGTTGTTTCCTGACTTTTTAATGATCGCCATTCTAAGTGGTGTGAGATGGTATCTCATTGTGGTTTTGATTTGCATTTCTCTGATGGCCAGTGATGATGAGCATTTTTTCATGTGTTTTTTGGCTGCACAGATGTCTTCTTTTGAGAAGTGTCTGTTCATATCCTTCGCCCACATTTTGATGGGGTTGTTTGCTTTTTTCTTGTAAATTTGTTGGAGTTCTTTGTAGATTCCGGATATTAGCCCTTTGTCGGATGAGTAGATTGCAAACATTTTCTCCCATTCTGTAGGTTGCATGTTCACTCTGATGGTAGTTTCTTTTGCTGTGCAGAAGCTCTTTAGTTTAATTAGATCCCATTTGTCAATTTTGGCTTTAGTTGCCATTGCTTTTGGTGTTTTAGATATGAAGTCCTTGCCCATGCCTATGTCCTGAATGGTATTGCCTAGGTTTTCTTCTAGGGTTTTTATGGTTTTAGGTCTAACATTCA
The DNA here is from genome assembly GCF_000001405.40 of Homo sapiens. Classification (NCBI taxonomy): domain Eukaryota; kingdom Metazoa; phylum Chordata; class Mammalia; order Primates; family Hominidae; genus Homo; species Homo sapiens. The sequence continues at coordinate 50,615,397 of NC_000005.10, forward strand.
AGTCTTTAATCCATCTTGAATGAATTTTTGTATAAGGTGTAAGATCCAGTTTCAGCTTTCTACATATGGCTAGCCAGTTTTCCCAGCACCATTTATTAAATAGGGAATCCTTTCCCCATTGCTTGTTTTTGTCAGGTTTGTCAAAGATCAGATGGTTGTAGATGTGTGGTATTATTTCTGAGGTCTCTGTTCTGTTCCATTGATCTATATCTCTGTTTTGGTACCAGTACAATGCTGTTTTGGTTACTGTAGCCTTGTAGTATAGTTTGAAGTCAGGTAACATGATGCCTCCAGCTTTGTTCTTTTTGCTTAGGATTGACTTGGCAGTGCAGGCTCTTTTTTTGGTTCCATATGAACTTTAAAGTAGTTTTTTCTAATTCTGTGAAGAAAGTCATTGGTAGCTTCATGGGGATGGCATTGAATCTATAAATTACCTTGGGCAGTATGGCCATTTTCATGATATTGATTCTTCCTATCCATGAGCATGGAATGTTCTTCCATTTGTTTGTGTCCTCTTTCATTTCCTTGAGCAGTGGTTTGTATTTCTCCTTGAAGAGGTCCTTCACATCCCTTGTAAGTTGGATTCCTAGGTATTATTTCAAATATTATTTTAAAACAATGAGATATTGAAAAATACATTGGAGCAAATTCTTCACTCTTAAATCCTTTCAGCACAGAGACGATCAACTGACTGTCTGGGTGCTACATGAGCACTATTGGAGTCTCTTTCATCTGCCTGAGTCTGTGCAACAATATGAAATTATAATTTTACTATGCACCTAAAGTTTCCTCAATATATTGAATTATTACAGAATTTGATGAGTCAAATTTTGTAAATTCAGTTACCTTTTTCCACTACTCTAGGACTCATATACTATCTGGCCTAAGGGTTAAAGGTCCACAATTGAATGAGCCAAACTTGTTAATTTGAGGGTAAAGCATGTCAAGAAATCTGGCCTTAATGTCCAATGAACTTATATCATATTAAGTAGCTGGATAGAAACATGCATTCCAAAGTGGATACTATTTATCACGCTCAGTGCTCTATTCTTGAGAGTAAATCCCATGATAGGGTGGATGCTTTAATTGTGTAGTAAATAGTATTAGGTGTAATATCAAAACCACTAAGGGAACACTGATGATGTGAATAGGAACACTACCTGTGGATCTGGGAATTTTCTATAGAAATCCTATCTCTTTCAATTGCCTGTTTAGTGGGCAAGTTGTTTCAGTTCCTATAATATCTAAATTGGAGAAAATCACACCACCTACTTCTTCAGGTGTTATGATAATTATGAGTGATGACATCTTTTTAAGTGCTTAACACAATTCCTCACACATAGAAAGCAATAATAAACATTGGCTAGCATTGTAAGGATGTTTATTGTCTTCTAATGTGTTTTCATACGTTTTCTCTCTGGGATCTTGAGTGAAACATGTGGATCTAGAACAAGAACAAAATGATATTACCTTAATGATCTTTATGTATTTACACTCAAGGTGTCTTAAAATATTTTGCTGGCCAACAAAAGACACCTCCTATTCTAACTGGGCATTGTCCTTTTCTTTAAACTATGCAGACAAACAATATTATAAAGTGAGAACATCAGCATAAAAAACATAAACATAAATCTTAATAGTGAGTTCATGAAAATTCTTACTGACGAAATGGCAGTGTCACAGACTGAATGTTTATGTCCCCCCGAATTTGTATATTGAAATCCTAACCCCCAGGGTATTCGTGTTAGGAGGTAGAGCCTTGGGGAGGTGATTAGGTCATGAGGACAAGATTCTCGTGAATGGGATTTGTGCCCTTATAAAAGAGATCCCAGAGAGCTCATTGGCCCCTTCCAAAGTATGGGGATATAGCAGGAAGTTGCCATCTATGAGCCAGAAGGGTGGACCTCACCCCAGATGATAAATGTGCCTTGATATTGGACTTCCCAGCCTGCATAACTGTAAGAAATTTCTGTTGTTTATAAGTTACTCAGCTTATGGTATTTTGTTACAGTAGCCTACACAGACTAAGACGAGTAGCATTTTGAGGATTGAAATTTCTTCATAAATGAATACAGTATGCCCTGTTAAACCATATTCTCAGCTAACCCCATTTACTCACTGTTCCTCTTTATTTTAGTTTCACATTTTTGCTATTTATCTCTGTAATTTTATTCATTCTTCACAATTTGCCATTCTTATACTTCGAATCATGTTATCAGTTTAAAATACCTCCATCAAATGATAGTCTGCATTTGTTTATCCTTGGCTGATTCAAAACACTTGGCATAATTTCCTTTAAATCATCTTCCTCCCATCTCACAACACTGTATTATTTTCAATTAATTTCCAATAAACTCTTAATTGTCCATGCTCTGTCAGAGTTGGCAGAGTTAATCCCTGTTTAAGCTGATAGGTTCAACTTCTTCAACAAACAAATCTTTCATGAAAGCTGCTGACAAGCCAGAGTATTAATTAAATCTAGTTTTGTTGCTTCTCACTTTCCTTTATCTTTCTCTCTTGTTCTTTGGGAAACAGTCACAGAGTTCTGGTGCTAATAAATACTATAAAAAGTAGGGAATACAGTCTAACGAAGCAGAATATTCTCTTTAAAGTTGATGTGGTGCTTTTTGTGCACCAAGCATTGGCTCAAACGCCCAAAAATTAGGCAGCAAAACTTCCTAAGCTCATCTTCAACCATAAGGCAGAAAAGCCAAATGTATCTGAAAATATAATATCACTGGTACCTTATACCAGCACTAAGAATAAGAAAACCCTGGAAAGTGGCTCGAGTACAATATTTTTCTATTGGAATTAATTTTTCAAAATGGAAAGGACTTCATTGTTATTTTTATTATAAAATTAGTATATGTTTATTATTAAAAATAAGTACAAAAATATCTAAAAGAAAAAGGGAAAAACTACCAGCAGTTCCACATTCCAGAGATCATCACTGTTAGCATTTAGGTATACAAATATCCAAACACTTTTCCTATCAATACAATTAATTTTTAAATTTGATCATTATGCAATGTACACATGCACTAAAACATCACACTGCACCCCATAAACACGTGCAATTATTATGTCAATTAAAAACAAAATAAAAACATTTTACAAAAAATCATGTTATTTTTAATAACTTGTTTTTCTAATTGTATATATCACAAAATAAATGTCTTTACATGACATTTATTTTATGATAATAACTAATTTATTCATTTAAACAGCAAGGTACATTTCATTCTACAGATATACTATATAATATTTACTCTGATCTCTGGATGAGAATTTATGTTGCCTGTAAATATTGTATCACAAACATAAGAATATTCTCTAAAAGGTTTTTTTCCTGTATTATTATTCGGGTAGAAAAATTACTAGAAATAGAATAACTGGGTCAAAGATTAAAAACAATTTAAACTTCAATATATAGAATCAAATTATTCTCCAAAATGTCGTACTGTACGGTATTTGAATTTTGATTTTTTTCTCCATTTTCCCTACTGCCAATAACTTTAATCTTTGTCGATCGATGAGACAAAAAAGACAAATAATGCAATACTATACATAGGGAGATTAATAGGTAGAAAAAGAAATGCAAATGGCCAGGATTAACAGAAGATGTTCAACATCAATCCAATCAAAGTAATGAGTCTTTAAAATGCAATAGCAGTCAATGTTAGCAAGATTGTAGGTATTAGACATTCTCATAGGAATATAAACTAGGGCCATGTTTTAGGATCATATTAGGTCACAGCAATTAAAAAATGTTAAATTCATATGCTCTATAGCAACTTCGCGGGTTGGAATTTATCACATGGAGAATCTTGTAAAATACATAAACCAAGATATGTTATTAATGTTATTCGTAGCCTATTGTTTAAATAAAAAATATATTTACACAATACAGTTTTTAAAAGTAAGAATATCTTGAAGGTAAATTAGTAAACAAAAATAGAAAGCCTAGGCCAGGCGAGACTTTATCTCATGCTTGTAATCCCAACACTTTTGTAGACTGAGGCGGGAGGATTGCTTGAGCCCAGAAGTCTGAGACCAACCTGGACAACACAGTGAGACCTCGTCTCTAGAAAAAAAAAAAATACAAAGCGTAGTTCTGAACATCATTTTGTGTAATACTAAAAGATAAAATTTTATTTTCTAACTTGTTTAAGATCTATATTCTATGTGGGGGATGTGTATTAAGGTCATTTTTAAAAAGATACTCAAGAAATTGTCAACAGTGATTATCTTAAGGAGAGATTCTAGATGTCTGGGGGTAAGAAACTAGAGGAAGGAGAATTTTATATTTCATTTTTACCTTTATTTAATTTTTTGATTTTCTTACTGGGTGCATGAATTATATTTTATGTCAGCATGTTTTATCAGATAAATAAAATTATGAGCTATTTCTGTTTCCTCTCATTTGTTTTATGTTTAAATAAAGGAAAATGAGGTATGTCTTTTTAAAATTTGATAATCTTGAGTCCATGATTATTATGAAAGCCCTCTGTTATCTGTTTACTTCCTTTCACAATGACTGTTTATGTTGTAGAATCATTAATTTCTCAAGACAAATGTCTTAGAAGGTAGATACAAAACATGGTATACATTTTTTGATTCAAGCTAATTTCATGTTATGAACAAAATTACATAATGTAATTTCTAAGACCTTTCTGTGATCTATCAATCCACTAGGTTAAATAGCAGAAATCACTTCCAAAACAAATCCTTTTGCAGTCAGCAAAATGAAACAATTATGTGAATAAGTTTTTCCACTTGGCCTATTTTTCTGTCCATGGTTATTAATCAGTCTCACTGACTACATTTTCCATTTTACATCCCCTTTCAGGCACTACTCCAGGTGGCCAAGCATATCACATTATGTAAATTAAATAAAACAAAATCTTTTCCCATCGAGCAAATGGATATACTTCACCTCTAATGCTTCCAGTCTTTCTCAGATCATTCAAAAAGCGTGATATCGTTTCCATAAAAGGATGTTCATCCCATTTGACTAACTGGAATTTCTTTAAGTAAAATTTTACTCCAGCTAATCTTTACCAAATAGCTGAATTAATTCAAGTTGACACCCTGTTATCTACCAGCTCTTCCAGCCCTTTTGCTTGATTGTTTTGTCATTTTGCCTTTTCTTCTCTTCTAAAGTGTGAGTATGGAGATTGACCCTTCTGAAACAGCTGTGTCACATCATGATCCTTGAGGATACCAGCTCTTAACTGGCTGCATATCAAAATCACTGTTTTCTTTTACCAATACACTAGACACACTCAAGCAGAGATTTTGGATTCTGATTTAATTGACACAGAGTAGGGCCTGGGCATTTTTAAAGCTCACCACATGATTCTATTGTGCCTCATCTATCCTAGCCCTTAAGCAGGACCAAACATTTCTTCTAACTTAATTATTATTCTCTTAAACGTAGTCCAATTCCTTACAACTGATAGATTTCTATATGCTCATCTGCCTTGAGTGATGACAATTGAATGGTTTGGCTCTGTGTCCACACCCAATCTCATCTTGTAGCTCCCATAATTCCCACATGTTGTGGGAGGGGCCCAGTGGGAGATAATTGAATCATGAGGATGGGTCTTTCCTGTGCTGTTCTTGTGTTAGTGAGTAAGTCTCATGAGATCTGATCATTTTTAAAATGGAAGCTTCCCTGCACAAGCTCTCTCTTTGCCTGCTGCCATCCATGTAAGATGTAACTTGCTCCTCTTTGTCCTCCACCATGATTGTAAGGCCTCCCCACCCATGTGGAATTGTACGTCCATTAAACCTCTTTCTTTTGTAAATTGCCCAGTCTCAGGTATGTCTTTATCAGCAGCATGAAAACAGATGAATACAACAATACTGTAACAAATCTACTCACATCTGTACTCTTTATAGGAATTGCAGTGCTAAAACATTAGTGGGTCTTAATTCTAAGAGAGTTAAAAAATATTAATGCTTGTCCCACCCCTAAAGTCTAGGGTGTGACCTGAGCATTAGGTTATTTTAAACTTTTCTCAGGTAATAAACATGTGCAGCCAAGGTTTAGAACCACTCTATGGGGCCAAGATATGTAAGAAAATTCAAATCCTTTAGCTGGGCATGGTGGCACGCACCTGTAGCCCCAGGTACTCTGGAAGCTGAGGTGGGAGGATTGCTTGAGCCCAGGAGAGAGAGGCTGCATTAAGCTATGATCACATCACTGCACTCTAGCCTGGGTGACAAAGCGAGATCATCTCAAAAAAAAAAAAGGAGAAAGGAAGAAGAGGAAGGAAGGAAGGAAGGAAGGAAGGAAGGAAGGAAGGGAGGGAGGGAGAGAGAGAGAAAGAGAGAAAGAAGAAAGAAAGAAAGAAAGAAAGAAAGAAGAAAGAAAGAAAGAAAGAAAGAAAGAAAGAAAGAAAGAAAGAAAGGGAAAGAAAGAGAGAGAAGAGAAAACAAGAGAGAGGAACAAAGAAAGAGAGAAAGAAGGAAAGAAAAGAAAAAGGAAGGAAGGAAAGGAAGAAAGAAAAAAGAAAGAAAGAAAAAAGAGAAAGAAGAAGAAAAAGAGAAAGAAGAGAGAAAAAGAAAGAAAGAAAAGAAAGAAAGAAAGAAAGAAAGAAAGAAAGAAAGAAAGAAAAAAAAAGAAAAGAAAGAAAGAAAGAAGGAAAAGGAGAGAGAAAATTGAAGTCCTGCCTTGTCAAATGTACTACTCCATTTTCCCTAAGGGATCCCAAGGGAAACTTAACTACAGGATAAAGACAGACAAAAGGACATAAATTACAACTCTAGGTGCACATATTATTTTGTTTCTGAAATTGGTTTTAAAATATCTATGTCAGAGTTCATTTCTAGAACTTTATCTCTAGAAAACATATTTTCACTTCTCAATACAGGAAAATGGAGATTGGAAAAATGAGGTTGGAAAATGATTTCCATGCTTATCTCTCAGCTTCTTTTTTCAACTTCCCTTTTTTCATCTCCATATCTTCACTGATACCTAAGAATCTCTGTTACATCACAGTCTTCAAGAGCTTTGATCGCAGCGAATTAGTTAAGACATTAGCTTTCAAAAGCATATGATATTCTCTCACAAGCATGTGTCTACTTTTAATAGGGCAAGCTATGTAAAGATTTTAAATCTCATTCCAGAGATACCACATCTACTCTACCTATTTATGAGAACAGTCATGTCTCTAGACCAAGATAGAAATTCATAGTTAGGAAATAAATCCCTGTAGGGTTTTCCCACAGTCCCAATATGTCCCCTACTATCCTGATTTTAGCAACAAAAATTCCCCATCCAGAAAATCCTTCATTCCTAAGTTGAAAGATTGGTCACCCTATTTCTATCTGTGTCTCTTTCTTTCATAATTGGCTCATAATCATAGCAGTCACAATTTTGAAACATTTTATTTTACTGAATTACTCATTGCTGTTTTCTCATTTTTTAAATAATAAACACTTCTTAAGAAACATTGGAAATATACCGAAAATAGTAAACAATAAAACAGAAACCATTGGCAGAAACAGTCACTATTAAAATCTTACTATACTCCCTTCCAATGTTATTTCTGTTAATGCAAATTTAAAAATCAGAGATTCGCCTCTGTGAACTAGATTTCTTTTTACCTTTAGATATTATTTGACAAATATATAGCTCAATCATCTATCCAAACTTCTCTTTTACAGACTCCATGCCAATTAACCTTCTCCTATGAAACTATCATTTCTTCACATAGGATAAATATGGTTATTGACACACAAGCTTTCTTAGTTGCATTGCGATCCAGATGTGCATCCCTAAATTTATACCACTTGGATTTAGAACGATCATTAATAAAGAGGCTTGGTCTTATCTCTTGCAATTTGCTTCTTCCTTCTTAAATTCAGTTCTTGTAATGTAACTATAATTTTGGGGTATCTTTTTGCCTCATATTCAAATTCTCTTTCAAACTGAGGTACATTTCTATATTTCTGTATTTGTATATTGTATATAATAGTATAGAAAACAATAATGAGATTACAGTGTTTGTAGAAGTTTTGAAGTATAAATATTTAATATATAAATATATTAAATATGTATAAAATATCTGATTAGTAATAAGATAATAATGTATCTACCTCCAAGTTTTAAAACTAGGACTTTGAAATATCAGCAAAGTCCACCTGCTTTGACCAGCATCTCTTCTCCCTGCCTGCTTTAATCATGTCTTGGGTCCTGATAAATTTGCCCCCACATCCCTCCCAAATTACTCTCCAACTCTGTTCTATGTTTCAGGAAAATAACATTTATTTTCCAGTCTCCTTTGCCCTCCATTTTCCCAGTAAGCTATCCAGTGAGAGATGCCGTAAAAGCCTGCCTCTTCTCTGTAGGGCTACTTCCCACCAGATAGCCCCTCCCGCTATGGACCCAATTCCCATTATCTCTAGCAACCTGCCTGAAGTTCTGGCCTCTTGGCTCTGGTAACAGCACCTTCTCCCATTATCGTTCTAGTCCTAGGGGCAGTACTGGTTTCTTGCTCTTGAGCTGCTGACTCACCAAGCCTGATTTGGCTTCCATCACTTGTGTAATCAGTCACCTGTATTAAATCAACTCTGCTTGAAAGTCCAAGAATAGTTTCTGATTTATAAGCAAACACTGAAAGCTCTTCTATTTCTTGTTTGTTAAGCAAGATTTGTCAAAGTTAAATTTTTATTTTATTGAATTCACTTTTTGCCTCTCCTACAATGATGATTTGCTTTTCCTCCTTTAACTTGTTAATGTGATGAATTATACATAGATTTTTTTCTATTGTTAGAAATCCTTGCATTCATGGAATAAACACAATTTTCATACTATATTATCTTTTTTATAGGTTTCTAAACTTAATTTTATAACTTTTAATTTAAAATGTTTGCCATTAGGTTCATGAGGAAAGTTGGCGTCTAATCTTCCTGTCTTACACATTTCTCGTATAACATTGGTATCAAGATTGTATTGGCCTCATAAAATGAACTAACAAATGGACCTTTTTTTATTCTGGAGTTGTTCTTATAAAATGGAAATAATCCATTTCTTGAAAATATTTGATAGAACTCACCAGTAAAAATGTCTGGGCCTGCTGGTTCTCTTCTTCTAAGAAGAATTTGGAACTTATAATTAAAGCTCTTTAATGTGTTAGAAAACTTTCCAGGTTTCCTTGAACATGAATAAATTCCAATGATGAAAACCCCTCAGATATTAAATATAACCTTAAATATAACCTTTCCCCAATTCAATTTTTCTTTTGCAGATCTGATTAGATACTCTAATTTTTCAACCTCTATTTCACATATCAATTTTCCTTTCCTCCTCTGTACTGTCTTCAGCATAATTTTTTTAGTCTAACTTCCAACTCACTTATTTTCTTTTTGGTTCTATCCAATATTGTGTTTAACCTGTCCATTTAGTTTTTAATTTTCATTATATTTTTTATTTCTAAAAGATCTCTTAAATTCAGTTTCAATCTGCTTAATATAAGATACACACACTGTCTCAATTTATATTCCTGGCACACCTCATTGATTTTTTAAACATATTAAACATAGCTTTTATAGTAATATAATCATTCTAATATCTGAAATCTTTATGGGCATAATTCTCTTTCTGCTCATGATGTTTATTTCCTCATGAGTTTTCTAAGAGTCTTAGTTTTTTCTCATTTTGGATGAAATTTTACCTGTGGCCATTCTTTGAGACGTGGGGTGAATGTGGGTTTCTCCAAAGACACTTTGCCTTCGTCTTGTGTTTGGAGGTAATACCAACATGGGATAATGATAAAATAAATTATCAGTTTGATGTGCGGGTTTTTTTTTTTAATTACACTTACAGTGAAAATTTAAACCACAAATTCATGTGAAGATGGCCTTGTAATTTTTCCTCTAAATAGCACCGAGTTTGAGGCAGGAAAATTTCCTGGTTGTCTCCCCCTGAGGAACAGGTTTTTATCTAGTTTATCCTTTCACTGAAATTATAGTCCTTCGTATCTCTGGCTTTCAGGAGTTTTCTCCTGTAAGACTGTTATACTGGGCAGGCACTAGGTTTTGTCTCACACTTTCCCATATTCCAGGTGGTCATAAAAATTGAAGCTCAGGGTACTAGGGCCAGGACTGTCCTTATGGAAGCCTCTGGTTTGGGGGTCTGCATACCTCTCTGGATTTATGTATTCTCCTTATGCTTGGCCTATGTGGTTCACCTTAATTTCTATTCAAGTCAGTAATATACTTTTGAAAAATGACATGTACATTTTATCTGGTATTTGCAGATTTTATATAGCAGGATAGTGATTCAGCAAATCTAGTCTACCACAACGCTAGGAATAGAATTCCCCTAATTTTTTAAAACATTATATCAAATCATGTTTATTGCCATTAATAGTCTTATAAGTGTGATTTTAAGTAAATGCATTTTGTTATAACTCGTTGTGATTGTATATTTAACTAATTCACCCCTACCTCATGTTTTTTGGGAGTGAAGGTTGTACTCAACTCACTATATTAAGTAATACTACAGTAAATATCAATCTATACATGCATTAATAATGATTTCCAAGAAAGTAGTGAAACATGGTCATAATCATCTTTGAGGCTGATGGTATATATTTTCAAATTGCATCTCAGAAATAATGATACCAATGTGTGCTCTAATCAGCCGCATATGAAAGTGTCGTCTTTCTGTTCTCCAACCAATACAACTACCACTGTTTTTGTACCTACAAATCTGGCAAAGATGTGAGAAGGCATCTTATTGTTTCAATTTGTATTTCTTTGGTGACCAATGTACTAAATTGCTCTTTTCCTATTTATCATCCTTTTCAAACAAAATGTAAACCATTTTTTAAATTTTTTTATATTAATGCAAATCCTAAATCACTACTTTATTTATTCAATTTCCTAAGCAGAATTATATGTTGTCCCATTTATACATTTTATATTAGATCATTCTGCCTTACATTTATATGCTAAAAACTGCCAGAATTATATAATAATTATGAACAGTTGATTATAAATAATGTCTTTATTAGGATATTTCTCCATAAATCTAAATTTCATCAATCTTTCTTTAAATATCTCTACACAATTTCCTCTTGTATTATATTACTAATTGCAGATACACTTCTTTTTGCTATTTCTATTAATTCTTTCCTATTCCTATTGTCTGTTAGTCTCCCATTCTTCTCCCATAAAATAAATAAAAATTTTACTATCAGATTCTGTGATATATTACTTCTTATTCCCAGCCTTCAACATTTTAAGAATTCAGATTGACCTTTTCTCCCATTATTTCAAGTTATCAGCATGTCAATACTTGGGAAATCTCATCAAGTGTTTAACAGTGCATACCTTACTGACTCATTATTTATTTCAGTTTAATCTTTCTTATTTTCATTCAATATTTTTCTCAGTAATATGACTTTTTCAAGCTTTTTATTTTCTAATGCATTTCTCCAAATAGCAGCCATAACCCTTATATGCCCTCTTTCAATGACAGCAACAAAAGTGTGCTAGGCTTCTTGGAAGAAAATAATTATACCAATTTAAGAAGGAGAAAATTGATGTACTGATAAACAAATGGGCATCTTAGGATCATGTTTCTCACAAGTAAAGCAGTTCCAGAAATTCCTAGGACCCTAATGGGTTTTATTGTAAATAGGTTAAACATATCACGTAAAAAATTGTTTTCTACAGTTCTCTAATATTGCTTACAATTGTCCACGTTTCCATGTTTATAAACTTGCCTTTTTTTTTTTTTAATGGAGTTTTGCTGTTGTTGCCCAGGCTGGAGTGCAATGGCGTGATCTTGGCTCACTGCAACCTCCACCTACCAGGTTCAAGCAATTCTTCTGCCTCAGCTTTCTGAGTAGCTGGGATTATAGGTGTGTGCCACCACACCTGGCTAATTTTTTGTATTTTTAGTAGAGACGGGGTTTCACCATGTTGGGCAGGCTGGTCTCGAACTCCTGACCTCAGGTGATCCACCCGCCTTGGCCTCCCAAAGTGCTGGGATTACAGGCGTGAGCCACTGCACCCAGCCTTATACTTGCCCACTTTTTAATTCTAAGAACTTGCTACTCAATGGAGGATCCTGGGACCAATACCATCAGCATGACTTGAGGACTTGTTTGAAAGCAGACTCAGAATCTGCAATTTATCAGGATCCCCAGGTAATTTGTATGTGCAGTCTAGTTTGGTAGATCTGCTCTGGCAGACTGGAAGACTCTTCTATCTGCCTCATGTAAGGTGCAGGTGACATAATTAGGTAATCAAGCAAAAGATCACATTTTTTAATAAGAAAGAGACACTGGCTATTATTTTGAGTGGCAAAACAGGTTATTCAGTCCCAGTTTAAAATGGAAATGACAGAGACCAAGATCAAGATTTCTAATTTGAGATGTGCCTGTGATGCAATTACATTTGCTGAATGAAACTGCTTCAGTAATTAGATGCAGGTTTCTTCTCTCTTCTTTTTGAGATGTAGAGAGGACACAATAGGCTCATGGAACTTAAAGAACTCGACACCAGCTAACAAAACATGCTATCCAGCTTCTTTCATTTCACCATATTGCTTTCTTGAAAACATAGTACAGTGCCAGTTTAGCATTGAAAAAAATCAGTTCTCCTAATTCTAAAAAGAGGAGACAGCCAGGCGTGGTGGGTCACTAAAAATACAAAAAATTAGCTGGGCATGGTGGTGCATGCCTGTAATCCCAGCTACTTGGGAGGCTGAGGCAAAAGAATCACTTAAACCCGGGAGGCGAAGGTTGCAGTGTGCTCAGATAGCACCATTGCACTCCCGCCTGGGCAACAAGAGTGAAACTCCATCTCAAGAAAAAAAAAAGAAACAGAGAGAGAGAGACAAACTGTAATTTCATTTCAGAAGTTTTATAGGGTACTATTTCCAGTTCTTTTTTTCTTACTCCATTGAAGTGTAATTAGCAGTATGTGAAAATTTCCACTTTATCCTCAATCAGTAGCCTCTCCTTCCAATTAGCATATTTTTTCTATTAATTTTGTAAAGTGGGATTCTTGTTTTACACATACCCCTGGAAAGTATACTTAAACTGTGAGACCCTGGGATTTTATATTTCCAAATAGAAGATACCATCCTCTTGTATCACAAAATGTACTTAAGATGGTTTGGATTATATTTAAATATTCTTGAATGAAATAGACTTAGTGATTGAAGCCAATTATTATATTTTTCCACACCAAAATAAATGCAATAGGAAAAGATGACAGTACTATCTAGTATTCCTGCTTCAATATTGCACAAATTAGAAACATACATATTCTGTTATGTTATAGGGTCTAGGGCTTTCGGAGGACAAGGCTGCAGTCAGCTGAGATCGTGCCACTGCACTCCAGCCTGGGCGACAGAGTGAGACCCTTTCTCAATAATAGTAATAAAAGTAAAAAGAAATATAATATTTAATCAATATATGCACACACATGGGTTTATCATGACACACATGACATTTGTGTACAGTGAAAAAAAATGAGTAAATCTAGAAACCTGTATTGCCTCAATAGCTAGCTGAGTACTTCAATATGCATGTTTATTTCAACAATTTTGTGTTAAGCTTCAGTGGTAAGTAAGCAGAGTACACTGACCATAATGAATACTTCTTTTGATGAGGGTTATCACTACACAATTAAAATATGATATAGTTGGCTGGGCACGTTGGCTCACACCTATAATCCCAGCACTTTGGGAGGCCGAGGCAGGTGGATCTCCTGAGGATGGGTGTTCCAGACCAGCCTGACCAACATGGAGAAACCCCGTCTCTATTAAAAATACAAAATTAACCAGGCGTGGTGGCACATGCCTGTAATCCCAGCTACTCAGGACACTGAGGCAAGAGAATCACTTGAGCCCGGGAGGCAGAGGTTGTGGTGAGCTGAAATAGTGCCATTGCACTCCAACCTGGGCAACAAGAGCAAAACTCCATCTCAAAAAAAATAATAATAAATATATATATATTATATATAATAAATATATCATATATATGATATAGTTTAGAGTTAAATACTGACTGCTCTCGGGAACTTTGAGGTATTCTGAGGGATATAAATAACATGAAGAGAATAGCACATTGGCTTGCAGCAGATTAGAGTCTGTTACCTGCGTGAATACTTGTTTTTCATGAACTATGAGGATCCCCTTAGCTTTTGAACCACTTCTACTTGTGTTTAAATTTACCCTTTAATTTTGGGGTTTGCTGCCCTTCTGTTCCGCTTGAGTCTGGCTTTTCCTACTCTGACTCACTTTGATTCTTGACCTCTGAATCTTATTCCTATTTTACAATAAACACATGTGGCACATATGCCAATGAGTAGAGTGGAAGAGAGAAAAATTGCCAAGGAACTGTGTTTAATTTTGTTCCTTTCGCAAACCAGATACCATAACAGAAAAATTTTAGGAATATGTGCATGTTCAGTAGCCTTCAATGCAATTACAGTCATTATTACAAAGTGTTGGATAATCAATATTTTTTAAAGATTCACTAGTCCCTTCTCATAATTTTAGAACTTTGGGAAGTAACAATACAAATGTATTTTTAGCTGTGTCCTTTAATCTTTTACTGTTTCCTCTATGTGTGGTGTTTGGTTTGTGTGTGTGTGATAATTATTATAAAGATCAGAGGCTAACAGAGGTGTTTATCACAAACTTTTAAGATTTTTATTTTTATTTTTTAATTCTTTTTAAGAGACAGAGTCTCACTGCGTCACTCAGGCTGGATGCAGTGGTGCCAACTTAGCTCACTGCAACCTCCGCCTTCAAGGTTCAAGCGATTCTGCTGCCTCAGCCTCCCAAGTAGCTGGGACTACCGGAGGGCGCCACCATGCCCCACTAATTTTTGTATTTTTAGTAGAGACGGGGTTTCATCATGTTGGCCAAGCTGGTCTTGAACTCCTGACCTCATGATCCGCCCGCCTCAGCTTCCCTAAGTTCTGGGATTACAAGCGTGAGCCACCGCGCTCAGCTGCATGACCTTTTAACTTGCCTCATACACTCAATATACTCAAGGTATACCTTCCAAAGTGAAAAATTATGGCACGTTGCAGTCCTGACCACTAATTGAGAACTTTGATGCATTGGATTTTGGAGACCTCATTTTATCACCTGGTCCTTTTACTTTATGACTTGTCATGCTGCCATCTTTTGATGGGATTGAGATCAAGATAATAATTCCCAACTGGTCAGGAATATTGTGCCCCTTTGTTTTTATATCCAGATGCAATAGAGCCTCTGACACACCACTACTATGGTTCTTAGGATTTGGAACAAAATGCTTCTTTCTTTGACAAAATAAATGTTTTCTTTAAAGAATTCTTGATTGATCCTGGACCATTGTAGAAACTGAAGTCTTACCAATGCAAAAAAATATGACAACATGAGCTGCTTATCATGAAATAAGTGTTTTCCAGTTAACTATCCTGCTTCATCCGCAGGTAGGAATAATAGAATCTATACCTATGTCTTCATGGGAATTTCTCTATGGCCAGTTGATTAGTGAGGGAAAAATTGAGCCTGATTTACAGAAGTCGCTGTACAACATCACAGCAACAGCCAAAAGTAGATTGCTTAGGCATTATAACCTACTTGAATGCAATTTTAAAAGAAATTCAGCCTATGTAATCAGTTGTCCACGATGTCTAGAAGGAGAGATATTACTGATTTATATGTGGCAGCTAAAAATTTGTCTAGGTAATTAGGGACTTGGGGCCAGGACTGGTGGCTCACACTTGTAATCCCAGAACTTTGGGAGGACAAGACAGGCGGATTGTCTGAGGTCAGGAGTTCGAAACCAGCCTGGCTAACATGGTGAAACTCCATCTTTACTAAAAATACAAAAATTAGCCAGGTGTGGTGGTGTGTGCCTGTAGTCCCAGCTACTCGAGAGGCTGAGGCGGGAGAATCTCTTGAATCCAGGAGGCAGAAGTTGCAGTGAGCCAAGATTGCACCACTGCACTCCAGCCTGGGCAACAAAGCGAAACTCCGTCTCAAAAAAAAAAAAAAAAAGATAATTAGGGACTTGGAAGGACAAAGATTGAAGGATTGGTGACAATGAGTTTTGGGGAAAAATACGTAGATGAACTACAGAAAATGAGCCAGAGTGTAAGAATATTTGTGCTTAATATGAATACTCACCAAACTATCATCAGGAAGGTTATCAAATAAATATGAAGGTATGAAACAACTTCTTTCACCAGGCACTACATTGCTTGCTCAGAAGGCTAATAAACAGCAACATTGGTGGTAGCAGTAGAGAATACATATAGGTTTAGCAACATGTTGGACTTTACCACTGTCCCTTACCAAAGCCTATTTAGCTGTCAAGACTATTAGGTGTCCAACACACAAGCAACAAGGACCAAGGCTAAGCACAAAATAACATATCCTGGGTGAAAAAAACAGTCACCTTTTGTCAGACTTGTTGATTTTACTGGAGCTCCTCTATGATAAAGGCAACAAGGAATGTTGTAAATGGAATCTAGCTTTATATCCTTGAATTACATTTGCTTGACCTGACATCATGTTTCTCTGATCACCACTCTCCGTGGGTACATTGAATGCTTTATACATACTGCCATAATATCCTGTTCTACATCCTTCTATTCAAAGAACTTGTTGTATAACAAATGAGTAGATATTCACTGCACTCACCTGGTCCACCATTTATCCTATCACTAACCAAAATTATTATTATTATAGAATGGCGAATATTTTATTAAAGACTCAATCACAGTGCCAGCTGGAGACAATGGCTTATAAGGTTGTACTCATGCCAGAGGATGTGGTGGTGTATCCTCTGAACTAGTAACTAAGTATAAGCTTGTCTGGTGTCTCCCATATAAAAAATACAACAATCTTTGATCTTTGTTATGAATGTTGAAGTGACTCCTTTTGTCATTACATCTAATGATCCACTCCAAATATTTGTCTCTTGTCTCTGAGATTCTAGGTTTTTGCAGAATTAGTACCCAAGGGGAGAGTCTCAACAGTATTTCATTTTACGATCCATCCTTTGTTAGAGGATGAAAGACTTCTAACTGGCCTTTTAGGTTGCCTGAGACCTTTAGACAAACAGTCAAAAATTTAAAATTTAAAATGTGGCACACTGTTGCATGGGGTAGTAAATCTTGACCTTAAAACTGGTATTTGTAAGAAAAACAGAAAGAATTCAGGGATCCCCTTTGATGGCTCTTAATTCTATACAGTCCTATAAATATTCATGAAGACTAGCCAGGCGTGGTGGTGCACACCTGTAATTCCAGCTACTCCAGAGGCTGAGGAAGAGAATGACTTGAACCTGGGAGGCGGAGGTTGCAGTGAGCTGAGATCATGCCACTTCACTCCAGCCTGGGTGACAGAGCAAGACTCTGTCTCAAAAAAAAAAAAAAAAAAAAGAAAAAATTAATGAAGACTAATTGCCAAAACTTGGAAGCAACCAAGATGTCCTTCAATAGGTGATTACATAAGCAAACTGTGGTATATTCATACAGTGGAATATTATTCAGTGCTAAAAGGAAAAAACTATCAAGCCACAAAAAGATACAGAAAAAACAAATATATTTTGCTAAGTGAAAGAAGCCAGTCTGAAAAGGGTACATACTGTGATTTCAACTATATGACATTCTGCAAAAGGCCAAACTATAAAGACAGTAAAAAGATCAGTGGTTATCTTTGCAGATGCCACCGTCGCTGGGAGCCCTGTACTATCAGCCATGGTCAAACCCATCGTGTTTTTTGACATCGCCGTCGACGCCAAGCCCTCGGGCCGCATCTCCATCAAACTGTTTGCAGACAAGATTCCAAAGACAGCAGAAAAGTTTCATGCTCTGAGCACTGGAGAGAAAGGATTTTGTTATAAGGGTTCCTGCTTTCACAGAATTATTCCAAGGTTTATGTGTCGGGGTGGTGACTTCACACACCATAATGGCACTGGTGGAGAAATTTCATGATGAGAACCTCATCCGAAAGCATACAGGTTCTGGCATCTTGTCCATGGCAAATGCTGGACCCAACACAAATGGTTCCCAGTTTTTCATCTGCACTGCCAAGACTGAGTGTTTGGATGGCAAGCATGTGGCCTTTGGCAAGGTGAAAGAACACATGAATATTGTGGAAGCCATGGAGCACTTTGGGTACAGGAATGGCAAGACCAGCAAGAAGATCACTATTGCTGACTGTGGACAATTCTAATGAGTTTGACTTGTGTTTTATTTTAACCACCAGACCCATTCCTTATGTAGCTCAGGAGAGCACCCCTCCACCACATTTGCTTGCAATATCCTAGAATCTTTGTGCTCTTGCTGCAGTTCCCTTTGGGTTCCATGTTTCCCTTGTTCCCTTCCGTACTAGCTGGATTGCAGAGTTGAGTTAAGTTTATGATTATGAAATAAAAACCAAGTAACAACAACAAAAAAAAAAAGATCAGTGGTTGCCAGGGGTTTGGGGATGGGTAGGGAGATAAATAGTTCTGAAACAGGCGATTTTTAGGGGATTGAACATAGTTTGGTAATAATGTAATGATGGGTACATGACATTATGCATTTTGCAAAACTCATAGGCCTGTACCACACAAAGAGTGAACCCTAATGTAAACTGGGGGTGGGATGAAGGTGAGAGTATGTGAGAACTCTGTACTTTCTGCTCGATCTTTCCGTAAAGCTAAAACAGCTCAAAAAATAAAGTCTATTATTTTTTTAAATGAAAGAAATTAACAATGACCATAGCACGCTCACACAAATAGATTATCGAGGACATTTCTCTGTCAGGAATGAATATTGGGTCATCTCACAAGGTAAAACCCTGACTAGCAGAGGTGTTAGCTGAGGGCACATGGCTGTAGATGCCAACAGTGACCTGATGGCCACTTGCAGAAGGGAGAGCCTTGACATCCAAACACATTGTTTCTCTTGTATTGTCCTGTGCATACTTATGTATCTTAACAAGTTTCCTTCTTTCCTCTTCATTTATCCCTCTTTTTAAAACAGGGCTTATTGAGGGTGATTAACTTAATTTTTAAATGATATGTGGCAGAATGTCAAGAGAGTATAGTGGAGAACTTCGTAAGGAATGGACATAACCCAGAATTCTTAGACTCAGAGTACATGCTGTGATTGAGAATTTTTTATTGTTTCATTGTTCAAGAGATTGTAGGTACATGTTCAATTATTAGAGAAATAGTTGCACTCTGTTAGAAGGTAGCTTGGGTCTTTTGTGTTTACTTTCAAAAGGGAAAGTTTATATTGATATTGAACAAGTTAAAGCATGCATATTTATTATTTGATGTTTGTTTCTGTGTTTGAGGAATTCCTCAGCCTATCAGTTTTGACGAAAACAAGAAACCACCTCCTGCTTTAGAAGCTAAAATGCCAAATGCTTGCTTTCTCAGCCTCCTTTGCAGCTAGGCTACAAGCATATGATTTAGGTTTTGCCAATCTGTTTGCCAGTGCTGAATTTCGACTTTGGAATTAATAAAAAAAGAAGCAGATTCAGTTATGCTTTCTCTTGTTTCTGGTGGAGGCCATGTAGCAGCTGCTACAATATCTGTTGCATAGGGAACAAGTGGGAGTGGTGCTGGTGGCTTTGCAGTTAGCCTAGGATTGAGCAATTGCTGCAACTGTTGCTCTCTGCAGCTTCAGCGTTACTTCTTACTGGTGGTGACAGTGGTTTCCTCCCTGGATGAGTTCTACAGCATGGTTTGGGGTACATTTCCTGGCTGCCTAGCTTTGATCTGGCTTTCTAGCCTTCTCAACAGTTCTACAAGTTCCCCACTATTTCTGTGGTAAACCTATTTATTGTTAATGTCAGCCATAATTGGCTTCTGTGGTTTATATTTTTTAAAATTCCAAGATATACAAATGTAACAGATAGCTCAACAAACATATGTCTTTTTAAATTAAGATATATTCTGTGTCACATGAAGTACAATGGACAAAATTCAACAAATTGAATTGCGCTAAAGACCAAAGATATATTAAGCCTGGCTAGTCTTAAAAATGTAACTGGATACAGCCAGGCATGGTGGCTCATGCCTATAATCCCAGCACTTTGGGATCCTGAGGCGGGCAGATCACCTGAAGTCAGGAGTTTGAGACCAGCCTGGCCAGCATGGTGAAACCCCATCTCTACTAAAAATACAAAAATTAGCTGGGCGTGGTGGTATGCCCCTGTAATCCCAGCTACTCAGGAGGCTGAGGCAGGAGAATAACTTGAACCTGGGAGGCAGAGGTTGCAGTGAGCCGAGATCATGCCAATGCACTCCAGCCTTGGCAACAGAGGGAGAATTTGTTTCAAAATAAAAAAATAAAAATGTAACTGGATAGACCTCAGGTTCTTGAATAAGCAGAAAATAATTTAGGTAAAAACCAAATAATAAACCAACATTCTAAGAGGTTTAGTATTTGGAGGCCCAAATGTCTTAGCTAAAAGTGTTCATTCTAAACTCACAGGAAAAGTGAAATATGAAAATATATAGAAAAATCTTAGGCAGTATTTTTCAATTTTAAGCAACAACTATTTACAGGTTTTTCAATAGGCATTACATTAAAAATGAAATATATAGTTAATAAATATGAAAACTGTGGATATAATCAACACATTTATTTTACTTCTTGAAGTGTTAACATGTGCTGTCTCAAATATCAACAGTGTACACGTGGGAAAAAACATTTTACATAGATTTTCTGCTACAGAAAACAGCCTCTCATTAGATATCCCAAGTTTTTTCATTTGGAACACACGCCCATTCCCCAGTATACTAGGGGTAATAATAATTTATAAAGTTTAATTACTTTTTACTACTAGAAAACTAATTTTATGTTTGGCACAAATTTCTGAAATGACATTCCACTGCAAAGAATAATACCTATATATGGCCAGAATTACTTTTTTTCTGTAACATTAAGATAATACTGGTCAGCCTGAGCAACAAAGTGAGACCTCATCTCTACAAAAAATAAATAAATTAGATGGGTGTGGTGGTGATGAGGGTCTGTAGTCCCAGATACTCAAGAGGCTGAGGTGGGAGGATCCCTTGAGCCTAGGAGGTCGCAGTTGCAGTGAACTATGATCACACCACTGCCCTCCAGCCTGGGTAACAGAGCAAGATCCTGTCTCCAAAAAAAAAAAAAAAAAAAAAAAAGATAATATTGGTATAATTCAGGGTTTTTGCCTCAATCCCCATGCTTCTTCATTTGACCCTCCCTGACTCCCTGATGAATTTTAGTTTGAAGTTTTGCTCTAGTCCAGAAGTTAATTTAAAACATCTTAATAAAATTTCCACCTGCCTAGATATTTCTTGTTTGTTACACTTTAGTCCATGATTTCTACTGCCATTTACATTACCCCAAAAATATGACCTGCTGAATTTCTGCTGTCATGAATTGACTAACATATTTTGGGCCTAAAACCTTTACATTTAGAATCTTTTTGTTTGGTATTTGAAAATAATGTATGTCCTCCATTTATTGGTCAAAAGCAGTGCCTATTTATTTCTACGTTTAATCAGAGAGACTTTGTAATAGTTATTTAATATTATTTATGTTCATTCATTTGTTGTATATAATGAGGTTAATTGCTATGATATTTTTATGTCGTTAATATAATAAAAAATATGTCATCTTTTCTCTTCCAATGAGTCTTTGGGTTATTAATTTTTAACTCAGGTATCAAGCTTGTAAAATGTTTAATGGCTTATAATAATGTCTAACACATAGTATCCACTGAGTTCTGGTAACTCCAGTTTATCAAATTCTCTTTTTTTATACCATTCTCCAAATGCAATGCTATTTGGTTTTATTTTTATTTTTTAAAAATGTGCTGCCTGATTTGAGTCTCTAAAAGTGTGAAATGTTCAGTATTTTCCAAATGTATTTGAACATGGAGTGTTATATTTACTAAAAAGTTAACAAGCAAGTATTCCCCTAAACACTCTAGCAAATACTACTAGTACAGACAAATTACGATCTAACATTATAGTACATTTTAATTTATTAGGTTAATTTTGGTTGCAAACAATAAAAAGCAAAATTCAAACTGGCTTGTATAATAGATTTTGAACAATAGTATAGGCTCAAGATAGTTTAATGCAGAAGTTCAATAATGACACAAAATAAATGTTTCTTGTCTTCCCTGTTTCTTCACTCTACCTTAAGTGGTATAGATTGAATGTATCCCCCCAAAATTTGTATATTTAAATCTAATCCCTAGTGTGATGATGATATTTGGCAGTGGGTCTTCGGGGGGTGATTAGGTCATGAGGACAGAGCCCTCATGAATGGGATTATTGCTCTTATAAAAGAGACCTTAGAGAACTTCCTTGTCCCTTCCACCATGTGAGGACACAGCAAAAAGACAGCGGTCTATGAAACAGGAAACAAGTCCTCACTAGACCCTGAATCTGTTGACAACTAGATCTTGGACTTCCTGGCCTCTAGAACTGTAAGAAATAAATTTATGTTGTTCATAAACCATCCAGGCTGTGATATTCTGGTATAGCAATCTGAAAGGACTAAGACATTAGGTCTCAGTTTTATTCTATGGCTTAAAATATCATGTCATGAGTAGACAACTTCCAATCCTAGTACCTTGTGCTTCCTCTGCTGCATTTGGAAAGAAGGCATTTCCCCCTTCAATCGTGGAATGAAAAAGGTGTACTTCATTCTGATTTGATTAGCAGAAGGCATATGCTCTTTCATGCACCAATTACAATGACCAAGAATTGGGCATGGGACTCATGTCACTTAAACATTGTGAAGCTGAGAAATTCATTATTTGGTTAGGAGTGTGTGAGATCAGGGAACACTGAATGCTTGAGGTACCACCACGATGTCCACTGCAGGTATTTCCATTTCAGTAAACATTTCCATTAAGATAATGCTAGAACAAAATCAGAGGAGTAGATCTTGGTGTCCCCAACTTTTGTTGACCTAACAAAGTGAAGTTGCTTCAACTGGACACTTCTGAACCACATTTATGCCCATATGTTCAGTCCAAATTTATTATAAGCAATTTTCAGGTCCATATGTTTAGGATATTTCATTTGTTTGGTTATGCATTATATGTATACATGTTTTTAACATACACACACCTCTACATATATTTTGCAGGCCTTTACACAAAAGTGTTTTCCCTAAAGGGAGAAGAGAAAAGTTGAATGCAGAAGTAAAAAAAAAAAAATTCATTTGCATTTGTAGTATTTGTATCTAAATATTTTATATTACAGACGTATTAAGATTTTTATCATTTTAAACACTACTTTAAAACAGGGAGATGGTTTACCTTCAAAAAATTTAGCTCTCAACTCAAAGTTATCAAAGTATATCCTAGATGTAGTTTGCTTGTCAGGCTTCTACATGAAAATTTAAAAGGCTCCTGCATTTCAGAATGAGCCTAACATATGTAATTGCACTCATCCACTATGTCTACATTGCCAACCAAATACTGACAGAGAGAGCTATAGAGTGCCATAGAGAGCTGGCAGCTTTTCTGTTTGCATTAGCTTCTACTTTCTTCTTCATCTTTCCTCTATGTCTGACACATTTCATGTTACTGTTTTTAAATGTTCCCTTAACTACAGAGCTAATGTGCTTATATCTGTCAGGGGTCTCATGTGAACCTCTAAATATTTAAAGATTCATTAGCTCCCTGGAGGGCCACCATGATTTCCAAAACAAGTCACAATACCTAAAGATCTAATTGTACAATTTCCCTCAGAAATAGCCTTGAGGAAGAAGTCACATCACTCAGCAATGAGTATTACAATTATTCACAGCAGTTTTCATGGTACTATATAACATCCAATTTACAGAATTAAAGGTAATGTAATTTGAAAGAAAAATACCTGGTTTTAAGGAATGAATGGCCATGTCAACTATTGGAAGCATCTTTGAATTGGAGCCTCTATGTTCAGGTTTCACCAGGTTTATGTTTTTAATTAATATCCTATTCAGCTTTCTGTAATTTCCACTGAGGTTTTCTAGAACAAGACAAGTCAGAAATTGATCTTTAATTATAAGCTAAGAGCAAACTGCCAAAGAACTGAGACAAATTTTGAAGAAAGAGGTCTATCAGGACTAACTATTTTAAGAGAATAAAGACTAATCAGACACACACACATATGCACAAAAAGAGGGAGAGAGAGCACAAAAATCCTACGAAATACATTTTAAAAAATTAATTTTTTTAAGAAGAAGCATTTGATCTGCCAAAGGGAAAACTTAGCAGTTTGGAGATCTGACAGTGCTAATCTCAGGGCAAGAAAATAACAAAATAAGACACCAAAGAATTACCTAAACTGTGAAAGATGAAGTTTTCAGAGTTCTAACAGAGAATTGGGATACTAAAGTACAAAGTTTAAGAGGTGTAATATATTAATGTTTAATTTATATCCCAAATACTTAAAAACTATGTTTCATTGTTATACATATTTATTTTATTATAAAGATAATGAATGCAGTAGGGTTAGATTTAAATAACTCATTGGTTTTAAAATGAGAAACGAAGGTCTGGCTTTTTACTACCTACAGTCTTACCATCAAAGTTAGCTATTGTTAATAATTTCTTGTCCATTCTTGTATGTGTTATGGTTTCTTTCTTAGAAAGAAGTACACTATACTAGTATACATACTATTTATTCGTGAACTTTGCATTTGTCATGTAATCATATGTCTTAGTGGTCATTTCATAATAGATGTCTCTCTTTCCCATGCTGTCAGTGGTGACTGCATGAGGCATTGTACAGACGTACCAGTAATTACTTACTCTGTGTCATATTGATGGTTATTCAGATTGTTTTCACTTTGCCCTTGCAGACAACACTGCAATGAACATCCTTATTCATGTATTATCCCAAATACATCACAGTGATTGCTGTCTGAGAGAAATATACATTGTTGATTTTATTTTTTTACTTTTTATAATTTCAACTTTTGATTTTAGATACAGTGGGTACATGTGCAGGTTTGTTACATGGGTATGTTGTGTAATGCTGAGGTTTGCTGCATGATTGATCCGATCACCCAGGTACTAGGCATAGTAGTTGTTTTTCAACCTTTACCCCCTCCCTCCTTCTACCCTCGAGTAGTCCCCAGTTTCTATTGTTCCCATCTTTGTGTCCATGTGTACTCAATGTTTAGCTCCTGCTTATAAGTGAGAATATGTGGTATTTGGTTTTCTATTCCTGTGTTAATTCGCTTAGCATAATGGCGTTGAGTTGCATCCATGTTGCTGTAAAGGACATAATTTTATTCTTTTTTATGGCTGCAAAGTATTCCATGGCATATATGTAACACATTTTCTTTACCCAATCTACCATTGATGGACACCTAGGTTGATTCCATGTCTTAGCGATTGTGAATTACACTGCTGATTTTAATAGAAACCACTAATTTTTACGCCAAAAAAATCATCAATGTGCACCTGCTCCAAGGCTGTGTGAGCATAGCCCTTTTTCTTGGGATGTCAACAACACTGGGTTTTATCAAAATATAAGTTTTGCCAATTTATTAGTTAAAAAATGCTAACTCAATGCTATTTGGATTTGAACTACCACTGGTGCTGAGCATCTTTTTACATATTCACTGGCAATCTATTTATCTTTCTCTGTTGTTTATCTTTTTCTGTGTAATAATTTTCCTTATCTTCCACTCTTTTAAATATTAAGTTTTCACTGTTTTCTTAATAATTTTTAAGTTTAAAAAGTGACCTTTTGGCTGGGTGCAGTGGCTCACGCCTGTAATCCCAACACTTTGGGAGGCCGAAGCAGGTAGATCACAAGGTCAGGAGATCGAGACCATCCTGTCCAACATGGTGAAACCCCGTCTCTACTAAAAATACAAAAATTGGCTGGGGTGGTGGCACATGCCTGTAATCCCAGCTACTCGGGAGGCTGAGGCAGAAGAATCACTTGAACCAGGGAGTTGGAGGTTGTAATGAGCCGAGACCATGCCACTGTGCTCCAGCCTGGCGACAGAGCGAGACTCGGTCTCAAATAAAAAAAGAAGTGACCATTTTATC
Source organism: Homo sapiens (assembly GCF_000001405.40). Classification (NCBI taxonomy): domain Eukaryota; kingdom Metazoa; phylum Chordata; class Mammalia; order Primates; family Hominidae; genus Homo; species Homo sapiens. The sequence continues at coordinate 50,641,429 of NC_000005.10, forward strand.
TGCTGCATATAATTCTAATGTTATTTCTCAATTCGTTTATCTTTTAACAATGATAATATATAATGTCTTGCTATTTAGAAAGATTTTTAAAAGTATTTTACATAAACAAATTTTATTCTTTGCCATTAATACTTGTAGGTTTGGGATTTTCAGGACCTCCTCAAAGGCCACCTACAGGAAATGCTCTTCAAAGACATTTCACGTTTTCACCACTTGATTATGGAGCAAAGACTAACACTGGCAATGCTTTGAAGTACTTGAGTCAAATGGGTCTCTCACATGGTCATTACTATACTCACTCTCAGGCTCTAATGCAAGTTGTTTCCTTAGGCCAACTACTCTTGCTTTCCTTTAATAGACCTATTCCTCCTGGGCTGTCTGAAACTAACATTTCATTGTAAATAAAGTCCTGCAAATCCTTGGTATCTCAAAGAACCCTCCTTCCATTTAGTTTTAGGAGAACTCTCTTCCTAAAACTCTATTCTTTTCCCTGGAGTCCAGATCCCCATTCCTTGCAACAAATGAACTCTTGATTTGAGCACTGAAGGGAGATAATTGGAAGTTTGACTTTGTGTTCTAGGTTTTCCCTGCCAATATATGCAGCATCTTTAAAACTAATCAGGCTGAGGCAGGAGAACTGCTTGAACCCAGGAGGAGGAGGTTGCAGTGAGCCGAAATTGCGCCATTGAACTCCAGCCTGGGTGACAGAGCAAGGCTCCACCTCAAAAAAAAAAAAAAAAAAAAAAAAAAAAAACAGCAAAAAGAAACTAATTAGGTTCAAGAAGTTCGAATGAATTCAACTTAGACAAGCTCTTAAGCAGACATGTTGGAAGTTTCAAAAAAGACAGTTTGGGAAAATATTTTTATTAAAAAAAAAAACAGTCCTGCAGTTGGGTGTCAACTCTCATCACTCTACTGAAACTGCTGCAGCCGAGGTTACTAGTTATTTAATTAACAAAAGCAATAGATTTTGTTTTTTTAAATTGTCATTATACTGTACTATTTTGTGACATTGTTTTATTGATAAGTCTTTCTCGAAAATGTGTCCTTTTAGTTTTTTTCAAAACATGACTTTCTCCTTGATGTCCTCCTATTTCTCTCATTATTTCACCTTTACATTCTCTGCTAACACCTTTCACCTTACCAAACCTTAATTAAATGTGTGTGCGTCCCAGTGTCCCATTCTTGGCTCTCTTCCCTTCCCTCTTACTGATCATTATTGTATTCTGTGATCTCACTAATTCTCTTGGCTTTAATAATAACCAGATGACTCCAGAAAACTATTCAAAATTCCGGACCTATGGAGACTTTGCACCCAGATATGTACCAACAACTCAACCTCAGTTATCTCTAATATTATCTCATTAAGTGCTCTCTAACAATAGAATGACTCCTCCTTCTGGGTTTCCTCTGCATGAACGGCACCACCATTCAGTGGCCCATGACAAATGTGGACCTCATTTGGAACTTCTCCCTTTCCCTCATGTTTCATTTTCTCTTGGCTAAAGAGTTATTAGATTCTTCATTTTTAACTTTTCTCTAGCCTATCTTCAATTTTATAGTGGACAGTTATGTATACCCTATATCCCAGGAGAGAAGGGATATCTTCTGCTACGCCCCTACTATGAACTAGCATATCCTTTGAGTCCTTTCTTTGTATGAAGCACTGGGGAAATTTAATCAACTTCATAATCACTTACAATCCTCATGGCAATTTTATGAGATAAGTTCTATTTATTATCCCTATCTTAAGGATGAGGAAACTGTGGTTTAAAGAGCTTAAGTAATTTGGGAAAATCATAAAAGAAGCAGTGAAGACAGAATTCAAATCTAGGCAACCTGAAATCTGAGCCTGAGCACTTTGCCACCCTAATAACTATCTCCCTTTGAGAGTTGTATTACAATGTTGACAACATTTAGCAACCCTTATTCCCCTCCCCACCCCCATCTCTCTCCAAGAAATCTGCTGTGAGGTAGAGAATGTGTTGATTTCCTCTGCAGTTTTTAGTGCATAGTGTAGGGCTTAGAAAGGAGAAAATGATGAAAAATGTTTACTAAAATAATTGTTTTTCCTTGATAGTTGTTATAACCATCTAATTGTGAGTGCTTAACAATTACGATAAAGGAGAATGGAAATCACAGATCTTTTCACAGAATTTTTTTTTTTTTTTTTTTTTTGAGACAGAGTCTAGCTCTGTCACCCAGGCTGGAGTGCAGTGGTGCGATCTCAGCTCACTGCAACCTCCACCTCCTGGGTTTAATCACTTGCCTTGGCCTCCTGAGTAGCTGAGATTACAGGCGTGCATCACCATGCCTGGCTAATTTTTGTATTTTTGGTAGAGATGGGGTTTCACCACATTGGCCAGGCTGGTCTCAAACTCCTGACCTCCAGTGATCCACCCATCTTAGCCTCCCAAAGTGCTGGGATTACAGGCTTGAGCCACCGCGCCAGGCCTTTCTCAGAGAATTTATAGTTTACTTGGAAATGTAAACTATATATACTTAAACTGAGGGATATTTACAAAAGAACTTTCTACTTAACCCCCAAGAAGCTGTATTAATAACAAAGCAAATCAAGCTTGTTCACAGGCAACTGAATGGAATGAATGGTTTTGATTGACCTTGCCAGTTATATTTCTAACAAGAGAAAATTCAATGCGAGCCTCAGATTTGGAAACAAGATATTACAGACAGGAAAATTTAGGATTAAGGTCAGATTTGGTGCAACTATGCCAGATACAGAAAAGGCAAATTTTCAGCTCAATCCCCAGCTAAGTACAAGTTCAGCGGCGAAGGCATGAGAAAATGAGCCATTATAATAAGTCTGAAATAAGTTTATGATTCCACTTCAATATGGGCATGCAATATATTCTAACATTTAATCCCTGGAAAAAATGATGACATCACACTGAAATCTTGACTCATAAGAGAACTTTTTTATACTGTTCCCTAAGTCAGTTTATTTCTACTTCATTCTTGTGTTAAGGGCAGGCTCAATTCTCACTCATTCAAAAACGATATCACCTGAAGCTTTTCTTTAAGTCTTGTTTTCTCTGCGGTGAGAAAATTAATCAAGGGGTTAAAATGTATATTAAATTATATATGTATTATATATAAAAGTTATGTAATATAGATCAGGGAAGAATATATTGCATATGTTACAGGCAGAATTGTGTCCTTTCCCCCAAATTCATATGCTGTACCCTGCCCCCTGCCACCTCAGTATATCAGAAGGTGGCTATATTTGGAGATAGAGACTTTTAAGAGGTAACTAATGTAAAACGAGGTCACATGTGTGTGTCCTAATCCAATATCACTGGTGTCCTTGTTTGAAGAGGAAATTTAGGTACAGACATACATGTGCACAGAAAAAAGACCATGAGAAGACAACATGAGAAAATGACTATCTAAAAGCCAAGGAGAAAAATTTCAGAATAAAATTAACACATCTGATGCCTTGACCTCACACTTCTAGCCTCCAGAAAATAAATTTCCGTTGTTTAACTCATCCAGTCTGCAGTAATTGTTATAACAACCCTAGCAAAGTAATATAGGAAGTATATATATATTACATATGCATACACACATAGTCGTGAGTGTATATATATATAAAATATATATTTATAATATATAATATAAATATAAATATATATAATATATATAATATATACTATATAAAATATATTATATATTATTTTATATATTACATATACACACAAATATGTGTATATGTTTATATTATATATTTATATTATTATATTTATATATAATTATATATAATTATATATTTATATATAATTATATATAATTATATATTTATATATAATTATATATAATTATATATTTATATATAATTATATATAATTATATATTTATATATAATTATATATAATTATATATTTATATATAATTATATATAAATATATAATTATATATAAATATATAATTATATATAATTATATATAATTATATATAAATATATAATTATATATAATTATATATAAATATAATAATATATAATTATATATAAATATAATAATATGTAATATATATAATATATACTATATATAATATATATATAAAAAATTATATATTATATATAATTATATATACTTATATATTTATATATATGTATATTTATATATAATTATATATAATTATATAATTATATATGTATATTTATATATAATTATATATATTTATATTTTTATATAATTATATAATTATATATGTATATTTATATATATATAAATTTATATATATATATATAATTATATATTTATATATGTATATTTATATATAATTATATATTTATATATGTACATTTATATATAATTATATATTTATTTATAATTGTGTATAATTATATATAATTATATATTTATATATAATTATATAATTATATAATTATATATAATTATATATTTATATATGTACATGTATATATAATTATATATTTATATATAATTGTGTATAATTATATAATTATATATAATTGTATATTTTTATATAATTATATAATTATATATAATTGTATATTTTTATATAATTATATAATTATATATAATTGTATATTTATATATAATTGTATAATTATATATAATTGCATATTTATATATAATTGTATAATTATATATAATTGTATATTTATATATAATTGTATATTTATACATAATTGTATATTTATACATAATTGTATATTTATATATAATTGTATATTTATATATAATTGTATATTTATATATAATTATATATTTATAATTATATATATAATTGCATATTTATAATTATATATAATTTTATATTTATAATTATATATAATTGTATATTTATATATAATATATTATATATTTTATATTACATGAATGTAAATATATATTATATAATATATATTGTATTATATTATATATTTATTATATATTATATAATATATAATATATATAATACACTCTATATAATATAGTATTATATATTATATATTATACACATTATATATAATATATTATTATATATTATATATTATATATTATATATTTGTATATATATAAATGTAGGGAATGATATAGTAGTAACATTTTCAGAACTAGGGCCTTTAAGACTGAGGAAATACTCCAAGCTCTGAGCAAACTCAATAAGTATAAATCCATATGTAGACATACCACAGTACAATGCAAGATACTAAAGACTAATACAATATTTTCAATCAACCAGAGATGAGAGGCAGATTACCTGCAAAGGAAGGACAATTACATTATCACAGACTTCTCTTCATCAATAATGAGAACAGACAATACAGGAATAACATCTCCCAAGTTATGAGAGGAATAACAGATGACATGAAATTCTACAACCAAATAAAGCATAATTCAATGGGCAGCAGTTAACAGAATTAAGCTGTTTCCGGACGTCTATGGAGAGATTTAACTCAAAGATGTCACTGTAAATTTGATTTTTGAGATGTAGTAATGGATACTTGGTAAGGTTGTTGAATTAAACGATCTTCAAAGCTTAGGTCATGTATCTTCATTAAGCACATGGTGCTTTGCATTTACTAAAGAAGGGCTTCTGCTTTCTCTCCAAATAAATCATTGCGACCTTACCACCCGAAGTGTAAAAACCTCCTTTATTTCTATTCCCGGTCTCTAGTCCCTGCTTATATGTATGCATAAATGCATGACACCGTGCTTCTCTTTTAATTATTTATTTCTAGAGATCATGTCTTTGAAAATAATTATATTCCCAGCAACTATTTAGAGTGGTACTAATTTAACTTGGTTCATGGTGTAAACTGCATAGCAGTTATTTGATTGGCCCATTCCTTTATAAAATATTTTATGCTTGGATGATGAACTCCACATAAATTCAGCCAGGAGAATGCTTTCCTTGGCAATCTTTGGGAGATTACAAATGTTACTTTTTTGTTGTTGTTGTTGTTTTGTTTTTTATGAGATGGAGTCTCGCTCTGTCACCCAGGCTGGAGTCCAGTGGCGCGATCTCGGCTCACTGCAAGCTCCAACTCCCGGGTTCACACCATTCTCCTGCCTCAGCCTCCCGAGTAGCTGGGACTACAGGCACCCACCACCACGCCCGGCTAATTTTTTTGTATTTTAGTAGAGACAGGGTTTCACTGTGTTAGCCAGGATGGTCTCGATCTCCTGACCTCATGATCTGCCTGCCTCGGCCTCCCAAAGTGCTGGGATTACAGGCGTGAGCCACCATGCCCGGCCTACAAATGTTAGTATTAACTCCTCCTTCTGCTAAGAAATAAACCAAAATAAAATTATTCACAAATATAACTGTTTTGATCATGCTTTCAGATGATATGTAAGGTAGCCCACAGAAGGTAAATAATATTCAGGGGAAACAAATTATTACTTAAGAATGGGTGCTGAGAAAAAGAAATATGTGAAGCGTGAGGAAGGAAGTATGTGAAAAAAGCTAGGGCACAGTTGTGGCTTATATTTTTGTTAAAATCTGCCTGTTAAGACTTCCTGATTAGGTAATGGGAATGATACAGTAAAATATTCTTCCTCAGAGTGTCTCACACCATTGTGATAACTTACTACATAAAAGTACAAGTTACATTATATAAAAAGACAGAATGGCCTTGCTTGGTGGCTCACGCCTATAATCCCACCACTTTGGAGGCCAAGGCAGGTGATCATCTGAGATCAGGAGTTCGGGACCAGCCTGGCCAAAATGATGAAACCCTGTCTCTACTAAAAATACAAAAAATTAGCCAGGCGTGGTGGCAGGCACATGTAATCCCGGCTACTCAAGAGGCAGAGGCAGGAGAATCGCTTGAACCTGGGAGACGGAGGTTGCAGTGAACTGAGATCGTGCCACTGCACTCTAGCCTGGGCAACAAGAGTGGAAACTCCATCTCAAAAAAAAAAAAGACAGAATGACTCCAAGAAACTGAGGTTTCTAGATGAGGGTTACACAATGTGGATCTAAAAGCAGCAGGGAAAGGAAAAGGATTTGGGCCTAGAATGTGGGGAAATTTTAGATGCTGCAGAAAGCCTTCTGGTGTCTTCTAGAATGGCTGGATTTTGGTTAAGACAAAGAAGAAGTAACTTTTCTTTTCATGGAGAACAGTAGCATACAGGAGTGTGGATAGTTTGATCATTTAAGGCAGGGATGTGAGGCTTGATGGAATATGTTGATAACAAAGATTCTTTGCTTGGCCAACTTTAGTCAGGCTTCTAAATCTTCAGCTAGGCTAAACTGTGCACTTCCTCGCAAAATCCAGCTTTAGCAAAGAACACTGCCAAGTTTACCAAAGAACCCCTCATTCTCAATATCTGATCAGGTTCTTCATTCTTCACCATTCTGCAGGTGATGTCTGATCACTCTGGCCAGTCTTCAGCAAGAATTCTTTTAGGTCAGTGTAGACAGAATCTCCCTTACTCCTGATGTTTCCTCTTAGTGATTTTCCATTCACTGACCCCTGCGTTGCTCCTGGGCTATAAATTCCCACTTGCCCATGCTGTGTTGAGAGTTAAGCTCATCTCTCTCCCCAGCTCCAAGACTGTGTTGCAGTGGTTCCTATATCTATGGTGATGGTCCTGAATAAAATTTTCTTTACTGTGCATTTAAAGTATCACTGAATAATTTTTTCTTTAACAACTATGGTGTTGAAACTCAAATAGGACAGATTCATCACTGGATCCTGGGCCTCTCACTCAGGACCCTAAATACATGCCTTTGAAGCCTTTGTTGTCATTTCTGACTGATTAGGGATCCACTGGTGAATCAGATTCCTGAGCCATTGCTCCAGACAAAAGCCCTTTGATGGCCAAGGACAGATTTTGAATCTTAAGGGATGAGTATTCTCTCTGAAGCTGGGGTACAGCCCCACGCTTCTTTTGAAAGGAATCCTCTGGGCAGGAAGGTCTTCGTGTGGGCTTCTTGTTCTGAGTGGGCAATTCTCTGAGTCCCTAGACTAGAAGTCTCTTCTTTCTGGCTTCCTTTTTCTGAGTGAGGGGTTATTCCCTGATTCCCTGGCCTATAAATTGTTCTTCCCGGCTCTCTATAAAACCTCTCTGCTCTTTCTCTTCTCTCTATTGGATCCTGCTTCTCCCATGGGAACTCTGTCACCTGAAACCCCTCTTCTCAAGTCTCTGCTGACTATTTCTCTGTCCACTCTTGCCAGACCCGTTTCTTTTCTGCTGAACTTCAGGACTCCTATCCTACCCTCCTTTGAGGGGGCTCTCAAGGGACTAAGAGGCCCCTCAAAAACAAGCACCTGGGGCTGATAATAGGAGAAAAAAAGAAACTATTTGGAAACTGAGAAAGCAAAAAAAAAAATCTTAAAAAACCTCCTCCACAAATATTGGTAAAAAGCTTTAGCCTTTGTTAGGTAGGTCAACTCAACTTATCCCTTTTTCCTCAGAAGCACAATTTGGATAACAATATAAAGTGGAGATAAACCAGCAAGTTTGTATTTTTGTATTACTCTGTTTTACTGCCTCATGGTTAAATTTTTTTTTTTTTTTTTTTGAGACAGAGTCTCACTTCGTTGCTCAGGCTGGAGTGCAGCGGGGCAATCTCGGCTTACTGCAACCTCCACCTCCTGGGTTCAAGTGTTTCTTGTGCCTCAGCTGGGCACCACCACGCCCCACGCCCAGCTAATTTTCATATTTTTAGTAGAGACGGGGTTATGCCATGTTGGCCAGGCTGGCCTCAAACTCCTGACCTCAGGTGATCCACCCACCTCAGCCTCCCAAAGTGCTGGGATTACAGGCATGAGCCACTGCACCTGGCCTGGTTAAAATTTTTTAAATGAAAAGTCCTAAGATCTGGTTACATCAGTCTATACGTTTGTGTATGTGTACGTGTGTGTCTATGTTATTGTGTTACGTATATGTGATATTTTTCTACCTCCGATGTTATTACCAAACTAAAATACCCAAATTGGCTAGGGATAAATAAACACTCAAACAAATAAGAATGTATAAAATTTTCAGAAAAGTAGAAACTGACTCAATATTTTTAAGTTCACATAATCTGGGGTATTCCTTAGTAAATAAAAGCTAGTTTAAAAAATATTGGTAAAATAAAAATAGAAACATTTTCAGAATTGTCAGCATACACTTATTTTACCTGGCTTTGCTGATTAGACAAGTTTGTGTTGTTACTGTTAGATGTTTAAGGCCATAAAACCATAAATTCAACCTAAGAACAGAATATATAGTAAAAGTAAATTGCTTAATTGCCTGGTGTATGTCTGCTGCAAAAGTAAATAAGAAAACATGTCCAGAAGGATTGTGAAAATCTTATCTTGTATGGTCTAAGCTGACTGAGATTGGATAGATTTATTTATGAGGTTTTATTATAACTTAGTTTTAGTAATACATTTATTCAAAAGTAGAATTTGATCTTCTCCATTAAAACGGTAGTTTTCTTGGAATGTTGGTCTGAGAATGTAAAGGGTATTTTTTTCCTCTTAAGTAATTGGCCTCAGAAACACAGACTCTGTTTCATCAAGATAATTTCCTGAGTTTCATGTTGTTTTATTAGGTTTTTGGTTACTTAAGAAAAGTGAGTCTTCTCAATATTAAAGGAGCTAAGTCCTTGTTCACAACTATGTAATCTGAATTTGCCTTTAAAATCTTTTAATGGAGCTTTTATTAAATAGATAACTATGGTCATATTTAATTGTTTTAAATGTTTTAAACTTTTTGACATTTTTGACAATCTTCCCAAAATCACATTCTAAATTAAGTCTTTTTGACCTCAAATTAACTTAAGATTCTCCATATTGGACCCTCAGAAAGCCACAGAGAATATTTTTTGTATGAAAGAGACATTAATAATAATAATAAATAAATAAATAATAAAAGAGACATTAAACTAATTAGATTTATTTAATATGTTAAATTATAAGTGTAGCAGTCAAATAATAAGTGATGCTAAGCCATCTTTAAGTATATTTATGGATATATTATTAAGTGTACAAAAATTGTATGAGATTCCTAGAAATCTAGTATGTTATCAGTCATAATTTTGGTTATTCTGTTAAAATGCTGTATGCCATGCTAACCAAATTTTCTTATAAATTGCATCATTGTAATGAACTCTCATTAGATTTTTTAACCATGGACATTTTAAGTCCTTGTCATCTGTAGACAGTTATTGTTTTAATTTAATTGTTCTCTAAAAGCATTTGAAATTAGCCACAGTCCAAAATGGCTTCTTCTTCAAGGAGATTTATGGAAAATAGTCTTATGAGTATTCTGGAATACAGGTTTCTGAACAACTTTGACATCATACCATTGGACTGGTAAGAATTTCCAGAACTCTAATAAAACTGATGGGTTCATGTAACTACTAACCCAAGATCAAGCAAAACAAGATTTAATTACATGGTACTGAATGAACTGATGAGAATAATTTTTAAAATGACTTTTTGTTTGTAACATTGCTTGTTCTTTAAATGTTTTGTTTTCCAGATTTGAGAAAACTTTTTTTTAAGCTATCTCTAGCTTACACCAATTCAGTAAAGAATACTTTTGTACAAAATGGAAACATTTACTTTTTCTCTCTAACTTATCCCTCCAGAATTTGGAAACTATTTGTGAATATTCTTATTTTTATGGCAATGTATTTATTTGCACAAGTTTAATAAGAATCTGTTGTCTTTGTAACAGGACAAACTGGAAACACAGGTTATATCACCAAGGCTTTGACTGAAACATCATGTTTTCAGATATGACCAGAAGGCTTTATGGGACTAAGGTTGACTTTATGGAACCAATAAAGTACCATCTTGGAAAAACTGGCTCTAGGGTTCCCAGACTTACAGGTGAGTAAAGAATATCACTTCTTGGCAGGTCTGGAAACCTTGGGGTATTTTAGGGACCTCAAGAAGAGAGTAATTTATCTAAATCTGTAAATGTAACAGGTGCAGACTAATGACAAGTTTTGGGCTTATATCCCAGCCTCAAGTGGCTTTTAAAAGTTTAATCTGACTGGAGACAGTGGCTCATGCCTGTAATCCCAGCACTTTGGGAGGCCAAGTCAGATGGATGAGGAGGTCAGGAGTTCAAGACCAGCCTGACCAATATGGTGAAAACCCTGTCTCTACTAAAAATACAAAAAATGAGCCAGGCGTAGTGGCACGCATCTATAATCCCAGCTACTCGGGAGGCTGAGCAGAAGAATCGCTTGAAACCAGGAGGCGGAGGCTGCAGTGAGCCAAGATCGCACCACTGTACTCCAGCCTGAGAGACAGAGGGAGACTCTGTCTAAAAAAACAAAAACAAAAAGTTTAATCTGAGATTTCTTATCTGACAAACGCAACCTTTAAAAGAGCCTAAATGGTCAATCACTACTCTTACTGCACTTGTGTACATAACCAGTACAAGTTTAATGAGATTAAACTTATTTAGCAAACAAATCAATCTGACTTTGATTATCTTTGACAGAAATGAGAGTGAATATAGAGATAAAAGTTATGTTTTGGGAGAAAACTGCAGTGCACCCAATATTAGATTCTAGCCCTGTTTTTTTTTTTTTCCTGAGGTTTTATTATCTACCTGCAATCTGCAATAGATCCTCGATTTTTCTAGTTTACTACAATAGCTACAACACTCCAAATTAATATTTCATTTTTTTCCTGCTATTCTGGCTTGGAATCACTAAAATTATAAACTTTTCTTTTCTTGAAGTCCTTCAAACTGAAACTGGATGACTTGACATAAGCTTCAGAAAAATTACCACAACAGCTTGTGTGTGGCCCATCTTTATGGCTTTCAAACTGCAAACTAATCCAATGCCTCTTCTCACTCCAACTGAAGATACTACAAGCCCAGCATCTAGAAATTTTACTGATCAGCTGCCCTCTGGACTCAGAAACTGTCTTTATAATTCGTTCCAACTATTAATCTTTTTTAATTTTATTTTTATAGAAACTAAACTTCCCACATTGAAGGCCTGATAGCTCACACTATCCAGGAAATATCCTCTGCTACCAAGTCCCAACAGATGATTCAACTGGTCCTTAATGAATAAAAGGTGATCAAACAAGAAAAGAGACTTATATTGTTTGAAGGAAAGATGAATGTCTCTACTTTCCTTAAACAAGAAGTAGTACTAACAAAGATTCCTTGCTTGGCCAAACTTTAGTCAGGTGTCTATCTTCCTTGCAAAATCCAACTTTAACAAAGAACTTTTCTGAGTCAGTTTAGCAAGAACCCCCCATCTCCAATATCTGATCATCCTCCATATCTGATCAGGCTTCTCATCCTTTTATCATACCCCAGGTGATGTCTGATGACCCAGGCCTATCTTCAGCAAGAATCCTATTAGGTTGGTTTAGCCAGAATCTCCCTCTTCCTCCTGATTCTCTTGGTAATTTTCTATCCATTGACCCCTACACTGCTCCTTGATTATAAATTCCCACTTGCCCATGCCATATTTGGAGTTGAGCCCAATATCTCTCTTCAATGCAAGACGCCATTGCCATGGTCCCTATACCTATGGCAATGGTCCTGAATAAAGTTTTCCTTACTGTCTTAGTCTGTTATGTGTTGCTATAAAGAAATACATGATGCTGAGTAACTTATAAATAAAAGAGGTTTTTTTTGCTTATAGTTCTGCAGGCTGCACAAGAAGCATGGCCCAAGCATCTGCTTCTGGTGAAAGCCTCACGTGCTGCTGCATTCATGGTGGAAGGTGAAGGGGAGCTGCAGTGTGCAGATATCACATGGTGAAAGAGGAAGCAAGAAAGAGAAAGGGGGGAGGGGCCAGGTTCCTTTTAACAACCTGCTATTGTGGGAACTAATAGAGTGAGAACTCACTCTCCATCTCCGTCCAGAGAGTACATTACTCTACTCATGAGGGATCCACCCCCAAGACTCAAACGTCTCTCATTGGGGCCCACCTCCAACATTAGGGATAAAATTTCAACATGAGGTTTGGAGGGGACAAACATCCAAACTACAGCACTTACTATGCTTTTTTTTTTTTTTTTGAAACAGTCTTGCTTTGTTGCCCAGGCTGGAGTGGAGTGGCGTGATCTTGGCTCACTGCAACCTCTGTCTCCTGGGTTCAAGCAATTCTCCTGCCTCAGCCTCCTGAGTAGCTGGGATTACAGGCACATGCCACCATGCCTGGCTAATTTTTGTATTTTTGTAGAGATGGGGTTTCACCATGTTGGCCAGGCTGGTCTTGAATTCCTGACCTCATGTGATCCGCCTGCCTCGGCCTCCCAAAGTGCTGGGATTACAGCTGTGAGCCACCGCACCCAGCCTGTTTTGTAAATTCTTGAAGTATTTTGATTTGCACAAATTTGCCTATGACAGTTTCTTTCATGGATCACTCACTTTCATAAGAAGGAAGAAGAAAAATACATTTTTAATGGGTTTAAATTCACCAGGTTTTCCTACAAATGTTTTTCCATGGTAGTAACTAGGGATAGAAATATTCATTCCAATTCCTGGTTCTATTACTTTTTTTTTGTTAGTAATCTATAAGAAGTTTAAACAGATAGAGAAATTATTTTAAACACAGATTCCCCATGTGGGGCAGTCAAAAGGCCAAAGACCCAAGAGAAGAGAGCCAGATTCAAGGCAACTGAGATTAGCAACTGGGGAAAGAGAAGGCACTTTAACTGCTGTAATGTCAAGTAAGAAGTTTTCAAGAGCCCGTATACTGATAACACTTCAGGCTTTCATAAAAGCAAAACTCTAAATGGAAAACAACAAAGTGACTTTGAAAAGAGTGCTCCAATGCAGTTCCTTAATTCATCCAACTTGCATGTGCTGCTGTTGCTTTTACCATTTTATGAGTTACCATCTCAACAATCCTGGGAAGAACACTGCTCCTTTTGCAAACAGGTGAGGCACATCCTGTTCAAAAGCATTATAACTTTCTTTCTTTCTCTCTCTCTCCTTCCTTCTTTTCTTTCCTTCTTCCCTTCCCTTCCTTTTCTTTTCTTTCTTTCTTTTCTTTCTTTTTTCTTTTCTTTCTTTCTCTTTCTTTCTTTCTTTCTTTCTTTCTCTCTCTTTCTTTCTTGCCTTCTCTCTCTCTTCTTTCTCCTTCCCTCCCTCCTTCCTTCTTCCCTCCCTCCCTCCCTGGACTGACTTGACTTTCTTTCTTTCTCCCTTTTTCTTTTTCTTTTTTTTCTTTCTTTCTCTTTCCTTCCTTTCTCTCTCTTTCTTTCTTTCTCATTTTCTTTCCGTCTTTCTCTTTCTTTTCCTTCCTTCCTTCCTCCCCTCTCTCGCTCCCTGGACTTACTTTACTTTCTTTCTCCTTCCTTCTTCTTTTTCTCTCTTTTCTTTCCCTCCCTCTCTCCCTCCTCCCCTCCCTTCCTTCCTTCCTTTTTTCCTTCTTTCCTTCCTCCCTTCTCTCTTTCATGAATAAACTTTTCTCTATATATATTCATAGATTTGGAAGCAATGTGAAAATCTATTTGGTTCATGCCTCTGGTATTAAGCAGGACCACAGCTAAAATAACCTAGACAGAAAAGAAAAAATATGGCTAGGGCTGCCAACCTTTTTGTTGGAAGCTTGCTAATGTCAACATTACGGAGGCTGGTGTGCCAGGTGGTATGAGGAAATAGACTTGTACTATATAAAATATATGAGCTACTGGCACAGATTTAAAGTGGTGCTGCTGTTGTGGCCACACCTGGCCCTGATGGAATCAAGCTTAGATTGGGCCTGGCGTAGTTCTAGGGTAAACTATAGGATAAGATTGATTTGCTAGGACAGGTAATAACTTCCCTAGAACTGCAAGCATTTAATATAAAGTGACTATGCCACCTTCTGCCAAGTTTGCCATGCAAAACTATTGTTGAAGAATGCTAGCCAGCAGATATTCATCAAGTCATGTCATGCCTTCCCTTTCAAAATCTTTCAGTGGCTGAGAAATTTGGATTACTGTGCTTAATTTTTTTTTTCTTTTGAGACAGAGTCTCGCTCTGTCTCTCAGGCTGGAGTGCAGAGGCGCGATCTCAGTTTACTGGAACCTCTGCCTCCTAGGTTCAAGTGATTCTCCTGCCTCAGCCTCCCAAGTAGCTGGGACTACAGGCGCACCACCATATCCAGCTACTTTTTGTATTTTAAGTAGAGACGGGTTTTCGCCATGTTAGCCAGGCTTGTCTCGAACTCCTGACCTCAGGTGATCCACTTGCCTCGGCCTCCCAAAGTGCTAGGATTACAGGGGTGAGCCACTGTGCCCAGCCTGTGCTTAACACTGTCCCTTCATGATTTGATTTCCAGGTACCCTTACAGCAATATTCCTGTCGCCTTCATGCTTTTATATGGTGGCATGGCAAATATTTAATGGTCAGCTCTCTGGCAACAGAACAGAAGCCTTGCTTTGTACCGGCTCCAATTTCTGTGGTGTAAATACTCCCACCATGGCTGACATCCGCCTACCAATGTGAAATCCCTGAGTGTGAAGTTGGGAAGAGAAGTGCACAAGTGTTCTTGCAAGTTTATGTGAGCCAGCTCCAGCGCACCACTGTCTCTATGCCTCCCCACTACCTAGAATGTTCTTTACTTTCTCCACACCTAAATGTTCTTTACTTTCTCCACACCTACTCTTCCTTCCATACTCAGCAACTCTGACACCCTCAAACCTCCATCCCCAATTCAATCTGAGTTCTACGCCTCTTGTCTGTGTTCTATTTTGCACCTTGGAAGGTTTTGATCTTTCTTTCTTTTAACAAGTACGTATTGGGTGCTCTCTGTGTTTCACACATTAGCTTACGTCTGGGAGAAACACTGTTGAAGAGAGCAAATTACTCAGGCTTCAGGCACATTTGCTTAGCCTCTTACAAAGGCAGACAAGCAGTAAATGTGGTAAGTGCTATAACTGGGCTAAGAACAGAGGACGGGCACCGACATGGAGCATAGCCTGCAACTATAATTATTGCACTGAGAGAGTAAAATTAGAAGAAATCCAAACTGTGAGGAACAAAATCATCCTTTTTTTTAAATATGATTCACCCTCAAAAAGATGAGTGGCTATGCCAGATCCAGCCTAGGGAAATGCAGTGAATTGGTGTAGCAAAGGACTTTTAATCAGACTAGCAGTAGACCAATGAGAGATATTGCCTTCACCTTTCCCACGTGCTTCTCAACACAGAAATAGGTACTTGACTTGGGCTCAGCAAATCTTACTACCTCATCCACTTGGCAACAGTGCTTGTCCCAAAGATAGGCCCTTGATCCAAAGTGGGTAGCGAATGGTATCATTTTTATCCTGAGATTAATATTTAGAGTATGGAGAAAAAAAAGTTATCCTTCCCCCGCTGAGTTTACTAAACTGGAATGTCACAGATTTGGGATTACCAAATGACAATTTTCTCTGTTACTTAAAAGAAACTGCTGGCCAGGCAGGGTGGCTCACGCCTGTAATCCCAGCACTTTGGGAGGCCGAGGCGGGTGGATCACAAGATCAAGAGATTGAGATCATCCTGCCCAACACGGTGAAACCCCGTCTCTACTAACAATACAAAAATTAGCTGGGCATGGTGGCACGTGCCTGTACTCCCAGCTACTCGGGAGGCTGAGGCAGGAGAATCGCTTGAACCCAGGAGGTAGAGGTAGCAGTCAGCCGAGATTGTGCCATTGCACTCCAACCTGGTGACAGAGCAAGGCTCCATCTCAAAAAAAAAAAAAAAAAAAAAAAAAAGAAAGAAAAAAAAGAAAAAAGAAAACAAACTGCCAAACAGAAATGGAAAAGAGAAAAGTTCTGGTTGAGTTCCCCGTTCAATTGCCTGAGTCCCTGGGTCCTCCAGCTCTTGCTTTGTCTGCTAGGCCATCCAAGCATGCTTTACCATTGTACATTGTATCAGTCAAGAAACTGTATCTTGTCTTTGTTGGTTTGAGTTACAGTTATGTCATGCAACCAAATGTTTTCTGACAAATGCAGTGACCCTGGATGAGGCCTCAAGGAGGCAAGACTGGATTGTGACTGCCAATAAGAAAATGTACCCCTGGGAGGCACTTGTTCTGCTATTCCTTCAAGCTTCTCTCTCTGCCTTAAATCTGTCTGCATTCCCAGATGTCACCAAGCCCATGGGGCTTACAAATAGAAATAAGAGGAAGTCCCTATGCAGGGACTTACCATTTACTTGAAACAAATGAATCCAAAAAACGTGATAGAAAACTACCAGCTAAACTGGGGAAACAAAGGAGGAATTAGTCAATTGTATAGAAGGGTCAGGAGAGAATAAAAGTGGCTCCTTAATAATAATTAATTCTTTTTATTTATTTATTTATTTATTTTTTGAGACAGAGTCTCGCTCTGTCACCCAGGCTGGAGTGCAGTGGCACAGTCTTGGCTCACTGCAAGCTCCACTTCCCGGGTTCACTCCATTCTCTTGCCTCAGCCTCCCGGGTAGCTGGGACTACAGGCACCTGCCACCATGACCGGCTAATTTTTTGTATTTTTAGTAGAGACGGGGTTTCACCGTGTTAGCCAGGATGGTCTCGATCTCCTGACCTTGTGATCCGCCTGCCTCGGCCTCCCAAAGTGCTGGGCTTACAGGCGTGAGCCACCGTGCCTGGTCAATAATAATTAATTCTTATTAAGCAACTTAGATATTTCTTTTTGCCTGTGTTTATCTCATTTAATTCTCTTCTACAACTATAAAGAGATAGAAGCCTTTGTTCTCCTCATTCTTCAGATGAGAAAACTGAGATTTTATGTATTAAGAAATTGTGTAGCTTGCCCAAGTTCACATATCTAGGAGTTGCAGTCCATTTTACTCCAGTAAAAGTCAGAAGTTGAGTCTGTTTTACTCCAAATCCCAGTCTCCACAAGCCTTCTTGAGATAAGTGTTAAAATTGTTTGACACTTAATATCACAAAGAAAAATAATACAGAAGTTTCTACCTGAATTTTAAAAATATATTTTTGAAATTACATGGAATCCTGTTCCTAAGTAAGCACTGCAAAAATCAACCAACCAACTAAACAAACTCAAATGTTTAGTCAATTAAAACTTTGTGGGGCCAGGCACAGAGGCTCACACCTATAATTCCAGCCCTTTGGGAAGCAAAGGCAGGAGGATCACTTGAGCCCAGGAGTTTGAGAACAGCCTGGGCAACATAGTTGCACCCTGTCTCTACAAAAATTTTTTTTTTAAACTGGGCGTGGTGGCCTGTGCCTGTAGCTGTTTGGGAGGCTGAGGTGGGAAGATGACTTGAACCCAGGAGATAGAGGCTGCAGTGAGCCATGATTGTGCCACTGCACTCCAGCCTGGGTGACAGTATGAGACCCTGTCTCAAAAAGCAAAAACAAAAACAACATTTTGAAATGTCATAGTAGGCATATTACAGGCTTAAAATTATTAAGAGAGAAATTTATTTAACTTTATTTAATCTATTTTCCTCCAAACTTACTTGGACCTAGATCTGTTTTGGGAGAAAACCTCATTACATAATATGAAATTAATATACTATAAAACACTCTTGGGGAAATGCTTCTCTTTTGTAAAGAAAGCATGAAACTTTGAAAGTGAGTGCAAATTAAAATCAATCAATGCATGTATACTGTGTGCCTCCAACCTACTAAGCGTTGTTCTATGGGCTATTTAGGGGCAGTGAAAACGAAGTAGCAGGCAGAATTCAAGTCTCAAGTAATTTAAAAACTACAGCAATAAAAGACAATAATTAAGACCCCCTCTTGTGCATTACAGATGCTCCTCAACTTATGATAGGGTCATGTCCCAGTAAACTCATCATAAGTTGAAAATATCAAAAGGAGAAAATGCATTTAAAATACAAACGTACTGAGCATCATTGTTTAGCCTAGCCTACCTTAAATGTGCTCAGAATACTTCCATTTGCCTATAGTTGGGCAAAATCATCTAATACAAAGCCTATTTTATAATTAAGTGTTGAATATATCATGTAATTTTTGAATACTGTACTGAAAATGAAAAACAGAATGATTGTATGGGCACTTGAAGTAAGGTTTCCACTGAATGTGTATTGCTTTGACACCACTGTAAAGTTATAAAATCTAAAGTCGAGCTATCATAAGTTGGGGACCATTCGTGTGTTAAGATAGTCTCTATGGTAGCCTCTTCCATGGTTACAAAGATCAATAAAAACAGTTCCTGCATGCAAGGAACTTATAGTCTAGAAATGGGGAGTTCAAGGATGAGGGAAGATTAGCGAGTTGGAAAAATCAAGACAGATTTTTTTGAATAAGGTAGCATTTGGTCTGGAGTTGGCTTAAAAATTTTTTTTCTTTTCTTTCTTTTCTTTTCTTTTTCTTTCTTTTTTCTTTATTTTTATTTTTTAAGATGGAGTCTCCCTCTGTCACCCAGGCTGGAGTGCAATGGCGTGATCTCGGTTCACTGCAAACTCCGTCTCCCGGGTTCAAGTGATTCTCCTGCCTCAGCCTCCTGAGTAACTGGGACTACAGGGGCACACCACCATGCCCAGCTAATTTTTGTATTTTTAGTAAAGACGGGGTTTCGTCATGTTGACCAGGCTGGTCTCGAACTCCTGCAACTCAGGTAATTTGCCTGCCTCGGCCTCCCAAAGTGTATTTTTTTAAATTTTCTAACAAATAAAAATTTAAGGCTTTTGTGTAAGTAAAGAGTATCTATAACAGAAAATGAATTGCTATCTAGAATATATAAAAACTTCCTACAAATAAATAATACAAACAAAAAAATTCAATTAAAAAATAGAGGAAATGACAGGCAATCATACAGAGACTATACAAACTGTCAATAAACACTTGAAAAAATGCTCAATATCATTAATAATCAGGGAATTACAGACAAAAACAAGATGAATACTTTACACCTAGCTGGTTGAAAA
The DNA here is from genome assembly GCF_000001405.40 of Homo sapiens. Lineage (NCBI taxonomy): Eukaryota > Metazoa > Chordata > Mammalia > Primates > Hominidae > Homo > Homo sapiens. The sequence continues at coordinate 50,661,225 of NC_000005.10, forward strand.
AAAATTAAAGACGAATGGTATATACTGTTGGGAATGTTGCAGGGAATTAGGTATTCTCAAAAACAGTGGAGTATAAAATGATAAAGTAAATTTGAGAGCAATTTGCTTGTATCTATCAAATTTTTAAATTTGCCAGTTCCCTGTGAGCCAGCCAGTTCCCTGTGAGCCAGTCAATTCACTTCCCAAAGAAACTGCTGAAACTGTGCATAAAGTTGTGCATTTGTTGTAAATTGTTTTAATCACAAAACATTTTGCAAAAGCCAACATGATTGCAGAAGTACGGTTAACACTTATTATACTGCATTCATTCAATATCATTCTCTGCAGTGGCTAAACAGAATGAGCTAGATCTCTTTCCATGACAAAGAAAAAAAGCTCTTCAAGACAAGTAGAAAAATTAAGTTGTGGCCAGGCGCGGTGGCTCATGCCTGTAATCCCAGCACTTTGGGAGGCCGAGCGGGATGGATCATGAGGTCAGGAGATGGAGATCATCCTGGCAAACATGGTGAAACCCCGTCTCTACTAAAATGCAAAAAACTAGCCAGGTGTGGTGGTGCACGCCTGTAGTACCAGCTACTTGGGAGGCTGAGGCAAGGGAATTGCTTGAACCCGAGAGGTGGAGGTTGCAGTGAGCTGAGATCATGCCACTGCACTCCAGCCTGGCAACACAGCAAAACTCCATCTCAAAAAAAAAAAAAAATCAAGTTGTAAAACAATATATATTATGTAGTTCCATTAAATTATTATTATTATTTTTTGAGACAGAGTCACTGTGTCACCCAGGCTGGAGTGCAGTGGCCTGACCTTGGCTCACTGCAACCTTTGCTTCCTGGGTTCAAGCAATTCTTAGGTCCCAGCCTCCTGAGTAGCTGGGACTACAGGTATATGCCACCACACCTGGCTAATTTTTGTATTTTTAGTAGAAACGAGGTTTCGCCACGTTACCCAGGCTGGTCTCGCACTCCTCACCTCAAGCAATCCACCCACCTTGGCCTCCCAAAGTGCTGGGATTATAGGCATGAGCTACTGTGCCCAACCTAAATTAAAATTTATATGTATAAATCTGTCAACATATGTACATCTGTGTGAAGATATGAGAATGCAGTAATGCAAGACATTCCCACAAAGTTATTAACACTAGTTACCTCTGGGACGAAGAGTGAAATTAGGGGTCAGGATAGGTAAGAATTTTCACATTTTACTTTATGTACTAATATATGTCTTAAATCATTTGCGCTGAGAATATATTCATATAGTATTTATGTACTTTCTAAGAAAAAGAAAAAGAGGTATTCAAAAGAAGGAATTAATATGAATGAATACAAGCTAAGAATGAGTTTGTTTGCATGGCACAGTGAGGCATCTCATCTAATTATGGTCTAGAATGCTTCTAGGTAGAAAGGGGAATTAAAATTTTACAGGAAAAATGGATCTAAATTAAAGTGAAATTTGGAACTAGAAAGAAGAGTTAAGGTTTCATCCTGTAGCTTTAGTATTACCTAGGTTAGTTAAGATGCTAGAAAGGGCCATAAAACCTCAACACCACCCCTGTGCCGTCACATTTGACCTTAGTAACCTAACGGGGGGTATGGTAAGAACCAAAATGTGACAAATCCACAAAACATCACCTAAAGTTCTCCTTCAGCTTGTCAAGTTTATTCAAAGTTGACTTTGGTTTTTTACAGTAGACCTATCAGAAGAGGTCAGAAAAGTAGGATTAGTTTCCAAAGGCAGCTTTTTCTTTTCTTTTTTAAGAAACAGGGTCTCCCTCTGTCATCTCAACTAGAGTGCAGTGGTATAGTTACAGTACACTGCAGCCTCAAACTCCTGTGCTCAAGAGATCCTCCCAAGTAGCTAGCACTACAGGTATTCACCCACATGCCCAGCTAATTTTTATTTTATTTTTTGTAGAGACAGGGGTCTTGCAATATTGCCAAGGCTGGTTTTGAACTCCTGACCTCAAGCAACCCTCCCACCTCAACCTCCCAAAGTGCTGGGATTACAGGCATGAGCCACCACACCAGCCAAGCAGCTTTATAAGGAAAGAATTGCACACGTCCCTCTACTTAGAAGAAGGTAGTTGGGCCCTTAGCAGGCATTTTGAATTTTACGGATTTCTTTCCATTACAGAACCACCGCAAGCAGAAGCTATATCAATCTCATAATTAGAAAGAACTTTTCAGATCATCTTCCTTCCAGTGGCTCTCCATTTTTCTCAGATGAAATCCCACTTCCTCACCTTTGTTTAAAGGCCCTTTGTGGTGTCTTCTCACAGCAATGCCTCGGCCCCTACCTTGTCCCTCCTTCACTGATTCTGCCACAAAAGCAAACTGTCCCAGTGCTGTTTCCACATCCCAGCAAGGATGGTAGGCATTCCCATGGGCATTTACCACTGATGACACTATCATGCATATGGCAAAGAAGGCTGTTCCCCTCTTTGCTAATCCTGCCTCCTATCCTCTTCTTAATAACCATGGAATAGCAGAGGTCAGGCTTGTACTTTTCTTAAGACTGTACTAATGGCTGGGTCATTTGGGAAAGGAAGTTGAATGCAAGAAAGGGAAATATAACTGCCACTAGCAGAGGCTATTTTGAGAGTCCACAGGCTTCAGCCCTCCTCAAAATCCATCATAGGGCTTCTTGTCGGCTTCACTCCTGGCCTGCAGCCATTGGCGGGGCGGTTTACTTCCTCGTGTGGCTTCTGTACATATTTATTCCTTTAAGTTCAATTCAATTGCTGAAAGGTTTCAAGAGAGAAAAAAACTTCTTGTAGTCCATGTCTCACCTTAGATGAATTAACCCCTTTGAGCCTGTTTCCTCTTTTGTAAAATGAGAAAAATAACAGCTAGTATATACGGGTTATTGTGAATATTAAATGAGTAACTATATGTAAAGCTTTTAGAACAGTTTCTACCAGTTCTGGATAAATGTTAATGAATTCTGGATAAGTTCTGGATAAATATTAAGTTCTGGATAAATGTTAGTTATTAATACCCACATCACATTATTGAACTTAATGCCGCATGTCCATTACCTTATACTTCCGCAGTTGGGCCTTTTGGCACAGGCAAAAAATTTATATTTTTCACTAATAAATTATATCTGGTGGCTTTGAATCATTATTCTAAACCGGTGGAATTTTTTCAGTAGAGTCTATCATCCAACATGTAGATTATTATCTTCAATTTAGTTTGGGATACCACCTGAGTTCTCCCTCACTGTAAATATTGATTTTATTTATTTAACAAATTGGTGAAGGGCCTCTTATGTGCCACGTTCCTGAATGCATGTGTGTGTATGTTGTATACTCATGAGTGTTTAAGGAGAGATAGAACTGTTTCATCTCAAAGGCGCATATAGTTTTTGATAAGGGAAGTATGTTGAGCACACATAATATAAACATTTAAATATTCGGAGATGGGGCAAGGTAAAGAAAGGATCCTGGATATGGGCTGACTTACTTTGAGCAAAGTGCTCCATAAGGATCTAGCCTGGAAGATCCTTGGAAGGATCTACGTTGGTATAGTTTTTAATTAGAGAAATTTATCTTGCAGAAATACATACTAGATAGGTTTTTATTTTTTAATCTTACTCCTTCAAATGTACAAATATTTATTAAATACATCACACCTTAAGGGCATGAACAGGGTGAGGTTAGCTTTGTTTAACCAAAACAGGGCAGCCCATGAAGCTTAAAAAAAAATCAAATATAGGACAAGTCACAAGAAGGCCTATTTTAAGGAGTGAGTAGTAAACTAAGAGCTCATCCAGACAAAAAAATATTTGGTAGCTTTAAAACTATTTCACATTTATTTGTAGTAAGGGTTCTACTTGGAAGATGCAAGCCTTGTGGCTAGATAACTATAAAATAAATTCTTGTGAGTTAATAGACTTTCAGCCTTTCAGAGAAATTAAAGCACATAATGGAAGAAGAAATACTCATGATTCTCAGTGGTGATGTGGAAGAGAAGAGAGCATTTTTGGCAGCCAAAGGGCCTACACAAAGCAACATATCCAGGAAGGACAAAGGGCTTGAACCTGTCCTACCCTAAACAGGAAGCATTTCAGGAGAGGACTGAGCAGGAGATATAGACTGTTGTGACTGTGGCTTTACTACATCAAAGGCTGCAGTGGATCTCAATAATGCAGAATGTTTCCTTTTGTAACTCATAGTGAATATGACTGGACAAGGAAATTATTTTGTAATTTGTTTCCTGAAAGATAAAGGAGTTAGAACATAGGATCTTTCATTGATTCTACAGAATCTTAAGACTCCTTCAGGGATGGCAGTCATTCCTACCGTGCTGAACATCATGTTGTCACGGTCAGAATCAGAACTAAATTGATTAAGGGTCTGAAACAGTTTGGCAACTCTTGGGCACTTATGCTGATAAGAAAAGTGATGAGACAGGGTAATGAAAAGAGGCTGCAAGAAATGACCATTCGTGCATTCAGCCAACATTTAGGCCACCCTCCTGTATTCCAGGCACTGTACATGGCACTGAGTATGCAAAGCAAAAGGAGTCATGGTCTACTGGCGGGAGCCTTCTCAGTGGAGAAAAGATCAACAAGAAAAGTGCCTGCTGGAGACCTCTCCTAGGGCATAAACCAATATAGAGGTGGGGCAGCTACGTCAGCCTGGGGTGTCCTTAGGCAGAACAGAAAGTGAGAATCAGAGCAGTATCTCATTTCTGAACACCTGGATTGTAGCTTTCCCTTGACTGTCAAAGGAGGTGGTTTTAAAAATCAAGCCAAACAGGTTTCCATCTTTTAGGAAGACCCTGGAACGTGCCAGTTGATTCTGACCATTTCTCATGAACAGAAACACCTAGGAAGGGAGAACTGGTGAGTTTCAAGAGGAGGAAGTCCCTCAAAAGGGGCTGTGTTTCGTAAACGGCGCCCCAAAAGGGCTGAACTACTTCGATCTGGAGGAAAAAGACTCAGGCACTGAGGGAAGGGGAGGGTGCACGTCTGGAGTAATTTTAAGGCCTTTTCCGTGTTATGTGATGTGGCAATAAGGAAAGATTTGTTCGTTTTATTATTTTTTTAATTTTTAAAGATTTTCTTTTCCCCCCTTTTCCCCCTCCCAGCCACTCCGGTTTGGGTTTGCCACAAGACTATAATTCCTTTAGAAAGTGGAGTCGAATTCATAAAAGTGATGGGGGGAGGGGCGCGGAGAGGGAAGGCTGGGAGCCCCAGGGAGTCTTCACGACCGCTCAGCTCCCGGCGCGAGTGGAGGTCGGTGTGGGGAGAAGCGGCTCCCGCCCGGGATGGCTAATACTCTGCGAGCCCCGGCAGCCCGCGGCCGGCGGGGTGACTAGGCGGCGGGCGCGGAGGGTCTGCGGCGGGCGGGCGGCGCTGCAGCAGCCTGGGCACGGCTGCCGCCGCCCGCGGGCGCGAGTGTGCGCGGGTGTGGAAGGCCGGCGTGCGAGCCGTGAGGGGTGTGCGCGCGTGAGCCGGAGCGGGGCTCGCCCCTCGCCGGCGCCCGCCGCCCAGCCGGTGATTGCTCTCTGGCTGTCCCCGGCACCTCGGCCCCCACGGCCGTTGGTCCGGGCGGGTGAGGGAGAAAGTGAGACTTGGTGTCATCACCATCCATTGTCAGAAGGGGAGGAAATTGGAATCCAGCAGCGGCGAGCAGCAGCTGGGCGGTCACATCTGGGAATGCAAAGCCGACCTCCCCCTCCTCCTCCTCCTCCCCCTCCTCCTCCTCCTCTTCTCTCACCCAGGATCACTTCCGAAACCACTTCGCCTTCAGCCCCTGCCTCGGCCAGAGGTTTCATTTTTAACTGAATATTTACGAAAGCTGGAAGCGTGCGAGGGGGGTGGGGTGGGGTGGAAATAGCGGCTGCTTCTTTTCCAGGGATTTATTTAATGGGGATGTGTTCAAGGCAAGAGCGAATTCAGAAGGATATCGACGTCGTGATCCAGAAGTCCAGAGCTGAGAAGGACTGCCTGTTTGCAGGTGAGTTCTTGCTTTTCCAGAACCTCGGACCCAGCGCCCCCTTCCCAGTTTTCTGACCGCGACGTCTGTGGCTGGGGGTGGGGTGGAGGGTTGCACGTCCCCATTCTGGGGTTCATTTGGCAACAGCTGCTGCAACGAGCGCGGGAGCCAAAAGGGGGAGGGGGCGCCAGCCTCTCCCCTTCCCCTCCCCCACCGCCAAGTCTGAGGCAGCCACCAGCTTTGAGGGCAGAGCCCGCGTGGCCGGAGCGGGGGTCTAGGCGAAGGGGCAGTGCGTGGTATTTCCAGCCCCGCGTAGTGCCCGAAGCCTCCAAGCACGCTTCCTGGGTTCCAGCAGCGGCGGCAGAGCGGGGTTGGTTTGCGCAATGGGCTGAGCGGCGGCGGCCGGGAATGGAGCCTGCTGCGCTGCGCTGCGCTTGTAAGCTGCGCCCGGCGCCGAGGACCCCCGGGGGGCAGCGCTCGGCCCATCTCCGGCCCCTTCGGCTCCCTCTAGTCCCCTCCGACTGGCAAAGAGAAGGGATTCCTCGGATTCCCAAGGCACCCAGCGCCCCTGCCTGGGGGTCGCCTTTCGTCCATTTTGCTCCCCCGGGATTTTGCTTTCGCTACCGCGAGCCCGGCTGAGGCTGCTTCCGGCCTCCCCTATCGGGAAATTCCCGCTGTTGCCATGGCACCCGGCACTTGTTGCGGGGGGCGGCCTCCCGCTGCACCCAGTCGGGGGCGCGCCGCATCCCCTCGGACGCGGCGCAGAGGGACCTCGCCGCCCTCTAGCCCTTGCCTTCTGCCCGGCCAGGCCTCCCCTGACACCACCGAATGTGGGGCTCAAGTCCTGATCGGGGTTAAAACAAATCCACTCCAGGGGTAGCTTTTGACGGGACTTTCTGTTTCAGATTTCAGATACTCTGACTCCACCTTTACTTTTACCTACGTTGGCGGCCCCAGAAGGTATTTATGTGTATAGAGTTGCTTCATTTCCTGTTCACACTCTTGTGTTTCCTTTGTTCTTAGCGTGTTCCGTGTTCGGGTATTTTGGTTGCTTGTTTGTTTGATTATTGTGGCTTTTCTTTACCTGCTACCCAAGCCTGACGTCCCTCGGTTTTAAATAGCAGGAGGAGGGGAATCAATGTTTGATTCAGGTGTTTCGAGGACCACGCCACAGGCAATGAGCAGAACTCTTCATGTTGAAACTGTTCTGCTACAGTACTAGATTGCTCTCAGGCGATTTGGGGTTGATACAGGCACGCCGGTGCAAAACTGGAATACTGGATATGAAGTGAAATGTATAAAAGACATAAAATGTCACAAAATAGTTTGATCAGAAGTGTTGATTTTCCTGGTGAGTTGGGGCTGCGTGTTTCCATGTTTTCTGAAGGTTTACATAAACATGCAGCCTGCCAATTCTCTGTACATTTTTTTTTCAATGAGTGGTATTTCGGTTTTCACGTATAGAAATTGGAGACTTATATGTAGCTGGAGTGGATGACTTCTTTCTTTTGGGGGAAGAATGAGAGATGCACATTTCGTTAGTAAATTGTGAACAACTTGAAACAAACCCAAATCCAATTTTGAATTTAGGAAGTAGAGTTAAAATGAAAGGTAGCCATTCAAATACTATGCCTTGCTACCTTCACTTGTTGAGTTAGGATTTTCTTCCTTTTAGCCCTTTAGGGACACAGTAGTTTAAAAGAGCAGTAGCCACATATGAGAAGTACCAGATTTAGCTTAGAGGGAATTCCTTAGACCAGCCCTGCTGTTAGGACTTGACATTCAATATTGTTTGATCACATTCCAAAATATATCTTAGCTAATGGAAACATTTATAAACATATAAATTGCAAAAGAAGCTTTCTTGTGTACATACATTTTTAAAAGCTTGAAATTGATGTGAACTTTTAAAAACACGTAGGATCTGTATTACATTATACATCTCAAAACATTTAAAGTGAATATCATTCCAGTATATGCAATATACCTAAGCCCCAGAATTAGCACATTGATTTACTAGTTGAAAATATAACAGTGAATCACCAAACTTAAGTGTATACTTTTTGGGAGAGAATGAAATTACAGTATTTCTTAATTTACTGTAATGTCATCTTTGTAATTATGAATTAATAATTCAATGAGAGGAGACTTGGTTGATTAAATTAACGCTGGTCCTACACATTATATCTAAAGGATCTTCGTATATGACTAATATCCTCTTGGATTATTTTAACAGTTAAAATATACAAAGTGGCCCATTAAAAACAGAGTTGACTTTTCACTATTGCTGTTTTTCTGGTGAGACATGTGGACAGGAAGGACAGGTGGGCTTTTCAAGTAACTAGCTTTCTGATTTTTAATAAGATACCTCAGTTCTTTTGGCCTCAGTTTACTTATCTGTACAATCAAAGGGTAAATCATATGCTTAATCACTAAGATCTGTTAGATACTGCAGTTAAGATTCTTTATCAGCAAATTATTGGACTCTAGTGTTAACATAGCTAGAGGTGGAAAAGGGAGCAAGGCCAGGTGTTGGGATGAATAATTAAGCGAGATAACATCAGTTTTCACCATAGGAAGAAGTACCATGGTTGCTCTTAAAGTAAGAGATGTTTCCTATTTTATGTAATTTTATTAAAGGATAGTGTTTTCTTTTGTCACTGATTTAAATGTACCTGGCTGTTTCTCAGCCATTTGGCTAAGATCGAGCACAAGTGTACCTGAGCCTTTTATATCTAATCTAATGTAGACCAGCCTGTTAAAAGAGAAAGACAATTGGTTAAACTGCTGATGTGTTGCTTTGTCTTCTCAAAAGCTTGTTCTAAAATACAATATGTAAAAAGTTGTTACAGTGTAGTAACCGTAGATAATCCCTTTATGATTTGTACCTAATGGCGAATACCTTTTATTTTCTGAAAATAACGTATTTGTTTTCATTACCGACATTATAAACCAATATTTATTAATCTATTTCTTATCCTGACATTTCAGTCAGACTCTTAAAATAATCTTGCTGTGTTTTGATTTAATGTGCTTATCAACTTGTAATATTGAATTAATAGTATCATTTTAGGTGAACTAGACTTTATTGAAGGAGGTGGGAGCCTTATGGAGAGAGAGTATATGATTATCTCTATTTGTATTTAACTACCATTTCATCTAACCATTAAGAACATATTTCAAGAATAATTTTAATTCAAGTTGTAGATAAAACTTACTATACCGTTTTCTTTTTGATGCTTTCCAAGAATGAGATACATGGTATTTTAAAGACAAAGATTGATCTTACATGTTACTATTAAAAAAAAATAATAATTTTGTTCTACATTTATACTTTTAATTTTTCTGTGGATAATAAGAAATGCCAAGAGGCGATTGTGTCCATGCTGGCAAGTGGCCTAATAAATTGTCCTTTTATTTGGTGGTCCTCAGAGTGGCAGTTAACATCTTGCTATTCTGCCTTGTGGACTTGAGGTGGAAAGGTTCATGGAATTATATCCTTGCTTTTGGATGTGCAAACTGAGGCTCAGAGAGTTTAAGACACATAGTCACTTTCATCAATTAAATGTTGAAGCTGCCATGTAAACCTGTTCCATCACACTCCTGAGACCTCCTTCTTCTCCATTAGTGTTTTCAAGCTTTTTGAGCATGCAGACACTTTACCATCAAAAAATTATGTAGAGACATAATTGAGAGTTACAGTTTAAAGAAAAACAAGGTGTAATTATTTGGTTATAAGTAGCATTTACATATGCTTGAAAACTTGTGCTATATATACGGTAAGATTAATTTATTCTAGCAATGATCTTGATAATCCCCCTGATTCCCAGACTCCTTGGAATAGCTCCACAGCTATCAGTGGTTCTGCCACAGGTTCAGAGCCTTCCCAGTACTGCCTTCTTATTTGAGAGGTGTGCTAAGAACTATAAAGCAGAGGCTTCAATTGTACACAATTTGGAAGTTTAGGCAAAAGTCATTTCTTCCCTATACTTTGTCATACTTATCTTCTGTCTCTTTCTGTTTTACTGATTAGCAATAAACTCCTTAAAACCCAAAGGTTTGGGCTTCTGTTCCTTTCACTTGCAGTCAGACATGGAGTTAGTGGTAGAAGGAACAGAAGGGGTAACCTGCATGGTGACAGCTACTGAGGGGATGGATAGGAAAGCAGGCTGAGTCCCTGGGGCCAGTGGTTACCAAAGCCAAGGAGAGAGCAAGTGGAGCCCAGTGGGCCTGGCCATGGACTGCTCTGGAATTCCGAGTGTGAACTTTCAGCCAGGAATGTATTGTGAAAGTATAACTCTGAGGTTTTAAAAGTACACAAATAAGAATTGTGTTTTGTAAAAAAAAAAAATAAAAAAAAAGTTAGAAGAAGAAATACGCCAAAAAGAAGAAAGTAAAAAATACATGACTTCTGTCTTCTGTTAACATATTAAAATTTATTCTTTTAGATTTTTATGTGTCTATATACATATAAAATATATATGCATCCCCAAATTGTATTAATACTCTTTTGAGACCTCACATTTTTTTCACCCAAGAATATAACATTAATTTCTTTCCTTTAGAAAAGACATGAGACTAAAGAATGTTTATTAAGTTGAGAGTTTCCCAATTAAGGAGTATGACTCTGTATAATAATAAAGCTAATGTTTTATTAGAAATTATAATAAAATTAGAAATTTAATATTTGGCAGGATGTGTGTTGCCTGCATATGTACACCCTTTATTATATGACTGGACACTCTTTTGTGTGGTCATGGATATATTGGCATCTTTTGAAGTGTATCCTTTTTGTTTCAGGAGCTTCCGTCTAGATAAATAGCACGCGTGACACTAATAATAGTAATGGAATATTCCTTAAAGCACAGGCTCCTTCCTCTTTCTCCTGAGCCTTTGCACATGCTGCCTGGAAAACTCACCCACAACCTGCTTTCCATCCTCTCCTTTGGCTCATCCCTGCTCAGCCCTCTTTGTTAAGATATTTGCTAAGCCAGATTCTCTGAGAAGCCTTTCCTGGCATCTTCGTCTGTATGATTCTGCTAGGTGTTTCTAAAACCATGTCGTTACAGTATATTGTAATCGCCCATTTATGTCTGTTTGACTGTGAGCCTCTTGGAGATGGGAATTCTCTCCTATGCGTTGCAGTTTCCCCAGCCCCTAGCACACTGTCTAGCCCAGTATTCTTCTAAGTAAGTAGGTGTTGAATGACTTACAAAATGAATGCTAAAAGACCTGGCAGACAAGAAGGAATTTCCTGGCCTAAATGACCAGATGTGGAGAAGATACTCAGACACTTCAGGGTCCCCAATCTGGTGATGTCACTTGCAGTGGAATTTCATACGAATCCAGTGTGACAGAAGTTGCCTAGTCAAGTTATAAGTCCACTTCTCTGGGTCACATGTGCAAATACTTTTAGGGGACAGATAATGCAATATTTAAGATACTAGGGCGTGATGAGGACTGTGACACAGTGGAGAGTTTGGACTCCAAGGGTAATTAATTCAGTTGAAAAAATCAACAGCACTCTGTTGATCAAGCAAACTTTCTAGGGGCCCTAATCCACCTGGGCCCGCAGTGTGTAATTCCATAACTCATGGGATGCCATCAGGAGAGACAATCTACTTGATTGCTAAAGGGCCTTTGTTTTCTTTGGAGTTCCCCAGAAAGGAGAAGTGTATGTGTGTGCAGGGGTGAGGAGGGGGAGGGTGAAGAAGCAATGCTATCCCCTTAAAAAGGTTTGTCAATTTTCATTATGAAAGATCAGACGTGCCCACTCCAGAAATCTTGGCATATACAGTTACTTTGAAGCCATTCAGTGTTCTTCAAGATGTCACAATGAAAACAGTGATGATTTTTTAAATAAAAAATTAACATATTTCTCTTGGCAATGGGACTTTCTCACCATACTTTTATGTTATATCACTTATTATATATTCAAAATATTGATTTTTTAAAAGTGTGTTCCTTGGAGTCCTGGGAACCTGCCTCAGGAGCTGGGGTGGCTGTGGGGAGGGAGTGTGAAGGGAGCTGAATGAGTTAGTGAGAATCTGGGTCTTCATATCTTTTTTAAAATTGCAGCTGCTTTTTTCTGTTCTGTATAACAACTCTTTTTGAAAACAGTTTCATTGTTGAGTTTTAAAACCACTGACCTAAAATAACCACCAATTTAACATAAGTATAACTTTATTGAGTTTTTTTGTATTAAAATTTAAACTCCATTTTCTTCATGGATTAAGGTGATCCTATAGTGATATTTATTAAGCATCGTCTCTGCTGTTCTCTTTGCTTGCCTTGCTTTATCCCGTGTTTCCAAAAAACACAAATAAGTATTTTGTCAGCTGTTTTACGTTTTATAGCAGGAAAAACAGAGGCTTGGGTGATTTAAGTAAGTTACAGTTAGTAAGAGCCATAGGATACATTTCAGTGTAAGTCAATGTTTATGTAAGACTTAAGGGACATTGGTTGAATTGGCATGGCTAGAATAGTTGGGAATGTTTGGGAATGGGGAGAGATTGCTAATGGGATGTCTGCCAGGGGCAATACTGAAAATCTGCTGGTTGGCAAAGGTAGTGCCTGAGCCCAGTGCTAACCATAATAGTTGGAAAATTATGTACGTTGGCTGTGGAATCCTTATGCAAACATTTGGCAAATCCATGTAAATTTCCCATCATTTCTCTCTGCAGCATTTTTAAAAAGACATATAGCTGAAATTTTATCAATCCTAAAAATATTTTGTAATTATCTGCCCAGATTTGCATTTGGGTAGATTGTGCTGTAGAAGATATATCTTGCTTTAAGATAGCTGCCACTGATTATTTTAGTCTATTTTAATCAACTTATTGCCTTGTAATCTTTCCTTTTTCATTCTCTAAATTTCTGAAATTCCATCTTTCGTGTTCCCCAGGAAAGACTAGTAAGATGTGTTTTTATTAACAAGACTTACTATCCTCATTTCACCATGACATAAGTTGGGCTTTCTGTTCCAATTTATCCTACTTGAATGGTGGACACTTCCACCTGAGTATTTGTCATTTTCACCTCAACCCCAGCACATTAAAACAATCCCTTCTTAGCTCTTTAAAAGAAGCTTCTGTCTCCAGCCTTTTCCTAGTCAGTATCACATCTTTTGAGCCCGGTATGGGGATTACAGTTTCAGATTTCACCTCAAGTCTTCCTCTTCTGGTTCCTGAAGCTCTGCCAACCTCTACTTTGAAACACTGTTGGCCTCTTCATCCCATCCCATGTCAACATTTAGCCCATGCCCTGTTGGCTTTGACTTAGATCAATCGCCTTAACCTAGTGTCTTAAAATTCTTGATTTTGAGTTTCTTATCCATCCAGTTTATTTACACCTGAACTCTTTAAGCATGAAATTAATCATTCATCTGTTCAGAAGCCTTCAAATGTGACCACAGCTTTTTCCATATAGACCTGAAACTTAACATTCTTGGCCTTTGAGAGCTGCCTTCCCTATCCACTGATACATGTTTCTCATGCTTCCTAACATCTACATGCTTCTGTTTGCTTAGTGACCACCCCCCGCCCACTCATCAACAGTTTGTATTAATTTAGTGTAAAGCTGTGTAAAGTTTATTGATTGATAACATCTGTGTCAAGATCATGGTTTTTATCACAAAGAGCAGTTCATTGTATTTTTTCCTTGCCCACGAATGACATCTCTGTTCATTAGAATACATAACGTTTTACGCATAGGAGGATAGAGTGAGAATATGAGTAGAACAAAGTAAGAATAAGAGGAGAGGATAGTGAAATTTGAGGATAGGATGAGAATGTAAATAGATTTATGTCCATCCATTACAAGATTAATAACCACAATGACAAAAGTCTTGAATGTTATTTATTTGCATATGAGTGATATTTCAGTTTGTGGCTGATACCCTCTTGGTATTAAATGGAAGATGACAAATCATTCAATATTAATTTTAGAGGGAGACATCTATTGAAACCTTTGTGCAGTCAGGTCAAGTTTCTGTGTACAAAAATTAGCAGAGAGGTTGCTGCTGGTTGACTTCCCCTAGGATGGTGTCTTTCTGAACATTTTGAAATGTAGATTGAAAAGGTGGATTTGTCAACTAACTCTGAAGTGCTGTAGTTATTTGTGTTTTCATCATTGTTTTATTGTTTATTTTATTTTTGAGATGGAGTTTTCGCTCTTGTTGCCCAGGCTGGAGTGCAGTGGCCTGATCTTGGCTCGCTGCAACCTCCGCCCCCCGGGTTCAAACGATTCTCCCGTCTCAGTCTCTCAAGTAACTGGGATTACAGGCACACACCACCACGGCCGGCTAATTTTTTTGTATTCTTAGTCGAGACGGGAATTCACCATATTGGCCAGGTTGGTCTCGAACTCAGGTGACCTCAGGTGATCTGCCCGCCTCGGCCTCCCAAAGTGTTGGGATTACGGGCGTGAGCCAGCCATGGCGCCCGGCCTGTTTTATTGTTTAAAAAACAAGTACAGGTTGTTATTATCCAAGAATTGTTGATAGAATATATACTGTATTTGAAGTGTAGAACCAAGGCAGAGGCTGATTAATATAATTAGTTTACATTTGTTAGCCTTTCACATCTGTGAAGGAATAAAGTACAGACAAAAGTGGAAAACAAACCAGGAAAAAAAAATTGTTAAGCACAGAGCTGCTTAAAAGAGTGATGTCACATTAAAAAAAAAGTCGCAGAAATAAGTCAGTATTTTGTTTAGAGACTAGAACTCCAACTCCTAGCCAACTGCCTAGAATATAGTAAATATTTCTAGTTTCTTAAATGACTAGTAATATTCCTACATTATGTGATGGCATTTCCCAAACTGTTTAATTAGATATTAGATTTGTAGCCAAATATGTCTAGGAAATGCTTAAACAATATAAAACAGTTTTAATGATTGGCTTTTTAGAATGTTATATATTAGTGTGCTTTATGCATATCCAAGATGTGAGTGAAGTATTTGGGGTTTTTCAGACTTACTTGATTACAGATCTGGAGTATCTCAAAACAGTTGTTTTGCGGAAAACACTTTGGCAAACTCTGAGTCTTATTCATTAAAAATAGTTTTTGGGTAAACAACAGTGTAATAGAAATGGAAATTACTGATTCATATTGAGCCGGGAAGAATTTATTTTCAGCAATTTTTATAGAAGTTGCTTTATGACAAAGAAAGCTTTGGTTAACTGGCATTTGGCATTTCATGCCCCTAACTTTTCTACATGAGGGTGTATTTCTCTGGTTCTCTCACTCTCTCACTAGTTATACTGAATTCATTTATGTTAAGGGCTCTCAACCTTTCTTATTCATCAAAGCCCTGAAGTTGGCAGAGCCCTCTCTGGTACCTGATTAGAAGTCCGTCTTCCGTCTCATAGGGAAGTGTTAGAGATGGATAATGATTCTGTGTAGCAGAAGTACTCATTATGTCCTCTTAAATTCGGTCACTTTGACTGCAGTAGAGCTTCTTAGTGAGCAGTCTATGTTGGAGTGTACTTTCAGAGAAGCTCGTGGTGGGGGAAATCTGGAATTTGTCTAAATATTTCATTTCTTTGATAAATTACATTAAAAAATCAATGAGAGTATCTATTTGGTGAAATCATTTTCCTCCATGTGACCAAATGAGAAATTTAGTGAAAGATTTAAAATCATTTCTCAGACTTTTTCCACATTAGTCGGGAAGCAAACCCCTTTTTTAAGGCAATGTCAGTTATTAAGCTTTAGGGAACCACATGCCACTTTAGGTAACAGATGATTGGAGAGATTGAAGAGTGAAGTCCCTGCTTTAAAGTGTACTCCTGTGGACACAGTAATACATATACTTAAAATGGTTCATGTTAAGAGTAGGTATATTTCTATCTAAATACTCTGTAGCTTTTGTGATTCAGGAAAACGAGTGGAGCCTCACAGGCACAAGAATCTAGTAAATTCTAGGTTTCTTGTGTGGAAATCAGTGTGCAAAATCTTAACGGAGTGAATTCTTGATTGTTGATATCACATTTGTTAGTCTGTATGTATCTGTGTCATTGATCTCCTTAAGAAGAGACTCGTAGATATTGACTGGGAGACCTAAGCTGAATGCTAAAATCTGCTCCATGGATATAAGCTGATGCAGTCATCATTTCTCATTAAAATGCATCACAGCTAGATATGCAGCAAAAAAAAAAAAAAAAAAGTTAGTCCCTCCAGCTGAAAAGCGGTCATTACTTTATTATCACCACAGAATTTGAAATGATTTCTGTAGTTAACAGTCAGATTTTATTTTTAGTTAACTAAGACAAAGTTTGAATAATTCACTGTGAGACAAATTCTTTCTTGATTTTTCTTTTTGGAGCAGTCCATCGTTATGGGAAAACCAGCCTAGAATGGTGATTTCAGTTTCAGTTAGGTGATTTCAATGAGAATTGTATTTGGCTCAGAAATGATGAGACTGGGGCCAAGAAAAATTTTAAACTTATTTTTTTTGTAATCATATTGCTAGTTTGATTTCATATGAACTTCCTTTGTTGACTTTCTGTGCCATTAATTTAAAATTTCCAGTATCCTCAATATTTGATGTCTTACATGTACAGAATCCTTTCCAGCTGTAAGTCGTCAGCAAGTAAAAAATTTAGTATGGCGATAGTTTTCATAAGAGGTTTTTTAAAACAGAAAAATGTTGACATTGCCAGCCTCTGGGTTGCATTTAGGGATATGCTACATTTCAAAGGTATCTTTCTGAAGGCAAAGACTTTTTCAACATCTGAATATTCTGATTTACAGAAATTAAAAAAAAAAAACCCTGTACATTATACAGGCATATACATTTGAATCAGGAAAATATAAAATTAGCTGATTATTTTTATTCAGTAAAAGTGCCTTGGCACAGAACTAAAATTGATAACTTATGGTTTTAGAATGTAGATAAGTACATGAGAGTAAATCACATTTTTATATGAATAAAAATATCAACTTTATTCATATATAGATTATAAAACTATACTAAACAAAAAGTAATTATTTACTATTACAAAAATTATTAAGAACCATTACAAAAATTCCCTGCCTACTAATTTTCAATCACCATAGAAATACAATATTTAATAATGCTGCTGCAGTACTTACATAAAACATATTAAGAATTGATGTTATATTTCTGTGTTTGAATATTGAGCTTAAACATAAAACATGTTTGAAATGTGTTTGTGTGTGTCTGTCACACACACATAACATGTACATACCTGAAACTCATACTACAATTGCAACACATCTTAAGCTTTTCCTTTTAAACATACCAAGATAACATTCTAAAATGAAGGATATCTATGTCTCTCTTCATACTGTCTCTCTGTGATATACAATTGCTATAAATGTATCTTCATATTTGATATATATAGGTACATATATATGGATAGATAAATATAGATATATGAGAGAGAAATGGAGATTAGAGATCTATGTTTGCGATAAATCACGCTTGTTAACATAAACTATCGGATTAAACTGATATTTTGTGGCCCAAGACCTGAGACATGCAAAACTACTCTTACCAGATAGAATTTTCTAAAAGCTGAGAGCTCATTCTCCAGGAGCTGGCCAAGGACCAGTCCTAAAGGCAGACCTTTCTTGGAAATGTACAGAGTCTGAGCAAACAAGGCCTGCTGAGTTAACCCTTTCCTATACATATGCAGACAGTGTTCAGCACAGGGCCTGACAGAAGTCAGTGTTTGTTATTACTATTCATAGCATTAGCCCAATTCTTGTTGTGAGCAACATGAACAAGGAGACTAAGGGGGAAAAAAATGCCCTTTTGTAGGGTGACCATCCTAACTGATTTGAAAGTCTACAATTTTTTCAGTTTAAAATGATATTTATTTGTAACATGTACTATTATTGAATAACAATTTCTAATAAAAAACTACACTGGTTTTCTGCCTGTGGAGAAGCCACCTTTTTATTCCTTTACTTTCTTAATAAACTTGCTTTCACTTAAAAAAAAAATCTACCCTACATATACACAAAAGTTAAAAAGCAGCAATAGTGTACACTGATCAATATAAATGCATGCAGTTTTCTTTTCTTCAGTGTACAAAGTCCAAGTCTAAACCTTTATAATTTTTAGAGTCTAGCGATTCTCCAGACTCCATACTTTTCGTTATTATCAGATGCCAGCGTTAATGCTTTTCCTTTCTCCTGTTTTGGGTTCCTGATCTTCACCTGTGTCTTTAAAACAGATTATTTTCTTTAGATTTG
The DNA here is from genome assembly GCF_000001405.40 of Homo sapiens. Classification (NCBI taxonomy): domain Eukaryota; kingdom Metazoa; phylum Chordata; class Mammalia; order Primates; family Hominidae; genus Homo; species Homo sapiens. The sequence continues at coordinate 50,679,390 of NC_000005.10, forward strand.
AAAGGTTGGGTTTTTGTCTCCATTTCTTATTTGTTTAGCCTTGTATTTCCCTTTCTTTAGTTGAATTGTGTTATTGAAAATTAAATAATTTCTCTGTGAAGTCAAAAATCCTGTTTCAGGGTGGGCTCTAGAGCTTTTGTCTTGGGCCACCCTCCCATATCCTTAGAAAGCCTGTGTGTATTCTGATACATTTGGCAATTTCGACTGGCTTTTCTTGTATTGTCTGACCCCTTTTTATTTCAGTGGCGCATCCTGGTTTTACCCAACAGGCAAGTGGTGACTCCAATGCAGGTGATGCAGAGGTGACACTAGAATGAAGTGAAATATTCTGTTGAGGGCTAAGTTCATGTTTCTGCTGACAGTGGCAGATAAATGTCATGGCTTCCCCCTGCATAGTGCTTAGGAAGTTTCTTTTGATATGTGTTTTAGAGAAAACATAAAACTTGTAATCAAGAAAATGCAACAACGGAAGAAATGCTTACTTGAGTAACTAATGTGAGTTAGGCAAAGAAGATACAAATACTTCCCATTTCCTGCTTCTAAATTACGGTCAAATTGTCCTAAGGAAATCTCTCTTTGTCTCCATGTAAAACATATAGAGAAGCCGTTAGAAAAAGGTGGCTGGAACAACTTTATACATACAGCCTGAATGAACTGCCTCACGATTTATATGTTTGAGGAAAGTGTCTGTTTGATAATTTAAATTAAGTTTAAACTGTCATAAATGGAAAGCTGTACAGATTCTGTGGGAGAGGATACTGGAGTACCAGATACTCATTGCTAGGCTGTCCACTCTGCCTTCTTCAATACTCTGGATCGGTGCCCTTTATTCGTTTTTTTCACAACTTCCTCCCCTTTGCTCAGGTTCTTTACAAGCTTCCAGGATTTTTTTATTTTATTTTATTTTTTTCCACAATGACTCTCATGGCTGTTGCTATAGTTGCTATAAAAGGCAAGGTGGGGAACAGACGGGTGAATGAGTACGGAGGTCATTTGTAAACCGTTTGTGGTTAGTGCTCCTCTGTTTACTGTCTATTTGTCTCTCTCAGTGTCTCTGGGTGTGTGTCTGTTTACAACATAAAATATATGCACACAAATCTCCAATTTTTCTAGAGTAACTGTTAACACAGTTAAAATCTGCAGGAAATCTATCTTTTAAAGGAAATACCAATTAGCAAATAAAAGAGTTGATTCTCCCCAACTCTCATTCCCCAAAGTTTGCTTAAGTGTATGGTTCTCACACATTCCATAAATAAAAACATTGCTGGCTTGTAAGTATGCTTCACTTTCATAAGCCTTCCAAATGTTGGTAACTTAGCCTTCTCCTTTTTAAGGGTTAGTTTGTAAGTGATGCTGGAAGCCATGTGGTAAGAAAGAGGACAGAAGTATAAAATCAGACTCAAGTAAGAAAGTAAAATCTGGCATATTTGGCATAGATCCATTCAGCTTTGTATACTTTGTTAGGACCCAAGGGCATGCCTGATTTTCATAAAATCGATGCACTGTTATTAAAACAAACAGGTGAAAATCACTTTTGTTACCCTACTTGACAAGGCATCTGACTACCTTAAGTGTGTTAGAAATTTTGCAAGTGGTTAAGATTTTATGCTTATGAATTCAAAAGATAGACTTTAGTTATCTTAAAAACTAATTTATGTAGATATTTTCCCTAGTAATACAGCACAAATGGGTTTTATTTCCAACTAAAAATAGTATTTATTACCATGGATATAACTAGAAGAATCATACAAATATATGTAATTCCATTAGAAAATATTTTTCTTAAAATTTTAAATGACAAGAACTTAATGAATCTTAAATATCTCTTGTTTTATGTTGAAAAATTGTTTTCATAAGATACAATTAAGCAATTGATATTTGTTCTCCCAGTATCTGAAGATTTTTTTGGCCTTGTTTTGTTTTTTGGATTTTTTGGCCCTAAAATTAGGTGAATTCAGCTTTGGGTCTATTTCATCCATTCTGGAAGGTTCCTTGGGTCACTGATCTGAGGCATTCTTGATGTGGTTAGGACTTCTAAGCATTATTTTTTTTTAGATCCTGTTTATTTAAAATGAAAAGGATTAGCATGAGGGATGGTAACATTCCTTTTTGATATCTGTAGCAGCAAGTTTTCTTATGATTCATTATTATTCTTCTTACAGCTTTAAATCATCTAGGAACTTCATATAAAATGTAATTCCAGTTTCAACTAGTTGTGGAGCATTTGCTCCAAAATAAAATGAAAGTCCTCTCTGAAGTTGTAGAGGAGACTCAAGAATCAGAACAGGGTTTCTTCCAACCTGAAATTCTTTAAGCTGTGAGTTGAAGGACTAGGTAAAAAAGCAAATATCATTTATTGTGATCATTAATGCACATGAGTCATTATTCCATGTGGTTGCTGTCAACTGGTCAGGGGCACTTCAAGCCCTCATCTCTACTTTGTCCTGTCTCCCTACACCCTGTTCTACTTTTTCAGCTTGTTGCTTGTAATATGTGAATGGAAATAAAATAATCAAGCTTGTTAGAATTGTGTTCATGATGACACAAAAGACCTGAGAGAACGTAGGAATGTATAGAACATCCAAAATAAGATATATTTTTGGTTGGTTTAAAACCTTTTTGTTTGTTTCGTTTTCTTATGTGCTTAATGTGTAGTTACTATTATTTCATATCCTTTGACTTACAGGTTTGGCTACAATGCAGTGTAAATATTGCACATGGGACCATTTGTCATATTGGCAGATGGCAATACATAGATGGATAGAATTTTGCTGTTTGATCAAAGCTGTGCCATTGGAAACTTGTTTTCCCAAGTATGAGTACATTCTCCACTTTTCCTGAGTGGAGAAACCTAGATCTGAGCAAAAAGCGTGAATCAATACACCTTGGGAGGCAGGGTGTCGAATATTTGATGCCATTTCCTTTGCTTGTAAATTGTTCATTTCATTTGACTATAAATAAAAAGGACTTCTACCAAGAACATGAAAGTAACATTTTGCCAAGCTAAATTTTAATGAATTCATTTGGACTTTTTTAAATCACTTAATATTTTCAGTTCATGTGCTAATATTAACTCTACTTACTGGAGAGAAAGAAATGGTATTCAATATGATAACTACCTTGTTACTGCAGAAATGTAGAAGTTTGACATTTTAAGTATCAAATATTTTAAGTTAAAAAAAAATTACCAGTGTCCCACAGCACAGAGAGAGAATATATGCTTGCTTGTGTCCCTTTAATCTTTCCCCTGTAAAATTAAGCCTAGGGGCCTTACACTATTTTAAATTTTCAAAATTAGGTCATGTAAATGTTGTGTCAGATTTCCAATTCATAAGTAGTATCCTTATGAGTACTGAATAGTGAAGATAGGGTACATTTATATCCTACTGATTGCTTAGCTGTGGACCAGAGGTGAGCAGAGAATGAATGGTATTTTCACAGGTTAGTAAACAGTTTTTCTATGATCTCTTATATACAAGTGTGATTAACGTTTTTTCCCCCCTTCCTGAACTAATATAGGAACATATGGTCTAATAAGCGTGAGTACATTTGGGGAGGGCAGGATACAATGCTTGAAATTAGGACTGACCCAAAAAATGCCTTGGTCTCGGTATTTGTGGATTAGGAGGAGGAAGGGCTGAAAAGGAACCTTAAAAGCATTAGAATGGTAGAGTACAGATTAGCAGCAACACTCAGGGCTCCATCATGAAGCGAGTGAGATGAGTTCCCATGGTTAATGCAGCAGGGGCTCTAATTGGAAGCCCTCTACCTAGGAAATGATTTAAATCCTTTTATCCTAGCTGGATTGTGAACATTTTATTTACTTTGAGGAAGTTGTTTAACCCTTTTTGTAGATTCCATCAATATTCAGAGTAATGTAAATACATTTTCCCTTTGGCTATTTGACAAGGACATTGAGGATTAATTAAATTTAAAAGAAAGTAGTGCAGTTAACTCCCAGGAGACAGGGAGATGTTTTTCTCATCATTCATTCCTTATTCATTCATTTTACAAATGTTTGTTGAATAGTAATTATAATGAAGACACTATACCAGCTTCCTGAATTGGGAATACAAAGATGAAGGATGAGAGTGACTTCTGCCTTCATTATGTGTTCATATTTTCTTTTTAAAATTCTCATTATAATATGAGTAATTGTGCAGGGATTTAATATTGCCGGTCTCAGCAATAGTTGATCTTTGATTAACATCTCACTGACACATATTTTCACAGTGTGTAGTTATTTTTCCTTTCTAAATTTAGAACTACTCTTTATCTTCTACTGTAAGAGATATTCAACACACTTTTGTTTTTTTCTATATTGTAATCAGTGCAGTTTTTTAACCAAGAATAAACACAAGTTCTAATAGCAAACAGAAATAAACTCCCTACACATTACCTTCTCCGTTAAAATATGTTTTATGCCACATGCAGAATTTTAACATTATATAGTTATTTGTGAAAATATAGCTAAGTAGAAATTTTAAGAAAGAAAGCCTCTAATATTCATATCTTAGCACTAAAGAAGCATATATTATTCTGCAGATTGAATTAAAATGTTAGTTACCAAGATATGAACTTAGACATTTTCGTAAGCATTTATAGGCTATTCTCATATAAAACTGTACACAATTTCCTATGAGGCTGGTGAAGGTTTCTTAGCTTAAGTGGCTTTTTAGCTGGTTCTTGGATTTTATTAAATAATATTTGAATGAACAGTTTTGACTAACAGCCTGAAAATATTAATCTTTCTTCTCAGTCTGAGCAAGTGAAAGTAGATAAATTCATATTGTATGTCTGATTCTCTTTGGGTTTGAAAAGAAATAAAGACTCGACTTCTAAATTAGCATAGAAAAGAGGAGAATTTCTCTTGATTTATTTCTCAGTTTGGGTTTGTGCTTTTGAAAAAGGAAAATAATGGTCCTGAAATCAGTAGCCTTTGTCTTTGCCAAAAAATGTGGACATGTTGATCTTAGGGGGGCTGATTATATAAAACAATAAAAATGCAGTCTTAGATGAAAATCTGTAAAGATATAAGAATGCTGAACTAATATGAAATCAGGGGCTGAAAAAATGCTGGATTGAGAATAATGTGATAATGAAGGTTTTATATATATTCATATATATAAAATATATTCATATATTCTCTTCAACATACATAATGTCATAAAAAGGATAAAATGCCTAAGTCTAGTCTTGACAGAGCACCAGCTTAAATCACATGAGCCTGTCAGAGAACTTATGACAATATTTAGGGCTAAACTGATGTTACTGGTGAACCAGTATCTGGAATGATTTCTATAACTCACTTAACTTGCATATTTATACGTGGACTTTAAAAAATAATTATCAGGATGGCTACTCTGAAGTCAGGAGCTTAGAAAGTGTCACAGATGGTATATATTTGTATTCCTGCCTCATGTCCCTTTCCCTGAAGTGGCATGTGGGGTATGAGGGATTACGGTGTATTTGTAGGTGGTGTGCTTGAAAGGCTATCAGGGGACTTTTGGTTCTGCTTCAGTTCTGTTTCGTGGAGACAGTCAAGTGATTTAAGGTCTCTTGCTTCAGCCGTCCCACTTAGAAAACAGTTGCTTGAGACTACTTCACTGTAAAGCTCCTTTTTTGTTTTTTTTAAAGAAATGCAGATTTTATGATATTCCTGATCATTCTCTTTGCATTTAGTTTTAAAATGTTATTTGCAGTTGATTAGAGAGTGGTGATAAGTAAGCCAGGATTTCTGGAATGCCAGGGCACTGTCCCCATGCATGGAAAACTGCACAAGAGCTTGTATGTCTTGACATTCCCACATGTCAGGATGCCTTCATTTGCTAATGACAGAATACCCAACTCAGACTGGATTAAATAAAAGGGGATTTTCTTGCTTATTTAACTGTAGATTCAGTGGTAAATGGGTTTCTGGGTTGATTGGTTTGGGGCCTAACAATGTCTTCAAGGACTTGGTTTCTTTTCAACAGTCAGCTTTTGCTTTCCTGTGAGCTAGCATTGTTTCCCACGGGATTGCAAGGCAGCTGCATACAACTCCTGCAGTTCTTCCTTTTCCATATCCAGAGGGGGAACATCCTTTCAGAAGCTGATATTTTAGGTGTAAATTCCATGTCCCATCTCTAGAGTCAGGAGTAAACTTAGCAATTCCCAAATGAACTATCCTGAGGAAGATATGATATAGTATTGAATAGCAGGAACATTTTTCATTTTATTTTTATAGAGATAGGGTCTCTTTCTGTAGCCCAAGCTGGAGTACTGTCTTAGTCTGTTTTCATGCTGCTGATAAAGACATACCCATGACTGGGCAATTTACAAAAGAAAGAGGTTTAATTGGACTTACAGTTCCATGTGGCCTGGGAAGCCTCACAATCATGGCAGAAGGCAAGGAGGAGCAAGTCACATCTTACATGGATGGCAGCAGGCAAAGAGAGCTTGTGCAGCAAAACTCCCCTCTTGAAACTTACTCTCACAAGAACAGCATGGGAAAGACCTGCCCCCATGATTCAATTACTTCCCACTGGGTCCCTCCCACAACACATGGAAATTCAAGATGAGATTTGGGTAGGGACACAGCCAAACCATTCTGCCCTGGGCCCCTCCCAAATCTCATGTCCTCACATTTCAAAACCAATCATGCCTTCCCAACAGTCCCCCAAAGTCTTAACTCATTTCAGCATTAACTCAAAAGTCCAGTCCAAAGTCTCATCCAAGACATGGAAAGTCCCTTCCACCTGTGAGCCTGTAAAATCAAAAGCAAGTTAGTTACTTCCTAGATGCATTGCGGATACAGGCGTTGAATAGATGCAGTCATTCCAAATGGGAGACATTGGCCAAAACAGAGGGGCTACAGGCCCCCTGCAAGTCCAAAATTCAGCAGGACAGTTAAATCTTAAAGCTCCAAAATGATCTCCTTTGACTCCATGTCTCACATCGAGGTTACACTAAGGCAAGAAGTGGGTTCCCATGGTCTTGGGCAGCTCCACCCCTGTGACTTTGTAGGGTGTAGCCCCCTCCTGGCTGCTTTCACAGGCTGGTGTTTAGTGTCTGCACAGCTTTTCCAGGCACATGGTGCAAGCTGTCAGTGGATCTACCATTCTGGGGTCTGGAGGACAGTGGCCCACTTCTCACAACTCCACTACGCGGTGCCCCAGTAAGGACTCTGTGTGGGGGCTCTGACCCCACATTTCCCTTCCACACTGCCCTAGCAGAGGTTCTCCATGAGGGCCCTGCCCCCTACAGCATACTTTTGCCTGGGCATCCAGGCATTTCCATACATCCTCTAAAATCTAGAGAGAGGTTTCCAAACCTCAGTTCTTGACTTCTGTGCACCTGCAGGCTCAACACTAGATGGAAGCTGCCAAGGCTTGGAGCTTCCACCCTCTGAAGCAACAGCCTGAGCTATACCTTGGGTCCTTTCAGTCAGGGTTGCAGTGGCTGGGACGCAGGGCATGGAGTCCCTAGGCTGCACACGGCATGGAGACCCTGGGCCTAGACCATGAAACCATTTTCTCCTAGGCTTCTGGGCCTGTGATGGGAGGGGCTGCCGTGAAGACCTTTGACATGCCCTGGAGACATTTTCCCCATTGTCTTGGGGATTAACATTCGGCTTCTAGTTACTTATGCAAATTTCTGCAGCCAGCTTGAATTTCTCCTCAGAAAATGGGTTTTTCTTTTCTATCACATTGTCAGGCAGCAAATTTTCTGAACTTTTATGCTCTGCTTCCCTTATAAAACTGAATGCCTTTAACAGTACCCAGGTCACATCTTGAATGCTTTGCTGCTTAGAAATTTCTTCCACCAGATACCCTAAATCATCTCTCTCAAGTTTAAAGTTCCACAAATCTTTAGGGCAGGGGCAAAATGCTGCCAGTCTCTTTGCTAAAACGTAACGAGTCACCTTCGCTCCAGTCCCCAACAAGTTTCTCATCTCCATCTCAGACCACCTTAGCCTGGACTTTATTGTCCATATTGCTATCAGGTTTTTGGTCAAAGCCATTCAACAAGTCTCTAGGAAGTTCCAAACTTTCCCACATTTTTCTGTCTTCTGAGCCCTCCAAACCGTTCCAGCCTCTGCCTGTTACCCAGTTTCAAAGTCGCTTCCACATTTTTGGGTATCTTTTCAGCAACCCCCACTCTCTACTGGTGCCAATTTACTGTAGTAGTCTGTTTTCACACTGTTGATAAAGTCCACCCCAGACTGGGCAGTTTACAAAAGAAAGAGGTTTAACTGAACTTACAGTTTCACGTGGCTAGGGAAGCCTCACAGTCATGGCAGAAGGCAAGGAGGAGTAAGTCACATCTTACATAGATGGCAGTAGGCAAAGAGGCTTGTGCAGGAAAACTCCCCCGTATAATAACTATCAGATCTCTTGAGAGTTACTCACTGTCACGAAAGCAGCACCAGAAGGAACTGCCCCCATGATTCAATTACCTCCCACAGGGTCCCTCTCACAGCACGTGGAAATTCAAGATGAGATTTGTATAGGGACACAGCCAAACCATATCAAGTACAATCTTGTCTCCTTGTAGCATCCACCTCCTGGGCTCAAATGATGATTGAGGTGGGACACCTCAATCTCTCAAGTAGCTGGGACTACAGATGTGTGCCACCATACTGGCTGTGTTTTAATTTATGTAGAGATGATGTCTTGCTGTGTTGCCCAGGCTTGTCTGGAAGTTCTAGGCTCAGGGGATCTTCCTACCTTGGCTTCCCAAAGCTCTAGATTATAGGTGTGAGCCACTGTACCTGGCTAGCAGGAAAATTTCTAAGAAATAGATATTGGTACAATAACCACAAAGCCGACCAGAGAGAGTTTTTCTATTTCCATTTTATAACTCATTTTTTTCCTTGACCTTGGAAAACCAGGGAACAGTTGGACTTAAGTAAGTAAATGTACTTACTGTATAAGAATACTTCACTCTGACACACAGCATCTGCAACACAAGTCAGCTCAGACTTCAGTAACTGCTGTTAGTATTTCTATCATGAACCTCACAGATCCCTGGTGAGCAGGCATTGCATAAGAAGAAACTTCACAAGAGATAGAGATTCACTGGGAAATATACCAGAATATGTCATAATGAACAAACTCCTTCCAATGCATGTGGTGGGGATAATGATATGTAAATATTTTAATTTTTTGGACAATATTCTACAATTCATTTAGAACTTACATGGTATTATTGATGTAGGTTTCAAACTCACATATATGGCTTAAAATATATACTAATTTGATAGAAATTCAAAGTCAGATAATTCTCATCTTTATATAGGAAGTAATTATGAAAGTTCTCAATTAACATTAATATAAAACCTAGAAAGTAAGTCTAGCTTGACTCTTGAAGTATTATAGTATTTAAATTCTTTACTGAAAGAAAACCTGCCACTTACCTATGATGAGTGGTTATGTACATTTTGTACCTTTTATTATATAGCCTTGTCAGTTTAGAAAATTAAGAACATTATGATGTATTATTGGTTGAGCGGTAGCCCAAGCTACTCAGACAAGAAAATGATGGTTTGAGTGCACTTGATCTTGGACAGATAGTATCACTGAGTACTGCTTCCTTGTTTGTGCCAGAAAATGGGCTGGCATTTGACAAGATGTTTAAATATGAATGAATTTTTTTTTTTTGATTTTTTTTTTTTTTTTTTGGTGAGTTATTTAGGGCATGCTACAGTGTTCCTGGGGGCTCTTAAGCTGCTGTTTTGACCCTCTGGCTTTCTGGGAAAGAGATCCTTAATCCACCTGTTATTTGAGGTGTGATTTTCTAGGAATGGGCTCTTTGAAACTGTAAACTGTGTTCTCTGTCCTTTTTTCCACACCATCCACTCTTGTTAGCTGTCACAGCTTTGATTTTCTTGGCCAACATGGAAGTTTTCTACATTTACTAACTGTAGCCTAGGCTATGCTGCAAAAACAAATAGCTGTGAAATTAGAGCCACTTAATTCTACTGAGGTTTATTTCTTATTCTTATTCTCTGTATCCATCTTCAGCTGGTTGAGGCCTCTGCTCCATTTAATCACTTGGGGAGTCAGATTGAAGAACCACCATCTTGTATGTACATTATCTGGAAACACTCCCTCTTTAATCTCCATTTCAGGGAAGGAGGGAAAATGGGGAATTCCATTTGGGTCTTTTACTACCTCAGCCCAAAAGTGACACACATTGCTTCCTCTCACATTTCATGGACTCACATTAGTCATGTATACCTGACTGTAAGGGTTGCAGTGAAGAGGAGTGAAAGGAATATTTGGGGAACGTTATCACCCATGCTGTATTTTTCTATGACCCAGAAAATGTTGCAGTTTCCGAACACTTCGTGAGGTTGATGGGATCTAATTCATTTTCTTGTCTTCCTCCTCAGTTGGTAGAAGGGTCTCTTGGAATCCACAGATCTAGGTAACTTCTAAATGAGGCATAGGTCCCACCATGCACCTGGATTGCAGGTATTTTCTATTGGAGGGTTCTTTTGGAAATACTATCATTCCAGCCCAAGGCTGCTGGGACTGGCATTTTTGGGAACATTCCACTGTACCTCACGTCCATTCTTGGTTCCTACTCAACAGCTAAAGCTCTTTGATCATCCATCTATTTCTGTTCTCTCATTCCCTTGCTCTTCTACTTCTCTGTGAACCCAAGGGGACAAGGGAGACTTTTCTCTCCTCTGCAACATAGGAAACAAACCAGTAGACAAACTCCAGCTTTTTGGTTTGAGCCTTAGGTGAAGATTGAGCTGTGCCTGAGGCCATCCTTCTTCCTGCAGCCTCTCAGGAGGGCTCCTCATAAGTTCATACCTCTTTTCCTTACAACTAGAAGCTAGGATCAGTGAATTATGTATGATAGTAAAAAGGTTAAGGGATTCCTACTGGATGGTCTCCATTTCTTTTTGGAAGAAGGTAGAGGAATTAGAGAACTTAAGAGTAGAAAAAATTGGAAAAGCCACTGTGAAGAGGTATGGAGGAGGAAGAGAGATCCCTAGTGCTGCTTTATTTTTCATCCTGTGCCAAATTCTCTTTTAAAGTTCTATTTTGCTGTGCCACCCTCTCTCTCTTCCCTCTTGCTGGTCTTTACCAAACTCTTGGTTATTCTCCCTCCTTTTTTGAGGACTTTGGTGCCGAGTTTGAAGTCTTCCAACTAACCCTATTAACTTCCTCTCAATTTTACCTCTTCCTTTTTTAGCTGTGTTCCATCATTTGCCAATGGCAGCTCAGCTTCTTTGTTCTTTTATTCTTTTATTGGACCTATCTAGCAAAACTATGTCTAAAGATCTATTCACCTAGTCCAATCCTATGCCCAGACTGATAGCATTTCTGGAGATAGAAACTCAACAGTGGCAATTGATATTCTTAAATGCATGATTTCCATCCCCAGCCAAACCCTCATATATCAGACACTACATACATGGTATAAATAATGTTAAATAGTGGGAAACAAACACTCTCTTTCTTTGTTCAGTTCTCTCCCTATTATCCATAGTAGTTCTCTATGCTGTTTCTACTTCCCTTCTCTACACTTCTCAAATTTCTTATTTCTCTACCTTCTTCAAAATGACATTGAAATTCATATAGAAGTCAGTATCCAAAAGGTAGCAGCTCTTTCTACTTCTTGCCAGATACCTACAACCCTAACATGTCCTCATCATCGTTTCTTCCTCTATTCAAATCTCACTGGAAAGGAGGCTCTGGCTGAGGCCTGATACCGCAAATCCACTGCGTGACTTACCTTTCACTTACCTTTTTCTCACTAACTTCTTTCTGTCTTGAAAAACATAAAATTCGATAAACATACAAGTAAAACCTCTCTGGTTTCCCCATTTGCCCTTTGCTTCTTTTTTCCTCCCCTCCAAAACCAGATTCTCAGATGGAAGTGTTTCTGTTCTTTTCTGTCCATCCTCAGGTTTTCTCTTCAGCCTTACAGCAGTCTGCCAGTGCCTCCAGGACTCCACTGAAGCAGCTTTCATTTTACTTCACTGGTGGAATGTCTCCTTAGACGGGGTTAATCATGCCCTCCTTTTGGAAGTGCGCTCCTCTCTTGGCTGCTGTGATGAAATCCTGGTTTTTGCCTCACATCTCTGATTCCTAGGCCCCTTTTATAGAACTCCACTTTCTATTTAAATATTTTAAATGACAGTGTAATTTAATGACACCTTCTGTTTCCTCATCTTTACCCACTCCATACATCCGGAAATCTCCATCAACCTTGTGTTGGTTACACCACATTCCAGAGATCCCCCAAATTCCTGACCCTTTGTAACTCTGTTGTTCTTCTGTAATCTGTGTTTCAGCTCAGATCTATGTTCTGTGTATCCACTGCCTACTAGACATCACAAACTGGACAGTTTAAGAATCTTCAAACTCAGCATATTAAAAATGAAACTCGTCATCTACTCACCTTTCAAGTTTCTCATGCCAGTGCCTGACTCCATTAGTTACCCATATTACGCATGTGAAAAACCTGGTGGCACCTAAGATGTCTTCATCTCCCACAGCCCCTACTTACAATTAATGACCACGTTCTTAATGATTTTAACTATTTGTTATCATATCAGTCAAATGGCTGATACTGAATGGTGGCTACTTTCCATTCCAACTTCCTCTACCTTAATTCCAACCACCACCACCGTTTCTTACTTTGACTATTCAAAAGCCTTTTCCAGATTAGTCTCTCTTTATCCAGTTGTGCTTCATTCTATTCCATTCAACCCATAGCAAAATTATCTTTATTGAATATAAATCTGATCATATTACTTCATCTGCTTAAAGCCCTTCCTTGTTATTCTATTGACCGCAGAGTGAAATCTAAAATCTTTGTCATGTCATTCAAAAGTGTCTTCGTGATCTGGCATCTCTTGACCTTTCCAGCCTTAACTCACTAATCTCTATCATATTATTTATAATTTTTAATATATTTTTATTTTGCATTGTCTATTCCTGTTTATTTCAGTGGAAGTCTTCCCTAAGACTCTCAAAATTAAACATCTCCTCTAGGAGCTATCATAGCCCCTAATACTTAGTCATCTGGGGATAGTGATCACATGATTAAAAGTTTCTATTTATGACTTTGTCTTTTTTATTCTTTAAAGGCAGAAAGAAGCTTTTTTTTGGTCTTGTTTCTTAGCACAGTGTTTTTTTTTCTTCTTTGTTAGTACAGTGCCTGACTTAAAGAAGTACTCAGTCAAGGCTTTTGAATGAAGGAATGAATGCTCTTGGGACCTCATTTAGACAACCCTACCTGTGAGAATTCTCTTTGTCCCTATGGTTTCTTTTTCTTGATTTCATAGGCTGGTAAAAAAATAATACTTTTTTTCCCTCTAATCCATTAGACTAAATCTTACTCTCTTAAATTTCAGCTTCAGTAGGCCCACCCGGCTCATCATTCCTCTGTCTTTGAGGCACTCTGTACCTCCTTGGCACCTTGTGTGATCTGTTACAGCACTTAAAACAATTATTTATGTATAATTATTGGTTTTCCTGCCTGTATTCATTCATCTCTTCACTGAGAGAGACTTCAACAGAGAGTTCTTTGAAGCAGGACTTTATATTTTTTTATCTGTGTTTCCAAATGATGAGCTCAGGAAAGGAGTTCTTAAAATTTTTATGATAAGGGTGTTGAGGACCTCCCTTAGGAATTCTTCATATAAGTTAAACATCAAAGTTCTTAAAATGATTACCAAACTAAAATGCCAAAGGAAGATTTTAAGCCAAGTTATCAGTTGATAACTGAAAGGTGTATTTTAAATGCTTTTTTTCTTGCCTTAATTATTTATAACAACTGGCCATAGATTCCCCTACCAATTTTTAAATGGCCTGCCTCAAGTAAAGTTTGAATTAGTATGGGAATTAGCTACTATGGCTCAGCCTTTTCTTACCCTTAGTACTGCAGGTCAGAGGATTCCCAGGCATAGAATGAATGACATTTAGCCAGTGTTTTGAATCTAAGCCTTGTTCTGAAGCTCTTAGGAAATTAAACCTCTCCAGGTGTTGCTGATTGTGTCCATTGTCTTAGGAGGTCAGACCCTATCTCAAGATAGAACATAACATTTATAGAAGCATAAGTTCAATTTAGCATCTAGGGCAATATAGACTAATTCTAAGGTTTTTAAATTATATTCATGTCTACATTGCCCATGATTTCAGAGTTATGCATACTTGTTATGACAATGCAGAAGGATATAAAGAAAGTAAAACTGCCTATAATTTAAGCACTTAATTTATATAATTTATATTAATCTATTACATACATTAATTATATAATTAAGTCACAGAAATCAATCATGTAAATTAAATTATGTAAATTAATCATTTGATTGAATTATATAATGTAATCGTATAATCACATCATATAAATTAATTATATAATTAAGCTATGTGGATTAATTATATGATTGAGTTATGTGGATTAATTGTATGATTAAATTATACAATCAATTATTAATTTATATTAATTTATATAATTATAAGCACCCAAAGATAATGTGTTAACAATTTGATATATGTCCTTTCCCTTTTTTCTGTACACACACAAACACACATTTGCTTTCTCTCACTCTCATACTTTTATTTATTATGTATAAAGAAGGATTATCCTAAACCCCTAAATGGTGTCTTGCAAGTAGACTTTTTACTTAACAGTAGCAGTAAATAATTGTCTACACCCTCTTTCTGTACCATTCTTTATGTTTTAAACAACTATTTGTGAACATTTTATGTTGCTTCCAGTATCCTGCAATGAACAAGGATCCTTGTACTTATATATTTTTGCACTTGTCTATTTACTCATACTATATTACTAGAAGTGAAAATTCTGAGTCTTGTGACACATGTTGTGAAATTGCCCTTATGGAAGTGACATCAACTCCTGCCAGTACTCTCATGACTTAGTGTGGGATATTAGAATTCTTTTTAATTCCTTGTCAGTTCCATAGTCACAAAGTTGAATTTCCTTATAGTTTTAAATTGCATTTATTTGATATTGATTTGATTATTAATTTGCATTTATTTAATTTGCATTTATTTGATAGTGAATTTAAATATGTTTTTATGTTTTCTTTATTTTCCTAGGTTTAATTAGCATTTGCTAAAGGGGTCTTGTAACCACATTTCTTGTGAAAGGGTTTCAGCCCTGCTTTTATAAATTTTGTGGCATTTCCTTAGGGTGGCTTTAAGAACCTCAGTTTTAACTATGAGCCTGACAGTGCACATTGAGATATTACCTTCTAGAAACTGGGACCACATGTACCTGGCTGTATTAGTCTGGGTTCTCTAGAAGGACGGAACTAATAGATGTATATATGAAGGGGAGTTTATTAAGGAGTATTGACTCACACAATCACAAGGTGAAATCCCACAATAGTCTGTCTGCAAGCTGAGGAGCAAGGAAGCCAGTCTGAGTCTCAAAACCTCAGAAGTAAGGAAGCCAACAGTGCAGCCTTCAGTCTGTGCCTGAAAGCCTGAGAGCCCCTAGCATATCACTGGTGTAAGTCCAAGAGTCCAAAAGCTGAAGAACTCGGAGTGTAATGTTCTAGTCTGATGTTTGAGGGCAGGAAGCATCCAGCACAGGAGAAAGATGAAGGCTGGAAGATTCAGCAAGTCGGCTTTGTTCTAGCCGTGCTGGTAGTTGATTAGATGGTACCCACCCAGACTGACTCGGATGGGTCTGCCTCTCCCAGTCCACTGACTCAAATGTTCATCTCCTTTGGCAACCCCCTCACAGACACACCCAAGAACAATACTTTGCATCCTTCAATCCAATCAAGTTGACACTTAATATTAACCATCATACTGGCTATGTAGAATCTATGAAGTAATCAGCTCCCAAGTGTAGAAATGGAATGAGAATATTGCATTGTAGCAAGTGCCTTGGTAATAATACTGAATTGTCAGTCATCATGTAGATCTGAACTGTAGGTGTCACCATGACCTGATGTAGCACACCCAATGCTTAGAAAATTACTGAAGTAACAACCTAGTGCAGGTTCATACTTAGTCATTCAGGCCTCCTAAATTAATGAACTAGGTTGTAAATGATTGTTGGAGTCTGACCAGCTTAGCTAATTGAGTATTTATTAGACACACTTCATAAAAGCCGTAATTTGTACTAATAATGTGCACTAATTAATGATTATTGTCAATAAAAGGGCAAAACAGTTATATAAACTAATCTTTTGTGGCTCTTTTAAAAAATAAATATGGTCATTTATATCCTGTGATTATTTTTCGATTTCATTCTAATATTTGCATCCTTGCTTCATTGTATAGTTCAGTAATGGACTATTTCTAAATTTTTTTCTAATAACAAATTATTTGGATTTAAAAATAACTCATCAGGTATGGAGTTATTATTCCTTGAAGCACTGCAATTTGATTTACATTTGGATATGCAAAATTCAAGCTTTAGTGTACCTGAACAATGTTTTTGTGATTTAGAGCTGCTATGGGAATTATAAATTTCAAAATTTTTCACTTGGATGAATTCAAAATCATTCTCCTCTATGCATTATCTTGATATATTTGAGTTGAATTTACTGTTAATTTTTTAACAAAGACATGATTTTGAGGTGAAAGAAATATATGCTCTTTATTGTTAGGAATTATGTAAATCTTAAAAGTTAAATCTGTACACCAGCACTGTGAAAACATAATTTAATGCTTATAAAGGAGAGAGTAAAGATTTTGCTTTTAATGAAGAAAAGAGAAACAGTTACATCTAATTAATCTTAGATATATAATGTAGCCTAGGATTAAGGCGAGTCAAACTATACCATAGCTCTTTCTGTGGGTTAATCTGTCTTTTATTAGTGTATCATCACTTTTTAGACTGTTTGGGCTGTTTTACAGAAATAGCAAAAAGAAAATACATTAAATCAGAATTTATTTAATCTTTACCTAGGTGAAAGCTAAAAGTTTTATGCTAAGATTAGTGTAAACTTGGGTAACTGAAAAATTGTCCCAAGTTTTGAATTAAATTTGGCCACCCAAGGTACCATAGTTTATTGTGTGTGGAAGTATGCATTAAATTTCTTGAATAATCCTCATTCCAGAAGCCCATAATCTTTGTTTGGAAAGATGAAAATGATAAGGCAGCCATAATTATATTATCTAAATACGAAGTAGGATCCTGTTACCCACCAGTAACTTCTCTTGCTCTTTCCCTCTGCAACAGCGTTTCATGCTCTTCATTTTCCCTTTGCTCTGATATCTGTCCTTTGTCCTTACTACTCTGATAGGCCACCTTCTATTTTGCATCTTCATTTTGAAAAGTCTTTTTTTCCTTTGACTTAACTGACATCACTTTCTCCTAGTTCTGTTTGTTTCACGCCATCCCTAATCACTTCTCAGGTTTCTCTATTTCTCTATTTGTACTTCTTTATCTGCTTGCCCCCTAATCTGTTGCTTCTTTCTTAATTGACTGTAGCTTTTGGAATTTCTTCTTTTGCAAATGTAGCTGCCGTCAGCCCCTCAGGACTTAACCTTCCTCTGTAACATTGGACTTAACTGTTCTTGCCTTGGGTGTTCTTTTTCTCCTTTATGGTAGTGAGACCCAACAACAGCTGCCACTCAGCTAGGACATTAAGAAGAATGAGTCTGTGCCGGGCGGGGTGGCTCATGCCTGTAATCCCAGCACTTTGGGAGGCTGAGGCGGGTGGATCATGAGGTCAGGAGATGGAGACCATCCTGGCCAACATAGTGAAACTCCTTCTCTATTCAGATACAAAAATTAGCCAGGCATGCCTATAATCCCAGCTACTCAGGAGGCTGAGGCAGGAGAATCGCTTGAACCAGGGAGTTGGAGGTTGCAGTGAGCCGAGATTGTGCCACAGCACTCCAATCTGGCGACAGAGCGAGACTCCGTCTCAAAGAAAACAAACAAAAAAAAAGAATGAGTCTGAAAACAAGTTCATATCCTTCGGAATAAAAAATTCTCAGGTGTTTGGAAAGTTATTGAATGAATAGAATCCCAGAATCTTATCTGAAAATCCTATCTCATATTTCAAATCCTGTGCAGCAGGATTTTAAAGAAGAAAATCAGTACTTAAATCAGTATGTTAATAAATTAAAAGGCTTATCAATTTCAGAAAGAATCCAAATTATATTTATCGTTATCTTTTCTTTTCCTTAAAATTATTTTCAGACAAGATCTTGCTCTGTCATCCAGGCAGGAGTGCAGTGGCACGATCATGGCTCACTGCAGACTTGAACTCCTGGGCTTAAGCAATCCTCCTGCCTTAGCCTCCTGAGTAGCTGGGAGTGTAGGCACATGCCATCATGCCTGGCTCATTTTTAAATGTTTTGTAGCGGCAGGGTCTTGCTTTGTTGTCCAGGCTGGCCTTGAACTCATGGCCTTAAGAAGTCCTCCTACCTCAGCCTCCCAAAATGTTGATAGTAATAGACGGAGGATATTCAAAGCTATATCTTTTAAGTAATATTCTCATTTGTCTTCAATAATGTGTTTCAGCATATGGCATATATACTCTTGTTACTTTAGTCAACTTTACTAATAATGAAAATAACCACTGTGCTGGTCCAGTGGCACCACTTCCTTTTTCATCTCCTTTGTATTCTTCAGGTTACATCTTCAGTGTCAGGAAGAAAAGCCTTCTGTCTCTCTCTCTCCTTGTGATTAGGTTAAATCTTATTGGAGTTTTCTCATACCATTGCAACTGCAGTTTTACACATTTAGATATGACTATGGAAGATATGACCTTCATGAAGACTTTTGGTGTCATGGATGTAGATGGGTGCTCATGGAATATTTCTCAGTCGAATACACGAGTTAATAAATGAATGAGTTTGGGCTTCACAATTAAATTGGAGGTTTAGATAAGAAAACCTCAGAGAACAAAACATGTATAATATTTTCTAATTGATTTATGTGTCTGCCACTCTGGCAGATGATGAATTCAACATGACCTTTGTACTTGAAGTGTTCATGTTAATCTAAAGCATTCCTTATTGTTTTCAGGGCTACCTGAGAATCCTAGAACATTTATGAATATTATAATTGAAATACTTAGGAATGAATTTCTCTCCCAGCAGGTTCTTCATATCCCCTTCTTATTCCTTATTATCTTCTTACTTCTTATTACTGTGATAAAATGACCCTGTGCTTTATATAAAGCCATAACTTATACCGAGAGTTTTAAATGCAGCAGAATCTCAGTGGAAATAGGATGATACAATTTTTTCCCCCCAAAGCACAGTGGAGAGCAGGAGAAAAGCCAAGGACCACTACCCAATGAAAGAATAATCAGTCTTTTATCCTGATGAGATAGTACCTTTATCCCTTCTCTTAATGGATTGAGAACCCACTGGAAAAACTAAAAGTGAACCAGAAAAATCTCAAAAGGAAGCCATGGGACCAGGAGTTCCTTGAAAGTGTTCAGGGAAAGGAAAGAAAAGGATTAGAAGAGTAGATGTTTAATAAACTATGCCAGCCAAAATGATCTTTAACTTTGAATTAGTTAGCTAAAAATGTACCAAATAAATGTATTCAAGACCTGTTTCCCTTCCCCTAGGGAAGAGTTAGAGCAGGATTTTACCTTGTTTTACAAAAAAGAAAAGTTTATTTTGAAAAAAATTCCAACCTTGCCTCCTCCGAACTATAGTGAAAAGATAATTTTCCACATCCCTTTGTTCAGGAAATGAGGACACAGTGGTGTCATTGGGTTTTGATTGTCCACTTGGAAAAGGTTAAAACCTGTCCTACAGTCATGATGACTTCAGTTCCATTTAAGTGGGGTCCTGTCTCTCTCACTCTCCACCGACTGTACCTTTACTATAACATGGCCTTATATAGATAGCTTTGAGTAAGTGTGTGTTAAATGACTGCCCAAGTGAATGGAAAATTGAGAAGGGCCTCCAGCACTGGAGTATGGAAAGGAGCACTGGGTTCATTGACTCTTTGGATTTCTCCCTTGCTACGTAAGTCCGTTCCCTAAAGGACATGGATCTTGACAGTGTTGGAATCTTCAGAAATAATTGCAATACCAGAAGTTATTTAAGATTTTACCATTTTCAAAGTATTTGTACGTAACACTTTCATATGTTTTTGTTTCCTAGCTACCTCAGTTTCCCTGTTGGCTTGAGCAGATTAGTGTAAAGAGGTGGTGACATCAGGGGAAACAGGTTTACTCAGCCATCTTCATTACCATATTATCACTGACTTGAGGCTCCTCCCACATGCATTCCTTAAGAGGTTATTGTGGGTCACCCAAATTATTTACAGCCATCTATATTATCAATATATTGAAACACAAGTGTGCTCTATGGAATAAATCTTAGGCTTGAATGTGATTATATGGGCCTCTGTTGAAATGCAGATTCAGATCTATTGAAAGATCTGAGATGGGCCAAGATGGGATGGACATATTTTTAATAAGCTCCTAAAAGTGAGCTGATGCTGCGGGACTATGGACCATATTTTGAGTATCAGTATCAAGTTGCTAGGACATAAGAGGTCTCGGTTCAGCTGAGGCCTGTTGGTTTCTACTCTGCCTGACACATTGTTGACAGGATAACATCATCACCCACTGGATGAGTAAAAGTTCCATTAACTTGCAAAAAGGATAGATAGCATGACTCATGGAACCTGTCTTCATTTAAAATTAGTGAAGTAAACTAGACTAAATAGTCATCCATTTTTAAAAGTCCAAATATTAGGCATTCTGGTGAGAAACATTAGTCTTTGATGGTTCACTTGTTCAAGAAAATAGTGGGATTTAAGTCTTAAATCATTACTTGTCCTCTTTCCTTTATACCAAGGCCCAGAAGTGCCAGAATCAGCTTCTGGAAAAAGTAATTGCACTGGTTTAGGGGTGAAAAGGTAGTATTTTTTATCTGTTGCTACTATGCTGAAAAGTGAACTTACCTTTAAATGGTTTTCCTCTTTGAAATTCTCTGAGAGGATAAAGCTTCTCTGTAGCAAAAGCCAAGTTTCATCTAACTATTGATTATTCTGTAGATAACTTCATTCACAGTTGGGAGACAAGATAATAAGTTTAAAGATAAAAACTTCTTTCCTTGAGTAGCCTGTGGTTTCTAATCGTAAATTTTTGTTTGATCCCACTATTGTGGGTCACCCAAATTATTTACAGCCATCTATATTATCAATATAATGAAAACACAAGTGTGCTCTGTGGAATAAATCTGTAATGCAGTGAAATTGGAGACTTAATTTGAGCAACTACAAGGAAATAAACATACTGTGATCTAAATTTACTAAACAATGCTTTAAGGCAAGTATTTAAATTGGTAAGAATTGGATTGGTTTTCTCTTAACTGTTTGCAGTCTCTTGACTATTGCTTATATTTAATAACTGAATATTTGTGTTGGGGCATAATTACTCAAAATTACGTTTTTCTTCCTGCGAATACAATGTTAATGTAGTAATGCTAACTCAGCTACTCTTTCATAAACTTCCATGTCTTTTTTTAATCTGGCAAAAGCCTTCTCTCAGGATAATCATTATGCTCGGTAATCCTCACCGTCATACTTGAAGTAGTTAATAGATAATCCTCCAAGCAGCACTCCAGATCCATCTGAGTACCCAGTAAAACACTTCTTGATGCTATTGGAGTTTTCTGAATTTCTTTATCTGGGAGACAATGGAAATTCCATGGAGAATTTCTTCTATTAGAATGTATATTCAAATCTTACATTGTTTGAGTACCCTCTTCTAATCTTAAATATGGTTTCCAGATGTGAATTGACTTTACAGATTTTTAATCTTGGAGTCCTTAATGAACACAGATTAAAGATTTGACAGCCTACGTTGTTGACTCCCTCTCCACTCATTTCTTTTTCTTAAAAGAATGATAAAATGGAACGGGTTTCATATAGTTATTGTTAATAATAGGAGACTGTTCTGGTAGTGGCTATAAGGATATGTATAAGTGGATGGATTGAAGAAACATTTACTGCAAAATTATCAGAAATTGGTGTTGATTGGATGTGTGGGATACGGATCATGGTACATCAGTAAAATAAAGTTATGCTTTGGCATAGTGAATTTGGTTATCTGGGGATAAAGTTTTTAATTCTTCAAACAAAAAGAAAATGCTTTTTATCTGAATTCTCTTTATAATTATTTATTTGCTCCCCTTTGCATAGTTTTCATAAGTGGCATGCAATATATATGGATTTCTAATTATGTAACTCCATTTACAGTTTGAATAACTATTTTAGAAGTGACTTTGACTAATAAGATTGGTTCTTTTAAAATCTGGAAAATTCATGAGGTTGTTAAAGAGATAAAGTTAGTTTGGAAAGGCCATTTAAATAATGTGTTGATTAATATATCCAAAATAAACTATTTGCTTTTCTGCGTAGATATAGCTACATCCTACAAAAATCTTGCTTCACTCAAGGGGCTTCAGATAGGGTACCTGCTGAGTTTTTTGTTGTTGTTGGTCAGTAACATGGTTATATACAAGCATTTAGAAATTCTTCGTTTCTTATTTAGAACCTAAGATCCTTTTGTATCATAATTTTGTTTTAAAACTTCAAGAATTTGACCTAGTTCTTATAGTTCTGACTCACAAAAATAATGGCCGTAATTGGGGAGTTATAATCATTTTAGCTTGGAAAGATAAACTATTACATTTTTCTGGTTTTGACAACTGACCTTCTTAATAAAATGACATGAAGTTTTCCTGCAGAAATGTAATTTAAAAACTGATGAAAATGTATTCCTATTTACTTGTACTATTTATGTAAGTATTCGTTTGCTTTTTCTTTAGAAATAAAAGGAACATCTCTTAACTTTTAAAAAATAACATTTAACATCAATTAAATCTTTTTTAATTACACTAAGAAAGGACAATAAATTAAGTTTTTTTTAAAAAAGATAAGTATTACATCACAGTTGATCACATAATTGCAGTAATTTACTTATCATGTGACAATAAATAACTTGATCTGTGATCCCTGATAAAGCATAACAGTAGAAAAATCCTTTGATGGGATAAATATGTTTCTGTTTTATAGGTGACCTCTAGAAACTATCACCTTTAATCTCACACCTGCCTGGAGAGTTGAAAGTAGTCTGAAATGATGATTTTCAGGGCTTCTCATTTTGATATGTGATTTTCTAGGGCGTTTTTATTTTCTAAAAAGTATTTGAAATTCATTCTAAGTCAAAATGCCCTGATTCACTCAAAACTTAGAAGATGAGGCTCTTGCTTTTGACATCTTAGTCTTAGCACTACTAGAAAATGTATAAAATCTGTAATTCCATTGCTGTAACACTGCTCTTTCCCTCCACTTAGATTCATTTTCTACTTACTTTAACAAATATATTAGAAATTGTGTTTTTAATTAGTGTAGTGTCAGCATTCTTTAATTCTCCTGTAGAGCTAATTGAGGTATCACATAGTACTTAGTGCAAAAACAACCATTAGGTAAACACGTCCGTTACACAGAAGAGGAAGTGGTGAGGAAAATATCTGTCTTTAATTCTCCTATCGTTCCTTAAGTGCTTCCTCTGTGCTGGGCACATGGCTGTAGTGGTGACAGGGCTGCCTGGAACCCTGTCCTCATGGAGCTTGGCATCTAAGTGAGACCAGCAGACAGAGAGTTGTACAAACAAACCAGATAATTACAGAAGATAAAAAGTGTTATAGGCCAGGTGATGTGGCTCGTGCCTGTAATCCCAGCACTTTGGGAGGCTGAGGCGGCAGCATCACTTGAGCCCAAGAGCTCAAGACCAGCTTGGGCAACATGGTGAAACCTAATCTCTACAGAAAACACAAACAATAGAGGGGTGTGGCAGCCTGCACCTTAAGTCCCAGCTACTTGGGAGGCGGAGGTGGGGAGATCGCTTGAGCCCAAGAAATTGAGGCTAAATGAGCCATGATCACACCACTGCACTCCAGCCTGGGTGACGGAGTGAGACCGTGTCTCAAAAAAAAAAAAAAAAGTCTTGTAAAGGCAGATTAACATGATGATATCATAATCACTGGGAAATGCTATTTCTGATTAAGAAATAATTTGTCTTCATCATTTATTCTGTATGGATATGAGAGATGATATTTGAACTGTCCTGCTCAATGAGATCATTTCTTGGAGGTCTCCTTAGGGGGGTTTGATTTCTTCCTTGAAGGATTCATGATTATTATTACTGCCACAGCTTATTCATCATTCCACACATACTTATTGAGGGCCTGATGTATTTCAGCCTCTATTCTCGCTTGGGAGAACAAAGCTGTGAAATCCCCTGATCTCAGTGAATTTGCCATGTGTTCTCTACTGTTTTAATAAAACCCACTTTCCAGGCTCTTCAGTTGTATAATGGTCTAACTCTATACATTCGTTTTCCAACCTGGGCAATGCAGGGAGACCCTATCCCTACAAAAAATTTAAAAGTTAGCCAGGTGTGGTGTTGTGCACCTGTGGTCCGAGCTACTCTGGAGGCTGAGGTGGGAGGATTGTTTGATCCCAGGAGGTCGAGGCTGCAGTGATCACTGCACTCTAGCCTGCATGATAAAATGAGACCCTTTTTTTTTTTTAAATTTCATTCTTCCAACATGAATTTTCCATATTTAAACATGATTTGTAGGAGAAAGCACCTGCTATATACAGCAAGATATAAAATTCAATTGATTACTTATTATGATCTATTTTATTGTTGCTAATCTTTTGACATGTATTTAACATTTGTTTAACTTGTTTTCTTAATTCACATTCAGTCTTTTTTTTGCAGTAAGAAATTGTCCAGCTTGTGCACTAGCAGAGAGGTTGCCAAATCTGCCTTAAGCTGGAGAGTTTAGCTTCCTTTACCCTTTGAAACTTGAGGCACATCTAAGTCCCGAGAGATGTGATATTTATTACTTCTTGTGGCTAGCTCTTGTGTATAGATATCCTCACAATTTTCCTTGGTATATGTAGATCCTGGTCACCAATCTGACAGTCAAAAAAGGCCACTTAACTATCTTCTGTCAGGACATAATCAGAAAATGTTGTTGATTTTTCTGCCGTCTTTGAAAAACTGCTCTGACCAAGATATAATTACCTAAGTGAGCACGTGCTCACTTACCTTATTTGAATCTTCACTCCTTATATGCTCACCTCTAAACACTTGCAGTGATAATTTTAACATTTTATTTCTGAAAGTGATTTCTTTACTCTACCCTCCCCCAAATGGTAGCCACTAGCCAAAAGTGGCTTTCGAGCACTTAAAATGTGACTGGATTGAGACGTGCTGTAAGTGTTAAAGTACACACTGGATTTGAAAGACTTAGTGTAATAAAAAGAATGTAACATATCTCATGAACATTGTCATATTGATTGTATATTGGAATGATAGTGTTTTGGCTGTATGGGACTAAATAAGGTATATTATTAAAACTGATTTCATCTACTCTTTACCTTTTTAATGTGACGATTTAAAATTGCCAACGTAGCTTGCAATATATTTCTTTTGGACAGTACTGCTTTAAAATAGGAATGCATATGGAATGTTCAAAATGGTTTTGGAAGCCTGGATTCGTTGATCTATTTGAAGAGTTGCAAGATTACTCTAGAGCAGTGTAATGTGTAAATTTAGAACTACTTCATGATCAATGATTTACTTCCTTGTAAAGCAAGTGAAAGCTTTAATATTGCATGTGGGACAAATATGACATTTACAAATGGGCAAATTTCAAACTGGACAAAGCAGTGTCTTCATTGCCATCCAGATTATCTGCTCAATATAGATTGAAATTTTAAAAGTAAGTACCTTTATTACTTTCAAAAATAGTTTACTGTTTAAAACAGTTGCTCTGTCTTAGGCAGCATGGCTCAAGAGAATATGTGATTTTAGGAGTAAAAGATAAAAAGAACATGTTAATGCTTTTTGGTCAAACATCTAGAAACTATTTTCTGTAATATCTGGCTCTGCTATGAAGAAAAGAGGTGAGCCAGGTTGCTGACAAAAATTGGTGGGCAAAGAAATAGGGATAGAAGTATATTATTTCAAGTCACCAAGGTGCAAAACAGTTGAAAGATTAAAAATAATAGTGTCTATATTATATATAAACAATGTGAAGGTGGTAAAATAAGAAGATATAAATGATATGGAGAAAACCGGAGAGGAGCTAAAACTAAATAAATTTAAAAGGAATTGATGGGGCCAGTGCGGTGGCTCACACCTGTAATCCCACTTTGGGAGGCCAAGGCATGTGAATCACTTGAGACTAGGAGTTTGAGACCAGCCTGGCCAATATGGTGAAACCCCATCTTTACTAAAGATACAAAAATTAGCTGGGCGTGATGGCGTGCGCCTGTAATCCCAGCTACTCGGGAGGCTGAGGCATGAGAGTCTCTTGAACCAGGAGGCAAAGGTTGCAGTGAGCCTGATCAAGCCACTGCACTCCAGCCTAGGTGACACAAGACTCTGTTTCCCAAAAAAAAAAGGGGGGTTGATGGGTCTGGGCTAGGACTTGACTTTCATCATAAACTACTTATACTATTTGATTTGTTGCCATTTGCCTGCATTTCATTGATACTTTTATGTATCCATTCTCCATATGGAGGGTCAGTTAGAAGGTTTTCACCCATTTATCATGCACAGTCCTTCAGTGAGAATCTTTGTATCTCCTTGTGTACTTGTGCTAGACTCTCTTGAGGGTAGGTTTTAAAATGGACTAGTTGGATTAAGATATGCTCCTGCTTAACAATTGCTTTCTAAATTGGTTCTATCAAATTCTACTCGAGGTAGAAAGGTACTGTTTCCCCCATTCTTGCCAATAACTGATGTTATATTTTAAAATTGGTATCAGTGTTATATGTTAAATCATATCCCATTGTTATTTTAATTTGTACCTACTGATTATTAGTGAGTTTGGGTTTTTTTCAGTTTATTGAAAGTTTGGAATTTTATTTCTGTGACGTTTCATATGCTTTTACATATATTTTATTGAGTTTTAAATATTTTTTTCTGAGTAAATTTTAGGAAACCTTTATGTTTTTCAGATGGCTGGTTTTTGGGATGTAGAAGTTTTCATGTCTGGTATCAATTTTTCTAGCCTGAAAAATTATTTAATTCTCTTCCTGTCCCATTTGACCATAGCTGGAGCCTTTTGATGGTAAACTTCTTAGGATTGTTAATATCAGAAACAAGCCTACTTAACAGTAATTTTAGTGATTAAGATTTTAAGAGCTCAAAAGTTTGGATTTGAGTTCAAGATCTTCATCATTTTGGGTAGTTATTTATTTTATTTTTTGTTTTTGCATTTAAGACTATTTTCTCAGCATATTATACCTGTAATTGAGTAGTTATGTAGTCTTTCCAGTTTCTGAATAGGAATAACAATATGTTATAGTACACATAAGCACACACTCACATGTACAAATACCGCAGAGCTTGGGACAGTATCCACAATAATTTGAAGTAATAATAAGAAGAAAGAGAATAGCACCAAGTATGTTCATTTTTTGAAAACAGATACCTTTTACCAGAGTGCTTTTACTTAAGTAAAACTTGGTTAACTGATTAGCATTACCTAATTCAGATTCTAATAGTGCATTATGATGCTAGCATACAGTGATTGATTTCTGTAATTTTCATATACTAGCACGCATATATCTTGCTTATGGAAATCATTACTCAAGAGTTTCACAATTTACACAAAAATCTATATAGCTGCTTTTTTATTGGATAGTCTTAAGTGTTAGATTTGCATATATTTATGTAGCTCACTAAATCAATATGTTCTTTGTAAACTGATATAAAACCTTTTTTGTACACATAAGAACATTTACTGATTTAATAAATCAGACGCTTGTCAGACATGCATCAGTGTAAATTGTTGTTTATATATAATGTAAGCACAATTCTTTAGATACAGTATATAATTCGTCATTCAATTAACATAAAGATATAATCAGTCAGTAGTTTATCTCCCAAGGTTCAACTCCTGCAGGAAAGAAACTGTCTTTGATACATAGAAATTAAAACATTTAATGATTTTCCTAAAGTGCTTTTGTATTCTGTAGAGCTTTAAATTTAGATTTTTTATTTTTTGTACTCATTTCACAGTAACAATTAAGTAGACTTGACAGCTACCTAGAATTCATAATCTTTTTCTCAAAAACAGTGGCAAATTGTGAAGGTTTGATTAAAATTCTTAAGTCATTAAAGCTAACCTTTTAAAATCTGAATGTAATTAATTGAATGATTTGAAGATTTACCCTTTGGAAGATATTCCAAGGAGATATGAGATAGAGAGATAGAGATAGATAGGGGAGACAGAGAGAGAGAGAGAGAGAGAGAGAGAGAGAGAGAGAAAATGCCAGTATTATCCTGCTTTTATTGGCATGCAGTTGCCTGATCTCCTCTTGTTTTCTTTGGGGAGTTAGGCAAAAATTTATGTATTTCTTCAAGTAAGCACATATTTGATTACAAAACCAAACAGTACTAAGAGTCTTATATCAACCTTATTTAACGTATTTTAGAACAATATGCGTGAGTTGCACTTTATTGACATAAGTTTTAGACAGTTTCTATTGAATGCCTGTTATATTATTGAGTATTTATCTTTCTTACATTTCCTTACCACACGATCTCGCACCATAGCCACTTCAGAATTTTTGGTTGCATCACTAATCAGCATATTACAATGACTGTACTGTTACACCATAAGTATATATTTTTTCTTCTACTTTTTATTTTTCCTATAGTTAAAAATTGCTTATCATTTTTCCCATTAGCTTGTATTTTGCTGTGTGTCCATTATTGTTTTTTCCCTAATAATTTAAGAACATTAGTCATGGTTCTCAATAATTTTCCTAAATAGTCTAACACATCAAATAAATTATCAATAATGAATTAGTTTTGCCTTCTCCTCCACCCTAGAGACCTTCCCAGAGCTCTCCTTTTTTCTTGAGTCTGAACCATATTCTCTGAGAGTATGATGCACATCTGTTGTCATGTGTCATATTCTCTTTTCTGGATGCCATATTCTTCTTGTTTTACTGAAACATAGCACTCTTTGTAAAGAAAACTTTATTCTTTGTAAAGAAAAGTTGTATCGAAGGTCATTTTTCTTTTTTTTAATCTCTGCATGTCTAAAATACCTTTATTTTACCCTCATTTTAATTAATAGATTGAGAAGGTATGGAATTCTGTGTTAGAACTCATTGTCCCTTATAATTTTGAAGATTGCTCAATATCCTACTACTGTGCAGTGTTGCTGGTTAATCTAGTGCTTTTCTAATTTCTTTATATGTAACTTACCTTTGTATATCTTTGAAGTTTATCAAATCTCTTTTTCATCCCTGAAGTTCTGAAATTTCACATTGATATGGCTTGATGTCAACTTATAAAAAATACCTATCAGGCTTGGTGTTTACTGCAAAGCCCTTCACTGTGGAGACTCCTGTCTTAGGAATTTTTTTTTTTCAATTATTGTTATTATTTTTTAGAGACAGTGTCTTACCCGTCAACCAGGCTGGAGTGCAGTGGCATAATCATAGCTCACTGCAGCTTCAAACTCCTGGGCTCAAGCAATTCTCCTGCTTCAGCCTCCCAAGTAGCCAGGACTACAGGCACTTGCCACCATGCCTGGCTGATTTTTTATTTGTTATTTTGTAGAGACAGGGGTCTCAATATGTTGTCCAGGCTGGTCTTGAACTCCTGGCCTCAAGCAATCTTCCCACCTCAGCCTCCCAAAGTGCTAAGATTACCAGTATTAGCCACCGTGCCAGGCCAGGACATTTTCTTGTATTTATATCTTTGATAATATTCTCTTACCTCCTTCTACTCCTTTTTTGGGGTCTACCATTGAAATTCCTGTAGTGATACTCAGTTTCTTATATTTACTTTCATATTTCCCACCTCTTCATCTCTTTATTCTGCTTTTTCAAGATTTCTTCATTTTTATGTTCCAACCATTTTGTTGCATTTTTAAGTTTTGACATATTTTAAATTTCCAAAGGCTCTTTTTAAATTCTTTCATTTTTTTCTTTTTCTTTTGAAAATGCTTTTCAGAGCATTTTGTTCTTGTTTCATGTGCCAAGTATATTCTGGTTATCTATATTTCTTTTAAGTACATTTAAGTTTCTTCTGTTCCTTTCACTGCTTCTGTTTCCTCCAAGTGTCATTTTTTTTTATTTCTTCTTGTCTTTCATATTCATGTTGTAGGCTTTTCTCAAATGTCTACTGATCTTTCAACTGTCTATTCACATTTAAGAGTAAGGTAGTGGGAAACATATTTTAATAATAATGTAAGCACCATGGTAGGAGATAATCAGTAAAATTCTTGAGTGCAGTAGCCACAGGCTTACAGTGTCTTCACTCTGACTCATCCAGAGATTAAATTTGCTCGTTCCACAAAAAAATGCCAGTGTTATTAAGCCCTGGTACTGTTGCAAAAATATAAAAAGGAGAAAAGAAAAAGACCAAGGAACCAAAAGAGAGATAAATAGACAAAGAGTCAGAGATGGATGGATGGACTGTTTGTACAAGAGTGTGTGTGTGTGTGTGTGTGTGTGTGTGTGTTTGTGTTGGGGGGGAGAGACTATGAGAATATGAGGTAGAAAGAGTGTATATATATATATATATATATATATATATATATACACATACATATATACACACACACACATATATATACATATATACACACACACATATATACACACATATATATGTATGTTTGAGATGTTTGTGAAATATGCTTAATGACCCTTTAATAAGGAGAAACTGTTTAGATTTTGGACAGAGACAATTCATATTAATAATTTTTTTCTGGGGCTAATTATTGT
Organism: Homo sapiens; assembly: GCF_000001405.40. Classification (NCBI taxonomy): domain Eukaryota; kingdom Metazoa; phylum Chordata; class Mammalia; order Primates; family Hominidae; genus Homo; species Homo sapiens. Next base: position 50,710,143 of record NC_000005.10, read on the forward strand.
GCTTTCATTTTATTACATCTTTGTGCTCCTGATGTATTTTCTCAGTTATTTAAAGGTGTTGAAACAAGCACCTTCCATTAGTTCATTACTTAGTGCACATTTTTGCTGCTGTTATCATAGGGAGATCCAGTTGCATGTCTGGTTTAATCTGAAATATAAATTGATTGTTTTTGTACTTTCATGGATCTTTTCTTAGAATCCATCTCCCACTGACTTTTATCTATATTTTGAGGTGAGTTTTGAGGCAGTGGTTGCTTTTGCCTTAGAACTTTATCAGCAATAGTAGTAAAGAAGTAGTCACATGCTTCATGCTTCTTATTTATATCTTTTTTTATTTAGAAGGAAACCTTTTTTAAAAAAGTTTTTTTTCTAAATTAAATAAACCTTTTTTATTTAGAAGAATCAGAGATTAGAATGGGTTCAACACCTGATGGTCTGATGGTACTTAGATCTTACTGGGTCCTGCTAATTCTCATTTCTGGTCTGGTAGGAACCTTTTAGAGAGAAATAAGGATCAGCTTGTTTTTGTGTGGATGCTCTTTTGTTGTGTGAATTGTCTTGGACTTCATTCTCCCTTTTCAAAGTATCAATATTTAAATATAACAGATTTAGCAGTGTAACTCTGGTGTAGACTTTTGAAAAAGAACACAATTTTTGTTTCTGTGTCTGCAACCTACATATGTGATTGAAAATTTTTATATCTAACAGGTTCTACTTTTGATGACTTATTACCTAGCCACAGTGTATCTGTTTCTATCTGTAGCTTTATAACTATCTGTCAATCATTTATCCATATCTATGTCTCTATCTGTACATAAACACATATACATATGTGCCTGTGCATACAATCAAATGTGTATATTTGAATGCTTTCCTAGCCTCAGCATATATTAGTGTGTTTAACTACCTTGTGGTGAATTGTTTGTTGCTACTGGTCGTCTGTAAAATAGCATCTTGATTCCTCCTCTGATAAACACAATTATGTTATTATGAAACTTTCCTCTCTCGTTTTACCTCCTTAGAGCTTGGGAATTAGGCCAATTGTAGAGCTAAGTCTTCTGATAGTCTTGCTGTTTTAAATATTATTGTCTATCAGCCATTCATTACTACCTTTTTCCATGCAAAGGGAACACCAGTGTTGTTCAAGAAATCATACCTTAGTGAAAATGCATGGCCCTCTCTCCAGCTCAGGAATAAAAGCCTATTAGTTTAATTCAGTCATGTGACTTGTCCCTCTGGCCTGCCTTCTCCCTCCTCCCCTAACTGATTGATTCAGGGCTGTCTAGGAACTTCTCTCTGGCCTCTGAAATGTGAGGAGTTTGCTCTGTGGCTTCTGGGGCTGACTTTCATTTTCATTTCTGGATGTGATATTGGGACTGCAGCACCTGTCATGTGGGCCACACGGGAAGTTAGCCCAGATGTAGTTTGAAACTGCTGCTATACTGTGAGAAACAGAAAGACAAAATGGGCAGAATTTGAGTCTTTGGGAATGAGTCCTTGGTTGAGCCGCTGAATTAATAATAGACCTCCTCACCCCGCCCTAAACCCCAACCCTCCTGCCCATAATCCAACATACATTTCTGCACTTATATGAGAAAATCAAGGTCCTTATGTTTAAAGTCAATTCAGTATAGGTTTTTGACAGTTGCAGCCAAAAGCATTATTGCTGAGACACATCACTGCTTTACCTTTTATTTCTGTTTTCCATAGTGATTATTAACAGCTGTTAACTTCTCTTTTCTCTTTTAAGCGAGTAGAGTAAATCATAGGCCAGGCTATTTATCTAGCATTACTGTGATAATAATAAACCTTCTGAGAAACAAAAATCTAAATGATTTTTCTGCAAAGTTGATTTATCTGCATCCTGAAGGACCTCATTACTTCTTCCACTTCTGACAGATATTTATGGTGCAATATAAGTTTATTCTTTATCAATTTTAAGAGTAGTAAGTTTTATTAATCTTCACTTTATTCAGAGTGATTTGAAATAGATCACAAAGTGAAATGGCAGAAACTAAATTATGTTATGTCCAAAATAATAAGAACAGCATATGCTGACCTTTGGCTGTTGGTTACCATTTTGTAGGCTCCTCCCAGGATTATATATTTAGAAATAGATATTTGGCATTTTATACTTTAAAAAACCCAACTTCTGGGAAATCTTCTGTTTCCCTACAATAAATATGTACAGTTTTGTGGAGCACCTATAATACAACAAAATGAATTGGTCATGTTTTTCATGCTTCAATTATTGTACCGTTGATGGCAGAAACTAACAGGAGCTTTTTAGAATCTATTCAACTTCATATTGTTTTTGTGTTAATATCAGACAACATTTTATTATAAGAAATGTACAAAATAGTAAAAGTTGCAAAGATTCTTGGCAAAACAGTTGACCAGATTTTTAAATTATTGTAGTTCATGATTTCCTCATTTACTCATTCAGTAAGCACTGAGGACCAGGCTCTGCAGGCCACCCTGAATATAGAAGAGTCCCTGTCCTGAAGGCATTCACAGAGCAGGGATGAGATAAAGCAGCAAACATTATAGTATAATGTCATAAGTGACAAGATAAGTGCAGGGAGCCACGGGAGCATGCAGGGTGAGAAAGAAACAAATATGGATCTGGTGGTCAGAAGGAGAAGAAAGATATTTTGGTATAAGGACTGTTTAAAACAGGAAAGAAGGAGGAACAAGGTTTTTTTTTTTTTAAGTTTTGTTGCTAACATTAGGCTTGATTTTATTGTGTTTAGGAGATTTTTTTTTTATTTATGTTAGTGGCATGAGGTAAAGTATTATAATAAACTCAATACAGAGATGTAATAATAACAACTAAAATTTATTCAGTGTTTCTGTGGCAATTAAAAGAGTGAGTATAAGTGCCAGATGGCTTGACTTTCAAAACCACTCATGTCAGATATTTGCTGTGTTATTAGGTTTAGGTATATTAATTGTGCTTTATTTTCCCCATTTATAAAATGGCTGTGAGAGTCATCTATATGTTATAGATCTGTGGTGATGTTTCAATAAGTTAATTATCCAAAGGACTTACAAGAGTGCTTATTCATATTGAGTGCTCAATAAACTTTAGATATTATTATTATTATTATTATTTTGAGACAGGGTCTCACTCTATTGCCCAGGCTGGAGTGCAGTGGTGTGATCTTGGTTCACCACAACCTTGGCCTCCTGGGCTCAAGCAGTTCTCCCACCTCAGCCCTCCAAGTAGTTAGGACTACAGGCATGTGCCACTATGCCTGGCTAATTTTGGTATTTTTTGTAGAGATGGGGTTTTGCCTTGTTGCCCAGGCTGACCTTGAACTTCTGGGCTCATGTGATTTGCTCCCCTGTGCCTCCCATAGTGCTGGGATTACAGGCGTGAACCATCACACCCAGCTATTATTATTATTTGGATAATCTCATTTAATTTTTTCATTAATCTGATAATATAATGTGGTAGACAGAATAATGGCCACCAAGATATCCACATCCTAATCCTGGAACTTGTGAACATATTACCTTATATGGCCAAAAGGAATTTACCAATATGATTAAATTAAGATTTTGAGATGGGGGGATTACCTTGATAATTATGTTGAGCCCAGTGTCATCACATGGATCCTTAGAAGAGGCAGGCGAGTCAGAGAAGGAGATGGGATGAAGGAAGCAGAGGGATAGAGTCAGAGATCTGAAGATGCTCTGCTGCAGCCTAGCAAGATGGAAGGAACCATGAGGCAAGGAATGTGGGCAGATTCTAGAACCTGGAAATGAAAGGAAATGGATTTTCTCCTGGAGCTCCTGGCAGGAATGTGGCCCCCCTGACATCTTGATTCTGGTCTGGTTGAACCCATTTAATTGGAATTCTGACCTACCAGATCTGTAAGATGATACATTTGTGGCATTTTAAGCCACTGATGATTTTTCTTTTCTTTTCTTTCTTTCTTTTTTTTTTTTTTTCCCCAGAATTCATCAAGCACAAAGTTTATTTTGAGGGTATCTGAGTCTGGTTTTCAGAAGAATGCCTAACCCATGTTGGGAAGAGCCCCACATTTTCTTCTCTGTCAAGACTTTTTGGAACTCAATACCTTACACACAACAGCTCACCAACACCGATTGCTGCTTGGCTCAACATAGACAAATAAATTCAAGCTAGGAAGAAGGGATAGGAAATAAGACATTGAAATTCTATCACTATCTTTCCATAATCCTCTTAGAACAGAATTACAGTTTTTCTTTTCTATTTTTTAAACCATTTATTTATTTAATTTTCTGTTTTATTTTACTTTAAGTTCTGGGATACATGTGCTGAACATGCAGGTTTGTTACATAGGTATACATGTGCCATGGTGGTTTGCTGCGCCTATCAACCCGTCATCTAGGTTTTAAGCCCCGCATGCATTAGGTAGCCACTGATTTTGCACAGTATCAATAGAAAACAAATACAAATAGGCATTATTTCCATGTCACAAAGGAAGGAATGTGTTCTGGGGGATTAAGTTATTGCCAAGATTATTGGAAGCTGTGGGGTGCCCACAGGGCTGTGGACTGATAGGCTTTATGATGGAAGCAGTCACACAGAGAAGGAACCAGGGCTTTCCAACTCTATGTGCAGCCTTCCAAGCAGCCCCTGATTTTAGCCTCCCTCCTGCAGCTGACTGTGTGTACAAGACTGGGGCTTTTCCAGGGTCTTTAAGGCAGCCACTGCTTCTGTTATCCTTAGCTGTCATTCCTGTAAGAAGCCCACCACTAGCTTTTCCACACTGTTAGATCACTTCACATTTTTCTAGCCCCTTGTCTTTTTCTAAAAGTGGTAGAAATCTGTCTTCCATGGATTCCTCTTTCATTCTTGCTGTCTTTGTGAATTTATGCTTTTTTTTCCTTTCATTTTCTGTAATTTTAGTAAGAGTTCATCAGGAAACAGTCATCAGTGGCCAGCTAACTATTCCCAACTCAAGCAGCATATCAATTTTTGACCCATGGCAGTGCCTCCTCTCACTTCAGCACTCTCAAAAGACTGCTGCAAACAGTAACGTAAATTCACCCAACATGACCGCAGTGCAAAAGCGTCTCACATGGTCTTTATGAAAGCACCCACAGTTATCGCTCTTTAGTAACCTTTCCATACAGTAGAACAGTAGGCAGGAGGCAAAATGCTCCTCCACACTCTGTCAAAATATGTGTGATGGATATGTTTCATATTTTGGATAAGTTCCTATGAATTCACCTATATTTTTATAACCGTTCTAGGAATTTATTTATACTTTCATGAGCTCCTTCCTCATATTTGAGGAGAGAAGGGAAATTGTAGTGTATACTTTTTGTGGGGGGTTGTGGTGTGTGTCAGAGTGTCATGGTATTCATGAGGATCTAGTATAAAAGCTTGTGATTACTGCAAATAAAGATGACCAAAATTGGTCACTTAATAAGTAACAGATAACATGATTAATCAAAATTTTAAAATTTGTGTTTTTAAACAATTATTTTTCAGACCTCTACACCACAGACAGTAGTAACAAGGGGAACAGGTAAATATTGAGAGAATATAAAAAACTTTAGTGTTTAAATTATAATACATAGTATGTTTACTTTTTAACTTATGTTAGCAAATTTCTATGCTTGTATGAAATTGGCAGTTGAAACTATTAGATTTTTTACAAACAGTTATGTCCAGAGCTTCTGTCTCCTTCTTTTCAGTCTCAAGAATAATATAACCTTTTTTAAAAAAATACTACCTTCTTCATACATAATGGGTAAAGATAAGCACTATATTGGATCCTTATTTGAAGTGTTCAGTTCCCAGCTTTCTCAGTGTAATTCCATTCCTCTTTAACTCCCACTTGGACAAAAGTACATATGAATGAATAAAATTGATGTTGTAGCAAGAATCCAAAATTTACTGTGCTTTATCGAAATGAGTAATTCTTTCCAAAAACTTGCTGTGATTCAAATGATCATGTTATATCCCCATGTTTCCACATAGAGGCTGAGAATAGTTAACTTGGAACCTTCTATGGAGAAGGGAAGAGGCTGGTTATTCCTTACATTAGAATACAAAGGAAGTTAAATTACAAAGGAAGATGACTATGATGTGGCATAGAGTTTTACAAGTGAGATAATAATTATACGATATAGGGTAGTTCTGATTATCAGAGAACAAAGTTCCAACAAATTGAGTTTAATGATCTAATTGGCTTTTATTAGTGATTCATGGATTGGGCGGCTTCTCCTCTGTGAAGTAGGAAGGTGCTCTGCTGAGCTGAGCAGAGGGAGCTGGCTTTATAGGCAGAAAAGGACTGAATTAAGAACAAAAAGTAGATTAATTGTTTCAAAGTTACTTTCCCTACAGGGTAAAAACAGAGGGGATTTCTTTATCATGCTGGCTCAGGTAGACTAGGCCCTTTTCTGTTGGAATCTCCTATTTTATTTTGAAAATTGGCCCATTTTAAAATTCAGCTTATGTGACACCTAGCATGAATGACTCCATTTTAGTTTTGTCTGGTCTTTGGGCTTAGTGCAGGAGCTTAGTCCAAAACAGTGGCCTGTGGTAGGAAATTTCTTTAACATGGTTTAATACCTGTGTCAATACAGTGAATATTATCTTTAATCTGCTCATCAAAGGGTTTGATGATTAAATGAGCTAATGCCTACATAACATTAAGAGTCTCAGATTAAAAGAGTGCTAAAATATTTAGTTTCTTCCTGCTAGTGAATGTAAGCTGTGTTTGAATAAACATACTGTAAGTTTAGTATGTGTTTTATATGTATTCCATCCATAAATTCATTTAACAAATACTAATTGCACACTGATCATGTATCAGCCACTGTTCAGTGTGTTTGCAATACTGTGTTTACAGCAATGAACAAGGCAAGGTAGGCAGGGGAAAGAATCTGTAGAGCATATTAAATAATTTGGATTTTATTCTAACTATGAAGGAAGCCATTGGAAGATTTACTGTAGGAAAGTTACATAATTTGTAAATATATACTGAATTATATAATTTGTAAATAGAAGGCTGTATTCTCTGCATGCAATGAATTATTTGGAAAAACGAAGTTAACAGTCTTGGGGGAGGCTATTAGAGGAGTCCAGGGGAAAAATGATGGTGGCTTGAGTTGGGGTTAAAAAAAGGGGAAATGCAAAGCTGCAGCCCCAGAAAGTAGTGTCTATGAGACTTACGATGGAATGGACAGATATAGGGGGCAAAGGAAAGAAAGGAATCAATCATGAGAATAATGTTTTTGGCCTGAGCAAGTATGTAGATGCTAAAGATAGAGAAGTATGGGAAGAACAGATTTCAGGAGTGGGGAATCAGCAGGTCAAATCAGAAGTTAGATTTCTAGTCTGGAGTTCAAGTGTGAGGTTAGTATATAGGGAAGGTAGATTTGGGTTTCATTGCAATAGAGACGACATTTAAAGCCCAAGAGTAGATGATACAATATCTGTGCAAGCAGAGAAAAAGGTTCCAGGACTGAACCCTGGAATATTCCCATAATTTAGAGGCTAAGCAAGAAGATGGGTTCTGCAGTTGAAACTAAGGAAGGACCATAGGCATAGAAACTGAGAGATCATGGTGTCATAGAAGCCAACAAAAGTGTTTTGATAAAACAATGAATCTTTGCACATGAGGTAAGTTGACCTCATGACTTCCTTCTCTTCATGAAGCAATTTTGCATAATCATTAACTACTCATTGCTACTGAGAGTTCAGCTGTGACAGGGAGAGAGAAGTGACTGATGGATTTAGGATCATGGAGGTTGTTGATTATACTAACAAGCAGAAGCCCAGTTTGATTGGTTTAAAAGGAAAATGGAAACTAAAAAAATGGAAGTAGTGAGTATGGGGACTCTTTCAAGAAACGTTCGTAGGAAGTAGAACAGAGAAATAGGTTGGTAGCTTGGAAAAATTATACTAGGTTATATCAGAAAATAGATTATACTGGAGTGCTGATTATACTACAGTATGTTTGGAAGCTAATGGAAATGATCTAAGAAATAAGGGGAATTTTTAAAAATTTCACAAGTGAAGTTGAAGAGGTGAGAATATAATCATCAAGGAATTACACAGTTGTGACCAGTTGAAAATTCATATTCTGGGAGTTTGACATTAGGTAAGAGCTTTGATAAAACAATTTTAGTGTAAAATTATTAAACAATACAGGTAAATTAACCTTATAACTTCTTTCTAAGAAGCAATCTTGCATAATGACTTCTTGATAAAAATTGTAAATGTCTTATTGACTAAATAGAAACTGCTTTTAAAACCATGGAGAAAGCATATGTACACATATGTGTGTGTATGTGTGTGTGTATACGTGTGTGTATGTATATATATACAATTATATATGTAATTTTTCTCCCTGAAGATGTGCCAACAGTAATTTGGTTCAGTTTTTTTTCAGCTCCGACATATGAGTGAGAATATGTAGTCTTTGCCTTTCTGTGACTGGCTTATTTTACATAGCATAATGTCCTCCAGTTCCATCCATGTTATTGCAAATGACATGATTTCCTTCTATTTTATGGCTGAATAGTTTCCCATTGTGTATCTGTACCACATTTTCTTTATGCATTTATCTATTGATGGACACTTAGGTTACTTCCATATCTTGGCTATTGCTAATAGTGCATCAGTAAGCATGGGAGTGCAGATAGCTTTTTGACATACTGGTGTTCTTTCTTTTGAGTATATACACAGCAATGGAATTGCTGGATCATATGGTATTTGTATTTTTAGTTTTCTGAGGAACGTCTGTACTCTTCCATAGTGGCTGTACTAATTCCCACCAACAATGTACCAGGGGTCCGCTTTCTCTGCATGCTCACCAGCATTAATTATTGCCTGTCTTTTCAATAGAAGCCATTTTAAGTGGGGTGAGATGGTAACTCATTGTAGTTTTGGGTTGCATTTCTCTGATTATTAAGGATGTTGAGCATTTTTTCACATACCTTTTGGCCATTTGTATGTTGTCTTTTCAGAAATGTCTATTCAGACCTTTTACCCATTTTTAAATTGGATTATTTGACTTTCTTTATTGAGTTGTTTAAGCTCCTTATATATTCTGGATATTAATCCCTTGTCAGATGGGTAGTTTGCAAATATTTTCTTGCAAATATTTTCTCCCATTCTGTTGGTTGTCTCTTCACTTTGTTGATTGTTTGCTTTGTTGTACAGACACTTTGTAGCTTGATATAATCCCATTTATTCACTTTTGCTTTGGTTACCTATGCTTTTGATGTCTTACTTAAGAAATCTTTGCCCAGAACAATGTTCTGGAGTGTTTCTCAGTGTTTTCTTCTAGTAGTTTCATAGTTTCAGGTCTTAGATTTAAGTCTTTAATTCATTTCGATTAGATTTTTGTGTATGGCAAGAGATAGGGATCTAGTTTTATTTTTCTGCATATAGATATCCAGTTTTCTCAGCAACATTTATTGAAGAGACTGTCGTTACCTTAATGTATGTCCTTGGCACCTTTGTCAAAAATAAGTTGACTGTTAATGCATGGATTTATTTCTGGGTTCCCTATTCCATCCAAATATTGGCGGTGTTTTTGGCTCCTGTGTTGTAGATTTTAAGAGGAATCATATTAAAATGTGTGGCTTCCTTTTTCTTTTAGAAGTTTGGTAGTTTAAAAGAATAAAGAGAGAAGTTATAAAAAGAAATATTTTCACAGCTTCTCCAGAGAAAGAATACCCGTTGGTAACAAAACACGCAGTACATCTTCAGAAATGATTTTCATTATGAAAAGTCAAAGCCTATCCTAGATCAGTTTTATGCTGTTAATTGAACTTCTAAAAGACTTAAGAGAACCTGTAGTGTCTTGTCAGGTATAATTGTTATAAAGCATAAAATCCTCAGGCAAAATTAAAAAAAAATCTGACATGCTTCTATCCTTGTTATGAGTCCCAACAACCACAATATATTAATTTTCATTGGTGGAGAACCTTTCAAAAGCAATATGTTTAGGAAATCTTCCTTTATTGCTTCTTATATAATGAAAGCATCCTTATATTGTTGTTTGCATTGCTTACATGAAAAGAGACATTTGATTTATCACTGTCAAGATCTAACTCGCGGCAGCAGTTTGCATTCAGTGGGGATTTGGGAAGTAGTACGTTTTGGGCCCCTCTTAACTCCTTTTGTGTGTTCTCAGTTCTTAAAGCTGCACATCACAGTTTGTTGGCAATTATAATAATAAAAAGCTGGTGATAACATCACCCTGAATAAGAAGTGTTTTCCTTCTGCTTTAGGTCTTTCAGGCCTGGTCTGATCACTCTATTCAGCAACCCTCAGCCCTCTTTCAGCTCGCCTCTTCCTTATGGTCCTGGGTGGTATCCCTGTTTCTGACAAAAGGGAAGAATGGAAGAAGAAGGTGGCAGAGACATCTGCCAGCTGCCTCTGAAAGGAAGATCCCAGAAGCTGTGGCAGAATACTTTTGTTTGTACCATACTGGGCAGAACTTAATTATATCATAATTCTTTAGAGCAGAGGAGCCTGGGATATATAGTCCTGATTCAGTGCACCATATTCTAAGCTAAACATCAGGTTTCTATAGAAAAAGATGTAAATAAATATCGGGGTCAACTAGTAGTAACTGCCATACTCCTGACGCCACAAAAGCCTGCTTTTCCATGAAATACACCATGCTTTTGAGCTGACCTTTGCTCCTCCTCTTCCCCTTACCATAACTATTTGACATGGAATCTTTGAAAATGGGAAAGGGGCATCTCTTCTTTCAGACCAACCTGTGCTAGGTTGCAAGTCTTATTGAGCAGAACACAACTTAGATAGCCACTTCCTGGGAAACCTTCAGCTTGGAGCCCTTGTGCTCCAAGTCTCCAGGGCCATACATGACAGGCCTGTTTCTTTGTTCTGATACATCTCCTGTGTCCTCTGCTACATGTCAGGAGAAGGTCATCTAATGATCCAATTAAAATAATTGTTTTTTTTTTTTTTACCTTCCTTAGGGGGTGTGTATGAAATATTTCTGAGATGGGATAAAGTATTTTCAGTCATCTTATAGCCTTCAGTGTGAAACTTTCCAATGGCAGCATTCCTGATCTTAAGAAAAGTCTGTCTCACCTGCGTATAGTTTTCATTAGGAGGCTGCAGCTGGGAGTGCTTCCTCTGAGAAAACATGTCATTTAAACACCAATGGGTGCAGGAGACTACAATTTCATCCCCCATCACCCCAGGTAGAGTTTGTAATGCTACCATATTTGAGATGATTTATTGGCATATAAAAATTGGCCAGCTATTTCAGAAGCATTAAGTTATTGTGCCTTCTGTTGTAGTCCATGTATTTTGTAATTTATCTCAGAGTTCAGAACTGACAGAGTTGAGAGAGAATATTCAATTCAGTGAATCTTCCCCTCCCATTTTTTTCTTAATTCCAAAAGTCAAGGACCTGTGACTTACTAAATAACCGATTGTATTGTTCTGTGCCTTTCATTTCTGTGGCCGATTAATTCAAGTGGGTGGAGTATAGCTGCAACAGCCTCCACTATCAGAATGAGATTGATGATGTTCTGTGGCTGAACCTGTCTCCCTTTTGGTAACTCTTTATATTTTATTTTTAAACATACTAGTGTCTTATTTAGCTAGAAAAGGTGAGTGAATTAATAAAAGAGCTTTCTCATTAGTAGGAAAAAGTTCTTATTGGTTGGTAAGAACTCATGCCTTTGTACGCAAAACTTAATGATTAAAAAACTGCTAAAGCAATTCTGATTTTTTTCTGTCTTCTTTTTACAGGTAATTCTTATAAGATACTCTGTTCTTCTTTTTATATTTTATGTTCTCCTGTATCTATATCATGCCCTAAAAATGTCGTAGCTTTGTAATAATATTAAGAAACATGACTAAGTAGCTGAACCAAATTTTATTTTGTGTGCCCAAGCTGTTCCCTTTTTTGTGTGTCCAATTAAAATATGTTACAGTTTTCTTAGTGAATGTTTTATTATAATATTTGAAGGATGAGGGACAGCTGGACTGAGTAGTTGTTTTTGAGAAAGTTTTAAGGCTTATGGAGATCTGCTTTAAAATTATATATAGTTGTTTTTCTTTGCCATTCATTTCTCATTTGTGTCACTGCCGCTGAAAACTGAAGTTCGATAGTTAAGGAAAGAGTTTTTCAAGTAAATATTAAGGCATTTTATAATAAGCCAAATGTATGACTAAGGTTAAAAGATATGGTATATACTTCTATGTGTTTACTAATCCCTCTCCCCTCGGGCACAGCTATGTTCCATTTCCCAGCTTCCCTAGTAGTTTGCAGAGGAGGATGAAGCCTTAGCCGATAGTGGGACACAGCAGTCAGCCAGCCTGGGTCCCTCAGTGACTGTATGGAGCTGAGTCCCCCACTCTTCCTCATATAATATGATGTGTACAAGAAGTCAGCCTGTATTGTGTTAAGTTTTTGAAATCTAGGTTTATTATAGTATTACCTAATGTCATATCAGAATTGTTCCAAAAAACTATTTGCTTCTCAGACCGTTGGGCCCCTGGAATCCAACTGTGTGCCCTGGAGGAAATAGAAATGGGATTTGGTGAAAATAGAGTGTTGTCTCTGACAGACATTTTGTTAAAATGTTCATGTGTGGATGTTATATGTGCTTAAAGATTCTATGCATCTGGTATGACCCCAGCTCTCTCCTAACCCTGTAATGTGGTGCGAGTTGTATACTCACTAGGAGTGTTTGGGATAGTCCAGCATCAAGAAGATATTTCAGTTCACTCTACATTATGAATATTTCTGCAGCAGATAATTAACTTCTCTAATTGTGTTGCTTTATAGCCTGCTTACTGGAATGATCTGTAATGCAGCTTGGCAGCAGTGAATAGTTATCAGATGCCATTTGAAATGATTTGCTGATTAAAGATGAGAGTTATTAAATCTTGCCCAGCCTTTTCACTTGGTGAATGTTAAAATATATTCTCGCCTCTTACATATGATAATAGCTTTTCCTTTACATGCAAATAGTAGTAGTAAGCTAAACATTTCTTTCTCTTGAGAATCAACTTTTAGATGACTTGAATGATAAATTTTTGATAAATTAAAAAATATTTATAATTGTGTACATCGAAAGTCTCATGTTTTACAAAACTCACTCCAGAATTCTAGAGTGAAGTCCTGTCTTTCTTAGGAAGCAATGGAAAGGTATTAAATATCTCTCAAGTGTTTAATTCATTGTATTCTCTACTAGGTATAGATTGTTGTCTCTCAGTTTCTAAATTAAACAGTTGCCTTCTCAAGACTTTGGTGATGATGATTATGATGATGGCAATTACAATATTAATATGACTGAGTGTTTGGATATCAAAGATGAGAAGAGGCCTTTCCTTTCTAAAAGAAGTGATTTTTTTTGTGTGTGGTTGATTTGTATTTAATTTCATTTAGGTAGGTTTGGTTCTGGATGGATACTAGATTTTTGTGCTAATTGTGTCACCTTCTTATTGTGTGACATTAGATAAACCTCTTAACCTCTTTTTACAATTAGAGGAAAAACTAAGTTCTTAAAGGTATGTAGAAAGAACATCAAAAGACAAAACTAAGTGACTGAAAAGGAAACATAAGAAAAAAGTATATATTAGTAAGGAATATTTTCAGATTTTGCCAAACAGGCTTTTTACTATTCTTTATTAGATTTAAAAAATATTCTTTTAGGAGGAAGGTGAGAATTATTAAAAAGTTTTCTACTTGGTCAAAGTTTTAAATTCGTGAGGCATTGAAATTATTTTCTAAAATTTGTTGATGAGAAATTTAGTTTTCCTTTTAAATATTAAGTAGAGAATTTGAAATCCTCCAGGAGAAATTATTCTCTTTAGGCAAACATTCATTTTTAAATTAAAAAAGAATCATTTTCACAAAGAGAGGGTCTTGCTGCATTCCCCAGGCTTGCCTCAAACTCCTGGGCTTAAGTGGTCCACCCTACTCGGCCTCCTGAGTAGTTGGGACTATAGGCATCCCCTCCTTCAAACATCTAACTGTAAAATGATGTGCCTATAAATATTCTTCAGGACCAGCTGTAGAAATTCTTGAAAATACGATTGTCTGTTTATATTATATGCCTTTCCTTTCTGCTTTTGGAATGAACAAATAAATATAGCTCAGTGAAATTATATTATATATGTGAAAATTGATTCTTTACTTTTACCTACCTCATTAAGCATGCAAATTGCTAAGTTTTCAGTAGATGCATTTAAAATAAATTATAGCTAATCAAATGTGTTGCTTTATTTCCTTTTAAGTGACACAGTGTATGTGCCAGCACAGCAAAAGAAAAAAAAATCAGTTTGGTTATTCTTTACTGAAAGCAGAAGTTGATTGGTTCAGGGAAAAAAATTGTAGCTACATGAATTGATATGTAGATGAGTTTCCACAATTTGTCAGAAATGGCTGCTTATGATGTATGGTGAAATGTAAGATAATTCTTTCCTCTTCTGCCATCTGTCTACAATTTATTCTTTTATTAAGGAATGTATTGTAATTATGTTGTTTTTAATTTTTTTTGGTAAAAGCAATACATATTACAATTTTGACTATATTATGATGCTCTCTTTTTATTGGTTTTTGTTTCAGTAGCTTTGGGGGTACAAGTGGTTTTTTTTTGCATGGATGAATTACACGGTGGTGAATTCTGAGATTTTAGTGCACCTGTCACCTAGGTAGTGTACATTGTACCTACTGTGTAGTTTTTTATCCCTAGACCCCCTTCCTCCCTCCCACTCTGAGTCTCAAAAGTCCATTATATCACTCTGTTTGCCTTTGCGTACTCGTAGCTTAGCTCCCACTTTTAAGTGAAAACGTATGGTTTTTGGTTTTCCACTCCTGAGTTACTTCACTTAGAATATGGCCTCCAGTGCCATTTATGTTGCTGTAGAACACATTATTTTGTCCCTTTTTAGTGGCTGAGTAGTATTCCATTGTGTGTGTATGTGTATATATATATATATACACATATGTGTATGTATACTATATATGTATAGATATATGTATGTATGTATATGTGTGTATATATATATATATAAAACATGTTCTGTATCCACTCATTAGTTGATGGGCACTTAGATTGGTTGCACAATATATTATGATACTCTTTAATATATTTTATTTAACATTTGTATTGTTTTAAAGTACTTAAATGCCTTTTAATTTTTGTCGATGTAATAGTTTAATACCAGTAAAATAAATTTCATTATTTTACATGAACAATCTTACATGTTTGTGTTGCATCAAATGATGGCTAATGTCTAAAGTAAGAAAAGGCAATTAATGAATTATTCATCTGTACTTGTAGCAAGATACTTAGTTATACACAGGTTCAAATAAAAATCTTATGTTTAAATCCTCACTTTTAATCTGGGAAAATATTGGCTAAATATTGCTCCCTAACATGAATGCATGTTCGGTCAGGGTATCTGTGAAATTCAAACATATTTCATGTGTTCACTGCTAATATGGCTGTCAATTAAAGCAAAATTAGTGGGCTAGCTAACAGAAGTTAAAAGATATTTTTTAAATTTGCTGATTGTTTTTTCCATGGCAAACGGTTTCCATTATTTATACAGTATACAACACTTGTGCTCAGGCAACTGTCTGTAGTTTAGTTAAATTGCAATAGAAGTAGATCTGCTGGATCTTAAGATAGTCTTTCTAAAATATAATCAGTGTGTTCTTCTCTGTTGGTTTTTGTGTTTTGAAATGACACTGCTAATGTTGGCATTATCAGCTTGTAAGCAATACTGCTTAGATAGTATACAAAGTTAGTTTTTCTGATTTTGTGCATATACACAAGATTTCCTTCAAATCATGACCGGAGACGCATCCTGTAGAGCCTGAGCTGTTTATGGTTATGCTACCTACTCCTATGGTATTGTGATGCCTCATTTTTGAAAGCTGACAACTTGATTGCTTTATATGTGGTTATTCCACAGCTTATGCCATGTTGTTACAAGTCGTCCTCCTCCCTACTTATTTTTTTTTTAAATTTTTTATTTTTTTATTTTAGCTGTGTGTCAAACAGACCTGGGTTTGAAGCTTCACTTTAATTCCCTTAGTAGCACAGTGACTTTGGGAGCATTTCTAAACTTGGGAGTCTGTTTCCTCGACTATACAATAACAGTGAATTTATGGTGTTTTATTTAATGATGTCATTAAGTGCGTAGTACAAAAAAGGTGTTCAGTAAAAATCTATCCAATGGAGGATGTATGTGTAATCTAGTTCATTAGCTACTTTTCAAGCTTTACTTTTTTTCCCGCATTTTACAAATATGTTTTTATTGATAGGAGTACCTCAGATCTGATCACGAACTCTAAGAGGGGAAGCTGCTTTTTCTTGTTTAGCCACATGATTAGCATCACTAACCACTGTAAAGCATATTGTATATTGCCAATGATGTGTCAATTAAAAATCCACTGGGAACAAAGCCCCATTTAACAAAGTTGTCTTGAGCACAGCGATGATTGAGGAAATTCCTTTACCCCAGTGTGGGAAATCCCACAAGGGAGCTGTTTTGCCCACTGGTCTCATGTAGACTTGCTGGCTCCTGAATATTCTCTGAGAAGGGCAAAACCACTGGGAATTGTGCAGGCTGGTCATATGCAAGTACAAAGGAGACGGTCTAGGGCCTGTCAACTGTGGATCATCTCTGTCCTCATGCTACAGGCCATTCTGCTTGCTTCTAAAGCAAGACTGCTTTATTTGGTAGGTTGGGTGGAAATATTGTAGAGGAAATTTGTATTTTAGAATAACACATCTCTCTGTTTCCTATATTAATTCTTTTTGTGGAAATAACCCAAAGATTGTGTCGTTAGGAACTACTCTCTCATTTGAGGACTAGGCCATCTCATGCTATCTGGTAAAGATGACATTTACAGTCATAAATCAAAACCATCTGAAATTTTCCAGGGTCTTTCTGAAGGTTGTGAGAAAAACACAGGCAATTCCTTTGTATAGTAGTATTTTGTGAGGGACAGGGCATAGCTCTGATAATAGTTTTTGGTAATCATTTTATCTTTAGTTTTCTACCTATCAGTGGGCTGTAGTATTTTTATGACTTCCTTTACCCTTCTTTAGATGAACATTTGAGATACTTCCTTGTACTAAGAACTGCAGGCACATTTAGACACGTTGTGAGTCAGACCTGGCTTTTGCGTGCCAACTACTCCCTTCTGTTGTTGGAGTGTACCCAGTCCCCGCTCCTGCTCCCACTTCCCACCCGGACTTGGTGTTCTTTTGAAAAAATGGACATGGATCCACTCAAACTTTGTCCCTGTTTTCATATTTTTGTTCTTTGTTTAGGTAGTATGTCAACTGCTTTGATCCAGCTTTTGGCCAGAGTACGTGTGGACTATATTGTTCAAAAGTAAAATACTTCTGTTAATGTACATGGCTTGTAGGCTTGTTTTTAGTTAATTTTGACAGAATGTGTGAATGTCAGTTATGGTCTATACCTTCCACTGTGCCAGGGGCTACATAGAGAAATAAAATATAATAACCACTAAAGGGAAGTTTGGATTCTACATTTAATTTGGAACTATAAGGCTGAAAAAGTGAAAATTTTGAAGAATGAGGATGGTATATTCAAATTCCGCAATTATTTTCTTTTACTCATCCACGTATTTTTGTCCCATCATCGCATCCTGCAGGAAACTTTCCTGGTACCCTTTGTCAAGTTATGGGGCCCTTATGTGATGCCACAATACATGGTGTGGTCCGCCTTCAGAGTTGAAAATTACAACTATAATTTTCATTTATTTGGGTGATACTTTAATTGTGTTTTCCCTTGCTGGACTAGAAACTTCTGAATTCAAGGCCCCTGTCTATTTTTACTTTCCACCTGTGTTGGCACAGAGTGGGTCTTCAGTAATCATTTACTTCATAATTGGTTGAATGAATGTGTGAGTTCCAACTACTAATGATCAGTGAGAGTTAATTTTTGAATTCAAAATTCTTGCCAGTGCCGAGACCTTGGGAGTGCCAGCATTGATTGCTTCTGTGTCATTTTTCTAGGTAGAAGTAAATGATGGCTTAAGTATTTCCTATCAATTCTAATGAATATTTCTAAGGCATTTCCCTGTTCCCTTTATTAATTGACAACATCCAGTGCAGAAGCTTCATTGATATTGTAATTTTAGAGTTGGGTATAAGTGATGAATTGATGCTATTGCAATTAGACTGACTTGAATTTATCTGTGAATTAGCTCATAAAAATGATTCTGTTGATCTTAACATTTTGAGTTTTGAGAAGGTTTTAATAGCATTTTGATTTATCTTTTAAAATTGACATCATTTTCATTTTTTTGTCTCTATGACATTCAGAGTGCAACTTAATTTGCAGTTTATCAATCTGTCTATTGTTATGGTGGGCCCTTGTTTTCATAGGAATCACACGTTTAAATTAAGGTCCCATAGTTTCCTCAGTTCCTAAAGAACTACACAGAATTTTTTTTTTTTGGCACCCAAATAAGTCAGTTACTGCTCTCCCAGAATTCGTTGTCTTTCCTTTCCTTTTTTGAGACCACTATTAGAAATATGTCCCAAAGAGAAAACAAAACTAATATTTTAATATTTAAAGTATTTTAATATCAAGGAAGTTAGCTGTTTTTGAGTTGATAACTTCTCCATCAAAGTTTAAAATGTTGCATAATGTATAAAGTATAATTTTGATGTCACTCTTAAAATGAAATTGTATAATAAATATTTTAGACTAAGTTTTTCCATATTTTATATTGGAGATATATATGTACCTGAAAAATACTTAAAAATGTGATGAGACAAATCAAAGATGTTTGTTGATGTTGAAAAAGGCAACTTATTATCTAATTTTTATTGGAACTGACTGAGAGTTAAACATTTTTTCTCATAAATTTACTTAGATATGTGATAATTTTATGGTCCAGTCTTATGGAACACATTAGTGTGCGGTTGTTCAAAATTGCTCCTCTTCTAAAGTGAAAATCTCATTCACCTAACAAAATAAAACTAGATAAATTTTTGTTTTCCTACTGCTTTGGTGACTATGAACTAAGTAAAAATAGTTTTTAGTAGGGTCATCTCATTGTTATAGGAACTCTGGATAACTAATCAATTTGCAAAAGTAATGCCAAATGGAGTGAGATATGCCTCCTTTCACAGAATTTGCTTTGCTAAGGAAAGAGCATACAGGGGAAAAAACTTTTTTTTCACACTTGGCTATTTAATACATTGCATAATTGTTTTAAATTGATTTCTGATGAGTTGCTAAATATGCTGTACAAACTGAATTAAACAAGTGTTGAAATGATAAAATGTAATGAAAGGTATTTGGACCAAAGGAGAACTAAGTTCTGGACCAAGTGCTGTGTAACTAGGACAAATTGATAGACCTCTCTGAGCCTTAATATTCTTGCGTGTAAAATAAAAGGAACAGATAGATGGTCCATTTTGTAACTCTAGGTCTGTGAGTGTTCTGGGAATAAATTTTGTTTTTCTTGCCGTTCAGAAAGCTTACTCTTTCTGAGTTATTTCTTTTCAGTTAGGTGTGAATATCTCCTCAGGCATCTTCCATCCATCTCTTCAAGATTAGCTGTCTCAAATGTTTTTCCTTCTCTTCTTTACTGATAAATTTGGACTCCTTCTTGACACTGATGACAGCTTCAGTATCCTTCTTGTCACCTTGCAGACTTTAAACATAAAAATACTCATTGGTTTTAAAAGGAAAAAAGTATACATTAGGACTATTAAGCTTGGCCTTGAAACATTTTCTATCTTTTATTAAATGTCGGTTAGCTGAACAGAATTCATTTTACAATGCAGAGTGAGAAAAGAAGGGAGCTATATGCATTTGAGAATGCAAGCATTGTCAAATAAACATTTTAAATGCTTTCTTAAAGTGAGCACATACAGAAATACATTAAGATATTAGAAAGTGTTTTTGCTTGTGTACTACTAATTAGGAAGCACCTTGTATAGTTCCTCTTCTAAAATTGAAGTAGATTTTAAAAACCCATGTAATTTAATTGAGCTCTCAGTTCAGATTTTAGGAGAATTTTAACAGGATTTGGTTTTGTCTAAATTTTGTCAATTTTTTTAGTTAATCTGTATAATTTTATAAATGTCAAACTGTATTAGTCCGTTTTCATGCTGCTATGAAGAAATACCCAAGACAGGGTAATTTATAAAGGAAAGAGGTTTAATTGACTCACAGTTCAACAGGCCTGGGGAGGCCTCAGGAAATTTACAATTATGGCAGAAGGGGAAGCAACCATGTCCTTCTTCACATGATAGCAGGGGAGAAAAGTGCTGAGCAAAAGGGGGAAAAGCCCTTTGTAAAACCATCAGATCTCAAGAGAACTCACTCACTATTATGAGAACAGCAGCATCGGGTTAACCGCCTCCATGATTAAATTACCTCCCACCGGGTCCCTCCTATGACACGTGGAGATTATGGGAACTGCATTCAAGATGAGATTTGGTTGCGGACACAGCCAAACCATTTCACAAACCAATTCTTATTTCTTAAAAAGAGCTGATGTGATTCAACTGAATGTATTATGTGCTAATATGAACCAGTACATTAGTTGATGGAATATTTATTGAAAACCAGAGATTATTGAGATATTTTTGTTATATTTTAAGTGATTTCCTTTGAAAATAATTTTATACTTTTTGAATAAGATTAAGTTGTTTTGTTAATAATGATCAAAGGTGAGGGTTAATAGATGAAGAAATTACTGCATAAACTTAGGCATATTAATCAGAAGACAAGGAAGTAATGTGCAAGGGCAGATTACCCAGTGAAGTTTGGCTCACATGGGGCAGTAACTTTACACCGTTGACTGCATGTTCAGGAATACTTTGAGCAAGAAAGATTAGATCTTGTCACAAACTAATCAGAAGTTTCTTGCCGTAAGCAAAAAAGGTCAGTGCGAAAAATCACAAGAGGCTGAGTGACTTAGAGGAAATGTCAGAAAACCTGGCTCTGCTTCTGGTTCCGCATGGAATTGAATGAGTCTCTTTAAATTTATGTTTGTTCATCTGTAAAATAAGGGATGTGCAACTGGGTGATTTCTGACTTCTGTTCCAACCTAACACTCTGTGAAATCAAGATCACATGTACATTTTTTTCCAAATTTCCAAAATTTTTATTCTTTGGCCTTTAGAGAGTGAAATCAAAAATCTCTCAATTTTGAATTTCTTTTTTCAATTGAGTTCTCTTTTGCTCTTCTGTCCAAAAGAATGAGTGTGTTGGTCTGTTGGACTTGAGTCAAATGAAAATGTAAAATAGGAAATTCATAGCAGTGTGCATTTGCTTGTACAGGTCTGGCTCATCTAAATCTGGGAAATATGGTAGAGTTTAAATTTATTTATATGCTAAAGAAGAAAGATGTGCTTGTACCCTGAGTAAAGGGTCGCTAAACAGCTTTTTGTTATTTCCATTGTAAGGATATATTCATCCTGATCGTAGTATGATGGGAAATGTTATTTTTTTGGATGCAGTCGTTGGGAAAGCATGAGGTATAGGACTCAACCCTTTGGTATATATTTATAGATTTCTTACTATACTCAGTTATGCATTTGCTTAATTACAGAACTTAGTCTCATGAGTAATCTTCTTAGGTATTAAAACTTGAAATATATAGGTTGGATACAGCTCCTTATCTAGAATTTCTGATTCTTAAAAGCTCTGAAAATTCAAGCCAGGTTATTTTGTAAATTTGCTCCAAACATATTTAGCGGTAAACCTATTCGAACAGACATGAGATTATATAAAGTTTGCCCTCTCCATAAATATCCCATACATTTGCCACATAGTGGGAGTGTTCATGCATCTCCCTACGGATATATTATTGTTTTTAATGACACGGTTTCTTACTGAGGGTTTTGTGTAAAATATGCCCTCGATTATTTTTCTAAAAAAAGGAAATTTCTGAAATTTGAAGCACATTAGGCCACCAGGGTTTCATATCACAAACTGATGGTAATTAAAAGTTCAGATAATGACAATCTTTATCATCATAAATTTTCCTGAAGAATTAGTATGTGAACATGAGAACATTGGTTTCTTACTCATCACTGGCAGTAGAAATACAATACGATACATAGTAATTTAGTGAGTGGTTCTAAGAAAGATTGGAATTAGAATCTGGAAAAATGAATTATATACAATATGGAAGGGAACCTTATAACAAGCACAAAACATATGATAGTATTATCTGTAGAAATTACTGTATATTACTTATAATTTTTAAAACCAGTTTTAAGTTATAAATGCAAACAATATTTTGTAATATTTGCTAAAAACGGTTCAAAGAAAGTCTGAATAGAAGTAGTAGATATACCGACTGATATTTGCATAAAAAACTAATTAAAGCACTTCTTTGGAAACAGTATATAGTTGACTAATTTGGCTTTGAGAACATAGTAGTAAAAGTTGTTATTTTAATGATAATGTAAATGACATGCAATAGCTTTGACTCAGCAGATTGTATTTTTTTCTTTTTTTCCTTTTTTTTTGAGATGGAGTCTCGCTCTGTGGTCCAAGCTGGAGTGCAGTGGCGCGATCTTGTCTCACTGCAAGCTCCGCCACCCGGGTTCATGCCATTCTCCTGCCTCAGCCTCCTGAGTAGCTGGGACTACAGGCACCCACCACCACGCTCGGCTAATTTTTTGTATTTTTATTAGAGACGGGGTTGCACCGTGTTGGCAAGGATGGTCTCGATCTCCTGACCTCATGATCTGCCAGCCTTGGCCTCCCAAAGTGCTGGGATTACAGGTGTGAGCCACCGCGACCAGCCGTATCTTTTAAGTGTAGGAAATGAAACTGTGAATAGTTTTCACATAACAGTGCTTTTTTATTTCTCATCTGTGGTCATAGATGACATTAAAAATGGGTGAAAGGCCGGGCGCGGTGGCTCATGCCTGTAATGCCAGCACTTTGGGAGGCCAAAGCGGGTGGATTGCCTGAGGTCAGGAGTTTGAGAACAGTCTGGCCAACATGGTGAAACCCAGTCTTTACTAAAAATACAAAAAAATTAGCCAGGCGTGGTGTTGTGTGCCTATAATCCCAGCTACTCAGCAGGGGAATTGCTTGAACCAGGGAGGTGGTAGTTGCAGTGAGCCGAGATCGCGCCACACCGCACTCCAGCCTGGGTGACAGGCTCAAAAAAACAAAAAAACCAAAACAAAAAAAAAATAAATGGGCGAAAAACTTGCTCCTGACCTAACAGATGGTGCCTATTGGGCAGCTTGACTTTTAAAAACTGAAAATTCAAACTGTTAGTACCAATAGTTTTTTAAAAATACTTTTTTCTCTTAAAAAATCTTTTTCACATTTTAGAATTCTTGATGAAGTAGTTTTTTAAAGCCTCCTAAATGATGTCTTGATTTATTGACTTTAGCTAAATACCTTTAAATTATCAATTTTTGAAAAACTACACTAAGCTATAGATAGCAGTATTTATGTCAACTAAACTATACTCAGGGACAGAAATCGTGGTTGAATAATTTAGAAAATAGTTACTCAGTTATTGACTCAAAACCTCACAATTGTTGTATTAAATTGTATAAAAGGGCAATTTTTCTATATCTGTGGTAAAATCTAATGTTTTTACATCATATTCAAACTTTTTTTTTGTCATGTGAGGCTTCATTTTAGTATTTATTATGATTATTTCCTTCTTACCAAGCCAGATTCCCTACAGTTTCTTACAGATCTGGTTCCCCTACTTGTCCATCTTTTCCTTAAATCTCTACTACTTACTTGTTTCTGGTACGTTCTCAAATACTGCACACTTCCCTCCAAAAGCGTAACTTAAGTTGTCTTGTCTTATGTATAGCATTTCCTTATTTTCTTCATACCGTGAACAGTAACTGATAACTTTACTAATGAGGAAGATGAATTTAAGTGACATACTTTGTTATGAAAAATACTTTTGGAAGCATTCAGAAAATCCTATGATTTAATGTTGTTAAATATAAACATATTGAAAGAGTGATAAAAAGGCTTTTAACATTGAGCTCCATCTTCCTTTTTTACGGCGGTTTTATTTCAGATCCCATTTGGATGTTTATCTTCTTGTCAGTTGGTATATGTGAAATCTATATGTTATTATGGATCTCTTTTTTGGGGTTAGGATGAGCATTGGGAAATCTCATGAAGGAAATTTTATCTTTTCCTTCTCTTCATGATTCCCCAGCCCTTTTCAGAAAAAGAAAGGGAAAAAAGGAGAAGGAAAGGTTTGTGTGATGGTGTAGGAGTGTCCAGTTCTTCATTTGCTTTGGGCTGTCTCTGGAGAACTAAAGTCATGAGGATTAAAGTCATGATAATCATATATTTAGTCCTTCATGATAACAAAGGGCAGGATGTAGGTGAATGCTTTGCTGGAAAAGACATAATCATTCAAACAAATTAATTTGTCAGTAATATATTTACTAGTATATAAAATTGAGTCTCTTTTCCTTTTTTATGTCTTTAGAGCTATATAATTCTCATCTAAATTGCAGATGTCTCCGGGATGGCTAATATATATTTTCTATCTCAAATTGATTGATCAAATAAATATTTAGTGCTCTCTCTTGCTGTCTGCTTTTCCCCCAAGTCTGTACCCTGAGAAATTTCTTCATTGACTTATCTGCAGCTAAAGATATGTTTATTTTTAGACATAGAGAAGTGAATTTTTCCTGAG